>NC_000001.11:215059587-215684587 GCF_000001405.40 Homo sapiens
TGGGATTAGAAATGTTTGGAGACTGTTGAAAGAGAAATGATTTTCTAAAATTCTATAGCTCCCATTTAATGGTTCAAAAGGCCTGGCCCAACTAGATCACAGAATTTTATTTGTGGGCAAAAAGAAGAGGAAGTAAAAGACAAGGCCATGTTATCTGGGCCTAGACAAGGGGAGAAAGATAGAAAAGAAGAACTGGGAGGTAGAAGGTCAGAATCCAGAAATGCATCCTCTTCTCTCCTCTGGTCTGAACCCCAGGACTTCAGATGTGTGTGTTACATAAGCCTGGGGAACACCCATGGCTGACGTTCTGTGGCATCTGTTCCCTTTTAGAGAGGAGACCCTCCAGCAGGGAGGTGCTGAGGCAATGTAGACAGATGGGCATGGGGCTTCCGATGCAGTTGACGGCACATCAGCATGGCCAGGGACATGGAGTGTCCAGGTTGTGACAGAAAGTAAAGGTACTCCCTCCTCTTAGTTGTGATATTTGCTCCCTTCACTTTCCCTGTGGCTCAGGTACTGAGGTGAGAGCCAACAGGCCTGCCCTGGACCTGTAGACCTGGCAGAGATTCAGTCCGCAGTGCCAGCCAGAAAGCGCTGAGAGGAGGCTAAATGAGCAGGCAGAACCTCGGCCGCAACTAAACAGAGAAAAATGAGTCTAGATGTATTGGCCAGAGGAGTCAAGGGGAGATGCTAGCAGTAGGCTCCAGGAGAGACCAGGCTGATACTTCAGAGGCATCAGCTAATGCACAACGAAGGCGTGGCATGACCAGTTGATTCTATCCTCCTGCCACCAAGAGATGAGGTAAATATTTTCTTGTAGCCTAGACACTGTCTTTGAAAGGATCAAAAGAAGAAAAGAGTCTGAAGGCCAGTGCAAATGTTCCCAAAGGACTGAGTAACACCTAGATGCAGGGTATACGTTATTGGCTCAAAAATATACTTTAAAACTTAATTGGATCCGGTTTCCTTTTAAGAAACGTTCATGCCATGTAGGAGGTGAGGGCTTTGAGGAAGATCAGAGTAGCCGTAGAAAAAAATTATGAATCTATATTTATCTACATGCCCGGGAGCAGTGTGTGTTACTTTTGTATCAACTAGTCCACAGTGTTCACTTGAAACTCATTCTTTGTTCTGATGACTTGGGTGTTCATTGAATATAAATTACCTTCTCTATAAAATATGGGACTAATAATATTAGCACAGAATCTGGTTTCTTAGGTACATCATTATAAAAATATGAAAGAATAAATTTAGGAACACAATGAACTATTTAAGCTAAATATTAAGACTATATGATTGTGCAACTAGAAGATTATTTATATATTTTTAAAATTTCTAAGTAAGTTTTCTGATTACAGAAGACATGAATGTTAGGAAAACTTGGATCACACAACTGTATTTTAATAGAAATACATACCTTCAAAAATAGTATTTAACGTGTATATAATATACAACAACATATAGATATTATGATTTTTTGACCATTGCTCTAATGATGAACATAAACTTACTACACCATTTTTCCTATTAGAAATACTTTTGTGTATACATAAAACTTTGCAATTTTATCTAATCAGTCAGGAAATGGTAATATGTTAACTAGCTTATATGAGAATGAAAGTTCAGTATTAATGGATTTGTCATTACCACCAAGTATCAACTTCAAACAATATGGCCTTGGCTTAATTGTCAAAATGTTTTGAAGCATCTGCTTTCAGCTTTCATGTAAAAAAAAAAATCAAGTTTGTCATTCTTTAAATTTTGAAATTAGTTAGAAGTGTGAGTTTACCAGTATTTATATGGTTTATTTCTTTTTCAAATTTAGTTTCAATGTTCCTCTTAAAGGGACTTTGGTTTTTTGGGAGGAATGGGTTCAGAAATAAGACTATCACATGTTTCTGGGTTTAAAAGTTAAAAGAAAAAAAATCTCCAGACAAAGAACAAGTATTTTAATTGCTTTACTGGCATGGGATTTTTGTGATTCAAAAATCATTTATAAAGCTTTAAAAAGAAACTTCTGATAGTCTGTCAAGTATGCAAATTGTCTTGAGAATTGAAAGTTAATCAATTCACTAGCAGCAACTCTTGGGGCCTTCATATAAAAATATTTTAGAGTTAATTTTGTAGTTTGGATAATTCAACAGATTTAAAAGGGAAGTACATTTTTTTTTAAAAAAAATTTCAGAATAAAAGATGATTGTCCTTGTTACTAGTTAGTTTTAATAATAAAGGATAAGACTGAGATTCCATGGCTCAGGATGCTTCTTAGGAGAAAATTATGTAGGAAATTGTCTAAGGGTAGGAGGAATAAAGAAGGAATAATTAGTGGATTTCATTTGTTTTACTTTTAAAAGGAAATCATCCTGGAATTATAGATTGATTAATTAAACACAGCCTCTAAATTCTAAAAATTATTAATAAATTATACAACAGTTTGAAGTAATTTGTAATATAATAATAGATGCTAACAATCTTCAACACAACATTATGATTATAATGGTAACACTCTCCCTTTCTGCTCTAACCAATACATGGCTTTCATTAAACACCAGACAGGTCTCTGACAGAGTTAATTGTCTAAGCCTGTTCAAAAGGCCGAAAATTGCTCTCTGGGAATAAAAAACATTATACTGGAAACCAAAGACAAGATAAGAGTCTGGGCTTTAATTTAAAGAGAGGAGATGAATGCTGGGCAGCAAACAAAGGCAGTCAGTACTGGTTTGAATTTTTTGTTTTACTGTACTACTTTGGATCAGTTTAAACCATTTCAGATATGAAGAAGGCATGTGCTCAGCTCATGAGCTAAACTTGTTGAATCCTATGGCTAGTACCATAGCTAGTCTACAACATCAGATATTTACACACAGGTGGAACACACTGGGAAAATAAATATCGAATCAGACTTCAAAAAAGGGCAACCTCTAAGGGGAAGGTGGGATGAACATGGAAACAAGAACTCTACACCTGATATGATTTAGATAGTGAGTGATTTAGATACTATCTAAATCATTTCAGGTGTAGAGTTCTTGTTTTAGGCTTAGAGTTTTATTTATGATAATTAGATGTGGGATGGGCTAAAGTTAATTTCATCACTATTGAGAGAGAGTTGGCTACAGAACTGTGCAAATAAGACCACAGAAGTTTTGTTTAAATTAAAGGCCTGCTTTTAAATTTCTTTGGTATTTTTAATTTTTGCTGATTCCAAACTCATTTATTCACTCTTTAAACATGTATTACAACACCAACTCAACTATGTGTTGGGTGCCGGTCAGAAATTTTGAAATACAAGAAGGAAAAGATAGAGACCCTGATTTTATAGGAGAATGAACACACCAGAAAACCAATGAGGACATACAATACAATGGGATAAGAATGAAAAGGATAAACTTGGGTCTAGAAGAAGGATTCCAGAAAGGTTCCTGTGAGAGAAGGAAAAACAGGGAAAGCAATGCTCAATCTTGGAAAGAATTTTGAAGGTTGAGTGGAAGTTAGCCTGATGGATTTGGGTCAAGGAGTGAGAGAATGAAGAATGGGAGAGTGGTCTGTTTGTGGGAACGGTAAGCAATAAACAATAATAAAGCTGGGAACTAGGGTACTGCAGCAGCAAGACAGAATACAAAGCTGGAGAAACATGCAATTGAAGAACATTCTATTTCTTGCCAGTAGCTTGAATTTTATCCCTAAGGCTGTGAGAAGCCACTGGCAGGTTTTCAGCTGGATTGTACTATTGTCAGAGCTGTAGTCTGACCACAGCAAGGAGAAAAGATTAGAAACAGATACGGTGGTGGCAGGAGCACCAACTTGGAGACTGCTGCAGTCACCCAGGTGAACAGGATGAGGTAACAGGTCCATCTTGCTCACCTGTCCCCATCCTCATCTCCATGAATGCTTGCATTTTGGACTTTCTACTCAACATATCATGATTACCTGAAAGCTACTTTCTCCTGCTTTTTCAGGGAGGAACTGTGCTAACAGTAATAATACCATTAAATTCTCTGAGGAAGACCTCCTTGAAATGCACCTATATTGTCTGAAAGAAGCAATGATCGTAAATTAATATACCACGTTAGCTACTCCTCTCTCGCTCAGACTCCTCTGAGAGAATGGCATGAGAGCAGGTCTCTTGTGATTGGGACGAGAATAGAAGAGAGGCATAATACACGGTACATTAGCCTTCTTTTCCTTAAGGAAGTGTCATACTGAGGGTCCTGGCAAGCATTAGAACCGGAGGGATAGGGTGCCAAATGGAAATGGAGAAAGAAAGCAAAGAAACAGAGCTCCCTTCACAATATTTTCAAAGGGAAACCAAAATTAACAGCTGGTTAGATTTGTAAAGGTCACAGATAAAGTGTCACCAGAGGGGCAAGAGGCATACGGAGCATGTCTGGGAAGATTTTATGGATGAAATCGCTTGAGTAGAGTTTAAACGTAGGAAAAGTACTGTGATGTGTGTATGAGGGGAATGTGTGTGTGACAAGACTGAGGAAAAATAAATCACTGTTATCTATCAAGTTTTTAGCATTTTTTTGATCGTAATAGAAGGAAGCTATGTTGATTCACTTGTGGTAGTGCAAAGAAAATTAGAGAAAGGAGATTCCGTGTGAAACATTTATGCTAAAGTACTGCTTTTACCTGTAACATCTAAAATATCTTGAAAACTGGGACAAAAGTGTGCAATTTTTCATTTTCAACAATTTTTTGTGCTATAATGCCTCGGGGGTGTGTGTGTGTACGTGTTTTTGTTTGTGTGTGTGTGTACGTGTTTTTGTTTGTGTGTGTGTGTAATATGAATCCAACCAAAAAAATTTAAACAACTGGATTTCATGTAGTTCAGAAAATTTAGAAACTGCCCAAGTCCTAGACAGGATGTTTGACTGCATCACCTCGGTGATGAGACTGCAGTATCCACTGCCTAGATTTTGCACGAGGCACCATTGGCTTCCCTGGGTGATTCCAACCGGCCTGGACTTGTTCAGTATTTTCCAGGGAGCTCACTACTCAGACATAGAGCTGATCCTTAAAGAAATGCAGGTAACACAGAAAACCATGGCTTGCTGGCACCTGGGTCAGGGAAGAAGAGGATGATACCATCTAAGAGTATCGTCTTCAGGGAGCTGAGAAACAGGGGCCACTCTGTTTTTCTTTAACGTCAAGGCCAAGCTTCATTGACAGCACAGTTGTTTTGTATTGACATGTCCACTCTGAAGTCCCTATCTTGTAATTATATTATATTATTACATTCCTTTGCCATTCCAAACAGAAAAGATTCTAACTTCCTCTTCCTCCCAATTTCTTGCCCTTATATGCCCTCTTTATTTCTTGTGTTTGTGGGATGTCACAGTATTGTGTTAAAGTGTTTAAATATTAACTGTGTTTTGTCAAACAGGTTCATTTGTTATTTGATTTGGGGAATCTTTGAAAGTAATACAGGATTTAAACGTTTTAGGTATTTCAATATAGTGTTTATTTAAAGTAGTTCTAAGCTGGGAAATTAGACGTTATATAATCAAGGCTTTGTTTTCTTACTTTTACATATCTATCTAAATACTTTCAGAAAGTATTTTAAAAGTTTCTTCTAAACAGAACTCTGAAAATGGAACAAGATTTTTAGGGGCACTCCTAATTTGTAGAAGCCCTGAGATAAATCTTACAAAGCCAGCGGCTGTCATCTATTTTATCTGGTTTCAAAGTTTGATTTTGTACATTTGTTCTTTAAATATGTACACCTGTGAACCAGAAGTTACAGAGAAATTTATATGCTCTTTAAATTTCCACAAATGACTTAGACTTGATCTTTAGCCTTACCCAAATATTCAGAAAAAAAAAAGAAAAGGAAGAAGTGAAGTTAAGCATCAAATTCATGAATTGAGATATGAAATATATTTATTGGAGCATTTAGGACCTCAAAACCAAGTTCTTTCCTTAGCCCTGATGTCTTGTTACTGACTAGAGGTAAATTATGACTTCTTAATGCCTCAGTTTCATGTTAAATGAGAATTAGGTGCCCAGGAACCACATGGTAAAAGGGATTTGTGAAGGCAAACGATTTTAGGAACTTGTTCATGTAATTAACTACCAAGTCTCTCTAAGTCAGTGCCTTGTTCTTACAAATGTTATATATCTTTATTAGATGGCAAAATTTGGACACCTTGCATCAGTAACCCATGCTTTGACTTGGTCTGGCTAGTGACAAGATATATGTTTTTGGAAGAAAAGTGGGAGGAAAGAAAGGAAGGATGTCTCTTCTAAAATTTCAAAGAAAGCCAGATGTAATGACATGCATCTTTAGTCCCACCTACTCAGGAAGCTGAACTGGGAGGATTGCTTGAGCCTAGAAGTTTGAGTCCAGCCTGGGCAACATGGTAAGACTGTCTCTAAAAAAATTGATGAAGCTGGAAGCCATCATTCTCAGCAAACTATCACAAGAACAGAAAACCAAACACCATAGGTTCTCACTCGTAAGTGAGAGTTGAACAGTGAGAACACATGGACACAGGGAGGGGAACATCACACACCAGGGCCTGTTGGGAGGTGCAGGGCTAGGAGAGGGATAACATTAGGAGAAATACCTAATGCAGGTGACGGGTTGATGGATACAGCACACCACTATGGCACGTGTATACCTATGTAACAAACCTGCATGTTCTGCACATGTACCCCAGAACTTAAAGTACAATAAAAAAAGATATAACTGATATTCAATAATTTCCTGTTTGAATAAAAGAATAAGTGCACAAAATAATTGATAGAAACATATGATATAACTGTTTAAAAGTCTACCAAATTTACCCCTGTATTCCTGTTTATTTTGGCTACTGAACGTAACCAAAATCAATATGGATACTGAGAAATACTATTTAATAAAGACATAAATTAGACTGCTAAAAAAAATTAAAGAAATTTCAAAAGAGAATCCACCTCTTTTCCTTGCCAGTGCTCAAAAGTGAGTGTGAATCTGGTGGCTGTGGGGCTGTTTTTGGTGTGGCTCTTTGGACCAGCCTGCCTGGTAATTCAAGCCTGCCTCTCATTTCTGATTCCTGGCTCTAAACTCGGGATTTTTTGCTTCCATGCAATAGTCAGTAGAGAGGGCTGACCAAGGTAGTCTGATAGTGTGAAAATGTGTGAAAAGGACTCTGCCCCTTTTTCTTTGCCTCGGAATCTTCTTTTATTTTTTATAACTTCAGGCCAGGTAGTAGATTTTGGAGGATAAGGATTTTTACTCTAAATTTGATTAGGGAAAATGTATCATTCAGAAAAAGCTCTGCATGTCTCAACATGCGTCAATCTTGACAACATACATTTTCAATAAAAAAATAAAGTTGAAAAAATTCATATGATATAATTTTTGTAAATTTTAAAACACTTTATATTTTTATGGTCACATACATACATCAGAAAAATACATTTATTCCCACAAGAAAGATGAACACCAACTCCAGGAGAGTGGTTATTTTGTGGAGAGGGGAAAGAAAAAAACGAACGGGGTGGGCTGGGCTGAACTGGGACTATGGCTGTAACTGTTTTTCCTCAAAAGGAGGAAATCTATCTAAAGCAAGTCCGCCAACTGTTAGTACTTTTAAAATCCAGGTTTATACTATCTTCAGTTCTTTTTTGTACTTTGAAATATTTACTAAATAAACATTTACATAATTCATGTATCAAAATATCACATGTATCCCATTAAGTATGTACAATTATTATTTATCAATTTAAAAAATTACATGATATATATAATTTTTTAAAAAAGTCTCTGAGGCTGCTGAAATAGTTTGAGAATCTACCATGCATTAGACATTGAGAACACAAGTATTAGGATTATGGGGACTCTACCTGAAGGACCTCATTGTCAAGAGGGAAGAGGGATATAACAAATACTCCCAATAATATGTGATGATCACAATCATATGTAATGGCTTCTAAATAGAATGATTGACTCTATAAGGACCCTTTCCTAGAAGACTTTGAGGAAATCTAGGTCAGAGTCATGGCAAAAAAATCATCACACTTGTTGAATTTTTAAAAATTTACTTACTTGGAAGGCTGAGGCAGGTGGATCACCTGAGGACAGGAGTTCAAGACCAGTCTGGCCAACATGGTGAAACCCCGTCTCTACTAAAAAAATATAAAAACTAGCTAGACGTGGTGGTGGGTGCCTGTAATCCCAGCTACTTGGAAGGCTGAGGCAGGAGAATTGCTTGAACCCAGGAAATGGAGGTTGCAGTGAGCCGACACGGTGCCACTTGTACTCCAGCCTTGGTGACAGAGTGAGACTCCATCTCAAAAAAAAATTACTTTCATATTTAATATTTCAAACTAATTGCAAACAAAATATTGTTAGTGAGAGATCCTCAAAATACAACTGGGAAATTCGCCCATGTAATTTATTTCAATAAATGTTATGTACCTTAGCATATGTTTCTATATGGTCTTCTCCAAGTCTGTTGTCTTTATGTTTCTTTTTCTTTTTTTTTTTTTTAATTTCTTGGAAATGTATCTCCCCAGCTAGATATCCAACTCTTCAGTAAGGGCTACCTGGTTTTCATATATTAATCACCCACTCTCTGGAGTGTTTAGTGTAGTACTATATAAATGATAATGATGTTTCAATTCTTATGTAATTCCTACTATGTGTTATGAGAACATAGTAAAGGGGTACTCAACCCCAAACTGAATTTTTGGGGCCACTGTCACCAGATAAGACATGTGGAGTTAAGATTCACATTGCCAGAAATATGCAGGTACAGTATATGAAGAATATAATGCCACATATGAAAATGGTACAGAGGACATCTATTACTTCAGGCGAAAGAAACACTACAGTTAATTACCAAGAAGGTTGGCAAGGCATTCTGGAATCTGAACAATGCACTATTGGCTCTCAATAGAAAACACTAAACACTAAACAAGGTTTTTTGTTTTTGTTTTTCACTCAACAAAAAGACACCAAAAAACTTAGCATTCCATTGTTGGGGTAGATACAAAAACAAACAAACAAAAATATAATTTATTCTATTAATAGCTACACTTGGTGGCTGGTAGATTTGCATTGGCAATTGTTAAAAATAGAACAATAAACATTTGACATCTCAGTCTTAATTAAGATGAGCATAATGTGATACTGGGTTGATAGGGATAAGGGACATCCCTGGTAAATCTGCAAAGAAGAAACAGGTATAACATATGAGTCTTAGTAGTATATACATATTATACCTGTTGACTTAATAGAAAACTCCCTTCCTGGGGCCCTTATTGTGTTTATTTGTTATTTTCACACTTTGATCCCCTTAGCAACCAGCTATTTGGGGCTACAAAAGTTTTACTTTAACTGAAATCCTGTTTGTGGAAAAGTTTTATCAGTGTCCAGAAAACAACATTGATAACAATGAAAGGAAACAAAAATCAAGCAAACCCAAAGCATTTAAAGCAATCACGGTTGCTAAGGAGATGGAAAATAAAGTCAATACAATTTAATGGACAGTTTCAGATAGCAGCAGTACAAATGTACTCAGGGAAATCTGAGTATGTCCATTGTAAAGAAGGTGGCATCCTCACATCTTTAACAGTGAGGATAGATGCGTAGACACCCAGTGTAGCCTTGTGAACACCCCTACTGTCTCCCTTTCTAACTGAATTGGCTCTCACCTATCTGCGCTTTGTTGGCCGCATCCTGGTAAGGACTTTTCCCACATCAGGGTGTCTAGCAAAAGCTCCCTGCCCTAGGAAGGAGCTGCCTAAGTTGGAGGGTCCTCTCCTTTCTGGAACAGAGGGGCTGGAATTTGACTCCTTCTTTTGCAACCTGAATTACCTGATTACTTCCTGAATTGCAATTGCTCATTTGATTCCTAAAAGCCAGCTTCCAGTGTTTTCTGGGCCAAGCCCCAGAGGATAATTGGCCTCCTCCTTTTTGTGTTCTCTTCCCAGACCCATCTTCCTTCCCTCTTTCCATGGTTCAGTGCTGACAGTGGTAATACTAGTATTAATAGTGACTAATGTTTATTGAGTTCTTAATATATTTGGGCACTATTCTAAACACATTTTCAAATGTTAACTTTTTGGGGTCTCATTAACAAGTTGGGGTTTATATAATTTTCACCCCTATTTTGCAGCTGAGGAAACCAAGGCACAACTAACAATTGGCTGGGCCTGAATTCAAATCTAGGTAGTTCACAGTCTTTATCTGTAAACAATGCTAATTTTCATGTGAATCTATGTTGTAACAGAATTACTTGGGATAATGAAGGTCATGGAGGGAACACAATGACTTTCAATGTACCCGAAGTCCCTTGGTGTGAATTAAAATGCTTTTTGATGATAAAAGTCATGGTTATGATGTAATCTTTCTTGGAGTTAATAAGAACTGGTGATTTTGTGTGTATTGGGGTAATGGTGGTTACTTACACCCATTCAAAAAATATTTGCATACTCATGATGTGCACTAAGAAATCAAAGAATAATTCAGATGAGATGCTGTATTAGTCTGTTCTCATGCTGGTATTAAAGACATGCTTGAGACTGGGTAATTTATATAGGAAACAGGTTTAGGTTGGGCACGGTGGCTCATGCCTGTAATCCCAGCACTTTGGGAGGCCGAGGTGGGCGGATCACAAGGTCAGCAGATCGTAGGCATCCTGGCTAACATGGTGAAACCCCATCTCTGCTAAAAAAAACACAAAAAGAAATTAGCCGGATGTGGTGGCGGGCACCTGTAGTCCCAGCTACTTGGGAGGCTGAGGCAGGAGAATGGCGTGAATCTGGGAGGCGGAGCTTGCAGTGAGCCGAGATTGCACCACTGCACTCCAGCCTGGGCAACAGAGTGAGACCCCGTCTTAAAAAAAAAAAAAAAAAAAAAAAAAGGAAAGAGGTTTAATGTTTAATTGACTTATAGTTCCACATGGCTGGGGAGGCCTCACAATCATGGCTGAAGGTAAATGAGGAGAAAAGGCATGTCTTACATGGTGGCAGGCAAGAGAGCTTGTGCAGGGGAGCTCCCCTTCATAACACCATCAGATTTTGTGAGACTTATTCACTATCACGAGAACAGCACTGGAAAGATTTGACCCCGTGATTCAATTATCTCCCACTTGGTCCCTCCCATGACACATGGGAATTATGAGAGCTACGGTTCAAGATGAGATTTGAGTAGAGACACAGACAAACCATATCAGATGCCTTCCTTCAGCTGTCCTATTAGCTTTCAGTTTAGTAGAGGAAGCCAGACATACAGACAAAAAGACTCACAGCATAAAAGATGCTATGAGCATACATCAAGACACATGCAATTACGATCAAATGTATCAGAGGTAAAGAAGAGGGAAAGTTTCACAGAGGAATATACTCAGAATATATGATCAGGCAATTGTCCTGAGCAAATTAAATTAATCAAATCAATTATTAATGTAATTAAATTTTTCTAATTAATTTACTTCTACTATATGAAGAAACAGATTCCATGGGAACTTAGGGCCAAGCTTAATTTTCCTCATCATATCTTGTTTTTATTTAAATTATAGTTAGCAGAATTCTGAACTAGTGGAGTTTCCATGCTGGTTCCAATTGTTCTCCCAATGGGTGTTTTGACACTCCATAAATATATTTGCATAATTGGCTGTGTTAGTTCTGGTGTGATTTTGACATGTCTTGTGATTCTCAAGGTCTCAGAGAAGCTTGTGACAACCCTGAATCAACATTTTGTCCTCAGTTATTACCTAATCATGCACATTATCACATAGAGGGGTTTGCAGGGATGATAGATGAGAGTGTCTATATTTTGAGTGACTGCTTAGGAAAGGTCAGAAGTGCTTTCTATAATATCAAGCCTTAAAACCCTTCAGTTGTGATTTCCGAGCTGAGAACTGAATCAACATAAGAGCATTCCATGGTAACTAGCCTGCATCTGTTATGCTCCAGTAGCAGGCTGTTGCAGGACTAGAAACACATCCCCATCTGAAGCATCTAGTAGTGTTGCAGAAGTCAGCAGGTAATAAGCAAAAGCCTAGGAGAAAGCTATAATTATAGCAATTCCATCAGAAGTGAGTGGTACCACCTTGTAGGAAAAGAAATGATTTATTCTTTCAGAGAAGGGAGATGAACAGAAGAATCTGCAGAAGGCATAAATTGCATCATCAAAATTTCAGTGCAATGCATGTTTGGGCATAAAATTTTGGGTGGATGAGGAGCTGCTTCTTCTGTAATGTACCACAATACCTGGAGCTCCAGGAAGGGGGAATCAATGCAATAGAAGACAGGTCCCATAAACAGTGATCCAGCGGGGAGGGTAAATGTCAGTGAAACAGGCAAGCAGGCAAGGATTAGGGTAAGGCAAGTGAGGCCAACTTGTGCAAGTGCAAGGTTAGATCTTGCCTTTGTCTATAATTGTAATCTTTTGTTCAACATGGAGTTTTGTATTAATGTTGATTTTTAAAATATTGCATTATTATTTATTTTGATTAGTGTGTGTTTTGACACTATTTACACTTTACTCCAGAGGAAAGTATCTCCTTAGTGCTGGCCCTGCATGACTGCTGTTGAAGTGAGATATTTTAACACTTACACTATATGAGTAAATAGACCCATTGCATTTTATTGTCGGTGTGATCTCACAGGATATCTGATGTTACCTGTATTAGTCTGTTCTCATGCTGCTAATAAAGACATACTCGAGACTGGGTAATTTGTATAGGAAAGAGGTTTAATTGACTTACAGTTCCACATGGCTGGGAAGGACTCACAATCATGGCTGAAGGTGAATGAGAAGCAAGTTATGTCTTAGATGGTGGCAGGCAAGAGAGCTTTTGCAGAAGCTGCAACCAGGAGAACTTAAGACCATGTTTAGCCTGCAAACACATTTTATTTGCCATAAACAATGTTTATTTTTTAAAATTGCATTAGTTGCCTCTCTTAAAATTGGAAAATTTCTTCTAAAAACAATTTGGATGTCAGGCTTCTCTTGAAAAGTTGGAAGGTCTAACACACTGGGTCTATGTTCTCTCACAGCAGTAATCAACTAAAGCTGATGAGAATATTTTCTCCAGTTCTCTGGGCCCACTTCATGTGGGCATGTTACCTGCCTGGTGCTGTAGGTGTTGGAAATCCAGAGATTCTGAATTCTGCTTAACTACAGCATCCTTACAATATACCTCTTAAAGATGGTCTTGCATTCATTTAATAAATAATGATTTTTTGCATACTACATGTAAAACATTGTGCTGAGGAACAAGACAACAAGGTCCCTTGTCTATTGGAATTTGTTTTGGTCTTATAGGCAATGTTATGGGCTGAGTTTTGTCCCCCCACTACAATAAATAATAGAAAAGATATGCTGAAGTCCTAACCCCAATACCGTAGAATGTGACCTTATTATGAAATAAGGTCTTTACAGAGGTAATGAAGTTAAAATGAGGTCATTAGGATAGACCTTAATCCAATATGAATGGTGTCCTTTAAAAAGGGGGAAATTTGGACACAGAGACAGATACACACAAAGGGAAAAGGATGTGAAGACACACAGAGAGAAGGTGGCCATGAGACTGGAGCGCTGCGTCTACAAGCCAAGGAACACCAAGGATTGCTGGTAAGCCCCAGAACCCAAAAGAAGCAAGGAAGGATTCTTCCTTAGAGCTGCCACAGAGAGCAAGGAATTGCAGACACCTGAATTCCTGACTTCTACTCCGCAGACCACATGTTTCTGTTACTTCAGCTACATGAGTTTTTGGCACTTTGTTATAGCAGCCCTAGGAAACACAGAAAGTTACTAAATAACAGTTGGAACAAGCACTAATAATTCTTGCAAAGGGGTAATAAATGGAGGGTGCAGAGTGCTGTGAGAGTATATGTTGGGATGCATTGGTTGATCTTGTTTGGAGGTTAGGGGAGCTTTTCTGAGGAAGATGTGTTTTTACTGAGGTCCGAAGGATAAATAGAACTTATTTTTCTGGTAATGAGGGAGACAGGTACAGTCTAGGCTGGAAGGACTTGTATGTGTGGAGGCTCTAAGGAAAGAAGGAAGAGTAAGATACATTCAAGAAACTGGAATCCGGCCAGTGACTAAACCACAGAGAGAAAATCATGGAGCCTGCAGGTGTGGGCCCTATATAGCAAGGTGTATTGACTTACTTGCTGTGCTATTTTGGGGAAGTTACTTAACTTCTTTGAGAATAACAACAGTGTTTACCTCACATGCGTCTTATTTGGATTAGATGAGATACTGAGTGAAATGGCTGGACATGGTAAGCCCTTGATAGATGTTACTTAATATTATGATTCCTGTTCTTGTTATTATTCTTGACAGGACAGGATGTTTATGGCCCTGGGATGCCTTTAGGGATGTAGTCTCTATCCTGAAGGCAATGGGAAGCTAGTGCGGGATTTTAATGAGAAATTCAATACTTCAAGCCAGATTTTGTTTGTAAAAGTTCCACATGACTCAGTGTGGAAAATGGACTGGAGATCGGTGGAGTGGAGGCCTGAGGAGAGGTGACTGAGGTAATGGTGGTGGCAGTCTTGCCTTGATCACTTTGTACAATTTGGGGAGATCACACAACCATCTTAACAGATTTTGGAATTCCACAAAAGACACTTTCTTGTATGTTTAAGGGTTTTCTTCTAGAACGAAATGCCCCAGGGTGATGCATGGATTTTCAATCTCAATCCTTCCATAAACTTAACAAGTGGTCTTGAGCAAGCCTCATGTGGCTCATTTAATCATGATGCAAAAAGGTAAAAGGGAGAATTAGATTCCATATATATAGGGTGAAGTCAACATCTTTGGTTAATGAACACATTTAAAAATGTCTTTAGGAGATTCCAAATACATCCTCTTTTTGCTTTTTTATTCCATTTATGTCTTGTGAATTCATTTTAGAAGGGAAATTGTATTGATTTGCTCTTCATAAAGCCACATTCAGTGCTAACAGAATTTGTGATCTCAGGTGAAGGCAAAATGCTGGACTGGCAAATGTTCACAACAAATATAAGTTTCAAATAAAGTACTGGATGTGCTAGAAATTCATTAGATAATGAAAGTCATCAAGAAACACTGAGAATGCTGTAGTTCCTTCTGGATTTATGGCTGATTCTTTTAAAAAGCATCACATTTGATATAATTGCTTTGCCTAGTATTGGCACACTTAAAAAATTATCTGACAAATTCATTGTTGGTGGAGGATTGTCGGTGGAGGATTTACCTGTGATGCCAGAGGTAAGAAACGTTGAAGTCTAAATATGCTGTGTTCATTTCCTAGTGAGAGTTTATTATGTCACTCAGCTTTGAAAGGGAAAAAGAAATCCCACAGCAGAATTTCCTCCCGAAAATGGAGTAAATTCTAATGTTTTCTGAACTTATTCTGGTATAACAGAGTATCATTAAATAAAGATTTCTTTTTATTATAATGCCCTTATTCAATATCTTATTCTCTGTTGGGCAAAGTTAAATATGAATGTTATCTTAATTTAAATAATTAACATATGCTGTATGTACACTGGTTAAAGCACTAATCTTCATATGCAAAACATGGGTGTTTTGACCTGCATGAATTTTCAAAACTAAAAAGAAATCATATCAGACTAAGAACTATTATTATAAAGCAAAGACCATTGTTTACATTTAAAAACTTACCTTTCTTCATATATTTGGGTGTATATGTTTGTTTTAATGTAAGCAAATATGCAAAGCTGTTAAAAAGATATTGTTGAATGTCATATATTTTAGGAATTTTTATTTGTATGAAATGAACCAGCCAATTTTAATGAATTTTGTAAAGTTTTATGGTAAAGTAACATTTAAAAAAATTTCAGGGTGAGGCACTTTAATTTGAAACCCACTCAGGAATTCAATGGTGTTTTACTGAATAGATATGGACACAGTTTCACTAGTGTCATTCTTTCCTTAGTATGTTTACTCCATGATGACGAGGATTTGTTGCATCTTTTTGACCACTATATCCCCAAATACTGGAAAATCTCTTTCTGCTACATAGTAGGTGCTTGATAAGTACTGGTTTACTGAATGAATACATATATTTATTGGCATAAATGGCAAAAAATTTGTAATGCTGTTGCAAATCAAAAGAACTTTTGAACTTCACACTTTTAAGCTTGAAAGTGGATGTTGTTATGTGCCAGTGTCTGCCACAAATTTCTAGCCAGCCATGTTGGTAGAGGACCTGAGTTGCCATGTAGCCCAGGTTTTCAGCACTGCCCAGTTTCTCACAACTGCCAGTTCCTCACCACCAAGCTATCAGGGCAGAATGAACTAGAATCCTGCCTCTCATCCAGTGGTTCTTGAAGTGTGGTCCCTGCCCTAGCAGCATCAGCAGAATAACCGGGGAACTTGTTATTCATGGCCCACCCCCCAGGCAAGAAGCATCAGGTACTTTGGGGGTGGGCCCCATAATCTGTGCTCTAACGATCCCTGGAGGTGATTCTAATGTACATTCAAGTTTGAAATCTACAATTGTAGACAATGCTTGTACGGACATTGCTAACATTTACCTCTTCGCTCCCTTTTCCATTCTTCCAGTGATGTCCAACTCCCTTCTCATTAACACATTCTAATTTTAGGAATATGAATTCTTCAAAATGAATAAATTTTGGCCTTTGAAAAATTGCCTTCTTAAAATAATTTGTGTATCAGGTCTGAAACTTTATAGTCTGGCTTGGAATCAGACTCTTAGAGGTTGTATTAGTTATCTATTGGTGCATAGAAAACTAGCCCAAAACTTAGCAGCAAAAACAAGACTCATTTATGATTTCACAGTTTTTGAGGCTCAAGAATGCAGAAGCATCTTACTTGTGTGGTTTTGGCTCAGGGTCTCTCAAATGGCTGAAATTAAGGTGTTGCCTGAGGTTACTGTCCTCTCCAGGCTTGACTGGAGAAGGACCTGCTTTCAAGCTCACTTACATGGCTGTTGGAAGGCCTCAGGAGCTCCACCTGCAGGCTTACTCACATGAACCTCTCTGGAGGGTTGATTTATGATGGTGAAACTGGCTTCTACCACAGAAAGAGAATCAAGAGAGAGCTAGAGAGAGCACAAAGGAGAAACCCCAGACTGTTTGTAACCTAATACTGAAAGGGATATTCCATCACTTGTGCCATATTCTATTTATCAGAAGGAGTCAGTAAATCCAGCCACACTCGAGGGGAGGGGTGAAACACAAGGGCCTGAATACTATGAGGCAGGAATCATTGCGGGGGTCAACTTAGGGACCCCCCACAGAGCTGAGTTATTTGTCATTTTCTCCTATTTCTTGCATTGCAATGTTTCAATTAAGGCTCTTGATATCAAGTGTCAGACATCTCAACACTAACTGGCTTAAACAAGAAGAATATGTATGTGGCTTAAGGTGTGGTTTGACATGGAGGATTGGTCAAATGTTATCACCTGGACTTGGTCATCATGGTTCTGTTTGCTCTGTATTGCTTCACTCTCAGGCAGCTTCTCCTCTCCTCTTAGCATAGTAGCCTCCAAGGCTTTCAGGCTCAAGGTCAGCGGTATAGAGCAAAAGTTGCTTTTCTGAGTGTGTCATAGGCCCATGCCTGAACCAGTTGAGAAGCTGAGAAATTCTGACTATATTGGTTGAGGCCCAAGACACACACTCCATTCACAATCAGGGATGAGTCTCATATAAAACACAACAGGTATGAGAAGGGGTGGTAAGTGCCTTTGGAAGGACATCAGAAAGACATTTCATCGAAGTACTGCCTAACTGTTGTCTCTCCCTGAGTTTTTAGTAAACTGGAACTTCTAGGAATATGCCTACCCTCTCTGTCACCACCCACTCCCCACATCCAAAGGGACGCAGAGCCCTGTTGATCTACTGGCAACTCTCCAATCTACTCCCAACAATATCACTATGAAACCCTCACCTGGGCTAAAGCAATAATGTCCAAATTCACTTATCTACATGCTTACATTCTTTGTTCACCTTCTACCTGTTCTGCACATAGCAACCAGAGGGATTTTTTTAAAATGCACTTGATGAGATTTCTTCTGCGATGAAAATTCATCCAGGTCTCATTAATTAAAATCCAGATGCCACCTGACCTGGTTTCTACCTGCCTCTTCAGCTTGATTACTGTCCACCACCAAGCCTCACTCTCTGAGCTTTCCAAATTCTCCCAGCTTCTTCCAACTGCAGTCTTCTTCCGAGCTCTTCTCTCTGTTGGGGAAGCCCTTTCTTTCCATTATGCTTTTCCCTTTCCACCCTTGCTCATCTCATCTTCAGAATCTAATTTTTACATCACTTCTTTACACCAGCCTTCCCTGACCCTCTAGAAGTAAATACTCCCACTTTACCTCGTGCCTTCTTCTTATGGCTTATCAGAATTTTAAGCACTCAGTAAATATCTGATGAATGTGATTTATTTTTCATCTTCTCATACCTGTGCAATTGTGTTGCTCAGAAGATTAAATAAGTGGCAAGATTCATTGCAAGGGTGTCCAGCCTTTTGGCTTCCTTGGGCCACATTGGAAGAAGAATAATTGTCTTGGCCTCACATAAAATACACTAACACTAATGTTAGCTGATGAGCTAAAAGCAAATCATAAAAAAACCTCGTAATGTTTTAAGAAAGTTTATGAATTTGTGTGGGGCCACATTCAAAGCCATCCTGGGCTGCATGTAGCCTGCAGGCCGCAGGCTGGACAAGATTGTATTATAGAGTTGGAATTCATTGGTGTTCTTGCTTGGTCAGGAGCTCCCCTGGTTCATATGGTTGATCAAACGCAGGAGATAATAAAACTCTTTTTAGAACTGAATTGGTCTGTTCTCACAATGCTATGAAGAAATGTCTGAGATTGGGTCATTTATATAAAAAAGAGGTTTAATTAATTCATAGTTCCGCATGGCTGGGGAGGCCTTAGGAAACTTACAGTCATGGCAGAAGGCACCTCTTCCAGGGCAGCAGGAGAGAGAATCAGTGCCAGTAGGGGAAATGCCAGATTCTTATAAAACCATCAGATCTCATGAAACTAACTCACTATCATGAGAACAGCATGGGGGAAACTGCCCCCATGATTCATTTACCTCCACCTGTTCCCACCCTTGACATGTGGGAATTATGGAGATTACAAGTCAAGGTGAGATATGGGTGGGGACACAGAGCCAAACCATATCAGGAATGGACATACTGAACACATAAATGCTGTCTCACTTTGATTCTTACAACAATCTCTTGTGAGTTCAGTGTATTATCTCCATTTTATAGATGAGAAAACTGATGTTCAGAAATAAAAAGTGACTTCTTCAAATTCACATGGCTCAGAAATGGTAGAGGCAGAATACCCACAGACGTCTCTTTGACTCCAAAATCCTAGATATGATTGGAACTGCAAGAAAAGGCAGTGACATTCTCATTTTTTAATTTTAATTTTCACTATGACATTTTGAATAGGCCAAGGTCAAAAATCAAAATAAACATAAAAGTGAAGTCCTGTAGATTTCATGCTGCTAGTTGGAGCAGAACAATAGATCTGAAAGCACCAGAATAAGGGCAGTATGGAATTTTTGGAGAACTAAATTTTTTAATTATATAATTTCAGTTTGCTTATTCATTAAATTAAAGTTAAGAGGTGTTGAGTAGTCCTGCAGCATGAAATAAATGTATTCCATCTTTTCTTTCTATTATACTTTCGATGGGGCTTATATATATTGAGTGAATTAGTCCATTATTGCATTGTTATAAAGGACTAGCTGAGACTGGGTAATTTACGAAGAAAAGAGGTTGGATTGATTCACAGTTCTTCAGGCTGTACAGGCAGCATGGTTGGAAAGACCTCAGGAAACTTACAATCATGGCAGGAGGTGAAGGGGAACCAGGCACATCTTATATGACTGGAGCAGGAGGAAGAGAGTGAAGGAATGATTTCACTCAGATGTTTATCAAACACATATTTAGTACCAGATGCTAGTTACTGCAGATATTAAAAGTGCTTACATATTTTTAAGCAACCAGATGTCATGAGAACTCATTATCAGAACAGCAAGGGGAACGTCTGGCCCCATGATCCCTATCACCTCCCACCAGGGCAATCCTCCAACATTGAGGATTACAATTTGACTTGAGATTTGGGCAGGGACACAAATCCAAACCATATCACTGAGTGATGCAGGAATAAAGCTAAATGGGATAAACCATCCTATTTCCTCATTCCTCCAGCTGCAATGACATACAAATTAGTATACTACATTATTTTCCCTCTTACTTCAAACAGCATGAGTAAGTCTACATTTGGAACAAGAGGGCTTTTAACGGGGGCAGACTGTGGGAGGACTGGGTGGTTTCTTGATTCTTTCAAATTATTTGTGAGGCTGAGCATTTGGCTTGTTGGGATGATTCCTGTTAATGTTACAGTCTGAAATTTTATCTTTTTATCTTAACATCTCTGTAAGTTACATCACTTCTCCCCCAACCCCCAAGCACCCTACATGAATGTGGGGCCTAATAATGAAAATAATACAAAGGGGAATGTGGAGGACAACTGCTATGTATGAATTGATAGCAAAAAGCAGGGAAGATGGCAATCCAGCATTTGGGATTCATGATGAGACCTAAGTTCCATGAGTCTGGAAAAACAGAAGCGCTATGCAAGCATATATCAAAACATATTTAATTTATTAAACAGGCATATTCAAACTATTAATCTCCCAGTCTAGTAAGCATTAGCCAGTTTGACAGAGGACTAGTGCTGGGCAAGATGCGGTTAAATTTGCAGAAAACTCGGAGGGGGGAATGAAAAAGAATAATCGAATTGCGAACAAAATGGGAAAAATGAAAATAATATTCAAAAAAATTTGAGGAAATTTCATCTGGAGAACAAAGAGCCTATGAGACAGGGTAGAAAATGATTCAGAATATAGTGAATTCATCTCATTTCTCATGTATGTAGGGTATACCCTGGTTCCAAATACCTGGAGGGAGACCAGGTGAATATAAGAAAATGTCAGCTATTTAGTAGGAATAACGATTTCACTCAGATGTTTATCAAACACGTATTTAGCAGCAGATGCTAGTTACTGCAGATATTATGGTGAACAGAGAGATATGGTTTATGCCCTCACTGAGCATACAATCTAGTTTAAAGAAGCAAAACATCATGTGACAAGTATAAAGATAGATGAAAGACGAGTTGACCTGGGAAGCAAATAGTAAAACACCTGACTGGCCAGGATTCCAGGGAAATTTCTGGGCAGCATGGAGATTTGCAGGGTAACACCTGTGATGGTTAGTTTTATGTGTCAACTTGACTAGGCTACAGTGTTCAGTTATTTAATCAAACACGAATCTAAAATCTAAGTGTTGCTGTGAAGGTGTTTCATAAATGTGTTCAGCATCTACAGTAAGACTTCAAAACGAGATTGCTCTAGGTAATGCTGGTGGGCCTATATCACAAGCAATTGTGAGCCAAAAATTAGATTTCCTGGAAAAGGAGAAATTCTGCCTTAAGACTGAAGCATCGACTCTTGCTTGAGTTTCCAGCCTGCCAGAGCTGCCCTGTAGATTTCAGAGGGACCTTCCAGCCCCCATCATCCTGAGCCAATTCCTTAAAATAAATCTGTTACCCCACACACGTACACGCAAATGTGTGTGTGTGTGTGTGTGTGTGTGTGTGTACATATGTTCCATTTCTCTAGAGAACCTTACTGATAAAATACCTTAGTCATGTAAAGTTGGTGTGTGTGTGGTGTGTGCACTGAGGGAAGGTAACTGCCCAGGAAGACTTAGAATGAAAAAGATTTAGCCAGATCAGGAAGCACATTATAGGTGACCTAGAGACTTTGTAAGGATTGTGAGAGGATCAGATTCACATTTTAGAAAGGACATCTGATTGTATTACTTTTGAGCACATAAGTTGAGAAAAATGTGTTTGAATTCCAGCAGGAAGGATATTAGGAAGATTTTTTTTTAATAGGGGAAAGAGGTGCTGAATGTATTCTGGAATCTAGAAAAAATTGCATTTTTATCATTGACGGTAACAGTTTTGCAAAAGATTTACAAGCTTTTTTTCCCCTACAATTACGTCTATATTTTTCACTAAGAAGTTCTTGTAACTGGGAAAATACTCCAATCTGGCCGAGCAGCAGTTATGGAAGAAAAACTCTAGCAAACAGCAGTTGGGATGGGAGGGTGGAGGTCATCAGGGGATTCCCGCTGAGAAAGTGGGAAGGAAGAGAGTTTAGAAACGGATTGAAGTTCCACTACATCACGTGTGTTGTTAGAGAATTCGCCTATTACGACGACAGCAACGTCTGATCTCCTGGCTTTCTTCCCCTCCTTGGTGGGTTCCGTTCCGTCCCCCTGTCGCTGCGAGTTTGGCTGTCCCTACGCCGGGGTCTTGGAGTTTGGGCGGGGTCTGGTACCTGCCAAATACGGATCCTGATGGGGAGGAGGTCGGGGAGCGCTAAGTTCAGGCTGGAGTCTGAGTTCTCCCACCCTGCTGCTCCCACCCACCGCGCTTAGAAACCTATGTTTCCAGCAAAGGGGTCTTGCTCTGAGAGAACCTAACCGGGTTTTCTTCCATTCCCTTTGCATCTCTAGATGTCTTCGCCCTGGCTCCAGGTGCGTTCCCCATCCTTTTCGGTCCCGGACGTTCTGCAGATTATAGCGCCCAGCTCATGTCCAGCACCGCCGGAGGTGAAGTGGGGCGAGCTGGTGACTCCTTAACCCTTCCCGAAGGTGTAGACTGGAAGAAGCCAGGGTCTTCATTACCTCCCCTACTCCAGGGCTCTCAAGGCGCCAACGGGGACACTTCCCTGTACAGGTCTGGGGGGCCACGAGGGCGAGGAGGACGCCCTAGTGCAGGGGTCCAAGGACTCGCGTCCCAGAGCTTGGTCCCACACCCGGTCCCACACCCCGAACGCTGGTCGGGAAGGAGATAGGATGCAGCGCAGTGTGATGTGGATGCCAGACAGCGAGAGTGAGGATTTTGCGGGGTGGGGATGGGGGTTAGTGGAAGGGGCTGAGAGGGGAGGAGGCAGCAGGTGAGCCAAGGGGTTGTGCCCCCAGGAAGAGGGAAGAGAGGATCTTTAGAAGGGAGCATCTTGCAGGGGCGACGCAGGCAAGGGTAGGGCTAGGAGGAGGTGCGGGGAAGCAAGCCCTGGCGGTGAGACAGGAGGGGGAGGAGGCGAAGAGGAGGGAGTTCCGAAAGGAGGGAAACGAGCCGGCAAGGGGCGACAGGAGCGAGCCGGGAAGGGAGAGCAGCGGAGGGCTGCAGAGCTGCGGGCGCCCGGACCGTGCCACACACCCCCCGCGGGGCACGGAGGGCATTGCGGGGGGAGACACACAAAGACATGCGAAGAGGGGCTGAACGAGGCTCGCGCACAAAGACGCCGGGGCGCACGGCAGCTGGGGCTGCACCCACCGCCCCCGCGCCGCGCCGTGCCGGGGCCGGGCCAGCGAGCAGCCCGGGGCTGAGCGCGTGGCGGCGGCGGCGGCGGCGGCGGCGGCGGGCAGGCGCGGGACCCGGGTCGCCCGCGCTCTCCGGGTGACCCGGGCCCGGCAGCAGGCGCGCGCGGGGGCGGCGGCGCCCAAGCCCAACTTGGCCTCCGCCTCGCCCTCTGCCCAGCCCGCCGGTGTCCCCTCCTTCCCGCGATTTCGTTTCTTCTCACGCTCCCCCCCCCGCCCCCTCCCGCGTCCAGCCCCGCTCTCCCCACCTTGTAAAACAAAGCCGGGGAAAATGCCTGCCCGTGCAGCTCGGAGCGCGCAGCCCGTCTCTGAATAAGAAGTGAGTACAATGGCGTGTTTGTAAAAAAAAGCTTCAAGTCCGTCTTTTTCAAAAAACATTTTGAATGCTGCATGCCTCATGCTTCCCAGCGCCTCGCGGGAGAGACCCGGCTATAGAGCAGGAGGTGAGACCCCCCCTCCGGTACCCCCACCCCTCTGGCCGCACGCTCTCCTGCCCCAGCCTTTTCTGGGAGGACTGCAAATGCCCCCTCTCAGCAAGCGGCCGTTTCCCATCTTCGCTTCGCGTCCAAAGTGTTGGGTCATAATCTGGATTTGGAGGCAAACCCTTGCCAGATCCTCTCCACGCCGCTTCTCCCCCCTCTCCCGCCGGTGCCCGGGGTTTTTGCATCTGCCTGAGGTATGGGTTTGGAACACCTTGGGGGAGTTTCCCATGGAGAAGGAGGGTCAGCCCTTGGGAGTAGCCGGCAGGCAGGACTCATGGTGACCCCGGTCACACTTGTTGCCCATTGCCTGGTGGGACAGGCAGTGGTGCTGAAAAAAGCTTGCTTCCGCTGCTATTCAGTGGTCAGTCGCCGCTGGAGCGAAGACATATCTGGGTGAGAACAGAAGACCGGGATTAACAGAAGACTGTGATGAGCTGGGGGAGGGGAGTGGGTAGTGACGGTGCTGAGTGTGTGTGGAAGGGGCAGCTTCTCTCCCTGATCATACATCAAATGGCGTGGAGGTGGAAACCAAGAGGTTCCCTGTATTAAAGATAAAAGTCTGCTTTTATTTTTTAAAAATATTATTTTGGTATTTCATCAGTTTCTGTCCATTCTGTCTGCCAAATGTACATTACATATATTTCTGCTAATTAAAAAATAAGGCAACAGCTTAAAAGAATTAAACTCCTTCTGGAAATGTATTAGGTTAATGCACACACACACACACACACACACACACACACACACACTCTTAAAAATACCTGCCCCTTTCCCCAAAAAGCATATAATGGCCATGTGGCAATGTCTTAATGGAATTTCAGATTGGGATTTGGTGCCATCAAGGTAAACAGTCTTAGTGCTTTCTGGTTCTGCAGAGTGTAAACCACTGATGTGAAAAATCACAAATAGGAGAGCACAGAGATCTGAGGAGGAGAGACTTGGAAATCTTCATTTAGAGAGATAATTGTGGAACTTCTATGTGATTTTTTTGTTGTTTTTGTTCCAAAGATGGCTAAATTTTAAATTATGACTTTTGTTTTTCACTCAGACTCACTAAGCAGCTAGGAGGTTGTGGGGAGTCTGCAGATTATAGTGATTTTAGCTATTATCAGCACTTCCATTTTAACAGTTTTTTTTAATTATAGCATTAAACACATGCCCAGTGCTAATTTTGAGTGAAGGTGTCTTTATAAATATTTTAAAGGTATCTACTAGCTTGTGGCTTTATTTGGAACAGGTGAATGTATCAGGAGAGAAACATGTGCATTCCTCTGTGTAGTAGGTTGAACCTTAGGAAATTGCTGTAATAAGCTATATGTACATGGAATCTCCACTTGGAGCCATGGGTACAGAAACCTCATCACAGCTCTAATTTCATCTCTTCCAAATCAGATCCATTTGGAGCTTTGCTGACTGAGGATCCTGCCTTCTGCCATCATTTTACAACACTACTTAGGTCTAGTGTTTTAAATATCTTTGTTTGCAAAGCTTCTTTTTGATGGGGAATTACAGATGTATTTTATGAATTAAAACTATGGTAGCCTACAATTAACTCACAGTGTTAGGTAAGAGGGCAGGGTAGGTAGCCATGTGAAAACTGGCATTTTTTATTAGCTTCTCATACTGAAGTAATTTCAGATGCCTGTAGGGTATTTGAGTGCAATTCCATGGAGATTTCTTATATACTTACCTGAAAGTGTGTTTTAGATAAGATTATCATTTTATAATCTATATTATATACACGATAGCAAGTTTACTGAAATCTGTAGCAATTATGGACTTTAAGCTGATTATTCTGTTTGAGTTGATGGTTTTTAAAAGTCTTATTTTTCGGCCATTCTATTAACCTTTTTTAGTTCAATGTTGTCTTTCCACAAAATGTCCTGTAGTAGGTGTTTTATTTTCCTCTTAGCAAGTAGAAGTCTAGTATCTCTTATATTTTTGAAAAAGAAATCCATTAATGATATTTTTGAACAGCTGTGATAAATAATAAATGGATTTATAGTCACCTCCGACTATATGGCAATTTGTTAGGGAACCATATAAATCCACTCTAATGGAGCAATTAGCTTTGAACAGAGCATGTAGACAGTCAAGGTGTGAGCCACGGTTTTCATTTTTTTCTTGATATTGTTCACATTTGAAAAGGAAGTTACTTGTCTTCTCTAGGTTGTGCCTAGGATTGACACAATGATTAGCAGTAACTTTTATTGGTAAAACATGTCCAAGATTGAAAAACAAAATACAGAGAATGTTTCATCATGAGCCCACTTTGGAGGACAGGCAAAAAGACAAGATTCGACCATCGAGTGGTTTATTTACCACCATGTTTTACCAGAAAATGATGAATGATTTATTTTGAGTAACAATGTTTGGATCACAAATTCTTTTATAATGCAATTCATTTATTGTAATAAATTTTAAAATGAAAATAGAGAATGTTCTTTATATTGCTTGCTTGTGATATAAAGTTCTTGAGAACGAGAATAACCATGAGCCGTCTTCCTGAGTATTCAAATATCTAGTTAAGTACCATCAACTCTTAGGAGTTCAGTATCTCTTTGTGGACCGGCACAGTGGACAGATGTAAATTTAGAAATTGATTAAGAAGCCCTCAGGCATTCTTTTCTTTTTTTGAAGTTTCTTGGTTCGACTCCAGTTTTTTTCCTCTCATTTTGAACTCCAATAGCAGCAGAGAGCACAGATCCAGCCCCCTTTCCTTGAACCCATATATGTGGTCCTGAGATCTAGTGACAGCACTCCTGGTTTGGGTTCCAGAGCTTCCACTAGGAGAGCGAGCGGAATTCAATCAACCTTCTCTGACCCCTTAAAGAAGAAGCCCGACCAATTCCCTTCTCATCTCCTCCAACCTAACCCTCATTCTCTGTTGTTGTCAGTGGCGGCACCTGACTTGCTGGATCCTAAATCTGCCGCTCAGAACTCCAAACCGAGGCTCTCGTTTTCCACGAAACCCACAGTGCTTGCTTCCCGGGTGGAGAGTGACACGACCATTAATGTTATGAAATGGAAGACGGTCTCCACGATATTCCTGGTGGTTGTCCTCTATCTGATCATCGGAGCCACCGTGTTCAAAGCATTGGAGCAGCCTCATGAGATTTCACAGAGGACCACCATTGTGATCCAGAAGCAAACATTCATATCCCAACATTCCTGTGTCAATTCGACGGAGCTGGATGAACTCATTCAGGTAATGGCATGGGAGGAGTTGTTACTCTGTTCCCCCAAATGGGAAATAAAGTGATAGGAGGAGACAACTTGTAGCCCAGTGTATTACAGGTGTGCTGGTGGGAGCCCTATCCCACCTCATTTGCCTTAACATATAGCTCTTTTCCCCAGTTTCTTTGTCTCATTTCCACTTCTCCTGCCTATATTCTCACTTCTGCCACTTTTTCTTCTCTTCCTCTTTTAGTTCTCTCTCCCAGTGTTCCTTCACATCCTCTTCTGCTTCTGTTCTTCTGTATTTCTTTCCTGTTGTCTTCCTGCTTTCTTTCCCTTTGCCCTGTCTTAGAAGTGCCAGTGGACATCCATGGGGTTGGGGTTACCACGCTGAAGGTCCTCATGGTTAGGATAATCATTGTCAACTGAGAAACATTGCTGTGGCAAAGGGGAGGAAAACAAAATATACAGAAATGTGCTTTAATCTTGGCAGTGGCCATCATAAGATAGAAAAGATGAATTCATGATGTGACCCTCTTGAGATGGGTACCGCTCAGGTCAATAAGTTGTAGCTTACCTCTGAAGCCAAGGTATAACTTTGATGACTACCTTTTTAAAGTATCTGCAGATAAGTGATTAATTATTGCTTCTCTAACCCCCAGCTAAGAGAAATTTACTAGTACACAGAAAAAGAGTTTTTGAATAAAACTAACTTAGTTCTAATTTACTTTATAATAGCAGAACAATATCCTTACAGAAAAACATTTTTGTTTTAAAAATTAATCACAGTAAGTTTCAGTTAGGCTCTTTAGAGATGGCAGTATTCTGGTTTTTGTAGATTTCTTTTGCATAAAACAATTCATTGGTCAAATCGGGATCTTAGTGAAGAAGAAAACTTTAGAATTTTCTCACAAGGAGTGACTTGACTGGTTGTTGAAAATGTTTTAATTGTATACACATTTGTTTTCCTATAGAGCCCACTTTTCTTACCTGATTTAATTCAAATTGGAATGGAAATTATCTGTGAGTCATCATCTGAGCATGTTCTTTCTTATTTCATATTTGGTTTTACATTGTTTGAATGAGTTGGAATAGTGGACTGAGGGGAAAAATTATTGTTGGCTTTAATCCTGCTTTTTGTTTGAGGACCCTTTCTCTCATTTCCTCTTGCCATGGATCTCAAGATACTATCTCTGCCCTTCATAGTCCTCTCAATTTACAGCATATGCATACACGTTCTTATTCAAGTTTTATTGAAAGATATCAAAACTAGTGTTCTCTGACACCTATTTAGTTTCTACCGCATTCAGAAATTTCTGCATCTGAAAATTTGCCTTAAGTTTTGAAAATGCTGTTCACTTATATACTGAATTCTCTATGATTTTTAGATGATGGTGACCTTTTTAGTATTGGCAGTGAAAGTGTCAGCTAATATTATTGTCCCAACTGCCCCCTTCCCTGGTCCCATGTAAGATCACTTTCACTTCATTCTCTCTTTGGGCCACATAGACCTATGAGGTACTAAAAATCTTTGAAAAATCCCCACTTCCCTCGGTTTCTGAAGAAGAGCTCTTGGATATCTTGGTGGAGGCAGCATGGTGTAGCAGTAAAAGCTTCAACTTTGAGAGCAGGCAGGATGCGTTTTGAACTGCAGTTGAGTGCTTTATTAGAAGTGTCATCTTAAACAAGTAGTTTTCCTCTTTAAGCCTTAAATGATCTATCTGGAATGAGGAAAGAGTATCTATCAAGTAGGGTTGTTGTGAGGTAAAGAGATAATCCACATAAAGTGTTTCGGTGCTCAGAAAGTGTTAGATTTGTTTTCTGTGGTTATTGTTTTCCTCTCTTGTCCCTTCATTGGATTGTAGCCTCTGATTCATGTAGTTGCATTCTTATCACCTGGAGTGAGATGCTTGGTTGGACAGGACAGGAAAAAAAAAAAAAAACCATGACCAGCGTTTCAGGACAACACTGGAAGAAATTATGTGTGAATTTGAAAATGGTCTCACCGTCCAGTATTACCCAGATTTATTCAGAACTCTAAAGATAACTTGAAGGTCATGGCAGGTAGGAGCAATCTGGTGGTGAATACTGATCACTTTTTGCTACATTGTCTTTGAAATGGAAACAAGCAGAAATCAAAATATGACCTAATTTTTTTCTTTATGCTCTGCATTGGCAATCCATTTTAGCTTTATTAATTTTCTCTGCTGATTATTTTTGCTTCATAAAAATCTTTTTTATATCAATTCAATATTTTTCAGTGCAGAAATTACCTTTTATTTACTCTTACACTGTTCACCTTTATAATCCAATGGTTTTGATAATCATTTTTTCTTTTTAAACATAATTTATTTTGATAAAAGAAATCATTACAATGCCATGACTTCAAGGATCAAGATTAGTGTGTAAACAGGGAGGAAGGTAAATAAGCCAATAATCATATATTAGAATTACACTTCCTTCATATGATTCTTATAAATTTCCCAATCTTTTTTTTCACATTTATTTTCCCATTTAATCATCCCTTAAAACCTCGTAAGTCTATCTATTGGGCAGCAATACCACAACATTAAGGATTAGATAGCATCATTCGGATGAGAGTTCAGATCTTCAGAATCTTTTGGTCAGGCATTTTTCCTAGAAGTCTCTGCTCTTTTGGAGCTTACCTTCTTTCAGTGCTGAGGGGGGAAACAGTTGGAGTAGTTAGCATTTCAGTTCTAGTGTTGTTGAAGAAATTCTGCTACATATTATGGAGAGTGAGGACAGAGGAGGAAGTGAGTGGTCTGACAGTGGGCCAATATCAGGTGCAGTTAGTCTAATCTGGTCTCAGGCATTAGGTTATTAATTACTCCTCTGATTGGACTATAGCAACTTGATTTCATGCTGTGGTTGTGTCTCAGGGTGGGGTTGGGGAGGTGAGGGAAGATATGGGTAATGGAGCATTAAGGCAGATGAGATCAACTGCTTCTTTTGTTATAGAAGCATGTGTGTATGTACTAAGTGTTGTTTTTGGCACTGGACCTTCAAGACAAGGTTGAGGAGGGGCAAAGACATCAAAACAGATACCTTTGCCAATCTGACATGTTTTGAGCAATATGATTTTCAACTCCCATTACATTTAAACTAATGTGATGTCAGTACAGAAACATATATGGCAAATTGTTCAGGTTTCTTTTTCTTTTTTTTTTTTTATTTTGAAACAGAGTTTCGCTCTTGTTGCCCAGCCTGGAGTGCAATGGCGTGATCTCGGCTCACTGCAACCTCTGCCTCTTGGGTTCAAGTGATTCTCCTACCTCAGCCTCCTGAGTAGCTGGGATTGCAGGCATGTGCCACCACGGCCAGCTAATTTTGTATTTTTAGTAGAGACGGGGTTTCTCCGTATTGGTCAGGCTGGTCTCGAACTCCCGACCTCAGGTGATCCACCTGCCTCAGCCTCCCAAAGAGCTGAGATTACAGATGTGAGCCACTGCACCCCGCCTGTTTAAATTTTAAGAGCCACGGATACCATTAACAATAGCCAAAATTTAATTGGCACTTACTATGTGCAAGGCATTATTCTAACTATTTACCTATATTATCTCACATAACTCTCTTAAACCACCGTAATAGGTAGGTGCCTTATTATCTGCTTTTACCTTATAGGGAAACTGAAGTAAGGGGCGCTTCAGTTTCCAAGAGTGCATGGTGGAAGAACTGTCATTCAAATGTTTGGATAAACTCTAGCACTTACTTCTGGTATTTACTGCTTTTAAAAATAATTTAATAAATATTTGATGTAAAGTTTCCTGTTATTCCATATGTTAAGGTATAATGAATATTATAGTTCTCTGTACATATAGCATATCTTTCTTTCCAAAATGAAAAGTATATAAACTGAATCTTAATATTCTTTCTGGACAACAGGATTATATCAGCATTTTCCCATTTAAATGTGGCAAACCAGTAGAGGATGGTCACATTAGACATATCTGGTCTTCATTTATTTCTGTGTTAGTTGAATCAATTATAAGGTTAAAAGATAGAGTGAAATCTATGATCTATATATTGACAATAAAAATATCTTATAGGACATTTGACTTTTTTGTTTTCTAATTTGAGCCCCACTCCTTCTTGAGCTAGGTTGGGAAGATATTCTATCTGTTTTGTGGTGAAGAAACTGACATGTTTGGACAAGGTCATCTGGTGGCCTCAGGTCTAGATCTTCAGAGTCTTCCTGCTGAAGGGATTATCTTCTCTTTATACTAGGCATCTCATTTTCGTTCATCCAGTGGCATTTACTGAGGACCTCCAATGTGTTTACCTCAATGGTGGGTGTTGAGCCATTTAAGATGATGGAAAAAAAACACATGGCTTCTCTCAAGGCGCTTCTTCCTACATGTCAATCAAAGGAGATAGCTATTAACATAGGTACAATAGCATTACCGTAGAAATACTTACAGACTTGAGCTGGAATCCCTACGTGTTGGGGCCCTGAGGAAGAAATTAAGCATTTAATGAGAGGAAGATACAGAAGATGTGAAAGGAAACTTGATTTTAAGGTGCCTCATAGTGCTCTAGGGGAAGACGAGGGGAATAGTGGACATTCTAAGCAGAATGGGCATGGTATGCTCCAGTAACTGAATATCTGGGTGTGAGGGGCAGGGGCATGAGCAGGTTTGACAAAGTAGACCATGGAGCATTGTTCCATACCAGGGAGGTGGGCTTTATCCTAGGCCTACTCCTCCACTTGGTGTCAGTTTTGTGGGCACTTGGCTGTGTAGCAGAGGATACTCGGAGCTACAGGATAAATAAATAAACATGCCTTCTCTAGAATACCAGTGATAGTGGCCTTTAAAAACAAAACAAAACATTGTTTTATATTAATTCCATAATCATTCATTCATTCAAAAGCATTTGTTGAATGCCTACTGTGTACATTGTCCTAAGTGCTGAAAGACAGTGGAGAATAAAATCAGAAGAAAATTTGTACCATCCGTGAGTTTACATTTGCTGGGGAAGGTAATATGTTTGATAGAACAAGTTTTGGGAGAAAAAGTAAAGCAGTGGAGAGGGCTTGGAAATGTTGGATGGCGTTGGTGATTAATTCCAGATATGGTCACTAAGGAGGCTTCACTAATAAGGTGACTTTTAAGTAAAGAGTGAGGGAAATAGCCAAGTAGCTGTCTGGGGAATAACACTTAGGCAGAATGCTCACCACATACAGAGGTTCTCACCGAGGGGAGAGTTCCTGGCATGTAGAAGAACTACAAGGATGCTGGGATGGAGAGGTAGAAGGTGATGTCAGGCAGGTAATGGGGGCCAGGTCATGTAGGGCCCTGGAAGTCATCATCATAAGGAGTTCGGCTTTTTGGTGCAGATAAGTATCCAGCTCCGGCTTACATTTCAAGAGGATTTCCCTGGCTGTGGTGTTGAAAATAGACCACACAAGGCAGTGAGTAGAAACAGGGGAGGCAGGCAGGAGGCTGTTGTAATAATCCTGGTAAGAAATGAGGGGGGCTTGACCTAAGAGATTGTGAGATACGATCAGATTCTGGATGTATTTTGGAAGGAAAGCTAATAGGGTTTGCTGATTGACCAGAGGTGCAGTGCAAGGGAGAGGAGTCAAGGACAACCCCAAGATTTTTGGCCCAGGGAATGAACAGAATGGGGCTCCCACTTTCCTGAGATGGGAAAGAGTGAAGAAGAACTGGTTTTGGGCATAATGTCAGGAGCTTAGCTTTGGACATTGCACTAATTGTGTCAGTTATACATGCTTTAGTTATTGAGGAAGATTGATGGGATGCCACATAGCAGGGCTTACAGATCCACAGTTTATTGCAGGAAAATGATAGACATATAGCAGCAGTACCCAAGTAAAGCCATGCATCAGAGGCAAAGGCTGCATGACAGCAAGGGGTCTGCAGAGGCCAGTGCCAGCTCCAGTGATACTTCCTCTGCAAGGCCATACCAGGACACTCCTCTCTTGAATCAAGAACCACTGATGTGTGCATGGAACATTTTGGAACCAAATAGCCTAAAATGGGGTGTCAGCCTGGGCTTCTTATATCTTGCTGGTCACATAGGGATGTGTTTCCTGCGTAACCAGTTCCAGCGACATAGCTCCCCAGAGTCTCACCAAGACCAGGTGCAAATCATCCATTGCACTGTTACTAACAAGCAATGCTGACAAGCTGGTACCCACCTCCCTGAAACTCCTCAGACCATGGCTATAAAGTGATACTCTTGGTTATCGTGTCTCATGCCTTTACCAAGGGACAGTGCTGTATTTAAGCAAAACAGCTCAGACTGATTTCAGGTCAGCACAGCCATGTGAAATTTGAGTTGATTATTAGGACATCCAAGTGGAGATGTTAAGTAGGAAGCTGCAAATATGAGTTTGGAGTTTGCGGGAGGGGCCAGACTGAAGATACACATTTGGAAGTCATCATTATATAGAAGCTATTTAAAATCAAGACGCTGGATAAAAACATCTGGGGAATGAGTGTAGGTTGAAATGAACAGAGATTCTAATGTGGTTCCAGGAGCACTTCAACATGTAGCAATCTGTAAGGACTAGAATCCAAAAGATTTCAAGGATATTTACCTCATTTTAGGAAACCGTATCACTCTATGCTGCCAGACCTCCAAAGGTTTTATTATTTTCCTTTAAGGGCCATTTAAAAGAAACATGAATATATATACATATATTAAATATACATATATATAAAATATACATATATTATATATAAAATATACATATAATATACCTATAATATACATATAATATATAATATATATTATGTACATATAATATACATATAATATATATAATATATAATGTACATATAATATACATATAATATATGTTATATATTATATATAAAATATAGGATATATATAATATAGAATATATATACTATATTGTATATATAAGATATATAATATATAGTATATATACTATATAATATATAATATATAGTATATATAATATATAATATAGAATATATATACAATATATAATATAGAATATAGGATATATATAGAATATACATATATAATATGTATATATTATATATTATATTATATATTATATAAAAATATATAATATATAATATAAAAATATATTATATATTATATAATATAAAATATATTATATATTATATATTATATAATATAAAATATATTATATATTATATATTATATATAAAATATATTATATATTATATATTATATATAAAAATATATTATATATTATATATTATATATAAAAATATATTATATATTATATATAAAAATATATATTATTACATGACAATATATATAATATATAAAATATATAATATATATATATTGTATATGGTTGGTGCAAATGCGGTTTTTGTCATTACTTTCAATGGCCAAAACTGCAATTACTTTTGCACCAACCTAATACAATGATTTGGTGGCTGTCATTCTGATTTGTGTAAGCACTCAGGTATATTGGATATTTGACTTCAGTCTTAGAAAGAGTACAATTATTTTTTATTTATGGAGAGATAACATGCTGTCCAGAAAGTATCTAAAAAGGCTTTCTTTTCTTACCAGTGGTTTTGCTCTTCTCATAAAACTTTTTGTACCTAATTATAGATTTTAGGGACATAAAAATAGCCTGCAAAATGTCTAAACATCCCATAAATACTTTCTGTCCTTTCGGTTAATCTCTGGAAAAAAGCACTTTAAAGCAGTGTCATTTGTAACCTTCTTGGATGTATATTAACCTAGTAGCTTGAATTATTTTACCAGATTAACTAGATGCTACTTAAATGTCAGTGCTGCAAAGGTGAGAGTTCCAAGAGGGAATTGGGCTACCAAATGGGGATATAGAAATCTTAAAGAAAACCATGTCAATTTCCAATTTTCCTAGGACTCCCCCACGTGCTACTTTCTTAGAGGAATAAATCATTCTTGCTTTCACTCTCTGCCCATATGTTCATGCTGGCTTGCAAAATACTTTTTCTTGTATAACTACATCAAGTAGCAATTGAGACATTTTCATGTACTATTTATTAATAATTAGGTTTTTATTATAAAACATGAAAGTAGTCTGTCAGAAAATTTTATCTTTGAAGAATATATGAAGATTAACAAGTTAATATTGGATACAAAATGAGAAAAATGCCATATAAGTGGTATATATCAATAAAATATCACTCAAACTGATGTGATTAAAAAGGAATATTATTTAAAAATAATGGCTAGAATATTATTTGATAGGTGGGATGGTTATTTGAGAATGAGAAATTATTCTGCATGTAAATTTTCGTATATTTCAAAATATTTTTTGGCAGAAAACTTATTTAGTCTAAGCTAAAAACAAGACTTAAATGTAGAGCTCAGTCAGACAGACAGTATTAGAGTAAGGTTTGACCAATGTAGATCTGTCAATATTAATTGTAATAATAGCTCTAAAATTCTAAGAGTTGTATATTCCACGTTTGTGTATTTTATCACATATTTGTATATCATTTTACACTTTAAAGTAAATTATATTACTTAATTCTCACATCCCTTAGGCACATATGTAGTAATTCGTATTTGTAAAATGGAGAAACAGAGGGACAGACAGATGAAGCGCCTTGCAGTTCAGAAAGAAACAAATGGCACCTTAACCAGATTCTTCCTTATGACCCCATCTCCAGTTCTTTCCTCTTAGACAGTTATACAGGAATGCGTGCAACACATGTCTAGCAATAATAGATACCCAATAAATATTTAGTTCAAGTCTGCATCTTCCTAGAGATACTTTGATAAATCTTCTGTCTTGCTTTGTTAGGAAACAGAAAGATTTTTCTTCATGATCACCGTTTTACAGATGAGTAAATTGAGGCACATATTGTTTAACCAAGGACCCCTCTGCCTGTTTCAGCTTGAGATGCTGAAAGTGGCACAGCAAACGTTAAAATTGCAGAGCTTCTATTCAGGTGACTCTAACGCTTCTTTCCACAGTACCAAATGGCCTCTTTAGAAGCGATGTTATGGGGTTGCGTTTTTTTCACCCCAGGCTCCTGTTTTACCCAACCCTACAAACCAAATCAGATTTATGATCTGTGCCTCTAGGACATGCTTCCTTAATTTTAAATTGCTGCTGGATTGTAAACCCAGTAAACACTGCTTTAGTCGTCTGTGTGCTCTGTGCTGTACTAGCAAGGATGAGCAGCTGAAGATACAGCAGGTCTGTAGATGTGAAGGCAGAACATTTACTCATGGTAAACTGAGCACAATTATAAGGACACAAAAGGGCAAATAAAATATTTTGCTAAAACGTGTGTGACTGGGCATTCTTCATGCCGGGGCATGACTAGGTGAGGTAAATCAGGGAAGGCAAGAGTGGGGGCAAGGGGAAATAGTTGCAAAGACACACTAAATTCACGTGCTACCTGTTGGATTATACGACTTTTATCCTTTCTTGCTTGCTAGCATTCACAAAGTAATAATAGTTTTTTGTTGCACAAAATTCAAATAATGCAGGAAGGTAGAAAGAAGAAAGCAAACCTCTCTTTAGACCTATAAGCATATATGGATATACCAAGGTGTGTGTGTGTGAACATACACACATACACATCTTTCCACACATGATTTTACACGTATAGGATCACGTATGCATGCCATTTTGCTGTCTCCATTTTTCAATTACCATTGTTAGGGGATGATTTAGTAACATTTTTTTCCTACTAAAAATATTTATTTTAAAATTTTTATGAATACACAATAGTTGTACATATTTATGGTGTACATGTGATATTTTGATCCAAGCATACAGTGCATAATGATTAAATCTGGGTGACTGGGATATTCATAACCTCAAACATTTATGATTTCATAGGCAGCAAAGAATTTTCTAAGTCTTGCTTTAAAATATAGTCTTCAAGGGCTTTGACACAGAAGACTTAATACAGTGGGGTTCTGACTCATGAGTCCACTTGTGCTGTTGGGGCAAGGTAGGGTGGATCATAGGGAACCTCGCACAGTGGCTGTTTGTGGTAAAGTAGCTTTAAGAATCTTCATGACATGGACCATTTTGAATTCACATGTTTTGATAGGCAACACAGACAAACTGATACAACACATTTTTAAAGATATGGAACATGGAGCTAAGCCAAAATATTGAGTTCCTTCTAGTAGAAAACTTCCCTCTCAGATTTATGATGTTTTTGAGATACCTCTGATTCCACGATGTTCGGAACTGCATTAAGTGGAGCCTATCACAGTTATCCTAGGACATGCAGTTTTCTTCTCTCGACCCTTCTAATTTTTAAAAGTTCTTCAACAATAGTGCTTTGCTTTGTGTTCTTTTGAGGGTGGAACCTGGATCCTTAGAGATAGAAAACCCAGCATCTAAGTGGGATCTGCCTTTCAGTCCTGCTTCCACATGAACAGCAAGCAGAATAATTAATAGATCAACCGAGAAAGGAGGGAGTTTTTACCTAAAATGCATTTGTAAAAATCTATACCTGCAGGTACTAAGAATAGTTCTCTTAGCTGGTGGATAATGGTAAAATTTAACCAATGACATATTAATGTCTGGACTAAAAGTATGATTGTGGTAAAAATAATGCTTTGGAAAGGCATGTAAGAAGATTCTAGACACGTATGGTAGTGCAGAAGTAAAAGTTCTTAAATTGACAGCCATGGTTTTGCTCTCAGGTTAGGACTTACAGACGTGTGCTTCTTTCTTCCTTCCTCTTCCTGCCCCCTTCCATTCTGATACCTTCTCTTCCCCTCTCTTTCTCTTCCCTCCCCCATTCTTACTTTCCTTTTTTTCTTAAAAAAAAAAAATTAAATGGCTCTTCTGTTATTGGCTATGGCTTCCTTTTGGGGTGAATGTTAATAAAGAAAAATTTTTTTTTGGCAGCATTTGAAATTACATAATTTTCTTGTCCTCTGCTACCTTTGTGAGTTCATTCCTTATGGTTTCATGCAGTTGCTTTAATTTTGACAATTTTCTCTAATGGTTAGTAGCAGATAAAGTGTAATGGTTACTTTCTAGAAGGTGTCAATTCCTTTATGATATTTGGTTGGGATTGTGAAAGTGATGGTGTGATTCTTTTAAAGTGAAGTTTAGAATTTGAAGATGAGCAACAGAAGTTTATATTTCCTTGTGGTCCTTTGGTCCAAATGGCCAATTCTTTTAATAAGTAAAATAGAGAGGAATAGAACCTGTGACAAGACAAAAGAGACTTCTGGGAAATGAAAGGTGGCTCCTTTCAGCCATTCAACTGGGATCTGCTCTGAACTCATAGGCATGGTTGATGGTCTCCTTCACACCTATTTTATCATTGATTAAATATCCGCATAGGTTAGGTAATATTCTTACCAGTAAGGGAATTGGATGATACGATCACATCTAGAATTAATTCTCATTCAACTCTTTGTTTTTATAATCCATGATCATGTCTATCTTGGGTCTTTGTCTTCCTAGTAGTTTTGTTTTTTAATCTGTTCCTTGGCAGTTATAGTGTCCCTTGCCTATTTGAGTTGTCCTTTGCAGACATACATTCTGCTTAGTTAAGACTTTGATAAGTGTTCATTAAAACTGTGGGCAGTATTCCAGAAGAGGAGAATCATAATTTACCATGGGTGGCTTTTTGTTTTTTCTCTCTTTCTTTTTTAAAACAATTCTATTATCTCCCTAGTGATATTGGCATTGTTTAATTATGTCCTTAGGCAAAGAGTCATGGTGACTCTTGAGCCTTCTTTTAGGTCACTGGAACCACTATTTGAAAAGGGCAGCCTGCTTATTTTCCCCCAAATCTGTTAGTTTTCACGTGACAAGGATAAGCTTCAACTCTCATTTATGTGTCTCTTTCTCCTGGATTGTGAGATTTTAAAAATTTAATTAAACGTCGAATATATTTCTCATTGTTAAAGATCATGATGATATTTCCAGACTTTGATATTTCCCTTTTCAATTTTATATTAAAACATCACAGAACAGATACCTAGCATTACACTTACTCTTCAAATATATATTTATTTTATCTACATTTTTTAACTGTTTTGAACTGTTAAAATTCTTTCATTTAGATCTCTAGCCAAACATACTTATTTGTACAAGGAATCAATTATCTTTCAGTCTTTGTAGATAATCTTCTTTTTATGACAACTTACATTTTGTGAATTGATTTTTGTCTCTGTCCTAATTTGTCACCTTATAGTAGCTATTTGATTGGTAGAGGATGGTTTCTCTGTACAGAGCTGTTTTATTTTTCTCTATGATGACTTAGGAGTGCATATGTGTTCAAAGATATTATTCTCTATGTGATTTCACTCTGTTTTGCTTTAAGTGTTTCTCAGAAGACTAGGTGTTCTGTTTTTCTTTTATGGATAAATTATATGTATGCATGTATTTATCTAACTTTTATTTTAAGCTCAGTGGTACATGTGCAGGTTTGTTACATAGGTGAACTTACATCATGGGTGTTTGTTGCACAGATTATTTTATCGCTCAGGTATTAAGCCTAGTACCTGTTAGTTATCTTTCCTGATTCTATCCCTCAGCCCATCTTCCATCCTCTGATCGGCCCTAGTGTGTGTTATTCCTTTCCATATGACCATGTGTTCTCATCATTTAGCTTCCACTTATAAGTGAGAACATGTTATCTGGCTTTCTGTTCCTGCATTAGTTTGCTAAGAATAATGGCCTCTAACTTCATCCATGTCCCTGAAAAGGACACGATCTCATTCTTTTTTATGGCTGCATGGTATTCATTGGAGTATATATAAGAAAACTAAGGATTCTTTTGGATTTATTATACATACATGAGAGAGTTCTAGTTAGTGTATCCTCAGTCTACAGTAATGTTGAGTGAAAGTGCTACTATTTGTGGACTGCTAAGTTAAAAAGTTTGTATTCTTTTTAGAAGTACTTAAGGAATGAAAGTTACCAGGAGCTTGTAGAAGTATAATGTGTAATGTATTCTTTGGTGATGCGGCAGTGAAGGAAAGCTTAGGGAAATAAGTGGTACATGTCAGGACAGAGGAAAGGGAGGGGGATCTCAGTAGACCCCATCACATGACCACACAGATTAAGGTGAAGCACATTTTAAGGAAAAAAGTCTTTAATTCTTAAATTTTTCATTTTTAAGGTCTCAACATGGTTTCTTGGCTATTGTAAAGTTCCTCTTCCACAATTATGTATCTGTTCTTATTATTTAGCTAACACTTCCTTAGAGGAAGAAGGGAATTCATCAAGAACTCATAATTGTTAAAACAGGACATGTTCCCATTGGGAAAATAAAAAATTCTCCTTTCCTGTCACTATTATTTATATGCAATAAAGGGTGATTTGAAAACATTTGATTTCAGTGACAGATACAATAAAATTAACTTCTTTTTCTTTGGACGTCATGTGGTTTCTGCACCAGTGTGCTATTAATAGCACCAGGAAAGTAGATTCTGAGATTTGTGAATAAAGAGGCACAGGTTTGTGTCCATGTAGGCATTTTGGGGTTAACTTAGAGGGCAGAGGTACCTCATTTATCTTCTAGATGTGGAGGGGAATCCTTAGTAAGGTTTTGTCCTGTTAACCCAGGAGTCACTACACCATGGGTCTATGGTGTTGTGTGTGTTCTCAACAGGGTAACAGTGTGGTCAGGATGCCTAAACAGATTTCCAAGCAGGGCAGCCCAAAATAGGTGAGAAAGGAGAAGCACAATTATTAGATGAATTTAGAGTTCATATATTTTATTTTGCATTGGGACTAAATGGAACGTCTTATTTTCCTCAGAATAGCCATAGAGAGGCTTACAAATTATGTTTAGTGGGCAGCATTTGTTTTATACAGCAGGATCTCAGATGCCTGCAACCTAGGTGTTTCTTAAGCATTGAAGCCAGTGAATATGATGGAGGTCTTGTTAACCTTTACTTTAAAGCTTAATTTGGTGACTTTGCCTCTTTTAGTTAAAAAATATTTACAATGCTAATGGCATCACAGTCCATAAAGAAATTTAAACATTGCTGGTTGCGGTTCTGATGTTCCTATTGTACTAGGAGATGGTTTCTCAGAACACCCAATTTACTCCTGCTTCTCAGAAAGGGAGGCAGGCTTCTGCTGTTTTCCACTTGTCGCAAACCATCCATAAACCATCAAGTGCATAACAAAAACATGGGAGAAAATTATTCCCAGTTGTTACTAAGTAAAATTTTGTAAGACAAAGTTACATGTAATTATTGCTCAAAATAATTTATCATTCGTGTAAAAGAAAAGGATAATTGATTTGCAGTATAGTTTTGTGAACCTGAATTTGTTTGGATATTTGGAAACATACTGATTATTTTGAATTCTCTTTCTGAATCCCTACTTAGAAACATTTTTGCATTTATCTATTTTATTCAGATAGCATATTAGCTGTTATAGAGGCCTGAAGTAAGATAGTTGGTGTGATGATCTACACATCTAAAGCAAGAAATAGTTAAAATTCATGTTCGTTCATTTATCCATTCTGTGTTTCTGTTTTTGAAAGGCTTTGTTCTATGCATGGGATATAATCAACATTTAACTAAACTGAGAGTTTTGTTCTCATGGAACTGCTATGCTAGTGAGGGGTGACTAAAAATTAACAAATATCTACTTGAACGAGATAATTTCAGAAGGTGCTAATCATCTGAAGACTAAACAACGCCTAATGAGATAGAGATGGGAGGTGGGCTTCTTTAGATGGGCCATGTTGAGAAAAGTTTTCTGTGAGGACATGACATTTAGATGAGGTTTGGATGAGGGAAAGTCAGTCAAATAAAGGTTTTTTGGGGTGGGCAGGAAGTGTTCAAGGAAAAGGCAGCACATGCAAAGGCTAGAACATACTTGATGTGTTCTAAGACCCATAGAAGGTCTGATGTGATCGGGCCATCTCTGGTGGATCAAGACAGCTGTAGGGGATGAGGTGAGGGAGGTAGACCTGGTAGGACAAGTGGTCTGGGCTTTAGGTGCAATGGGAAGTGAACAAATGGAAAATTTCAAAAGAAATAGACAATTGCATCATAATTGTGCTAGGCAAATACAGTCTCATGCCGCATAATGACATCTTGGTCAATGATGGATTGCATATATGACGGTGGTCCAATTAGATTATAATGGAGCTAAGAGTTCATATTGCCTATGACGTAGCCATCAAAATGTCATATCTCAATGCATTACTCAAGTGTTTGTGATGATGCTGGTGTAAAAAAACCAACTGTACTGCTAGTCATATTAAAGTATTGCACATACAATTATGTACTACCTAATAGTAGATAATGACAATAAACAACTGTGTTACCGGTTTGTGTATTCACTATACTATACTGTTTCCATTATGTTATTTTGTTTTATTTATTTTTAAAATTTTTTGAGTTTTTAAATTGATATATAATAGTTGTGCGTATCTTGGGTGTACGTGTGATATTTTGATGCCTGTATACAATATGTAATGATTAAAGGAGGCTAATTGGGATCCCTTATATTAATATATAAATAAGTTAACTGTAAAAGTGTCTCAGACAGGTCTTTCAGGAGGTATTACAGAAGAAGGCATTGTTATCATAGGAGATGACAAGCATCATGCATGTCATTATTCCTGAACAGCTTCCAGTGGGACAAGATGTGGAGGTGGAAGACAGTGATATGGATGATCCTAAACCCTGTGTAGGCCTAGCCTAATATGTGTGTTTGTGTCTTAGTTTTCATTAAAACTGTTTGATTTAAAAAGTAAAAAATAAAAATAAAAAAGCTTATAGAATAAGGATATAAGGAAAGAAAATCTTTTTGTACAGCTGTACAATGTGTTTGTTTTAACCTAAGTTATTACAAAAGAGTCAAAATGTTAAAAAAAATTTTAAAGTTTGCAAAATAAAAAGGTTACAGTAAGCTAATGTTAATCTGTTATTGAAGAAAGGAAAGTATTTTTAATGGATTTAGTAGCCTAGGTGCATAGTGTTTATGAAGTCTGCAGTAGTGTACAGTAATGTCCTAGGCCTTCTCATTCACTCACCGTCACTCATTTATTCTCCCAGAACAACTTTCAGTCCTGCAAACTCCATTCATGGTAGATGCCCTATACCAGGTACACTATTTTTTTTATCTTTTCTATGTTTAGACACACCAATACTTACCATGTGTTATAATTACCTACAGTATTCATTACAGTAACATGCTGTACAGTTCTATAGCCTAGGAGCAAAAGGCTCTACCATATAGTCTGGGCGTGTAGTAGGCTATGCCATCTGGGTTTGTGGAGGTACACTCTATGAAGTTCACACAAGGATGAAATTGCTTAAGGATGCATTTTTCAGAACAGACCCCCATGTAAGAAACATGTGACAGTCATGCAGTGGCCTGTTAGAGGGATTAGATCAAATACATTTAGAAAGATTAATTGGAGAAATGTTTATGAAAGTTGGTTTGGTGAAGAATTTTCGAGAATGAGGACCAAGAGGGAACACACAGGGTTTGGGATAGTAGGAGAGGAGAGAACTTTTCAGAAAGAGATGCTTAGGGTGATGAGACAGGTAATGTGTGTATCTCTGGGACGATATAGGGAGAGAGGAGATGGCTGGTTAAGGATTCTGAAGCTGCTACTAGGTATTGAATTTAATGTGTCTAAGATTCCTCAAGAACAAGATAAATTTTTATGAGCATAGATGATACTAGATGATTCTCATGCATGGGCTCTTTGTGGTAGAGCTCTTTATTTCTGTTTTCTCAAAACAAATTCTAACATCTGTTTTAAGATAAAAGATGTTTATTTCACCTCTAAAATTTATTTTGTATTAAAAATCTTCCACAAGATTGATATTACTGGACATGTTATAGCTTACATGCTACCAGAAATGACTATGTAATTATTTTATTCTTAATAAATATAGGCTTCCTATTTTCTCTCTGGTTAACGAGTTCCAAAGCTTCACATCAGTTTTAATTTCTGGGAGATGTTTTATCAGACAATGACATTTGGCTCTTGATTTAAGCAGGCCTAAAAATCTATTTCATGAGGGTAATTTAAAATAATTTGGCTTAATTAAAATGGTAAATGATGTTATTTTATAATAATGATATCATTCCTGAGGCACATTTTTCTTGGACAGCTGTACTGTGCTATTATGCAAATAAGTATTTTTTGACGGGACAATAACTCCTGCTTTATTCTCCATTATTCAAAACCTCGCAATCATATTATTTCCTGATCCATAGACAGCTTGTGTGTCTGTGTGTCTGTTTTATTCCCTATCGTTTTCCCCTGATTCAGGATTAAATTGCTTCAGATAAGCCTTCTTAATAGGAACCTACTGAGATTCCTTTCTATTGAAGAAGAGAAAAAAATAAGCTAATCTTATATATAGGCCAAACTGGGATGAGTGTTTTTGAGTCTAAAAGGAAATACAAAGAACCAGCAAAAAATGGTGACTACATCTGAAAGGCAGGCAATTGTAAGAAAGAATCTTTCAGCAAAGTTGTATCAAAATATATTTTGAATTAATTGCATGTAACATTCAAAGGCATAAACTCATGGAATTTGGAACTTGGGATCTACCATAGATATTGTCTATTCAAACTCTGTCATTTTAGAGCTAAGAAAATAAACAATTTGGTCATTTTCCTAAGAGCATACTACTGGTTAGCAATAGAACAAACACCGGATCTGTGACTTCTGGTTTTTCAAACTCTCCTCCTCCTAATGTCCCCTTTTTACTTTTTCTTTCTCTTATAAATACCATCATCGTTCTAGGATCAGAGCTAGCTATTCCAGCACTTTTCATTTCTTTGAGTCGGTAACCCATATGTCTTCTTCTTTGCCCTACACAGCAGCAGTTTGCCCCAAACTCCCTGCAGGTGTGACTCACTGTTTTGCATTGATCATCTGTTCTCTTGCTAGTGCCTGCTTGCTGCCTCCTGTGCATTGCTGAATGAATTAGTGAAACGTCTCAGAATTTTAGAACTAGGGAAAAATCCTCCTGAATCTTGGGGAAAATAAAAGCAGGTGGTGTCTTTATGAAGTATCTCATCACCAAAATGCCCAAGTGAGGTTATAAATGGATTTTTAAAAAGGACTTCACAAATTAATGGATCATAAATACAAAACATGTTAGTAAAGAGAAGTGAGACAACTCAGAATTTTAAAAATTATTTTGTATGGTAAATGAATGAAAATTTTATGAATTAAATAAATATTTATTGAGTTCCTACTATGTGCCTAGCATTGTAAGGGGCTATGGGGTTTTTTTTCTAGGCAAATTGTGTTTCATCTTACATATTCTTTCATAACCTGATTATCTCATTTTGTAATATATCATGAACATCTATCCATATCTCTAAAATATAGATTTGTAGAACCCTTTTTAGAGGCTTTGTAGTATGCCTTTTTATGGATGTACCATCTTTTTAAACTGTTCTGTTATATCAGGCACTTAATTTTTTAGTTGTGGGAAAAAGCATGTAACAAGAGCTCTACCCAGTTAACAAATTTACAAATGTCTAATACAGTATCGTTGACTATGTGCACTTCAGTACCATTGACTATCTGCACAGCAGATCTCTGTAGAACTTTTCATCTTGCATGACTGAAACCCTATACCCACTGAACAGCAAGTCTCCCTTTTTCCCCTTCCTCCACCCACTAGCAACCAGCACTGTGTTTTCTGCTTCCATGAGTTTGGCCATTTTAGAGATACCTCATATAAGTGGGAACATACGGTATTTGTCCTTACGTGATTGGTTTACTTAGCGTAGTATTATCAAGTTTCATCCATGTTGTAGCATGTAACAGGGTTTCCTTCCTATTTAGGGATGGATCATATTCCATTGTATGTCTATACCCCATTTTCTTTCTTCATTCATCCATCGATGGACATTTCCACCTCTTGGCTAGTGTGAATAATGCTGCAATAAACATGGAAATGCACATATTTCTTGAATGTCCTGTTTTCAATTCTTTTATTTTTAATTATTATTGATTTATTTATTTCAACTTTTAGATGCAGGGAGTACATGTGCAGATTTGTTACAAGGGTATATTGTATGATGCTGAGGCTTGGGGCATTACTGATCCCATCACCCAGGTACTGAGCATAGTACCCAATAGTTTTTTAACCCCTGCCCTCCTCCCTTCCTTCTTCCCTGCTCTAGTAGTTCCCGGTGTCTGTTGTTCCCATCTTTATGTCTGTGCATACTCAATGTTTAGTTCCTACTTATAAGTGAGAACATGTGGTATTTGGTTCTCTGTTTCTGCATTAGTTTACTGAGGATAGTGAGTAAGCTGTGTCCATACTGCTGCAAAGGACATGATTTTGTTCTTCTTAATGGCTGCATAGTATTGCATGGTGTATATGTACCACATTTTTCTTATTCAATCTACTATTGACAGGCACCTAGATTGATTACATGGCTTTGCTGTGAATAGTGCTGTGATGAACATATAGGTGGATGTGTCTTTTTGGTAGAATGATTATTTTCCTTTGGGTAAATACCTAATAATGAGATTGCTGGGTTGAATGGTAGTTCTATTTAAAATTCTTTGAGAAATCTTCAAACTGCTTTCCACGGTGACTGAACTAATTTACATTTCCACCAACAATGTACTGGCATTCATTTTCCTCTACAGTCCTGCCAACACCTGTCATTTTTTTGACTTTTTGATAATAACCATCTGACTGGTGTGAGATGGTATCTCATCGTAGTTTTGATTTTACATTTTTCTGATGATTAGCAATGTTGAGCATTTTTTGTATGTTTGTTGGTCCCTTGTATGTCTTCTTTTGAGAAGTGTCTGCTCATGTCCTTTGCATAACTTTTAATAGGGATATTTTTTTTTCTTGATTTAAGTTCCTTATGAATTCTGGATATTAGGTCCAGAGTTTGTTGGATGCATGGTTTGAGAATATTTTCTCCAGTTGTGTAGGTTGTCTGTGTACTCTGTTGATAGTTTCTTTTCCTGGGCAGAAGCTCTTTAGTTTAATTATGGCACGCTTGTCAATTTTTGTTTTTGATGCAATTGCCTTTGAGGACTTAGCCACAAATTATTTGCCAAGGTTGATGTTGAGAAGGGTATTTCCTAGGTTTTCTTCAAGGGTTTTTATGATTTGAGGTTTTACTTTTAACATTTTAATCCATCCTGTTAATTTTTGCATATGGTGATAGGTAGGAGTCCAGTTTCATTCATCTGCATATGGCTAGCTAGCTATCTTAGCACCATTTATTTAATAGGGAGTTCTTTCCTTACTGTTTATTTCTGTTGACTTTGTTGAAGATAAGATGGTTGTAGGTGTGTCACTTTATTTCTGGGCTCTCTATTCTGTTCTATTGGTCTATATGTCTGTTTTTGTACCAGTACCATGCTGTTTTGGTTACTGTAGCCTTATAGTATAGTTTGAAGTCAAATAATGTAATGCCTCTAGATTTTTTTTTTTTTAATTTTCTTAGGATTGCCTTGGCTATTTGGGATCTTTTTTGGTTCCATATGAATTTTACAGTAGTTTTGTCTAATTCTGTGAAAATGATGTTTTTAATTTGATAGGAATAATGTTGAATTTATAGATCACTTTGGGTGGTATGGCCATTTTAATGATATTATTTCAATCTATGAGCATGGAACACTTTTCCATCTGTTTGTGTCATCTATGATATTTTTCAGCAGTGTCATGTAGTTCTCCTTGTAGAGACCTTTCATCTTCTTGGTTAGACGTATTCCTAGGTATTTTATTTTTTTGTATGGCTATTGTAAATAAATACCCAGAAACAGGATTGCAGGATTATATGGTAGTTCTAGTTTTAATTTTTTGAGGAACTTCCATACTATTTTCAACAGCTGCTGCACCATTTACCTTCCAGCCAACAGTGCACAAGTGTTCTAATTTCTCCACATTATTGACAATATTTGTTACTTTCTGTTGTTTTGATGATGCCATCCTAAGGGGTATATGTGAAGTACTATTTCATCGATTTGTGTTTTTCTGATAATTAGTGATGTTGAGCATCTTTTCATATACTTGTTCATTTGCATGTCTTCTTTGGCGTAATGTCTATGCAAGTCCTTAGCCCATTTTAAAAATCAAGTTATTTGTTTTTTTTTCTATTGAGTCATGTGTGTTCTATGTATATTTTGGGTATAAATCTCTTATCAGGTATAGTCAGCCTTCGGTATCCGTGGGTTCGGCATCCAGGGATTCAACAAACCACAGATGAAAAATATTTGAAAAACAATAGTACAGCAATAAAAATAATGCAAATAAAAACAGCACAGTATAACTACCATTTACACAGCATTTATGGTGTATTAGGTGTTATAAGTCAGCAGTTCTCAACCTTTTTGGCATCAGGAACCAGTTTCATGGAAGACAATTTTTCCACAGACCAATGGCGGTCAGGGGAGGATGGTTTTAGGATGAAACGATTCCACCTCAGATCATCAGGCATTAGATTCTCACAAGGAGCACACAGCCTATTATAGATCCCTCGCATGTACACTTTACAATAGGGTTTGAGCTCCTGTGAGAATCTAATGCCATGACTGATCTGACAGGAGGCAGAGCTCAGGTGGTAAAGCTCCCTGGTGGCCGCTCACCTCCTACTGTGCAGCCTGGTTCTTAATAGGCCATGGACTGGTATGGGTCTGTGGCTTGGGGGCTGGGGACCCCTGTTATAAGTAATCTAGAGATGATTTAATGGATATGTGTAGGTTATATGCAAATACCATATCATTTTATATAAGGCACTTGAGCATCCACAGATTTTGGTATCCATGGGTTGAGGAGATCCTGAAACCAATCCCTCATAGATACTGAGAGACAATTGTATATGGTTTCCAAATAGCTTTTCATATTTTATAGGTTACCTTTTCATTCTGCCGATTGTTCCTTGGCTGCCCAGAAGCTTTTTTGTTTGACATAGTCCTATTAATCTATTTTTGCTTTTGTTGCTTAGGCTTTTGGGGTCATATCCATGAAATCATTGCCAAGGCCAATGTTATGAAGCTTTTCCCCTGTGTTTTCTTCTAGAAGTTTTATAGTTTCAGGCCTTATGTTGAAGTCATTTTTTTTTTGGTAAAGGGTTTATTAAGCAGGGCTATTTTTAATACCAAAAGACAGCAGACAGCTCAAACAGTCACTAACAGAGGTCTGGTTGTTTAAATTATAGTAAACAAATAAAACAGTAGTATTCATCTGTGTGGGGTGGGATGGGTGGGTGGGTGTGGATGTGTGTGTGTGAGGGGTTGGGGAGAGGGAGGGAGAGATGAAGAAATATCTTCACGTGCTAACATGGAGTGAACTTCAGGATATAATGTTATGTAAAAAGCATAAAGTGGAAAAAAACGAAAATAGTTTGCTATTACCATTTTGTTTTTTGAAATGTAAAAGTGAATGAACTATATATATATGCATATATATATCATTCATTCATATATATATGCATATATATAGTTCATTCTCTTAATTAATTTTTTGATACATTATATTTGTACATAGTTATGGAGTACATGTTAAATTTTGTTGCATGCATAGAATGTGTAATGATTAAGTCAGGGTATTTAGGATATCTGTCACCTAAGTGTCTATCATTTTTGTGTGTTGGGTATATTTTAAGTTCTCTCGACCAGCTACTCTAAAATATATATTAAGTTAACCACAGTCATCCTATTCTGCTGTCAAACATTAGAACTTATTTTTTCTGCCTACATATATGATTGTACCCATTAACCAACCTCTCTTAATTCCCCACCCCTCTCCCGCCCACACACCCTTCCTAGTCTCTAGTGTTTTTCTTTCCACTCTCTACCTCCGTGGGATTTACTTCTTTTAGCGCTCATGTAAGAGTGAGAACATGTGAGATTTATATTTCTGTACCTGGCTTATCTTAATTAATGTAATAATCTCCAGTTCTATCCGTGTTGCTACAAGTGACATGATTTAATTCTTTTTCATTGTTGAGTATTATTTGTGTGTGTGTGTGTGTGCGTGCATGTGTGTCACACCTCTTTATTCATTCATCTATTGTTGGGCACTTAGGTTGATTCCATATTTTTGCTGTTGGAAATTGTGCTGCAATAAACATGAGAGTACAGTACAATATGTCCCTTTGATATATTGATTTCTTTTCTTTTGAGTAAATACCTAATGCTGGACTGGATTGTATGGTAGTTCTATTCAGCTTTTTGAGAATCTCTATCCTGCTTTTTATAGTGGCTGTACTGATTTACATTTCCACCAGCAGTGTATACGAGTTCCCTTTTTGCTATATTCTTGCCAACATCTGTTATTTTTTATCTTTTTAATAATAGCCATTCTAACTCTGTAAGAGTATATCTCATTGTGGTTTTAATTTTCATTTCTCTGATGAGTAGTGATGTTGAGCATTTTTTGTATACCTGCTGGCCATTTGTATGTCTTCTTTTGAGAAATGTCTATTTATGTCTTTTGCATATTTTTTAATGGGATTATTTAGTGTTTGTTGGGTTGAGTTTCTTGCACCTTCTGGATATGAGTCCCTTGTTGGATGAATAGTTTGTAAATATTTTCTCTTATTCAACAGGTTGCTTCTTCACTTTGTTGATTATTTCTTTTGCTGTGCAGAAGCTTTTTAGTTTAATATAGTCCCATTTGTCTATTTTTGTTTTTGTTGCCTGTGCTTTTGAGGTCTTAGCCATAACATTTTTGCCTCGATCAATGTCTTGAAGAGCTTTCACTGTGTTTTCTTCTAGTAGTTTTATAATTTTAGGTCTTATGTTTAAGTCTTTAACCCCTCTTGAGTTGATTTTTATGTATAGTGTAAGCTAAGGGTCCAGTTTCCCTCTTTTTGGTGTGTATATCAAATTTTCTCAAAACTATTTATTGAAAAGACTATCCTTTCCTCATTATGCAATCTTGACACCCTTGTTGAAGATCATTTGATTATATATGCATAGCTTTATTTCTGGATTCTTGATTCTGTTCCATTGGTCCATATGCCTGTGTTTATGACAGCATCACATGGTTTCGACATTTATTTTTGTTTTGTTCTAGATTTTTTCACATTTTCTAATCCCAAACATTTTTTTAAAATTTAATATACTATTTTTAAAGCATTTTTAGGTTCGTGGCAAAATTGAACAGAAAGTGCAGTGATTTCCCATATATTCCCTGCCCCCACACATGCATAGCTTTCTCCATCATCAACATCCTTCATCAGAGTTACACATTTGTTACAATTCATGAATTTACATTGACACATCACTATCACATTATTGTCATCATTATCAACTAATTGCTAACATTAAGGTTCAGTCTTGGTGTTGTAGAGTCTATGGGTTTGGATAACATACAATGTCATGTGTCCATTATTACAATAGCCTAAAGAATAGTTTCACTGCCCTAAAAATACTCTATGCTCTGCCTAACCCCTTAAATCCTGACAATCACAGTCTTGTTACTGTCCCCATAATTTGCTTTTTCAGAATGTCATATAGTTGGAATTATATAGCATGTAGCTTGGTAAGATTGGCTTCCTTCACTTAGTAGTATGCACTTAACGTTTTCTGCATGTCTTTTCATGTAATCTGAGAGCAGAGGTAATTTCGTGTCTTCTTTTCTGATTTGGATGTCTTTTATTTCTTTTTCTTGCCAAGTTGCTCTACCTAGGATTTCCAGTACTGTTTGAATAGAAATGGTGAGAGTGGGCCTCCTTGTCTTGTTCCTGATCTTAAAAGAAAAGCTTCAGTTTTTCACCATTGAGTATAATGTTAACTGTAGGGTGTTATATATGACTATTATTTGTTGTATATATTCATTCATTTGATGGTTTATCCTCTGTCACTAGGCTTTCTTTACTCTTTTAAATTATTTTTTTCCTTTTGCTCTTTTAACTGGATACTATCAAATGATGTTTGTTGAAGTTCACTGTTTTTTTCTTGTGCTTGATCAAGTCTGCAGTTGAACCACTCTAGTAAATTTTTCCACTAAATTATTGTATTCTTCAGCTCCAAAATTTCTGTTGGGTTCTTGTTTATATTTTATGTCTCTTGTTGACATTCTTATTTTGTTCATACATTATTTTTCTGAGCTTGTTGAACGTCTTTATGATGGTTATTTTGAATCTTTATGAGATAATTCATATGCCTCTGTTACTTTAGGATCAGTATGCGGAGATTTAGTTTGTTCTTTAATTGGGCCATGTTTCCCTGTTTCTTTATGTGCCTTGTAACTTTTATGATTGGATCTACGCATGTGAAATAAAGAGTCACCTCTGTAAATCTCTAAGGACTGGATTCATGTGGGGAAATACCTAATCACCAATCAGCCCTAATCAGCCTGCCTAGAGATTCTGTGGGCCTCAAATCTTTTTTATAGTTGTGCGTTCTCTGGACTTGTGCCTGTAAGTTACCAAGTACAGGGATTTACTCTTTTCTTTTTCAGGGGCTTGTAATCTCTTGCTCTCTCTGGAGCTACCACATGCTGCTCAGCTCTTCTTTGTTCTCAGTGGCTCCCAGACTTCTAGAGCGTGTTAGGTCCTGTTAATGCTGTTAGCTGGACAAGACAGGCACCAGTCCCTCAAGAAGCCTTTTGGAAAGTCTGCTTGCTGGACATATGTTTCAGTCAGTCTTCTCTTTCCCTCCCCTGGGAGAAACCCAGTGAGACATGATTAAGGTGGAAGACGGTAGTATTGACAATCCTGACCTTGTGCAGGCCTAGGATGATTTGTTTGTGTCTTAGTTTTTTTTTTTTAAAGTGCTTAAAAAGTTAAAAAAATTAAATAGTTAAAAAAAAGATTATGGAATAAAGATATAAAGAAAAAATATTTTTATACAGCTGTACAATGTGTTTTTGTTTTAAGCTTAGTGCTAGTACAAAAGTCAAAAAATTAAACAGTTTATAAAGTGAAAAATTTACAATTAGCTAAGGCTAATTTGTTATTGAAGAAAGTTAGTTTTATTTTAAAAATAGATTCAGTGTACCCTAAGTGTACAATGATGTCCTAGGCCTTCACATTCACTCACCACTCACTCACTGGCTCACCCAGAACAACTTCCTGTCCTGCAAGCTCCATTCATGTAAGTGTACCATTTTTTACTTTTATACCCAATTTTTACTGTATCTATCATATGTTTCCATATGCTTAGATACACAAATACCATTGTCTTACAGTTGCCTTAAGTATTCAGTACAGAAAAATGCTGTACAGGTTTATAGCTTAGGAGCAATAGGCTATACCATATAGCCTAGGTGTGCAGTAGGCTATCGCATCTAGGTTTGTGGAAGTACTCTCTATGATGTTCACAAAATGATGAAATTGCCTAACCACACCTTTCTCAGTATCACATTTCTCACTATCGCAAACTGACAGAATACAGTGTAGTCACGTGTCGCTTAACAGTAGATGACTATACTGTATTCTGACAGTTCATGATAGTGATTTTATGTCTACTCAAAAATCAGTAAGCATAGAATATACTACAAATGATTCTTGAGTAGTTAACATTATACTGGACACATAGGCCATATGCGACATAAACATATAAGACAAGGCCTGATGACTATTTAGAATGCATCATACACGTGGATAAAATAAAATGTTCACCGACGTTCAACTTTATGAGTTAGTTCTTTAAAAAATTCATTTATGAATGTATTTTTTTTGCTTAGAACTTTCAGTATTTCCACATAGAAATAATATTGTAAATGATAGCTATATGCAAGGTGAGGCAACCAAAGCAGTAATACAACTGAACTATTAATATAACCCCAAGACCTGAACCTGGCTTGCCAAGTTATTTTATTATTCTTTTGGCATATTTTACTTATTTTGACCAAGTGACCCACTTAGCCTCTTTCTGCCTCAGCTTTTGTGAAAGATAAGTATGTATCTGATTCCTCTTAAGTAACACTATATGCATAATGCTCACAAGGTTCTGGTGAAGCCCCTCCGGTCTTGCACTGCTGTTTCAAATAGTTAGCTTAAAGAGAAGTAGCTGTCTAGAGGACACCCAACATATTATTTATTTTTATTTTTTTGAGACAGAGTCTTGTTCTGTTGACAGGCTGGAGTGCAATGGCACGATCCCGGCTCACTGCAACCTCCTCCTCCCAGGTTCAAGCGATTCTTATGCCTCAGCCTCCTTATTAGCTGGAATTACAGGTGTGCAACACCACGCCCAGATAACTTTTGTATTTTTAGTAAAGATGGGGTTTTCCCATGTTGACCATGCTGGTCTTGAACACCTGGCCTCAAGTGATCTGCGCAACTCGGCCTCCCAAAATGCTGGGACTACAGGCATGTAATCCCAACAGATGTACAGCCCCAACAGATATACAGCAAGTGATTAAAAATGAAAGTGTGAGTGAGGTTCAAGTGTAGTTAGTCATCTCCTAATGCCCATAACCTTTCCCCTTCATGCCTCTTCTGAATCCTCGAGAGACTGCATGTTGCTTTTTTGTGACTTTTGACTTTTCTCTTTCCCTGCTTGGTTTAAAAGTTTTCTGCATGTTTCACCAACATAAACATATTCTTGGATTGTGGGAGTTAGGAGACAGATGAAGTGGAGAGAAGACCCACCAGCCTCATGCTTATTATGAGAATTCTGAAGCATCTTCCCTTTCATAGGGTGCTGTGCTCTGAAGCATTGTTGAGATTAGTATCTTAGTTGTGAATGAAGACAAACAATACAGTATAAGTGAGTGACTAATGTAGAAAACATGAGGAAAGGTGCCAAGTTCATTTTCAGCGCTGATGGTTGTGGTGTGACACTCTCATGCCAGCCAAAGAGGTGCCTGAGGGAAAGGTTTAATTGCACTTTTGTGTAATAACTACTGGACAGGTGTCAAAGGGTAGCTCCATTATTCCAGTTGGCTCAAAAAAGGGCAAGAAATTCTATCAGGTTCTTGTTTCTCAAACAAAATAGAGTTCAACCAATTCAGTATTTGCTATAACTGGTGAGTGTATGGGTGTGTAATTGAGAAAGGCGGGGGAAACTTGGAAAAAGCTAAGAAGCTAAGACAGAATCAGTATGAATCACTATGTTTTGGGAAGTTATATATTATTTTTGCTGTCTTGATTTTGTGACATTGAGCCAAGAAATATAAACATATTAAACAGTTTTGCAAGACTTCCTTTTCTCTGCATAATGTTAGCAAGTCATTAATAAACTTCCCATGCAGTATATTAAGAAGTTTTACCTGGAGCCTAAAAGCACAGAAATTTCTTGTAGGTTATTAATGGCAATGAGTCAACTCACTCAAAGTGAGAAATACACATTTTATGGGGCCTGAAACAGGATCTGTCTATCAGGATATTATTGGAATGTCTTAGTATAGTGCCTTTACTCATGACTAATTTGGGTTGTAGGAAGTTTGATTTATTCAAATATAAATTGTGTTAACTGGTTACTTTGTCAGGTGTGTGTGTGTGTGTGTGTGTGTGTGTGTGTGTACAAAGCTTGAGATTTTCAATCATCACTATGATATTTTAGTTACTATGATTTTTTAATTTCAGTTCTCACTATGATTCTGGAAGGACAGGAAAAAATCCTTTTGTTTTTAAAACTTACATAAAAATATTGCCTTTCTGTGGAAACTTGAATAATTTTCATAACCATTTCCCCTGCCTGTGATTACCTTTATATAGGTACAAAACACTTTCTTTTTGTTTAAACTTGTATCCATTATGGAACTATAGGCTTAAGTGCATTGGGAAATCAAATGAATAGAGATTAGTGACATTATATTGGAAAAAAACGAGAGGTTTTCCAAATTTAGGAACCCTATGGATGTGTGTAACTGACAGAGAAAAACATCCTTTTTCACATTTTAGCCTTTTTCTTCTCATCAGTTTAGAAATTCAGGCCTTAGAAAAATAATGTGTAAATAAATGTTGGTTAGTGTAGCACGCCTTGGGCAACATGGTACAAAAATATTGTTTCAGGTACTGTCTCCCTGATCTCAGTCTCCTGCCTACTCAAATCCTATTTTAAGGACAACCTCTTTTAAAGGAACTGCCTAGATAAATATCTTACTGTCCTAGAACTGTGTCTTCCTTACTAACTAAACAACCTTGATCTTTTTCCTCTCTCCTTGCCTTTTGGTTTCTTTCTGACTTCTTCTTCTACCTCCTTCTCTTTCATGCTTTCCTTTTTTTTTTAAAAAAATTAATCTTTTTCTTCCACTCATGCTGAGATGGGGTAGAAGGTGGCCAGAAAGATAGACAAAGATTAATGGTCCCATAAAATATTATTCCATACAGTAATATGGAATCTAGGAAGACTCATGGAAAAATGCACACCAGGGAAATGCCGCTTCAGTGTGCTTGCTTCACATATGTAGACTGGCTCCTTTAGAGTTGCACAGGGTCTTCATCATGTTTTTTTTTTTTTTTTTCTATACACCACTGTGCTCATTTCATTGAGGCTCAAAGGAAAAAGAATTTCAGTGTTTCAAGTTCAGCCCTTGCCTGATATATAAATCTTCCCTGTAACAAGTCAGCTAATGGTTACTTGCCCTTAGACATTAGACAGGTTTACTCAATAATAGAGGAATAGTTATGTAAACTATGTTAAATGTAGCTACTCAGTGAGATATTGAAGTCCTTAAAAATGATAGCTCTGAAGACTACAAAATGCCTTGGAATATGCTTATGTTATATGAAAAGAGTTTTCAGCAGATTTATTGTTACAACTATTAAAACGTGAATATATGCATGTTGCAAAATACTGTTTTAGGAACCGTGACTGATTTTTTTTCTTTAGTATTATTTTTCCAAATGTCCAATAATATGTATATTACTTTTATGATTAAAAAAATCTCCCTAAATGGATATGACCAGGAAAGACAACCCAAATACCCAGCAGTATGCTTCATGGTTTCTGGCCCTTCAATGATATCTGCTCTCAAATCTGTTGTTCCCTGCTTTGGATTTTAAGCTTTTGTTTCTACTAACAGAAAATAAATTTACACTTTCAAAAGAGCAAGAAAAAAGCTGTACACTTCATTAGTCTGTTTAAAAATAGCTTTGACACTCGATTGCATAATCCCCAAATGGAAGGAAATATATCAGAAGGTAAGCAAGATATTTACTTTTAGACGTGCTTCCTTAAAGTCTGGTGTGCAGAAACTGCCTTCTGTAGAAAATAATATCCCTTTTAAGTAATAAGAATTAAATTTTATTTTTATAAAGTCTTCATGAAATAAATATATTTTGACTCATATTTTTGTAAGAAACATTATGGCATATTGTTTCTTACAAAATCTTCCTTACAAAATATGCTGGGGGGGGAACCTTGAAAATATGCTTATCAGTCTCTAAGTGTAGTATGATTTAAACACCTATGTTTTGTATAAAATATGCAAAGTACTACTCCATTTCTTTTCTCCACATGAAATCAAATATATATTTTTATAAAGAAAAAGATTATTGATGCTAGGTTTTGAAAATCTAACATTTGTCAGTACTCTATAACATTACATTTAATTGTGGAATGTAACTTTGTGATTTCTGCATTTTATATTTAGACAGATGCCTCTATTTTTCCTAGAAAAAAATAAAACAAGTACCATGTCCATATAACTACAGAATTTCTGAAAAACTAGTTTCATGTAATGAGTCACAAAATTTGATATCAAATCACAGATATATGAATTAACTTCTATAAAATTTAATTATCTTAAATATTAAATAGTATCTCTGGATCTCTCAGATGTATGCAAAAATGGAATACAACTTGAATTTCCAGTAAGGATTCAACAATCACTCTGTGTTCTCTCAGAATAACATTCTAGGCAATAAAGGGTTTTCCTTTGATAAGTATGTATCCTTCACTGTAGAACTGTAATGAGAGCCTAATCGATTGATATGCTAGTAACAATGTTTTTCCTGTTCATGGAAATTAGCCTTAATTCTGCAGTAATAAATATCATACTGCAGTGAAATTTAGTATGTTATACACACTGTTCATCAAAACACAAGTACTATTCTTTTGCATGCTCATATTTAATTGCCATTTTGCCTGCACCAAATGCTCAGATATTGGCAATTTTATATGCTTCAGCCTAGTGTTAGCATTAACTGAGAACTGCTCATGGAATATTCTTGAAGAGCAATATGCTAGTGTAGTGTGGTTTTCAAGAAGTTGTTTGCTTCCTTGTTCGGTTATTAAGGGTCCTAGTGGCACTCGACAGGAATATTATTTTATGCAAGGAACCCAATGACATACTTTAGTTTCCAGAATATCATGAAAGGACAAAGAGGTAAAGAAGATGGGTCTAGTATCCTGCTGCCCCTTAGTGGAACCTAATTTAATATGTAAAATGGCCCAAGAAGCAGCCCAATCATTAAGACTGCCACATGTTACTGATGTTAGAGGAGGAGTGTCTTGTGTAAATGATGTCCATAAATAACATTCCAGATATATATGTCCAGTAAATTTTAAAAATACTTAGAAAATGGATAATCCAGTGTGGTTCCTCATTGTTTCAAACCTGCCAGTCAAGGTTGCCTAGGCTCCACCAGTGCAGTCTGTGAAATTCTGAGCCTGTAAGAGTAAGGGCCATGTTGAGATACTCTCTGGTTTTAATAGCAGGACCATTCAAAACAGCTCACATCATCTGGAATAAGGTAATCATAGTGTTGACACATAGCCAGAGGTTAAGAATGAGATGCATGAGGATCCTGTAGCCTTTGGCAACAATACTCACACATGACTGTGTATTATTGATGGGTGATGATTATTTTTGTGCTGCAACCATAAATCGTAATGATACCCACTATTATCTCCCCACAAAGTCTTTTGGCAATGAGAGCATCATTTATTATTTTACTTTCCTCATCCCACATTCTTCAAGTTTTTAAAAATAATCTTGCTTACATGGGTTGAAGTGGTCACATGTAGTGTTGTGGATGTGTGATTGGATTCGTTATCTAAAGACTAGTTTCTTCTCAGTGTGGAAACTGGCTTCCCCCGCAAAGAAATGGTCGCAAATAAAAATCTATAATTGCAACTACCAGAAATTTGGCAAGATGATACTTGTTACTGTTTCAGGAGCTGTGTTACTGTATATATGTCAGTATAATTATAAGTGGATTTGGCCATTGTACAACTTATTGGAAATTATGTCGTTTTTAAAAATGGAGAAAAAGCGGAAAAAATCTTAAATATCCAATTAAAATAAGTTGGCATCGAACCAGTTATACATATATCATTGGTATAAACTAATTAGGTGTTAACCCCTTGTACCTGCAGTTCAGAATTTTCTTTATCACTTAAAAGTGTTCAAATTATTAATGTGATTCTACTTTTAGGATGATAGGTGTGACAGCATATTTTAATGAAATCCTGATGATAACAGAGGAGGAATTTGTTCAAAACATTCTGTACTGTTTTGATGAACATAAACATCTCAGTATAGGAAAAATAAGTAAAATCAGAACTTCTGGTGCCATTTGTGTTTTAAGATCCACAATATAGCCTACTCTGAAAGCAGTACATTCTTCAGCCTTTTCCAAAATTGCTAAATTCCCTATATCTTCTTCTTTAATGAAAACATGGCCATTCTAGTACTTTATAGCACACAAAAAGCTGTTCCTTGGAGTTGGACTGACAGAAACATTTTCATGATTGTCAGTCACTTCCTTGAATGCCAAGTCTGTACTAGTCCCATATACTTACAAGTAAGTGTGTTTTATCATTGTTTGGTGTTAAAGTGAATAAAGCTCCAGAATGCCAGATGGCATTGAGACAGCATTTACAATTTACAATTCAAAAATCCACAAATTCACAGTGGAACTTTGTGAACTTTGATTCTAAAGCCACCATTGTCATGGAAATCAAGATGTTCCATAATTATCTTTATCATGTGTATGAGTATAAGCCTCCTAGAGCTCTATTTCTTAAGTTTAATGCTACACTCTTAAGTGGAACCATGTATTCAACTAATTTTCCTAGTGTCCATCCTATACTTGTCTATAAACGGAGGAGCAAAATTAAATGTGAATCCAATCAAGATTATCTTTTACTGTTTCTGTGGCAAGTTTTAAGTTTGGAAGCCCTTTCTTATTAATCAGCACTTCAGGTAATCATGTATTAGGATGAAATATATAGGATTCCATCTTCGCTTATCTTAACCTAAACCATTCAACTTATTCATAAGTTGTCAACATGACTTGATTGTACAGAAATGTTGCTTTTAATGAAAAAGTGAAATTTTATTATCTATTCGGTGATTATGTTACTTTAGCCACATAATGTGACACACCCAGAAACAGTTCTCATGAAGGCATTGGAAAAGTACTCTGATGACCTGAACTGATGTTGAAATTTCAGAGATTCTTAGCTCTACGTCAGTGAGTGGGAAAGGACATCCAGTTTCCTGTGGATGTTGACCAAGACACCTCATACAAAAATACAAAATAGACTTACAAGAATATTCTAGAGAAAAGACCTCATGGTAGACTCATTCTCATAGTGATTTGACATACCCTCAGCTCTATCTCAAACCTCTGTTTCAATAATTACAGCTCTGTGATAATGATTTACAACCCACATGTTGCCAGACACTACTGTTTCTGATTATAGTCTTCTTTTGAATTTAAATAATTTGTGGACTTTATCCAAGTGTCTGGGTGATGTTGTAATTCATTATTGATGAGAAAAAGAATAAGCTAAAATCATAGTGCTGGTTATGAAGGCTATATTAAATCAATTGCTATAGTCAATAAAATAATTTTAATTAATGGGGGCGGAGTCTGAAGACTTACCTTATCTTTTCTCATCTACAACACCATGTATGTTTCTTCTTTTCTATTGCTTCCCCATCACCTAGTACCATATACAACTGCTAAATATTTTTGAATAAATGAACGTGTTGAAGAAATGTACGTAAAATCTAAAAATATACTTTTGATGCAAGTATAATCTGTCTAAATTCCCCTTCCCTGATTTTTACTGGAAACATTTAGTTCTTCCTGAGAGTTACAAACCTAGATGACCCTGTACCTGTGCCTAATTGTTTGTGTGCACGTGAATCTGTGGCATTTCCATGTTTATTAACTGTGAAACCATTCCCTCCAGAGTAACTAGATAACAGCATGATGATCACAAGCAACTCTTTCAGATTTATGGAAGCCTTGATATATATTTTTAAGCTACATAGCCTATGAGTTCACTAGATTAGAGTGTATGAACCAATAACTTTATTTGATTTATGCTAAAATCGAACCATTTTATATTTCTTCACTTATTACCTCTGTTCCATCCCCTGTATGTTTATTGCTATCTTAAAATATTTTCCAAAGTTATTTTTTAGTTTTTTAAAGTTTTATGTCTTTTTTTGTTTGCTTGTTGTCATATTTTATTTAATTAAATGCCATTTTCTTGCCAACAGCCAATATATTTAGTGATTAAACACTTAAACCATTGATGACTTTATGTGACAAAAATGAAGAATCTGCTGTCATTATTCTTATTTAACTTAGCTCTGGAAAGACTGTTCAGTCCAATAAGAGTTGAAAATCAATAATATATAGCTATTGAAAGATGTGGAGATAAAATGCCATTATTTTAAAGCATTGCTTACTTTGGTTTTCCAGGTAAAAACCGAAATCAAACAAACAAACAAAAATAACAAGTTCAGTACAGAATAGTTGTTTTCAAAATGTGGTCCTCAAGACCCCCTCAGAGGTTTGTTAAGATCCAAGTTATTTTATTTATTTATTTTTTGAGACAGGGTTTTGCTCTGTCACCCAGGCTGGAGAGCATGATCACAGCTCAGTGTCCCCTTGACCTCCCAGGCTCAAGCAATTCTCCCACCTCAGCCTCCCTAGTAGCTGGGATTATGCCACCAGGCCCAGCTAATTTTTTGTATTTCTTGTAGAGATGGGGTTTCACTGTATTGCCCAGGCTGGTCTCCAACTCCAGAGCTCAAGTAATTCACCTGCCTCAGTCTCCCAAAGTGCTGGGATTAAAGGCAGGAGCCGCCACACTTGGCCAAAGATATTTTCTCTATAGTACTAAGATGTTTTTGTCTTTTCAATATAAAAAATACATAATAATGTGTCTCACTTTTTGAGTTTACAATGAAGTCTGCCAGCAGCTATGTGATGTGCTATTCCAACAGATTGAAAGCAGAAACATATTAAAATACACCTGTTTTCTATTAAGCTAGATATTAAAAGAGATTTATAAAATTGTAAAATTGTTTCTCTTCTCACTATGTATTTTGTTTTAGAGACATAATTATTTATTGTAAAAATAGATCACTTAGGTTAACATATATGGGCTTTCTTGATATTTTTACAAGAACATCTTAAAAATCAGAAATTCAAACCAATACAGGAAATGTGAACAGTTATAACTGGCACAAACAGAAGATCTTTGATATCTTCATTAATTTTTGAGACTGTAAACTATTTTAAGATAAAAATTTTGAGAATTGCTGGTGCAGAGGATTGGCAATATATATTTATGTATACAACAGCAATAACCAATTATAATTCAAAGTGGAAAAAAAGTGAAATATTTGGGAATAACCTTATAGATCTATATGGTATATATAATCAGTATAGTATAGGGAACTCAATACATAGAGATTCATACCATCTTCCTTGGTATGAAGTTTGAGTATTATAATAGTGTTTACTTTTTCATTTATAGATTTCATCTATTTCCAAACATTTAACATATGTGAAGTATTCAACATATTTCAATGGAAATGTGTTAAATCTATGAAAATAAAAATTTTTGTAAGATTTAAATTCTAAAGTTTATACAGGAATAAGAGAGCAATAACTACAAAAACATTTAAAAGAAAGATAATGAAGGGAAACCTGCCTTATCTGATACTATAGTTACAACACAGAGTTAGATGAATAGAATTAGCTATCTCAAGCTTCACTGTGTGTTGTGCATATGTGTGTATATGTATATACTTCTGTGCATTTAATATTAGATAAAGGAATCATTCATGTTCAGTATTATTCATGATAAGGGTTATATAAATGGAACCATATTTTATCACTTCATTAAAGATAAATGTCATTAATATTAGAAATATTGCTAAGCATTTGTAAATTGTTGGGGGGCAGTTGTAAATGGAAACAACCTTCTAAGATACTTATTCGCTACTATACATCAAATGCTTAAAACATTCATAATCTTTTTTTTTTTTTTTTTTTTTTTGAAATGGAGTCTCACTCTGTCGCCCAGGCTGGAGTGCAGTGGCACAATCTCGGCTCACTGCAAGCTCCGTCTCCGGGTTCACACCATTCTCCTGCCTCCACCTCCCGAGTAGCTGGGACTACAGGCGCCCGCTACCACGCTCGGCTAGTTTTTTGTATTTTTAGTAGAGATGGGGTTTCACCATGTTAGCCAGGATGGTCTCGATCTCCTGACCTCGTGATCCACCCGCCTCGGCCTTCCAAAGTGCTGGGATTACAGGCGTGAGCCACCACGCCCCACCGAAAACATTCATAATCTTTAATGTGACAACTTTATTCCTAGCAATCTCTCCTGGGGAAATGTTCAGAAATAGGAAAATATTTATACATAAATATGTTCACAACAGCACATTTTATATTAATTCAAATTTTAGAACAACATATATATCTACATATTGGGCAATGATTAAATAAATATGGTAATAAAAAAAACCTGCATGTGGAATAGTATTAACTAAGTAAGAGTAGAGAATACAAATATGTAAAAGAGGATATAAAACTACCAGGGGTAGATATTGTAATACATTAAAAGTGGTTATCTCTGGATTCTGGAATTATGGGTACTTTTTATTATCTTCTTTATGCCTTTTTGTATTTTCTTATTTTTTTTTTTTACAAAGATCATATATCACTGTTAAAGTAAATAAAAGCAATGTAATTTAATTTACACAGAACTATTGATATTTTAATTCATAGATTAAGACAAATCAGACATATTTCATAATGGTCAGTTCTGAAATGAGATTTTGTATTACATTTCAGCTATGGGTTACCTGTTCTTTTTCATGTGCCTGTGACTTCCTTGAGTAGTACCCCGTTTTCAGAGTGTACTTATTGTCCATTTGCCAGCAAACTGTGTAACCTTAAACCAAACACTTTTCTTCTCTTGGCCTTTAATTTCCTTATCAAAAGATGTTTCTTCCAATTCTATAATATGAAGATTAAGTAGTAAAGATCTCCAAAGCTATATTTCCAACTGAAACATCATCCTCTGTAATCTGTCTCTCTTCTACTGTACATTTTCTCCTAACATATTGTCTTATCTTTTGTGCTTCTCCTTCTCCAACCCCCACCTCCCAACATGGGATGATTGAAGAAGGGATTATAATGTCATCTTTCTGTCTTTCTCTTAGTACTACTCAACATTCTCAGCAATAGATCTTAGTGGTCTCTATGTAATATTGCTGGCAGATTGTCATCTACAGAGCTTTGGTGATTCTTATTGTCATAGAATTTATTAAAATCTGTAGAAATTCTAAGAGTCTACATCTACATGGACTGCCTTAAGCTTGAAAGTGAAGTCCTGTTGCCTTTTCCTTTTCATCTTAAGTTGTTTTGCTAGCTCTTTATGATATAGGCTTGGTACAGTTATAGCCAACCCAGACTTGGATCATATATTTAACATTTGAAATGAGCAGCACTTTGGAAATACTTTCTTTATGATGAAGCTATTATATATTATTGTAACTATAGTTTGCAACCTGCTATTTTTATGCTGTGGTGGTTACTGGAGGACATTGTTAAATTTAGTTGTTAATTCAAATAAGTCATTAAATATGTTAATGGATGACAATATGAAAGCATGTTGGTGCAATATTATAACCTTCATGCCAATCAATTCACTTGATATCACATGTCAGTTTCTTATAACTTAACTGTTATTAAATTCTCCAGTATAAAGTTTTAAGCTATATTATACATTTTAAATGGAAGAGCAAAATGTTAGAGTTGATTCTCTTTGTCAAATAAGTCATTTCTGGGGTGGAATATATGCTGTTTGATGCCTCTGTGTGATTCATGTGTACTGATAAATTTCTTTTTAAACTTGCAGCAAATAGTGGCAGCAATAAATGCAGGGATTATACCGTTAGGAAACACCTCCAATCAAATCAGTCACTGGGATTTGGGAAGTTCCTTCTTCTTTGCTGGCACTGTTATTACAACCATAGGTAGGAGACAACTTATTTTTGTTTTTTGTTTTGATACCGTTTGTGAGCTAAAATCCATTTGTTTGAATTTTTTGTATAGTTGGGCAAAATGATCTACTTAAGGTAGAAAAACTAGATTATAGTAAATTGATTTTGAAAAGGGGATTTAAAGATTTAAACAAAAGAATAATGGAAATGAATTAGTTATTTTAGAATACTGAGTTGACTTTAAAATACATGTGAAACAGAAGCAATGCAGCAGTCATTTGACTAATGGTAGTAATGTCAAGAAACAGCTTAAAATGATTATTTCTTTAGGCAATTAGTTTTTAATTTTCCTGAATTTTTGATATTTTTTGTGTAGCAATTTTGACATTCTTTTCATGGAAGTTCTTACGTGATATCACCTTTTCGAATTTGTAAATTTTAACTCTACATTTTAACAGATTGTGCCTGTTATATGGTCATTTATGATGATTACTTCAGGGCTTTTTTTTTATATACATTATATTTTGCCCGTAGCACATATATAAAAATTTAACACTGAAATGTAAGGATTATAAAAAGTATGAAAGTTTAGACCCCTGATGTTTTACCTTTTAATCGCATTGTTTGTTATAATGTTGAAAGGGTTGCATAATGGAACGTGGTCTGTTTTTTCAACTCACTGACACATATGTTTGACATCTTCTAAAGCGGCAGAATGGGTACATGTAAATGTCCTCTCTCTGCTAGTTTGTCATTCAGTGCCCAAAAGCTATTCAGGAAACCTAAACACAGACCCCACAGTGAAAGCTATGTTTGTGAATGAGAACACTTGGACACAGGAAGGGGAACATCACACACCAGGGCCTGTTGTGGGGTGGGGAGATGGGGGAGGGATAGCATTAGGAGATACACCTAATGTAAATGATGAGTTAATGGGTGCAGCACACCAACATGGCACATGTATACATATGTAACAAACCTGCACGTTGTGCACATGTACCCTAGAACTTGAAGTATAATAAATATATATATATATATATATATATATATATATATATATAAAATAAAATTTGAAAAAAAAAAAAAGAAAGCCATGTTTGTCATTCTGTGAGACTTGGGAAGGGTAATAGCTGCCTTGTTCATGGAAAGAGATGCATTTCAAGCATATTTTTTAAGAAAGAGAAGGAAATGGGCTCATCATAGTTATGAAGGAATTTCAGGTGTGAGAAAATATATGTAAAAAAGGGAGTTTTTTCTTTCCACATACCTTTGTGAAGAGATTTTCATCTCATGGGACTAGTTTCAGATTATGGGATAAATTGAGACCCTAAAAGTTTTAATCTTATTTTTTGATGTCATTCATAAATTATGACATGTATAACATTTTCATATCAGTAGATTATATCAAAGTACTAAATAAGAGAACATGGAAAATTTACGGATGAACTCTGACTTAAAAGTTTTCCTTTTACAGGTATTTGTACTGTTCTATTGTTATGAGTCCACTATAGTGCCTCTTTGCGCTGGATCACATGCCAGCAAAATACATACTTTAGCATGCTGATTTTTTGCCTTTTTTAAGAGGTCAAGAAACTATGTTTACTCTTACATTTCCATCAGCTAGGTCAAAAGTTGTGTGGCTGTGAAAATCTGGAAGAATGGCAACCTTGATTTCTAACCATAATAACAGGTTAAGTTTGGGGCTTAGACATCTTGGCCATTTCTACTATGGAAATAACTATTTATTGTGTAAACTACTTAGAGTCTAGAAGAAAAAAAGCTTACAGACTGAGTGAGAATGGTTTGTTTCTGCCAACGAAAATTCAAAAGTCTAAGTTATAACTCATCATGACCACCACTAAATTATTTTGCAGGAGACTCAGTCATTATACAGACTTACTGTTGCCCTGTATGTTTATAAACAGTCTCATTTTTTGAATCCCCTAATACAGTAAGTTTTGCAGACATACACTTCAACACATGAAAAAAAATAAACCATTATTACCAGCCTTACTCCAAATTATAGCCATTAAGCACAGTAGCTGATCATTTAGGCCCTTTAGGTAGTTGCCTGACAGCCCAGATCTCCTACTGTTCTATCTCAGGCTTTAGTCTTCAGTGGATTAAGTCATTCTGAGTGACCCACATGAGGACTTTTTACTGCATGGTCTTTTACTCTTGAGGTCAACACCATGTCCTCTAATCTTGGACTAGGTTATGGTGGTCTTGGGCAAGGGAAAAAATTTGGCCTCTTCCCTAAGTGTGCATTTGACATTAAAGTCATTATTCCATAAAATTCAAAGTATAATTAATAATATTGCTAATGATAATAATTGTGTGAACTTTGAAGTGATTTTTAGCAATCATAGAAATTATGACCTTTAGCAATAGCTGCATTGCATAAGACATTTTAAAATGACATTAGAAGTTGGGAGGGTTTTGGAAAATAAATTGCAGTGGCTTTTATAGGGTTCCTGGTACAGGCAGTGCTTCACGGAGCTGAGTTGGCCACAGTTGTCCAAGGTTTTTGTGTTCAATTTCATCAATTTTTCTAAGAAACAGACATGATCCTTACTATTCCTTGGAAATATGCCCAAGGAAGTTATACAAAATAAAATATTAAAATTTAAGACCAAAGTTTAGAATTCTCTTCATATATCTAAACATCCTTTCCAAAGTTATACCCTTCCAAATTCTTCACAAATTCTATTCCATAGTTTCACAGACTGAAATCCATTCTTGACCATTCCTTTTCTCTCATATGCCACTTCCATTCCATATACCAGTCCTGTTGGCTTTGCCTTTAAATTATATACATACTTTAACCACTGCTCCACATTCAAATTGCCACCATTTTTGTCCAAAGCAGCATCATCACATGCCAGCAGCATTGCAGAAACCTTCTGTTCAGAACTCTGCTGTGGTTTCCAGCTCAGTCAGAGCAAAAGCCATAGTCCCTTGCTGATTTTTCATAGTAAAATGCAAGCTCTATGAAGTTAGGGATTTTTAATTATTTGCATCTTGTCTGTATCTCCAAATGCCTGATACATATTGGGTGCATAATAATTATTTTTGAAACTAAAAACAAATAGGCATTTCATATGGTCTGAACTATGACTTATTGGAAATTACATAACACCATATTGATACCTGTGAGGCTAAATTATTAGCCCTTTCAACAGATTTCATTGCCAGTTTGTTTGTCTATTTATTAATTCAACAAATAATAAAACACTATCACTCTGTTGCTGTAAAGATAAAAAATAAATTCCTTGACTTTAAGTTGTACATAGATCAGTCAGGGAGAAGTGTGAATAAATACACATTTACAATACAGTGTGCCAAGAGTTGTGAGTTAAGAGCATTTAATGGGAACATATTGGTGCAACACTTTACATAGATATTGGGTGGGTAGGTGAGTGAGAAAGAGTTGAGGGATGCTTCCTTTTCCTTAGTAGGCATTGTCCCAGTTGACTGGAAAGAATTAGGAATTTGCTGGGTGAAGAAAGTTGGAAAGGGAGGCTTGCAGGCATCGGGAGCTCATGTGGAAAAGATCAGAGGTAAAAGACAGTGTGGTCTGTTTGGCTACTGCCATTTATCTAGAATGGCTGCTGGGAGTTGATGGGATTCATCCTCAGAATCATTTTAATCAGTAAGTCAATGTAAGAAGCTCCTGCTGGATCTGTGCTACTTCTGCTGCTGCCAGGAGTACAAAGGAAGTAAGGACGTAGTCCCTGCTTGCAATCTCATTTGGGAGACAACATTTCCACGTATGAAATGACTGAAGAATAACAAAAATAAGTCTTGGATAATCAAATGTAACACAGAGCAGGGGTTTCAGTGCTATGAGAATTGAGAAAAAGGGAAGAATACATGGGCTGGAACTGAAAGGAAAGGCTTAAGTGGGGAAGTTGGATTTGAACTGTGACTTGAAGAAAATGTTTTGATTTAGACTGAGGAAGGGGAAAAAGCCTCCCAGTCTGTGGCATGACTAAGCAAAAATCCAAAAAGAGAAGTTAGCTGGATTTGTTTTGGTGATAGAAAGGTAAGTGTTAGAGTAGACTTGTTTAAAGGAATTGTTTAAAGAAGAATTGTTTAAAGAAGTAGGGGGAAGTAATGTTGACTGCTTTAGATGAAAAGAATGCATTGAAAATAATCCCATTTTTGAGGATCTACTACAATAAGATGGAACATGGATTTTTAATAAAAGTGAAGTAAAAGTTTAAAAGTGACATTTGTCAGGAAGAGGATTAGCAAATACTGACAGTTTGTCTGAGAGAGCAGTTAGGAGGCATTGCAGTGACCCAGGGAAGGAGGGATGTATTGACTGGGATGATTGGAGTTGGTGTGGAAGGACAGGAGTAACCACAAAATGTCGAAATAATTAGATACAAGAATCAATAGGCCTTGGTGACTAATAGAATGAAGAGACAAGAGTCAAAATATTGAAAGTGAAGTGAGTATTTAGGCAGCAGTCTTGTAACTCATGGACAGTGCTAGTTGATTTTTTTTGTGAGAAAGGAGTAAAAATATGGCCAAGATTTTATATGTTGTATTATTTTAGGAAGATTCATTTTAGTCATTCCCTTCTCCCCCTACCCCCATTTTTTGTTTGTTTGTTTGTTTCTTCTTGAATTCAGCAAGACTAGAAATATTGGGGTTGAAGAAACCAATGATCAATCAGTACATTAAAAACAAGACCATGAATGATTGCAATAAATGTAGCAAAAGAAACTCATGACAGAGAGTAGATGATGGAGCCAGAGTAAGGAGTGGGAGGTGTTCTAAAGAGGCTGATTCAAGAACTCTCTGAGGAGGTGACATTTAAGCTGAACCCTGAATGATGAAAATAAATCAGCTATGTAAAGAAAAGTGGAAAGATTAATGAAGGCAAAGGGCACAACAATGCAAAGATCTGGGTGGGACAGATTTTGGCATGTTCAAAGAATACAGATGAGGCAGTGCCTGGGGGACTGGAGGAAGGGGAGCCGGAGAAAGAAGTGAGGTTAGAGAGATAAGAGGCAGCAAGATCATGTAGGACTCTATAGGTCCTGGTAACATTCTAAATTCAGTAGGCAGCCACTGAAAGATTTAAGCAAAAGACAAACAAGCATGATGTGATGCTGGCTGTCATTCAGAAGGCAAAAGCTGAAGCAGAAGACCATTGAAAAATGTGGTATAATACAAAAATATATTTGGTCTTTGACCCAGGTTCTTGGCCCAGAGCTCCTAGAAACCTTGGGATTTTCTGAGTGATGGGAATGTCTTCTGTTATTCAAAACAAGCCTCTTTCAACCATGTCTGAGTTTATGCTAATGAGGTGACTACTGGTGGGCTGCTAGATAGCTTCAAGATGGGGGCTAATAGCCAGAGAAACCAACCATGTGATTATCAGATTGGAACTTTCAGCCTCACTCCCAGGACTCTGGGGAGGGAAGAATGGCCAGAGGTTGAGTTTAATCACCAATGGCCAATTATTTAATCGTCAGGCCTACTTCATGAAAGCTCCATAAAATCCCCTAAATGATGGAGTTCAGAGAGCTTCTGGGTTGGTGAATACTGGTGGTGGGAGGGTAGTATGGTGGGGGAAGCTGTGGAACATAGAAGCTCCGTACCCCCTACTTCTACGCATACCCAAATGCATCTCTTCCATTTGGCTGTTCCTAAATTATATCCTTTATGATAGACAGCATTAGTAAGGAAAATGCTTTCCAGAGTTCTGTGAATCTTTCTAGGGAGTTAACCAATCTGAGGAGAGGTCCTAGGAACCCCTGAATTTGCAGTTGGCCAGGCAGAAAGAAATGTGAGCAGCACAGCATGCCATTTGCTACTGGTGTCTGACTTGGAAGCTGTCCTGTGGACTGAGCTCTTAATCTGTAGGTCTGGACTCCTACAGAATTGAATTGAATTGTTGTTGTTAGAGAATCAGAGAACTGGGTGGAGGAAACATCTCACAGACTTGTTAATCTATTAATCCATATGGGAAAAGATGTTGACTTGAACTAAGGAGGTAGCAGTGAGGAGGGTGAAAGGTGGACAGATATGTGGTCTTAAAAAAAGTTTACAGATGGAGATATACTCCTCTCAGAATAATGCTTTAGAGGGCTTAGCGTTTAATTTTTAAGTTTTTTTTATTTTTATTTATTTATTTATTTATTTTTGAGACGGAGTCCCGCTCTTTAGCCTAGGCCGGATTGCAGTGGCACAATCTCGGCTCACTGCAAGCTCCGCCTCCCAGGTTCACGCCATTCTCCTGCCTCAGCCTCCCGAGTAGCTGGGACTACAGGCGCCCGCCACTGCGCCCGGCTAATTTTTTGTATTTTTAGTAGAGACGGGGTTTCACCGTGTTAGCCAAGATGGTCTCGATCTCCTGACCTTGTGATCCGCCCGCCTCGGCCTCCCAAAGTGCTGGGATTACAGGCGTGAGCCACCGCGCCCAGCAAGTTTTTTTTATTTTTAAGTTTTTTTTTAATCTTATCAGTTAAACTATGGGAAAGGCAGTTGGCAAAAATGACGTATGGACAACTGTATTCTATTTCAAGACCAATTTAAAGATTAGAATAAAATGTAAGAAGATTTTATTACTTGGAAGCATTAAAATTATAATTTTTATAATTATATAAATATAATATCAATTTATTATATATTACATATTAATTTTATTGATATAGTAATATGTAATTAGTATATTTATATTTTATATAATTATATTATTATGTATTATATTCATATATTATTTTATATAAATTATATATTGATATTAATGTATGCAAATTATTAATATATAAAATTATATTAATTATAATTATATATTAATCTAGTTATATGTTAATATAATTTAATATAATTATATTTAAAACAATAAAATATTCTCCAGTGGAAAGTAAACTGCAATGTCAGGGTTAGGAGTTGCCTGCATTTATCACTCAATTATTATATCTGAGTGTCAGAATGCAAATAACAAGAAGGCCACTATGGTCTACAGTGACTTTAAGATACCAAAGCATTTCTCTTCAGTCTTAATGAAAAACTTAATTTTTCCTTAGAGCAACATTTCTCATATTTTCAAATGACTCTTATTTTCTATCACCGGAGTGTAGAGATTGAATTTGGCTAAACAGTTTCTGTGATTTTCTGTTTGTATTTTTGTTTCTATATTTTGAACCTGCCACTGGGGCTTTCAGTTGGCTTTTACCTAGATTGAATTGCTAAAGCTATTATGATAACAATCACAGACTTACTGCAAACTTGTATTTTTCCAGTTTGGTATAATGCTTAAGTAATTACGAAAACAAAACAAAACAAAAAAACACCAGGAAGAAAATTAAAAGTTTGCAGTAATTTTAACAAGCAATTCCAGATAAAAAGGAGTCACTTTTGGAAATACAGAAAGTATACTGAACACCGCAAAGCCTATGCTTGTTTTCAGCAGGGAGTCTAATACCTTTCTTTCTGTTGGATGTGGGACAAAACTATAACTTGAAAGGATGAGGAAAAATTGTGTTTTCTGTTCAACTTTATGACCACAGAAGCCACTGCCTGAACTTGGAAATGAATGGACCTGAAGCAGTGGTGTGGAATTTGTCAGTAAGCCTTTTCCCAAAGGATGTCGTCATTGTAGCTCTGCCTGTTGGGTGCTAACTTATTAACTTAGTACACTCATAACTCTGTGGCATTTCACTAGTCTCTTGCATGTTCTCAGAGAATTGTGTATTGGATTTTGGGAGTCCATTGAGGTTCTCTCAGGCAGCTTAAAAGACAATGAATTTTGCAAGGTGACTTCCAGTTCCTACTCTACAATCTCATTGCATTTTTCTTTATGCAAGCTCGTGAAAGTAGATGATTATTTTTCCAAAATATGTACTTTCAGTATTGTGTATTTGAAATACAAAAATTGAAATTAAATTTGGGTCTTTTATTTTGTGTTATTTATCCCATCTACTTAAATTAATGAAAACAAAACCCATATCGGAATATTATTAGTAACGTTTGCTCCTGCCACTCAAAAATCTTCATGTAGGCTTATTTATTTTCTAAGTTAAAATGTGTTTCTCAGAGAAAATTTCTTATGAATGATAGCTAAGTTGGCAGAGTGAAAAAGTATATTTGATAGGGAATAAAGCTGAATTACTACATAAATAGTATTGTAGACTCCAAAGCAATAATGAAATAGATTAGTCTTCTCTTCTCATTGCCTATGTATGTTACATCAGGCAAGAAGAGCACCTAGTACCCAGAATCCTGTGCTAGCTGTAAAGGGATTTGAGAACATTAGGGATATAATCTTCCCAGAAGTTAGGCATAATTTGTTTTGTTTTGGGTTTTTTTGTTTGTTTTTGGTAACAGGAGAAAACATAACAATATATTATAGATCTAACAGAAGCTTCAGCAAGAGAAAGTTTGCATATTGGGTAGCAGCATCATAGTTGCCCATATCTCTAGTGTAATTCAAGTCAGGAATTGCTTGTATTCTGAAACAAAACACACTTTCACCCATTCCTGAATAATTTTGAAAAGTTTTCAATAGCATATTTTAATCGTCTGAAAAGCAATCACTGTTAAATGTTGTGATCTTGAAATTATCCAAAAATTGGAAGCAAGGAATAGTCATGAAGTTCATGCCCTGAATAAATACAGAACCTATTTTTTCTTGTCATTCCCCCTTCCTAACTTCTGAAATGCAGAGCTGTTCATTCTAGATTATAGATTTTGCAGAGCATCTGACTGACCACCAGACATCCAAGTATTGCTCTGAATGTGATTAAAACTAGGTGTAATGATTATCAGAAACTTTTTTTCTATGTGTCTCGGGTGTTTTGTTTGATAAGAAAGGAATGTGGCAATGTTCAGGCCTGTCTACTTTCAGCTGGTAATTAGGCTGCATGTTTGTTTTCTTCCTAATTCTTTTTTTTTTTTTAATTTTAGACTTGTGCAATCTTACTTACTCTTGGAAAATTGGCATTGTTATTTATGTGGTAGGGTGCATATTGCATGATGTTTACAAAAAAAGTACCTGTGCCAAATGAAGTTCATGTTTAACTATTGTGGTTTATGTGCACCTAAAGTACAATGCTGACGTGACTTATTCCAAATGGAAAGGAATTCCATACAGCCAACTCTTGGTTCTAACAGAGCATTGGGAGGACTAGTGATGATATGAACTACTGAAAGCCACAGGTTATCCAAAAATGCACATTAATTGCTAATCTTAAATTTCTTCCCCTTCCAACTTTAATTTTAAAGCAAAAACAACAAACAAGAGGCCAAGTTTGGTTGGTGTGTCCTACCTCTCCCCTCTAGGCGTAAATATCCCTTATTGAAGATGCTAACAAAGAGTGAAATTGCCAAAGCCAAGCAGTTAGAGAAGAAAAAATGAAAGTAAGGGTGTAAAAGAAAAAAAAAATTCTCCCACTGTGTTCTTACGACTTGACACAGGGCATTTCTGACACCAGATGTGTGGGATTTTTCTGCAGTTCTCCACTGGACACCAGCTGGGTTTCCTCTACTTCAATTCAATTCTGACACTGTCTACCTGGAATTAGCATCAGATCCCACAGGTGAAGGGCTCAGTCCCGCAAGACTGTCCCCACTCCACATGCTGGTCACAAGTTCGAGCCTCCCTGGGTTTCATCTGGAGCAGCTCACAGAACTCAGGGAATAGTTTACTGACATTTACCAGTTTATTACAAAGGGTATTACAAGGGATACAGATGAAAGACATACATAGGGAAAGGGATGTAGGAAGGGGTGAGGAGGTTCCACAACCTCTCTGGGATACATCCATGTGTTCTGCAACCCCAAAGCTCTCCAAACCCCATAGTTCAGAGATTTTTATGAAAGCTTCATCATCTAAGTGTGGTTGATTATCAGTCTCCAGTTCTTCTCACCTTTCTGGAGAATTGCGATGGGGCTGAAAGTTCCAAACTTGTAGTCATGGCTTGTTTTTTTTCTGGTGACCAGCCGCCATCCTGAAGCTATCCAGGAACCCAGTAAGAATCACCTCATTAGAACAAAAGATGCTCCTATCACCCAGGAAATTCTAAGGGATTGGAGCTCTGTGTCAAGAACCAGGATCAAAGACCGATTATTAGAATAAAAGATCCTCCTAGTAACCCTTTTGCTCTAGAAATTACAAGGGTTTTAGGGGGCTCTGTGCCAGGAACTTGGGATGAAGACCTATATATATATATATTTCTTATTATAAATTATAGTATCATGAGGAATATGAAATAAGTCATATTCAGCCTAAATAGCCTATGTTTAAAGCATACATGTTTTAATAGATAATTTCAGTGGTACCTGTAGACAACTTTGTGAAGCTATGTTTTAACTTGATGGAAAAAAAGACTGCAGACATGACCTCCTAATTAGCATTATACTACAACTAAAATCATGTGCTGTACATATTGATGCAGACTAGTTTTGCTTATGCTGCTTAGAAGGAAAATAACTCTACATTTTTTTAAAGGAGTGATACAGTACAAGGAACATCAGATTTCACTTCAGAAAACTTAGGTTCAGGGTTTTGTCTTTGCCACTAGCTAGGCAAAGCTAGTGTGATTCTGGGCAAATCACAGTTCTATTATCCTTAATTTTCTCATTTGTCAACTGGGGCTAGTATTTCTCAAGAGTTGTGAAGACTAAATGAGGCTGCATATATGAAAATAGTTTGTATATTGAATGACTGTATACTAATTTTTAGGGTAAGCTAACTTTATTATTGACTAATTTTTATTATTTTATTATTAGTGTAAGCCAATATTATTTTTTACATATTTATTTCTGCCACTAATATTTAAAAAATAAAATTGATTGTTTCTTATAGCTTTAATTCATACCCCTAATTTTTATAATATAAAAATTAAAAAAAAAATTGTTTAGCATAGTTTGAATGTACAAAATTCAGTCCCAAACCAGTTATTCCCACAAGACTGTGTCACACTTGACTATTTCTTCACCTAGTTAATTTTTATTTTAATTTAATGAAATGGCCAACCAGTTATTTTTTATTTTATTTATTTATTTATTTATTTTTGAGATGGAGTCTTGCTCTGTCACCCAGGCTGGAGCACAGTGGCGTGATCTCGGCTCACTGCAACCTCCGCCTCCTGGGTTCAAGCAATTCTCCTGCCTCAGCCTCCCGAGTAGCTGGGACTACAGGCACGTGCCAGCATGCCCAGCTAATTTTTGTATTTTTAGTAGAGACGGGGTTTCACCATGTTGGCCAGGATGTTCTCAATCTCTTGACCTCATGATCCACCCACCTCAGCCTCCCGAAGTGCTGGGATTACAGGCGTTAGCCACCGTGCCTGGCCTACCAACCAGTTATTTTAATGATATTTAGATAATCCAAAATGTGATCATTCAAAATAGTGTATAATGTTACCACCTTTTTTTTACTTCTGGAGGCAGAGTCTCACTCTGTCGCCCAGGTGTAGCATGACCCCGGTTCACTTCAACCTCCACCTCCTAGGTTCAAGTGATTCTCCTGCCTCAATCTCCTGAGTAGCTAGGACTACAGGTGTGTGCCACCATGTCCAGCTAATTTTTTATATTTTTAGTAGAGTCAGGGTCTCATCATGTTGCCCAGGCTTGTCTCGAACTCCTGAGCTCAAGCAGTCCACCCACCGTCGGCCTCTCAAAGTGCTAGGATTACAGGTGTGAGCCACCATGCCTGGCCTCAAAATAGCATATAATGTTATCTTGAGGTATTTCTTTTAATTAACCAAGCATAATAAAGATTAATATTAGTATAAACCTTTTTAAATGATTTTTTAAAATCTATGCTCTTATATTAGTTAGGATATGCTAAGATATATTCTGTGACAATTCCCATATCATGATGGCCTTACAAAAGTCTATTTCTTGTTTACAGTCAGTGTCCAGTGTGGATAGGCAGGAGGGTTCTCCTCATTGTACTCGCTAAGAGACCTTTGCAGGTGGTGTTCCAGGTTCTTCCATGATCCCTGTGGCTTAGGGACCAGAATGAGGCACATTGAACACCGGCTGATAAAGCTTTATACAAGTGCACATGTTGTTTTCACTCATATGACATTGGCCAAACCAACTTCAAGGGTGCTCAAGTGAAGCAGGATATCTGATGACAGCCTTGATGACTTCCATAATCTTTTTGTAAACACGTATACTAATATTATACCCTCCTTTAATGTTATTCAATATCCAAAGTCATTTAACATGATAAAAAACTGTATTTTATATTTTAATTTGCTTTTCCAAACTGTGTCTTCTTAACTTTATTAATGCCAAAAAAATTTAATTTTTTCCATGTAATATTGACTCCTATTGTGTTATTGAAGGGGATTATGTTTCAAAAGTACCTTCCTAGATGATGGTTTCATCAGTGAAATTGTCTCAAAATAAAAATGAAAATTAATATGTAACAGTTTTATCATAGGTTTTTGGCAGAGATTTTGCTGTTATTGGTGATGATATTACTTAGGGTTTCCATTAGCATTTAGAGTATTGTACCAATGATCACTTAACAAGGTCAATATCACGATGATAAAAACATTCAAACTATTTAGGAAAATAAGTTAAAAGATTTAGGTCATTTATTTCATAAAGGTGATAATTCAGGGTCAGAAAACTATAACCCATGAGCAAAATCAAGCATGTCACCTGTTTTATGTAATTATTAGAACACAGCCATGCCCATTTGTTTTGTATTGACTTTGGCTGCCTTCATGCTATAATGGCAGAATCAAATACTTACAGCAGAGACCGTATGGCCTCCAAAGCTGAAAATATTTACTATCAGTTCCTTTACAGAAAAAGTTTGCCAAATACTGGACTAAAGGAAAGAATGTAAGGTGAAGAAAAATAAGATTTATAAATAGAATACCTGATTTGAATCCTGATTCTAATATTTTTTCACTTTGTGCTTTTGACCAGGTCATTGAACTTTTCCGAGTTATTTACTTCCTTCAGGTGAATAGTCTAAATGACTTTCTAATAGATGAATGATAATAATTGCACTTGCTATCTCACAGGGTTTTGTGAAAACTCAAAAGGATAATGTATTTAACAGTGGTAAATAACCTAATTACTATGCAAATAAAATTTCTCATTTTTAAATAAGCTGCTGTATTTGTTTTTCCCTGTTTTTCATCGAAGATTGAAATAAGGTTTGTGACTCAATTTTTATGAACTATTGGAAGACAGCTGGATAAGCTTTAAGAGCCTGAAATCATGTTCTGAAGAGAGGGTCCACAGCACATATCAGATTCTCAAAGGGGTCCATAAACCACAAAAGGGTTTAGAACCATTGGCTTGTATAATTTGTTTTAATTTTCAGATTGATAAAAAGTGCAATTTTGTGCTACTTCAAAAATTGAGAGAAAATACTGTATTAGAAACGTAGTAACATGTTCCAATGTAGGTGCTAGCAGACAAAATAACTGCTTCAAAAACTGAGTATATAGGGCTCAGACGGAAACCACAGGGAAATGTATTTCTAAAAATAAGAAAATCTCATTCTACTGCTTAGCTCTGGGTGATGTTATAGTGTCAGATATTTTCAGTACTCCTCTCCTGCAGATTCTGAGTTGTTTTCTGTAAATATGATACAAAATGTTACATTTAAGAAAACTAGAGTGCTACCAATCTCAAGCCATGACATTCTGGTTTAAAAAATTCAGACTTTGGGGGAAAAATTTCAAGAAAATGAAATCTAAGTGTCAGAAAAAGGGATCACTATATTTTTAGAGGAAAAAATCAGGGGATAGAAATTGTGGGTGTATAGACCAGGTACAGCGGCTCACTCTTATAATCCCATCACTTCGGGAGGCCAAGAATTGCTGAGTTCAGGAGTTTGAGACCAGCCTGGGCAACATTGCAAGATCCTTGTCTCTACAAAAGAAAAAATAATTAGCCGAGCATGGTGGCTACAGTGAGCCATAATCATGCCACTGCACTCCAACCTGGGCAACAGCGGGAGACCCTGTCTCAAAAAAGAAAATTATGAGTTTATGATAATAGAAAGGAGATTGTTATGATAAAGCCACTCTTGATGTGGATGATGAGAGAAAGAAAAGTAATAGCATAGACTTGATTGCAAATCACTTCGCATACACTCTTTGTCTTTCTACAGTATTTCCTGGCTGACTTTTATAAATGTTTGCTGAAAGTCCAAAGATGTGCAGTGCTGGTTATCTTTTTAAATTCATGGAAACTCTAGGAAGGGCATATAAATCAAGGCAACTTAAGATAGGTGCTTTGCTTATGTTAATGCAGAAAGAAAATCATATTCTTTCACATGGCAACTTTGGGCATACAAATAGTGAGGAATTAATAGCATACTCATTTAAAATAAAATACTATATGCTTTTATTAAAAATTAATAAGGAGTGTCTATACATCATTAAGCAATAAGAAACAAACAAGCAGTGTAAAGAATGTAGAGTGACAGGTAAGTCTTCCTCCTGCAGCTGATCCTTCAGTGTCTCATCCCCTACAGAGTCAAATATGATTACCATTTCTTATCATTCTAGGAATCATTTATGTATGGATATGTGTGTGTGAAAGTGTGTGTGTCTATAATTAATATAGATACATTCCTTTGTTATACAAGTGAAGCTCACTATATCTTGCTACCTCCACATAATAAGAGGTCATGAAATTTTAAAAAATCATTCGTTGAAGATTTGCTTTATTGTTTTAGCAGCTACATAGTTTTCCTTTTAGGCATAGGTCATAATTTCATGAATCCCATGTTGATGACCATTTTTTGTTTGCAATGGGTATTTTTTAAAAAAATATATACATGGCTGGGTGTGGTGGCTCACAGCTGTAATCCCAACACTTTGGGAGGCCAAGGTGGGTGGATCACCTGAGATCAGCAGTTTGAGACCAGCCTAACCAACATGGTGAAATCCCATCTCTACTAAAAATACAAAATTAGCTGGACTTGGTGGTGCATGCCTGCAATCCCAGCTATTTGGGGGACTGAGGCAGGAGAATTGCTTGAACCCAGGAGGTGGAGGTTCAAAAAAAAAGTATATGTATGGTATGACATATATATGTATGAGTTAATCCAGTACCAGTTTTTAATGCCTTTTTCCCCGATTTTTAAAAATATTATGAGGTGACTTGTTATCAAAGTATATATATAGATTGGTCTTTTCTCATATATGGTAATATGTGATTAACATAAAAATAGAATAATACAGAAGTGTATAAAAAAGGGAAATAACTAGATAGGACCATGTTTCTTTTACAGTGATTTTCCTATGTATAGTTGACTTAGTTGATATTATACCATAATCACTGATTTTTAGAGATATTTAACATGCCAGTATCATTGGTCTTTATGGATGTTATAAATTTGAGTTTGCTGGCATAAGTATCTGTCTTTCATTGACTTATTAGGCTTCAAAATGAAAACATAAAAATAAACAATGACTCAGGTATTATAATATGAACTTCACTGATACAGAAAGCCATTACTTGTCATTTACAGTGGCTACTAGTTATACTGTCTGTCTTTACTTTTCTAAGGGGGAAAAAAGTTTTGTTGACTCATTCTTTAGGCAAGGTGATTCAGTCATCTAAATTGTTGTATCATCCAATGTGAGATCCAATATATGTCACTTAAACTGTGAGAAAAACAGTGTGATGTGCCATATACAGTCATGTGTCACTTATCGACAGTGACATTTCCTGAAAAATGTGTCATTCAGCAACTTCCTCACTGTGCAAACATCATGGAGTGAACTTACACAAACCTAGATGTACACACCTAGGCTATCTGCTATAGCCTATTGCTTCTAGGCTACAGACAGGTGCAGCATGTTACTGTACTAAGTACTGTAGGCAAGTGTTAGATAATGGTAAGTATTTGTGTATCTAAACATACCTAAACATAGAAAAGATGCACAAAATAAATGGTATAAAAGATTTTTTAAAAATAGTACACTTGTGTAGGGACTTACCATAAATGAGTCTTGTGGGACTGGAAGTTGCTTTCATGGGTCAGTGAGTGAGTGGTGAGTGATTGTAAAGGCCGAGGACATTGGTGCACAATACTGTAGACTTTAAAAAACACTCTTCACTTAGGCTGCACTAAATTTATGAAAAATATTTTTCTCTCTTCAATAATAAATTAGCTTTCCATAACTGTTTTACTTTATAAACTTTTTAATGTTTTTGAGCTTTTTAATTCTTTTGTAATAATACTTAGCTTAAAATTCATTTTACAGCTGTACAAAAATATTTTATTTACATTCTTATTTTATATGCTTTTTTTCTATTAATTTTTAAAAACTTTTTCAATATTTTTGTTAAAAGCCAAGACACAAACACACACACTAGCCTAGACCTACACAGGGTTAGGATCATCAATATCACTGTGTTCCACCTCCGTATTTTTTCCCACTGGAAAGTCTTTATTGATAACATGCATGGAGCTGTCATCTCCTATGATAACAATAACTTCTCCTAGAATATCTATTACGGTTAACGTTTTTTCTTATAAGTAGAAGGAGTACAATCTAAAATAATAATAAAAGGTATAATATAGTAAATACATAAACCAGTACCATAGTAACTTTTTCTATCATCAGGTTTTATGTACTGTACATAATTGTACGTGCTGTACTTTTATATAATGAGAAGTGCAGTAGATTTTCTATATCAGCATCACCACAAACGTGGGTAATATGTTGTTCTATGATGTCACTAGACGATAGGAATTTTTCAGCTCTGTTATAATCTTTTGAGACTGCTGTTGTATATGTGGTCTATCTGTGACCAAATGTTACGCAGCACATGACTGTATCTTGTTATTCTGAAGATTTATCTCACGATTAGTTTATATAACCCTCAGATACTTTTCTTAAATGAAGGTACATAGGTGCAATAAATATTTCATACTTGCAAATGGCTTTCTCTTGCTTTCACACATGAAAGCTAATTTGGCTGGGTATAAAATTCTGGGATCACAACTTTTCCTACCACAACTCTATAAATTGTTCTTTATTGTCTCCTGGCAACTGCAGGGAGAAGTTTGATATTAACCTGAATTTCTTCTTTTATTAGTAATCTATTTTCCAACTAACTGCTGTTTTCATTTTTTAAGAGATTTTTTAAAAATCCTGCACTTATTCCAGTTAATTCGTTGTTTTTAGAGAAAGTTTTCTATTACATTATAGTTTCAGCTATTCTATGCTGATGGTTCTGCCTTTCCATCTTCAAAGACGCTGGAAAATTTTCTGTTGCTTTCGTATCCTCAGTTCTGTCTATATTTCATTTGTCTTTTGAAATTCTTTCTTCCATTACTTTTTTTCTGTAATTCTGGGAAATCTTTTATATTCTGTGAGCTGCATCACTGACTTGAGTTTGTACTATTTCTCTTCTACTCCTTAATTACATTGAATACAGATTTTAATTTTGCAATTGCATATTCAGTTTCCTTTCAATCATCTATTTTTTTACTCATCTCTTTTCCTAATTTTGTCTTTAAATCACAGTGAATTTATTTTTTGTTGGCTTTACGTTTTATTCTCTCCTGTTGTGATTTCCAAACATATTCTGGGTCCTGCAGTATACTATTTTTGGAGACATGCTCTTTTGAATCATTCTTCCATTTCCTCACAAAATATTTACAGAGTTTTCATGGAACAACTTCTACATGGTTGGAGTACATAATCTAGAAGTATTATATTAAAATAGACAAAAATTTAGTTAGAAACTTAATAGGAAAGTAAGTAATATAGCATGTTATGTGTTAATTATATAGCTTTGGGGAAAACTGAACAGCAAAATAGACTGGGAATGAGAGGAACAATTTTAATGGAGTCTAAAAGGTGATCTTTCTTTTCTGTTTTTTTACGTTACTTGTTTTTACTTTGGATTGGTGTTTCTAATTTGTGGACAGACAGTGAAGTTGGAGCCTCAAATGTTCTTTCTACTTGATTCAATGTGAGCAGGCTCAGTAGTGGAATAGCATAGTTATAGTTGGTTGCCAATGAGTGCATTTCAGTCTACTTTCTTCTGCTGAGTATAAAATTTTCCATATTCTCTCTCTGTAGGCTCTGAATTGTTATGGAAATGAAGAAATATTTTTTTTTTCTAGCTGCTTTTCTTAGTTGTCTTTGAAAGTTGTTTTGTTGATTTCTTGCTAAAATCCTGGGTTCCAGCATTTGCTTTTCTAATAGACTAAATTTAGGATGAAGGATGTAATCTGAGGTAGTCATCATAGCTGTGAAGAGATTACAGAAAGGGGAAAACACACTAAGAGTCCACATTTAGAGCAAGGGTGGGCCTTCTCATAATTATCTTTTTTGTGTTTGTACTTCACTTCAAGATCAAATGAGAAAGTGTGTAGGAAACTAAGGTGCGAAGACGAAGTGTGATGTGGAATAGTGGCTTTCATATTTCTTCTCTGCCTCCCAGGCCCTAGAATCCTTTTTTTTAAATTGAATTTCTAACATGTATAAAACAGATAAATAGATCTATTTGTGCATGTGCTATGCGTGTGTGTGTCTGTGTAAGTGTATCTGTGGTGAGGCAGAAGTGGAAGTGTTTTGTATCCAAGGGAAGGCTGCCTGTTTCTATAGGAGGGCAGGACTTTGAGGTCACACAGATTTGCCTTTGTACACTGGCTGGGCCACTTTTGATTTGCCCTTAACATTGTAGGCCTTGGTATCAGTGGGTTTTAAAATGTCATAGGTCAGAAAAATTATGGCATTAGATTGAAAGACTTGCCTTTTGTATGGTCTCTTGTGTAACAGTATTTAGCATGTGGTATGTGCCAGGTTTTAAGTGTTTTACATATGTTATGAAATTTCATTCTTATAACAACCCTATAAGGTGGTTGTTTCCATTATTCACATTTTTGGATAAGTACGCCAAAGCATTGAGAAATTAAACAATGTGCCTAATCATGCAGCAGGCACATGCCATTGTGGTGTTTTAAGCCTACAGAGCCTAGCTTGTAGTGTTGGCACTTATAACCTCTTAACTCTGACCTCTGCCTCTAGTGGCCAGGGGAGCCAGACCTGTATTGAATTACATTTTGAAAAATGTAGAGTATCTATGTTGTACCACAAATTTTAAGTGAACTGATGATATATGTTCGCCTTTCCTCCTAATGGTTTAGGGACTTAGTTCTAAGACCCTATCTTTCTAAGTGGAAGGGCTATGCCATTGTTGCCTTTGGAAAACACTTTCTACAAGTAAAAATCGTCACCTTTGGAAAATTACTGTCTACAAGTAATTTGCAAGAAATCAGTATGAAAAACACTGGACTATATCTCTGATGTGTCTCCCAACACTTTGTTTACTTGTAAATATTGAATTAAGTAAAGTATATCTGCCTTTACCATGTGTGAGAAAACCTTGTATGATATTTAGGCTAAATGGCATTACTCTTTTGATGCTGAGGGTACAGTTTTTAAAAATGTAAACATATGCCCTTTTTTCTAATGTGTATCTTTTAAAAACTAAGATACAGAAATAAATTATTTTGAAGATATTTGTCAAAATAAAAGTGTACATGGGAGCCGAATCCCATACCAGAGATGAATTTTAAAAATGGTAATGGATATTGCATTAAATTGAGTTTAATCGATGCCCCTTAATGGTTTTAGTGATGTAGCCTTTCATCTAAATGACCCAACTTCAGCTGTCATCACTCAGATTCAGGATCTGTATAGTTACACATCATTCAGGTGGGTTGGCTGTCACTTGCTTTCTCTCTCCTGTCTGAGACAGACAGTAGTTGATGAGTTTTGAATTGCTACCACAAGGTAATAGTCAAGGCACGGCTCGTTCCTTACACCCTTATTTCAAGTAAAATTATATTCAATATAGACAGTCAGTACTTGAAAACCTTGAGTTTTATCTCTTCAATCTATTCTGCCTTATTGCCACCAATATTTCATTTTTTTTGGCCTCAGTTTTCCACTTTGTGTAGTGATGGGGTCAGAATTCTATTGGCTGTGTCTATGCTTACATTTAATGATTTTGCTTAAAAAATTCAGAGGCTTTTCCCACCTCAGTTCGTGGTGGTTTATATTGTGAATATAAAAATTAATAGGCCATCTTAAACAAGATACGGTCGAGCAATTCTGTGAGGGATGTCAAAGTTAACGCCTTCAAAATAACAGGCTTTGCTGTCATAAAATTATTATACCACTTACTAATGAAGGATTAAATATTCTCACAGCTGCTAATGTCTGTTTGGCTAGGAGAATGAAAGGTGAACAGTAATTTAGAGCACTTCATTTCACAGATTATTTGACTGAATATCAAGTAGCTGTTTTCTATGGTTGCGTATTCTGCAAAGTGAAGAGTGTGAAAAGAGAATTTTGACTCAACCACTCCTTACTTGAAATATGTTTCAGGAGAGAAAGTGCTATCATCATTAGCATCATCATCATTGCCACCATTATTTTTTATTGACATCAGACCCTTATTCTGAGCTTCAGTGGTACTACCTGAGCTATGCTTGGTGGCCATGAAAGTGACTTTAGCTGGCTGATACTCATGGACTGCTTACTATGTGGCATGCTTCATGCTAAGTTCTTTATGTTTGTTATATTATGTATTCCTTTTACTGTTTTATACATGGGGAGACTGAGGCACATAGCAGTGTGTAACTTTCTCAGTGACAGAGTAGCAGAGCTAGGATTTAAACCAAGACACCTGGGCTCTAGAGCCTGAAGTCTTAACTGCTATGCTACGTTACCTTCAGTACACTTGAAAATAAATTTGAATAAGTCTATTTGCAGTTGAGAAAAATTACTGTGAATCAAAGATAGCATGGATTTCTTGGCACTTTAGATTACTTATGTCCACCAAGATCCAGCTTTCTAAAATGAAAAAAATATATGTTATGTCTAATGTGTTACTTTAGGACAATTTGATGACAGAGGAATTATATAGTTCTATCAGTTTACTGCTATAGTAGACTTTTATTTATTGATTTTATGGTTTATTGTTTGATGCCAAGTCTGGTCAGGAATACAACATCAAATTATATTGGAAAAGTCTTTTAACAATACTCTTTAAAGTGTGATTTCCAGAAAGTGCTTTGTGATAGAAGTTCAGATTCCTAATTTATGATCTCTTTCAATACACAGGAAAACTTAAGTTACTCAAATTTTGTGCTAAGAAATAGTTCTCCATTTCCTTAATGCTACAGAATTATTTTTCTTCTCCTCTTGGAATAAGAGGAGAATCAGATCATCAGTATTTAAATAACACATGAATTTACAGCAATTGACAGAAATATAATTTTATTACGCCTTGAACAGTTCTCTCTTGATTGGCTTGAGCTTCAGATAAAATAGTTGGCCAATATTTAGTGCTCGTGTTTTATTAACAAAATGCATATCTTTAAACACTCGAAATGAAATCCAGAATAGTTAAATATTCTCACTGTGAGACACTTGTGGAGCCTGAGAAGGACTATGAGAACAGCATGCATTTCAAATGTATTCAGGAAACAGCTGGGAAAGTTTGGAAACAATCTACAGGTAGATTATTATTGTTCTTTGGCAAAATTTCTTTGCAAAGGAATAGCCCTTCAACGTTTAGCTGCAATTCTAGGTTATATGAATGTATCTTGCTACCAAAAAATGTTTGGTAGAAGCTCATTCAAAAAATAACATAAGAAACTTGTAACTTCCTATAGATTTTGAAATTTACAACTGTCATGTAGGATTTTATTATGTAAGTTGCAACTAAAAATAGCAAGGGAGCCATCTTGTGAAATACTGTTTGAACTGCAGGCGCGGTTGTTTCTGGGCCAAGAGGAAGTTTGATCACTTAAAGTTGACACAAAATGTCAAAACATCCCTTTGATTTACCTACTTTAATCAATGCATTTGTTTTGATGCACCTATATATACATACTTTCCCAGTCTGACAAGGTAAAACAGTGCATATTTGCAGAATGGCATGTCCCAAACCAGATTTATATGTTGTAGTTATGCAACTGAGAAAAACGCTAAGTTTGAGGACCCATATCTCTCGCCTTAATCTCAAACACTTGCTCCAAGCAACTGAATTAATAGTTTAAATCTCAGCTTTAACATTTAACAATTGTTTAACTTTGTACACATTACTTCACTTCAGTAAATCTCACTTTCCACATTCAGAGAGTGGGGATAACTAGTTGTACTTAAACCTCGTAGGATTGTTGAGCAAGTTAAAATAAGCGTACACATGAAGGGATCAGCATGGTATCTGATATGCAGTGAGATTGTGAGCATTCAAGAAATATTCGCAATTACCCTTTTTATTGGTAATGAAAATTATTTTATTATTGATGAAAATATAGTAATAGAGTGATGTCATAGCTGTCTAGAAGAGATAAATCTAATCAATATTGTTCTATGTACAAAGAGACAGAGGCAGGTTTACCTCGAGACTGAAAATTAAGACTCCTCATTTGTATGGGTCTTCTTTTTAATTTTTATTCATTTTTTTTCCTACAGAGCCTCATATAGCTTGCGACCCATAAACCTTGCATCTATGACAGGGGCATGAATCAGAATCACCTCTGTAGGTATTTTAAAATGCACATGTACCATCCTCCCTTTCCAGAAGAAAATAATTTAGTTGTTCTGAAGTGGATTTTTAAAGTTCCATATATGATTTTGCTATGGATCCTTAGTTTAAAACTGGTGTTATAGAGGAACAGTGTACGATGTGTGAAAATTCTAAAATGAACAGATCTTTTCACAAAGATATTGTCTTGTAATTAGAATCATATTTTTCTGGAATCATATTTCTTCTTCAGTGTTTGATTAGGCTCTTTCCTCTGCATAACAGTAGCTTTGACTCACTTTTCTAAAAACACGAGATGTGGCCTGGCGCAGTGGCTCATGCCTGTAATCCCAGCACTTTGGGAAGCTGAGGCGGGCGGATCACCTGAGGTCAGAAATTCGGGACCAGCCTGGCCAACATGGTGAGACCCTGTCTATACTAACAAAAACACAAACATTAGCTGGGTGTGGTGGCAGGTGCCTGTAATCTGAGCTACTTGGGAGGCTGAGGTAGGATAATTGCTTGAACTCAGGAAATGGAAGTTGCAGTGAGCTGAGATTGCACCATTGCACTCCAGCCTGGGTGACAGAGTGAGACTCTGTCTCAAAAAACAAAAAACAAACAAACAAAAACACGAGATGTGATTGTCATTTCACTCTGATTTCTAAAAGGTTTGCTCTTTTTAGGTTGCTTATTGAGGGCATCTCCTAAATGTATGTTGCTCTTTTTTCTCATCCTACTTTCAACTCTTTTGCCCTGTATTATTAATGTTGTTTTTCTGCCTCTAAAGTAATTTAAATGGTTCTGTATTGAAATGATATTTTAATTATTATTTTTTTATTTTCTTTTCCTTTTTTTTTTTTTTTTTTGGCAGGGTCTTGCTCTGTTGCCCAGGCGGGAGATGCAGTGGTGTGATCATGGCTCACTGCAGCCTCAACTTCATGAGCTCAAGCAATCCTCCCACCTTAGCCTCTTGAGCTACTGGGACTGCAGGTGCATACCACCACACCTGGCTAATTTTTTTTTTCAAAGATGGGGTTTCTCCACGTTGCCCAGGCTGGTCTTGAACTCCTGGGCTCAAGTGATCCACCTGCCTCAACCTCCCAAAGTGCTGAGATTACAGGCATGACCCACCATGCCTGTACATTAATTATTTTTAAGGGTGTTTTTTTTAAATATGTACGTATCAATAATTTTGCTTTTCCTTGCTGTCCAGAATAAAATAAAAATGAGTACAAGTAATTAGAACAGTAGAACTATCTAGATCTGAATATGTCTATTCAATTAAAATATGCGGTATTAATAAAAACCTATAGATTGCTCTTTTCAATTCAGCATATTTTCTTGCATATCTGCTCTGAGCAAATCCCTATACAAGATATATAAAGGAAAGAAAAATAATTCCCAGAGATTCTCTGCTCCCAACAAGTTTATGATTAAGAAGAGAGACAAAGCCTGTAACCGAATGATGAGAGTTCACGTTAGAGTAATACATAGTTCCTCTAATGGCAGAAAAGTACTATGTATGTTGAAAGAAGGCAAGATCACAGCTGGTTGAAAGGGTAAGGAATGACTGTGTGTGAAAGTGGTGTGAGGTGGGAGGAAAGGACAGACAGGATTTCAACACGATAATTGAAGGTCCACCCTTGTGTCAGCTAGAGGGAGAAAACAACATAAAAATGAAGGAATCGGGAAAGTTCAGCTTATTTTTTTCAGCGAGTAATGATGACTCTGAAGTTTCTAAAAGGTAGAGAGCAATGGTACACCGGGGAGTCTTGGCACAAGGGGAGTGATGATTTGTGCTGAACGATTTTGGAACACTTAAGGGTTTTGAAACTACAGAATATCAAAACTGAAGCTGCGCTTTAGAAAGAGTTGGTTATTAGGAGATGGATTTGTGTGAGAAAAAACACAGACAGGCTGTTTTAATGCTTTGAGGTAGTGGCGGTGGAACTGCTAGGAAGCAGGGAAGGAGAATGGAGGGGTTGTGGTGGTAAGGAGGTCTGCCTCATTGCCTACAAAGCCTTCTGTCGTCTGAGGATGAGTGAGATTCAGGAGCTCTGGCCCTGTGGTGACAATTTATGTTATTTAAACATAATCAAATGGTGGTGATAGATGCCATGAGTGTTCGGGAGAAGGAAAAGATTAAGGTATTCCCCAGAGCACACAGAGTTAGGAGACTTCCTCGGCACATCTGTCAGTGGGCATAGGGATGCTGGAGAAGAGACAATCTTCTATGAAAAGATACTTTATGAAGAAAGTGTTGTAATGCAACCCATGAGGTGTTAAAGAAAAAGGTCACTAACAAAGAATGGCAAGACAAAGTGAGTTATGGCCATAGTTATCTGCTAGCCTTTCGCTAAGGTCAAAACTCTGAATTACTAAAGGGAGGAACATGAAATAAGCTAGTACGATTATTTTTAAAGGAAGCATGCTAATCAGAAGTTAACTCAATAAGTACGAAGTGCAGATAAAACTCATGTGCAGAAGAGATTTTGAAAGATAATCAGGAGTCACTAGTGGGATATCTTCATGTAATATTTTTCTTAACCCCACCATTTCAGTGAAGGCCACATTGAAAAGCTGTTTGACAATTAGGTCCACACTCTGAAACTTTATCAGGTATTCTTGAAAACCTCAACATTCAAGATGAGAGACTGCCTGAGTAGAATGAAGAGAGGGCTACCACGAAGCATAGACTGTAGGAAGATAACTTTAGGAAGCATTTAGGTATTGTTTAGATATCCAGTGGGAATACCAGGGCTATCATGATGACTAAAACATGGCCCCTGACCTTACGGAACTTCTGATTATAGAACTGATCGTTATGATCTAGTAAGATCAGTCTTAGTAAAGGGAACCCTGCATGCAGGAGGGGTTCAGATCCAGTCTTGGGACTATGTATTGAGGGCTTAAAGATGGCTTCTTGGAGAATTGATATCTAACCCAAGTAACAACAAAATAATTCTTAGGCATGAGCCAGGTAAGAGCAGGGGGCATGGGAGAATGTGCATTTGAAGCAAGGAAAGTAACATAATCAGAGGGGACCAATAGGGAAATATTTCGGTTTGGTTAACTTATTTGTATTCTATTTGTTATCTTATGTGTATTTTGCCTGTTGCTTGTTTTCACATAGGGTGAATTTTTTTTCTCTGAAAGAGTAATCAATTTCTCCATCACTATTAATTGAATAATTGTTTAATTTCCAACGTTTGTGATGTTTTTAAATGTAATGATACGTTTAAAAATTAGTATGCAGCATTTCTGACCTTATTCTGTTCTTTTCTGCTTCATTTCATCCCATTCTACACTAGCTCAAGCTGTTCTCTAAAATTCTTGCATATAACTTACAACGATTACTTTTAGGTAATTTTTATATTTCCCTTAATATCATGAATAAATATTTTTCCATTTCACTTAGCACATTTAAGATAATGCTAAAATATTATAATGATGTTGTTTTCCATATTTTAATCATGCATTCAGCTATTTTACTAAGCTTTTCTTTATTCATCTTCCAATTTTCTTTATTCAATTTTCAATATTCTCCTTTATTTACTAGGTATTTAATTCCACGCACAACTAATATATTTGTCTCCTTCTTTAAAATAATTATATTTTTATTTCTTTTCTTTCATTATACCTGCTAGAACTTTCAGAGTAATGATAAAAATAGTTGTAAAATGGATATCATTTTTCCTGATTTTAAGAGAATTCATCCAGTTGTGCTGTAATATTGAATATGATATTAAATACTTTGAGATAGATATTCTTTGTCATGATAAAATAATTTTATATTTCTAGTTTTTAAAGAAATAAAAGAAGTAGTACAGACTATTGTCCAATGTCTTCTTGATCTATAAATGTAATATATTTATAGGTATTCTTTTCTCTCATTATTTTGCTATTGGTTAATATTTCAAATGTGTAGAAGTGTCTAGAGAAAAAAATATTGCACATCTACCTTTATCAGATGTTAACATTGCTTCATGCTGTTTTGTTGTTATTATTGAACAAAACACAATATAGACAGTTGAAGGCCCTTCCAATCTCATTGAGTAGGCCACCCTTATTCATTGGTTAGTTCATCCTCCTAATTTTGGTAGAATCTGATGCCTGCAAATATGTTTAGTTCTGTTTCTGAGCTCTTTATTCTTTTGGATTGGTCTGCCTCTCTCTGTTCAGTACCCTGTCCAATACCATATTGTCTTAATCATATTGCTTTTTAATTGCTAATGTGAATCTTGATATCATGTAAGGCAAATCTTTTGACTTCATTATTTTTTGTCCATTTTAAAAACATTTATAGATGATTTTTATATAAGTTCATGAAGTTCCACTAAAAACAATTCCAAAATATTTATTGTAAAGTGCATTATATTTATGCATAGATTTGATAAAAATTGATACCTCTTCATTCCTCCAGGTCTTTTTTTATGTCATTCATTTTGGAACTTTCGTTTGTAATTTTATCCATACAGTACTTTCATATTATTGTATTTATTCTTATAAATCTTTGTTGCTGTTGAGGTTTTTTTGTTTGTTTTTTATTATATTTGTGATGGTTATTTCTGGGAGTGTAGGAATGTTGTAGTGTGGGGAATAAGAACCCAGGAATTTTAGCCTAACCATGCTTACCTTACTTATTGAACGTCTACATCTTTTTAACTCTTGTCCATTACTTCATGAAATTATTCTCATTTACAGTAATTCTTCTTCTAAGTGTTGATTGTATTTACCTTTGTAAGCATTTGATTTATTCATGGACTTTTTGTTTAGAGGCTTATGTTGAGTAGGATGGCTTTTGTTCCATTCTTTTGTTCACACTCCTTTAACTCCTCACTCCTCATTTATCCTTAGATCCTTGCAGAATTCCCTGATATAGTACATTAACATTTTTTGTCCCAGTATGGAGTTATTTCAAGGCTTGTCTTGAATTTGTTCTACTCTCAGTGCCTAAATGCTGCATACTGAGAGCCGTGTGGCCTCTGAGTAGATAGAACATTTTAGTAGAACTAACTTAGGGATAAATTATGATGGAGGTAGAGAAAATGAGACATATGGCACTACCAGAAAATGCACCACAACTGATAGTAGAGAAATGCAAAAACAGTTTCCTCTCCACTTCCTAGTTGGCTTGCTCTTGAGTTTCAGAGATCACAGTCATCAGGAGCCCAAAATTATACTGTCCCAGCTATTTAAGTGCAGTGTTTTAATGAGAATGTTTCTCATATGCATGCTGTCTTCCCTGGTTTTCAGTGTAGTAAATCTTTGTCTCTTTGTGTGCCTTCATTAATGGTATAAAGAAAAGCCAGTGGGTGGCATATTTAGCTGATTTTACTATTAATTTTGAAAATTTTGTATCAGCAGTTTCTTCATCTGAGTTTCCTCAGTAACTAGCATGGTGATTGGCAAGTGGTATTCAATGAAAATTTTTTAATTGAACAGAAATCTTATTGATTGCTGTAGTGATATTTGATTTGTTTCTATGTATAGCTTAGTACTTTATGATATAGAGTAACATAATAGTATGCACTTTTTTTCTTATCTAAAATTTCTTTCCATGAGATTGGAGTAATAGAGTTCTACCTCCCACATGTTTAGTCAGAGTTACTTACATGTTTTTAAAAATGTGTTTAATTCTAGAAGGGTCTATACCAACGCAATTTTAATTTATTGTTGCTTTTATCATTACTATTGTCAATAAATGTAACAATAAACTACTGCCTCCACATTTGAAGCTGGCTAAGAGATTCAAGATTTTCAGGAACTTCCTATTAGTCAAATAGAACTCTTCAATCCAGAGTATATAAACTGCACCCAACAAGTCTAAACAGTTTAACTCTGTGACTTAATTTCAGTAAATCTCACATAGAGGGTAGAAAGGCTGCTATTATCCAAAAGTGTTGCTTACTACAAGTTTAGCCTGACATCTTTCAGTGGAGGTGAACTTGTTTGTAAAAGTCAGCTATTTGATAGGCTTTCATTAAGTATCCCAAGTAAACATAAACAAAAACGTATGTGGGGTTTGTCAATTTATCATTATGGGTGTCTGAAATTTCTCAGTAACTAGGTATATTCTTAAGTCACGATCCAAGGTTTAAATAACTGTGGTGGAAGACTAAATTAGGAGAATATCTCAAATCACAAGTGCAAACATGATGGATCTGGGCCATCTTCAGTCCTGAAAATGAAATGAAAGCTTAGCTTTTTGATCAAAAAGAGTCCTGGTAGGACCAATTACAGAGATGTCTGGGTCTTTCTTTACTGTCTCTTGGCAAAATCATTAGGCCTTTGCATGCTGTTTACGTTCTTCTTTCGATATATAGCGTTGTTATATATATATATATATTTTTTTTTCTCTGACATCTCTTTTTAAAGTCTAATTTAATTTTTTTTAAATTTTACTTTAAGTTCCGGGATACGTGTGCAGAACGTGCAGGTTCGTTACATAGGTATACGTGTGCCATGGTGGTTTGCTGCACCTATGGACCTGTCCTCTAAAATTCCCTCCCCTCACTCCCCACCCTCCAACAGGCCCTGGTGTGTGCTGTTCCCCTCCCCGTGTCCATGTGTTCTCACTGTTCAACTCCCACTTATGAGTGAGAACATGTGTTTGGTTTTCTGTTCCCGTGTTAGTTTGCTGAGAATGATGGCTTTCAGCTTCATCCATGTTCCTGCAAAGGACATGATCTCATTCCTTTTTAATGGCTGCATAGTTTCTATGGTATGTATGTACCACATTTTCTTTATCCAGTCTATCATTGATGGGCATTTGGGTTGGTTCCATGACTTTGCTATTGTAAATAATGCTGCAATAAACATATGTGTGCAAGTGTCTTTATAGTAGAATGATTTATATTCCTTTGGATATATACCCAGTAATGGAATTGCTGGGTCAAATGTTAATTTATGATTCTACATCCTTGAGGAATCGCCACACTGTCTGCCACAATGGTTGAACTAATTTACCGTCTCACCAACCTGTAAAAGTGTCCCTATTTCTCCTTAGCCTTGTGAGCATCTATTGTTTCTTGACTTTTGAATAATCGCCATTCTGACTGGCATGAGATGGTATCTCACTGTGGTTTTGATTTGCATTTCTCTAATGGTCAGTGATGTTGAGCTTTTTTTCATATGTGTGTTAGCTGTATAAATGTCTTCTTTTGAGAAGTGTCTTTGCCCACTTTTTGATGGGTTTTTTTTTTTCTTGTAAATTTGTTTAAGTTCATTTTAGATTCTGGATATTAGACCTTTGTCAGATGGGTAGATTGCAAAAATTTCCTCCCATTCTGTAGGTTGCTTGTTCACTCTGATGATAGTTTCTTTTGTTGTGTAGAAGCTCTTTAGTTTAATTATATCTCATTTGTCAATTTTGGTATTTGTTGCAATTGCTTTTGGCATTTTTGTCTTGAAATCTTTGCCCATGCCTATGTCCTCAATGGTATTGCCTAGGTTTTCTTCTAGGGTTTTTATGGTTTTTGGTCTTACGTTTAAGTCTTTAATCCATCTTGAGTTAATTTTTGTATAAGGTGTAAAGAAGGGGTCCAGTTTCAGTTTTCTGCATATGGCTAGCCAGTTTTCCCAGCACCATCTATTGAATAGGCGATCCTTCCCCATTTCTTTTATTGTCAGATTTGTCGAAGATCAGATGGTTGTAGATGTGTGGTGCTATTTCTGAGGTCTCTATTCTGTTCCATTGGCCTGTATGTCTGTTTTGGTACCAGCACTGTTATATTTTTAGTATTCATATTTATCCTTTGTTTTCTTTATGGCTCTTACCTAGTAGTTACATTTAAAGAATTATTCTCTTGTCCTTTTTTCATAATATTTTACAGTCATGTTTTTAAATATTTGATGATTTAATCCATCTGATAATATTTAGTGTATAATGTGAGATAAAGACACAGTTTATTTTGAAGTAGCCTACTACTTTCCCCATCACTATTTAGTGAATAATCAACTCTTTTAAAATGACTTAGAATATCATATTTATCAAATATTAAATTCATTTACATACTGGAGTCCTTTTTATGCTTTATATTGTTTTCATTCATTAATTTGCTTCATAACTTAATTTTTAAAACTGTTGATAACATCTTTATAATTTGGAAGCAACCTTTATCTCCTATTAGTGTTCCTTTTAAATATTTATTGACTATTATTATTCATTTTATTCCAGATGGATTTTAGAATAATTTCATTAAATTATATAATTTTTAAAACTACGAATTTTTGTTGCAAAGATAGTAAATTTGTTACTTATTCAGGAAGATATTTATTTATTTATTCATTCATTTATTTATTTAGAGACCGAGCCTTGCTCTGTCGCCAGGCTGGAGTGCAGTGGCGCGATCTCGGCTCACTGCAACCTCTGCCTCCTGGGTTCAAGTGATTTTCCTGCCTCAGCCTCTCAGGTAGCTGGGACTACAAACATGCACCACCACACACAGCTAATTTTTGTATTTTTTAGTAAAGATGGGGTTTCACCATGTTGGCCAGGTTGGTCTCCATCTCTTGACCTTATGATCCACCCGCCTTGGCCTCCCAAAGTGCTGGGATTACAGGCATGAACCACCACGCCAGGCCGAGATTTAATTTTTTAGTGAGTTCCCACAAAGAAACACTGTATTTCACTAAGTTTTTCTTTTACTATACCCACTCTCTAAAGTATCTTGAGGTGTTTATATTTGCGTGTCAATCAGTCAAGAATATTTATTGATTGTCAATTATCCATTAGTTAATAAGGAAGTACTCATGCAAAGTTCTGGAGTTATCATTATGAAAAATTATGTGTGTGTGTATATATTTGTAGATATATTATAGGTAGTCTGTGTGTGTGTGTGTGTGTGTATATATATATATAATGTAATCAATCAGTCTCTACACTCACGGAGCTCAAATTTGAGTAGGGAAGATAGACATTAAAATGAACTGTTGCAAATAAGTATATAATTACAAAGTACACAGTATTGATGGGAATTTTATTTATTTGTGGTGTTATTAAGTTCTGATCATAAAAATGCCTGTTCACTTGAGACTGTTCAGCCAGGAGCAGCATATGCAGGCCTCCTGTTAGATGATCCCCTTGCCGCTTGCAGTGAACTTAACAATAGCTGTCCATGAAGGCCTTCCTTGAAAGTGATGTGAAAAAGAAATACTAACTTTTCTGTGTGATATACTCATCTAAATTCCAGAGGCCTTGGCTTGGCATCCATCCAGCTCTTTGGCACAGACTGCCTGCAGTCCCCTACATTTGACTCTGTAATGTGTTGGTAAATGTTAGCTGGCTGATGGGGAAAAAGATCTAAATTACAGAGCTTGCCAATTTCTGTGGAACAAATATTTCTACTGTATTAGTCCATTCTCATATGGCTATAATGAACTACCTGAGACTGGGTAATTTATGAAGAAAAGAGGTTTAATTGACTCACAGTTATGCAGGCTTAACAGGAAGCATGACTGGGATGCCTCAGGATACTTACAGTCATGGCGGAGGTGAAGGGGACACAAGCATGTCTTACCATGGTGCAACAGGAGAGAGCTATAGAGAAAGGGGCAAGTGCAACACACTTTTAAACCATCAGATCTCATGAGAACTTACTATCACAAGAACAGCAAGGGGAAAGTCCACCCCCATGTTGAAACCCCATCTCTACTAAAAATACAAAATTAGCTGGGTGTGGTGGCTCGTGCCTGTAATCCCAGCTACTCGCGAGGCTGAGGCAGGAGAATCACTTGAACCTGGGAGGTGGAGGTTGCAGTGAGCCGAGATTGCACCATTGCACTCCAGCCTGGGCAACAAGAGCAAAACTCTGTCTCAAAAAAACCCCAGAAATTTATTTTCCTCCCACAAGGCCCCTCCTCTGACACTTGGGGAGTGTAATTGGAGATGAGATTTGGGTGGGGACACAGAGCAAAACCATATCATCTATTAAAGATAATTTCAAGCCGTCATGCAGAATTCCTTCAGAGATTTCTCTAGCCACCATTATACTGAGCTTTAAGGCTGAATCTGTCTCAGAGGAGATATCCCTCACGGGGTGACCACTCCCCAAGGCACAAAAAGAAGTGACCTAGCAGTTTTCTGACACAAATGCATGATTAGAGCCCCCCAAACAGCTGCTAAGCCAGCTGTAGTATTAAACCCCTTCTCCCTACCAGATCCAAGGTTCAGTCCTCTGGCCACTGCCCCTCCCCACCTCCTTGAAGATTATGCGTCATTAATCTGCAATCTTCTCTATTCCTCAAGCTCTTTGGAAGCCAGAATGACTGCCATTCCTTCCACTCTCTTGTTATGCATATATTATGCCATAAACTGAAAGCTTTACTTTCCTCAAGGGAAACATTTTGAGTATGAATACCTTATTTTAAGAGTTAAAACAAAATTTAATACTTTTCTGCCCATTTTTCTTCTTGCTGTGATAGTACTATTTTACTTAAGGCAATGAAGATGCTGCTGATTGACCAGGGAAAGGATCAGGAGTCCAGACAATTAAAAATATTAATATTTTAGAAAGCTCAGTCTACTCTACCGCTTATAGTCAATGGACATCTTTCATTTGATGCCTATAAATCCGTTAACAATATCACATCATTTAATTAGTGTCTGTATTCATTGGTTAGAACCTGTGGTACATCTGTGGAGGGAAGTCTACTTTCATTGTACACAGGGAAGAGAGGGAAGAAAGCATCAGGAAGCCTTCTCTAAAGAACCACCTGATTGGGTCACCAGGAGAATGGATGAGGGAGCTCTAATTAAGCCCTTTGTGTTGAAAAACTGCCAAGTCACCTTTTTGGTGCCATGGGGAGTAATCACTCTGTGAGGGATGCCTCCTCCAAGACACAGATTCAGCTTTAGAGTTCTGTATAATGGCGGCTAAAGAAATATTTGACAAGTGAAGCAGAGAATGTTCAGAGAAGGGTTCTATCAGGATCCCTCATTCTTCCTCTCTTAGGTCTCTCTTCTGTTGTCTGTCATAGAGACAGACAAGGGACTTGTCCCACATCCAGACAAGGGACTTGTCTCCATTTTGTGGTCAGTGAAAGGTAGATTGGCTATCCTAACATCTAGAATTCTCTTTGGATTTTGGGCCATTTTATAGGTGATGTAAATAGACTTCCTGAGGACATTCTTTGACAGATTTTCTGAGGATGTTCCATAGCGGCCTCCAGGGTAAATCTGAGTCAGTGATTGATGTAAACTTGGGGTTCTCATTTCTTATGCTCTTTTAACTTACGTGGGGTAGATCAAATTAAGTCCTCTTGACAGCTAGGATTTTATTATTAAAACAGTAAAGCCTATTTCTAGCAATGCCACAGGGAGGATAAAAATAAAACCAAAGTTGTATCTTTTATTTATTTTTTTCCCTGATCCTTCCTGGAGGTAGGTTACTTCTTATGAATATGACTCTAAAGACATTTGCCATCTTAGAGGTAGGTTACGTCTTATGAATATGACTGTAGAGACATTTGTCGTCTTATGCAAAAACAAACAAACAAACAAAAAAGAATTGGATGAAATAGGATAACTCAGACGCCTGCCCTACCCCAGGCCACATAGTTATTGACCTGGAGAAGGCAATAAAGGACAGTGTTGGATCTTAGCAGGACTCTGAGATAATCAGTGAACCCATGTCAAAATAGTGCACCCTGCTGACTTGGCAAGTCCTTCAAGTTTTTGGTACTCAGTTTATTGATGTTAGAATAGAGGATGGGTTAGAGGTTGTTGAGTTCTAGAGTTCTATTCTTGGATCATGTACAGAAATGGTTCACCCTCCCAAGTAGGTCAGTTGAACATTTCCTGACTTCTTAAACTTTGGGATGGCCTTTTTCTTCTTTAAATTACCTTCATGCAAGCTTTCTAGGCCTTTGTCATGCTTGCCCTGATGAATTATTTGTGCATGTTGCTCTGCTATAGAACATTACAAGGCATTAGTGGATAAGAGCAGATAAGAGACAAATGAGTTAAGTGCGGAGACTCCTTACATCAAAGCCCATGGTCCTGCCAGACTTTCCTAGGTGTCAAGGTGCCAGTCATGGCAGATTCTTCATCTTGACTCTAGGCACCCTTCTGTACTCCAGGGCTCTCAACTTCTCCTTGTCCTCTGCGCAGAGCATATAGGAACTTCTGGATTGTTTACAATTTGTGGAGATTTCTGAAGCTGTGTTCCATTGAGGAGACACTGGGTGGACAAGAATTTTACTTGCGTCTTCTCTAATTCCTTCTTTCCCCTATCAGGATCTACTGGGGACAGAGGCGGACGGTTATAGGGTTTTTTCTACTACCTAAAATAGAAAAGTACATTTTTAAAGAAGAATATCCTTGCTATATATGTAATACAATTGGGGAGCATTTTAAAGGATTATCATCTTATTTACTATCCTATGGTTTTATTTCCCTTCATGTGTTCTTTTCTAGCAGTATTTGCATTTTTGTTTTTTCCTGATACTATAACTAGTGCATAAAAGTTTGAGGAACATAATATTTACATACTCATAAAGTGTTTCCCTACAAATAACTTATTAATTGCAAAAGAAAAGAAAAGTAACTTTTCAGTAGTGAAACCTTACAGACCTACCTTAGCCAAGTTCTCAAAGTCAATATCATCTTAATAGGACAAGCTAATATCATATATACCCAGATGTGATGCACTGAGCAGGATGTGGTATTTCAGCCCCAAATGCATAACTTAAACCCATTTGTGAGAAAGTATCAGACAGATTCAAATCAAGGAATATTTTACAAAATAACTGCCCTCCATTCTTCAAAAACATAAAAATCACAAAAGATGAAAGAAGGTTTATGAACTATTCTGGGAGATTAAAGGAAACTAAACAGATATGCCAGTTAAATACAATGTATAATCTTGAATTAATAAGACAGTTGGAAGAATTTGAATGTAGACTGTAAGTTAAATGATAATACTGTATTAGTGTTAATTTTCCTGAATTTGATTATTGTACTTTGGTTACTTAAGAGAAAGCCCTGTTTTTCTTAAGAAATAACACAGCAGAGAACTAAGGGATAAAATGGCATGATGTCTACAGCTTACTATAAAATGGTTCAGAAAAAAGAAATGTCTGGATGTGGAGAGAGTGCGAAAGCAAAGTGGGAAAATATTAACATGTACAGGAAGCATATACAGGAGTTCTGTGTACAATTATAACTTTTCTGTGAGTTAAAGATATTTTGAAAATAAAAGGTGAAACAGAGAAGAAAGAAAACAGGCTCCAGGAGCACAGGTTTATTGTATGGCTTCTCCTTCCACTGCTCCATGGAAATGACCACTTCTGACGTCATTGATACCCAATTTGTTGCTAAATCATTAGACATTCTTCAGTGATGATCTTATTCAACCTTTCAAAAATAGCTGGTAATGTTCATCATTCTCTTCTTTTTTAGCTTGCTCTTCCTGTGACTTTCCTAACAACTCACTTCCCTTTATCCTTTTATAACCAGTCTCTTTGAGGGCCCTCTTTGCCATCTCTACACTTTAAGTGTTGGTGTTTTTTGGAATGTTGTCGTAGGCTCTCTTTCCTTCTGAGTCTGTACATTCCTCCTGGTTGTTTTATCTCCCCCATAATTTGTAGATCTAGTTCAGGTTGCTCTTGGGTTTCAGACTTATACATGCCATATTCTGTGGCTCTCTCCTTTGATTATTCCTCTGGGCATATCAAAATCAACCTACTCCAAATTTGTTATCTTTCTTACCTTCCTTGATCCTACCCTGGTATCCCCCAGACCTGGTCATTTTTCATTGTGTCCGTCTCAGAGAAATGTTGCCGAGATCATCCATTACTCATATCGGAACCTGGACTTGACACTTCTTTATTCTTGCCTCTCTATAAACATCTTCCTCTTTATAGCCGGAATAAACATGTAATAGGATCCATCTAAAAGTCTTGCATTGGTCAGTCAGCCTACATGATAGAGCCCAAACTATTGAGCATGGATATGATTCTTCATTATTTAGCTTTAGCTTTCTTTTCTTCCTTTATCTGCTGCAACTCTCACACACTCTTTTCTAACCATCTGAAATTCTTTCAGTTTCTCAGAGATGCTGGATTACGTTTTGATTTTTCCTCCAAGAACTTACATGTATTGTTCATCAGCCTTATCATGAACCCTACTTATTTCTGCTACTTGGGAAACTTTTTTTATGGGGCTTGCTCTTTCTCCCTCTCTGTCTTTTTTTTTTTAATTATACTTTAAGCTCTGGGATACATGTGCAGAACATGAAGATTTGTTACATAGGTATACATGTGCCATGGTGGTTTGCTGCAGCCATCAACCAGTCATCTACATTAGGTATTTCTCCTAATGCTATCCCTCCCCTGGCCCCTTAGCACCCCAGCCCCCGACAGGCCCCAGTGTGTGATGTTCCCCTCCCTGTGTCCATGTGTTCTCACTGTTCAACTCCCACTTATGAGTGAGAACATGTGGTGTTTGGTTTTCTGTTCCTGTGTTGCTTGCTGAGAATGATGGTTTCTAGCTTCATCCATATCCCTGCAAAGGACAAGAACTCATCCTTTTTTATGGCTGCATAGTATTCCGTGGTGTATATGTGCCACATTTTCTTAATCCAGTTTGTCATTGATGGGCATTTGGATTGGTTCCAAGTCTTTGCTATTGTGAATAGTGCTGCAATAAACATACATGAGCATGTGTCTTTATTGTAGAATGATTTATAATCCTTTGGGCATATAACCACTAACGGGATTGCTGGGTCAAATGGTATTTCTGGTTCTAGATCCTTAAGGAATCACCACATTGTCTTCCACGATGGTTGAACTAATTTACAGTACCAACAAGAGTGTAACAGCATTCCTATTTCTCCACAGCCTCTCCAGCATCTGTTTCCTGACTTTTTAACAATCACCATTCTAACTGATATGACATGGTATCTCATTGTGGTTTTGATTTGCATTTCTCTAATGAACAGTGATGATGAGCTTTCTTTTATGTGTTCGTTGGCTACATAAATGTCTTCTTTTGAGAAGTGTATGTTCATATCCTTTGCCCACTTTTTGATGGGGTTGTTTTTTTCTTGTAAATTTGTTTAAGTTCCCTGTAGATTCTGGATATTAGCCCTTTGTCAGATGGATAGATTGCCAAAATTTTCTCCCATTCTGTATGTTGCCTGTTCACTCTGATGGTAGTTTCTTTTGCTGTGCAGAAGCTCTTTAGTTTAATTAAATCCCGTTTGTCAATTTTGACTTTTGTTGCCATTGCTTTTGGTGTTTTAGTCATGAAATCTTTGCCCATGCCTATGTCCTGAATGGTATTGCCTAGGTTTTCTTCTAGGGTTTTTATGGTTTTTGGTCTTACGTTTAAGTCTTTAATCTATCTTGAGTTAATTTTTGTATAAGGTGTAAAGAAGGGGTCCAGTTTCAGTTTTCTGCATATAGCTAGCCAGTTTTCCCAACACCATTTATTAAATAGGGAATCCTTTCCCCATTGCTTGTTTTTGTCAGGTTTGTCAAAGATCAGATGGTTGTAGATGTGTGGCATTATATCTGAGGCCTCTGTTCTGTTCTATTGGTCTATATATACATCTGTTTTGGTACCAGTACCATGCTGTTTTGGTTACTATAGCCTTGCAGTATAGTTTGAAGTCAGGTAGCATGATACTGCCAGGTTTGTTTTTTTTTTTTATTAGGATCGTCTTGGCTATATGGGCTTCTTTTTGGTTTCATATGAAATTTAAAATAGTTTTTTCTAATTCTGTGAAGAAAGTCAATGGTAGCTTGATGGGGATAGCATTGAATCTATAAATTACTTTGGGCAGTATGGCCATTTTCACAATATTGATTCTTCCTATCCATGAGCATGGAATGTTTTTCCATTTGTTTGTGTCCTCTTTTATTTCCTTGAGCAGTGGTTTGTAGTTCTCCTTGAAGAGGTCCTTCACATCCATTGTAAGTTGTATTCCTAGATATTTTAGTCTCTTTGTAGCAATTGTGAATGGGAGTTCACTCATGATTTGGCTCTCTGTCTATTATTGGTGTATGCTTGTGATTTTTGCACATTGATTTTATATCCTGAGACTTTGCTGAAGTTGCTTATCAACTTAAGGAGATTTTGGGCTGAGACGATGGAGTTTTCTAAATATACAATCACGTGATCTGCAAACAGAGGCAATTTGGCTTCCTCTTTTCCTACTTGAATACCCTTTATTTCTTTCTCTTGCCTGATTGCCCTGGCCAGAACTTCCAATACTGTGTTGAATAGGAGTGGTGAGAGAGGGCATCCTTGTCTTGTGCCGGTTTTCAAAGGGAGAGATTCCCGCTTTTGCCCATTCAGTGTGATATTGGCTGTGGGTTTGTCATAAATAGCTCTTATTATTTTGAGATATGTTACATCGGTATCCAGTTTATTGAGAGTTTTTAGCATGAAGGGGAGTTGAATTTTATTGAAGGCCTTTTCTGCATCTGTTGAAATAATCATGTGGTTTTTGTCATTGTTTCTGTTTATGTGATGCATTATGTTTATTGATTTGCGTATGTTGAACCAGACTTGCATCCCAGGGATGAAGCCGACTTGATCGTGGTGGATAAGCTTTTTGATGTGCTGCTGGATTCAATTTGTCAGTATTTTATTGAGGATTTTTGCCTCGATGTTCATCAGGGATATTGGCCTGAATTTTTTTTGGCGTTGTTGTGTCTCTGCCAGGTTTTGTATCAGGATGATGCTGGCCTCATAAAATGAGTTAGGGAAGAGTCCCTCTTTTTCTATTGTTTGGAATAGTTTCAGAAGGAATGGTACCAGCTCCTCTTTGTACCTCTGGTAGAATTTGGCTGTGAATCTGTCTGGTCCTGGACTTTTTTCGATTGGTAGGCTATTAATCACTGCCTCAATTTCAGAACTTATTATTGGTCTATTCAGGGATTCGATTTTTTCCTGGCTTAGTCTTGGGACAGTGTCTGTGTGCAGGAATTTATCTGTTTCTTCTAGATCTTCTAGTGTATTTGCGTAGCGGTGTTTATAGTATTCTCTGATGGTAGTTTGTGTTTCTGTGGGATCAGTGGTGATATCCCCTTTATCATTTTTTATTGTGTCTATTTGATTCTTCTCTCTTTTCTTTTTTATTAGTCTAGCTAGTGGTCTATTTAGTTAATCTTTTCAAACAACCACCTCCTAGATTCATTGATGTTTTGAAGAGTTTTTTGTGTCTCTATCTCCCTCAGTTCTGCTCTGATCTTAGTTATTTCTTGTCTTCTGCTAGCTTTTGAATGTGTTTGCTCTTGCTTCTCTAGTTCTTTTAATTGTGATGTTAGGGTGTTGATTTTAGATCTTTCCCACTTTCTCCTGTGGGCATTTAGTGCTATAAATTTCCCTCTATACACTGCTTTAGCCGTGTCCCAGAGATTCTGGTACATTGTGTCTTTGTTCTCATTGGTTTCAAAGAACTTATTTATTTCTGTCTTAATTTCATTATTTATGCTACCTGAGTAACTTCTACTCAGATTCAGATCACAGCTTCAGGGTCACTTATCGTGTGCAGCATGTCTCATTCTCTTACATCCTGTGCATCAGGAACATTCTGTACTTTCTGTGGCACACACTTATCACACGTTTGTATCAGTCTCTTGCAGGTGTCCTCACTGGATTGTCAACTTGAGAGATCAGGTCTGTCTACTTCATAGCTGCAGCCCTAGTGCTTAGCAGAGTGCCTGGCAAATAGTAGATGCTTAATAAAAAATTTTGAATGTATGAATGAGTAATTGTAATCCATGGCAAAAGCAGATATTAGAGAACCTTACTCTTACTATGCATGTACATTTGCCTACTGATTCATTACAACTTTGTATCATAAGGAATCCTAGAAGACCATCAGTCCAAAGTATTACACACTGCAAGTGATTATCTGGCTTTTGTCTGACTCTTATAGTCCTTTACTCTATTTTGGCCACAGTTACTTTAGCATGAGCTTGCTTTCCATAGCTTGCACCAATTGATTTGTTCTTTGCCTTGAAGCATCAGAATAGGTCTGTTTCCTTTTCCATGTTTTAATCATTCACATAGTTGGAATCAGCTAGCCTGCATCTTTCTACTCTCAGCCTTCTTTTCTTCAGCACAAACACCTCCAATTCCTTCAACTTTTATATGTGAAAAGTTGCCTTAGCATACAGCATGCTATTTTGCCATTGTCCCTTATAAAGAATGGCATCTATAATTTGACAAAACATTCAGAACATAGTGGAAGAACAATGTGTAATCATGACTGCATTAACCTGGCTATTAAATAGTTTGCATACTGATGAGGCTAAATACACTGATCCTCTAACCTTTGCTTCTACAAATATTATTATTAATAGTGATTATAAGAATTATTATCATACCTAACATATATTGAGCACATATAGTATAATAGAGTAAGCACTTTTCACATAGTACTTTATTTGGTACTTAAAACTCAATGAAGTATGTAGTAACAATATGCCTTTTTAACAGATGAGGAAATAATTTGCCCAGGTAACTAAGGAGTGATGGTTCCAGGAATGGCTATAATATACTGCTAAACTGTTACTAGGTTTTGTCTTGACTGATGTCTTTCAATCAGTTAATTTTAGGACTTAAAACTCAATGAAGTATGTAATAACAATATGCCCTGTTAACAGATGAGGAAATAATTTGCCCAAGGTCACATAACTAAGGAATGATGGTTCCAGGAATGGCTATAATATACTGCTAAACTCTTGCTAGGTTTTCTCTTGACTGATATCTTTCAATCAGTTAATTTTAGGCTCTAACGTAAAATGGTTTTAAACAACATGATGTGTGATTGCCTTATTGTAAACCGTGGAATTTTTGTTAGATAATCGATATCTAACATCTTAAAAGATTTCAGTAAATTCAGATATTGAATTCCTTGTTATGTAAACATGCAGTTACCTCACATCACCAAAAAGTTGCATTGAGATGACAGAGACATAGAAAAATAATTATTGAAAATTTCCATAGTGTGCTCGAGGGCAGGGAAAGCATTGTGACTGACACAACAGGAGTGGATCTGGGGATGTTATGAGTCATACCGATGCAGAGGGACCATGAACTCTTTTTGAGTTGAGGAGCCCACATCCCCCATAGAAGCAAAACAGAGGATTCAAAAGATGAAAATTTCCAAGAGAACTTCATAAAGTCACCAAAATTAAAAGCAGAAATGGGTCCAAGGGCAGTCAGCCTATAAATTAGTTCAAGTTCTGTGGAACCACTAATCCTAACTTTTTGGTAGCTGCCTCCAGTCTTTGCCTCCAGAATCAAGCTGTGTTTTCCAAACAGAGCTGTGTTACAGATATTCCCAGAGCAGGCAGCAGGCCTGAGAAACAGTAAGGCAGCTGTACACTGGTGGCTGCTTTGAGAATTGGGAGAACCTGTCCCCAGAAATCCTGTACAATGCACTCCTACATGAAAGTCCAGACTCCAGTCTCCCCTCCTTCACCAGCACTACTTCAGCCTGGGCTCCTTGAACCAGAATCTTCCATATACCACCAGAAAAATCATGGTTCCCACTAAGGCTAGAAAATAAATTTCTACTAAAATACTAACCAATCTAGTATTGTATTTTGCTTACAAGTATGAGGATATGACCAGGAATTTTCAACTACTCGTAGAAATTGTCCTAAGTAAAGAAAGTGTAGGATTTCTCTCAAGGAATTGAGTTACTACGTGGTTCAACACTGAAAAAGAAATTAATATAATTATTATTTTCATGGCATAAGAACAGGCTAATGGAAAAAAAAAGTCAAAGTTCTTGAACATTAGATACATTGAAAACAAATCCCTCAGTAGATGAGTTGACTAGCAATGAACACGGAATTGACTAACTGTTTGAGTAGGAGGAAGAGAAAGATGGAAATATTGTAGGGGAAAATATGTGGGTTAAAGTGACTAAACATTAGCTCACCCTCACTCCATGTTCTTTTTGTATCAGACAAATAGAACATTCATTTTCTTTTCAAATAACAATGAAATAAATACAAAAATTGACCATAATAAAGCCACAAGGAAAATCTCAATGGATTCCAACAAGTAAAAATCACACGGCCCATAATCTTTGAACTACAATGGTCATTAAACTGGAAAGTAAAGTAACAACGACAAAAAAAAAAAACCAATCCCAAAATATCTGCTCACATTTTTGAGTAACAGATAACTAAAATCAAAGTTCCAAATTAATTTAATATGAAGGACAGTAAGAGGTTTGCTGATCAAAAGAGGTACTCTATGTACTTCTAGAAGTATATTTTTTAACCCAAGCATATATGTGTAGACAGTGCTTCTGCTATTAAAAGTAAATGAAGTTGAGCTACTTGAATAGTAACAAGTAGATATCCTTGCACAAAACTGGAAAGGCTTTAAGATCTTTAAAACTTTAAAGAAGTTTAATAATTTTAAGTTTTTAGATATTGCTTTTTGGTAAATATTGAATAAAAATACTTTAAAGTTGCTACTAAACTTTAATCTTTAAATAACTTAAGCATATCTGAATACTCTCGAATTAAGGCAATATAGTATTCTCAGTGTGTTCTGAATGATAATGAAAGCTTTATAGTCAACAGGATTATCAGCAATAGAGAGATAGAAGTAAGTTTAATGTGCCAAAAGCAGTTGCAACCAAAGCCAACATTGAAAAATGGAGTATAATTAAGCCAAAGAGCTTCTTCACAGCAAAAGAAACTGTCATCAGAGCAAACAGGCAACCTACAGAATGGAAGAAAATTTTTGCAATCTACCCATCTAACAAGTCTAATATCCAGAATCTACAAGGAACTTAAACACATTAACAAGAAAAAAAACCGATAAAAAACTGGGCAAAAGATATGAACAGACACTTCTCAAAAGAAGACATTTATGTGGCCAAAAAACATATGAAAAACAGCTCAACATCACTGATCATTAGAGAAATACAAATCAAAAGCACAATGAGATACCAACTCATGCTAGTCAGAATGGCGATTAGTAAAAAGTAAAGAAACAACAGAGGCTGTGGAGAAATAGGAACACTTTTATACTGTTGGTGGAAATGTAAATTAGTTCAACCTTTGTGGAAGACAGTGTGGTGATTCCTCAAGGATGTAGAACCAGAAATACCATTAGAACAGCAGTCCCATTACTGGGTATATACCCAAAGGATTATAAATCATTCTACTATAAAGACACTTGCACACATATGTTTATTGCAGCGCTATTTACAATATCAAAGTCATGGAACCAACCTAAATCCCCATCAATGATAGACTGGATAAGGAAAATGTGGTACATATACACCATGGAATACTATGCAGCCATAAAAAGGAATGAGATCATGTCCTTTGCAGGGACATGGATGAAGCTGGAAGCCATCTGCCTCAGCAAACTAACACAGGAACAGAAAACCAAACACCACATGTTCTCGCTCATAAGTGGGAGTTGAACAGTGAGAACACATGGACACAGGGAGGGGAACAACACACACTGGGACCAGTAAGGGGTGGTGGGAAGGGGAGGGAGAGCATTAGGACAAATAGCTAATGTATGCAGGGCTTAAAACCTAGATGATGGGTTGAGAGGTGCAGCAAACCATCATGGCACATGTATACCTAGGTAACAAACCTACACATTCTGCAATTGTATCCCAGAACTTAAAGCAAAAAAAGAAAGAAAAAAGAAATATTTAATGAAAATATGATTTTGAAAAAATAATAATGATAATGAAAACATTATTGCATGTGTCGTCACCTCAGTTTTCATCATCTCACAGTTTAATTGGAATATTAACTATACTTTGTATATTTTTGAAATATTTGCTTATAAGAATATCTTATATTAGAACATATTACAATAGTATGTAATACAAACGTATTCTTAACTAGTCAAAATCAATTATTGATATCTTGCAATTTTTTGGAGTTTCTGAATCAATCTTGAGTTCATATGTTTTAAACAACTATTATTCATTTGTAAACAATGTAATTTTTTTAAAGGATTTGGAAACATCTCACCACGCACAGAAGGCGGCAAAATATTCTGTATCATCTATGCCTTACTGGGAATTCCCCTCTTTGGTTTTCTCTTGGCTGGAGTTGGAGATCAGCTAGGCACCATATTTGGAAAAGGAATTGCCAAAGTGGAAGATACGTTTATTGTGAGTATGATAGATATTTAACTACGTATATTTATTGTTTGATTTTTTTAAAAAATTATATCTTTTCTGTCACCTCAGATACAATTAGACATTCAATTATTAGGGCTTCCATAACAATTTATATGCATCTCTACTGGCATGTAACTCACTGTTTTTTAATTATGTTTATACTTAATCTGAATGAATAAATTGATGCATGAGAAAAACTCAAAAGTATAAACAGAAAAAAGTAGGAATTCAAAAGTCTTAGATTCAAATTTCTTTTACTTTTTTCTTTTTCTTTCTTTTTTTTTTTGAGACAGAGTCTTGCTCTGTTGCCCAGGCTGCAGTGCAATGGTACAATGGGTGCAATCTTGGCTCACTGCAACCTCCACCTCCCAGGTTCAAGCAATTCTCGTGCCTCAGCCTCCTGAGTAGCTGGAATTATAGGCACCCGCCACCATGCCTGGCTAATTTTGTATTTTTTAGTAGAGATGGGGTTTCACCATGTTGGCCAGGTTGATCTTGAACTCCCGACCTCCAATGATCTGCCCATCTTGGGCTCCCAAAGTGCTGGGATTACAGGCTTGAGCCACCGTGCCCAGCCAGATTTAAATTTCATATGTAGTGTCTCCCAGCTATATTCTCTTAAACTAGTTATTATCCCATCAAACCTACATTTTCTTATTTGTATAACTTGAATAATGGTACTATGGAGGCATCACTCTGAGGGTAGGTGGCATTATAAATTTAACTTTAACATAAGTAGTAAATGACTGACTGTACTTTATTATTTTAAAATTTGTTTTGATACCCTTATAAAGCCCCTTTGGGAAAGATGTAGTCTAAATAACAAACATAATAAAGGTGATCATATAACTTAATTCAGTAATGCCATTGATAGGAATGTATCTACACAATGTAATTTAGTAGAACCAAAGGTGTAGAATACATGGAGATTTTCAAGTTGTATTATAGTCAACAAAAAATGAAAATGCTTTTGTTAGAATTTTAAGTGAAAAATAAGAATACTATGATGATAAACTTGAGTTCTTGGAAGAAAATTATGGAAAAAGTAACTGTTCCTGTTAGAGGGTGGGATTATAAAGGATTTGTTACTTCTAGCACCACTGTTGCAAATAAATTTTGTTCATTGTTTAGTAATGTTTTATACTTTCACACAAAGTTCAACAAAATATTTACATTTAACTCTACTGATGAAATAAAATATCGAGTATTGTTTTCTCAATTTGGATTACAGTTCCAGTTTTAGCACTAGTCATGATTTAAGATCAAAGTTAGATCTCAAGCATTTTGTTCAACATTGTGTTGAAATAGAATCACACAGTTATTCCAAAATTGGAGTTTTATTCTTTTTTTGTATTATACTTTTATTTAAAAGAATTATCTGTTTATATTAATCAAGAGGGCAGATTGACGGCATAAACATGGTAATGTTGAATTCTTCGTTCATTCATTCAACAAATTTTTTAGTGCCTCCTAGATGCTGGGTAATATTTTTTATGTTGCATATATACCAGTGCATAAAAAAAGTTCCATGCCCTTATGGTGATGACATTCCAGTAATCATGGTTCAGTGTTTGGTACCAAGCACTATTGTATAATCTTTGTAAACATGAACTCATTTAACTCTCACAGGTAAGATGAGGATGGTTGACTAGAGGAATGTCTATGTACCCTTTCCATTCTGTGATTTCATAGGTCTTTAAAAATTCTCAAGCTCTAACATTCAGTGATTTTCAGATGGTGTAGTTTGTGACCTATATTTTTTACAGTAAATAGGACAGATCCAGTCAGATTTAAAATATATGGTAACTAGCCTCGAATAGAAATCTGGATATAAACTGTTGTATATATACCAACTTCATTTAATGCATTACACTATAGAGATTTTTTTACTGGAGAAGGAGTTTTAAAAAATGGGTATTCTGATGACAGCTATGGCCTAGGGATATTGAAGACTTATCCTTACCTGCTGATCTTATAGCTTTGTTAGTTATACAATTTAGTATCATAGAACAGAGAATTCACCTGGTTCATGTTGGAATCAAACTGTGAAGGTTAAGCTGTTAGTATTATGCTGTAATCAATTAAATTGATGATAAGAAAAAGTGATGGAAGTGACAGAAAAAAACTTTATGAAATTAATGTTTATCAATGAACAATTGTAAATACTTAATTCTTGTTTCAGTGTCTCCATTTTCATATGGTTCTGGATTGTATTTGGCCTGAAATCAGTTGTATGTATGATTATAGAATAGAAATATTTCAGAAGTACTCTAGGTAAACAAATAATGATGCAAATCTAAAATTGCATTCTCAGGGCAAATGTAATTTACCCTTTCAAAAGAATTTCACCTGTTGTAAAGCTATGTGAGGATAAAGTAGCATCATTGTTAGCATTGATTGATTTATTGATGATACCTAATTTTCATAAGTAAAGACAATTAAAAACTAAGTGTAAAAGAAAATAAAATAACATGCTTACTTGCTAATTTGCTCATAATAGTGTATAGGTTAACTTTGTGGGTATACAAGTAATTTCTCTCTCTCTCTCTTTGTCTCTCTCTCTCTCTCTCTCTCCCCCCATTTATATACATATATATATATACACACACCTTTCTGTCTCATCCCTAGAAGTGGAATGTTAGTCAGACCAAGATTCGCATCATCTCAACAATCATATTTATACTATTTGGCTGTGTACTCTTTGTGGCTCTGCCTGCGATCATATTCAAACACATAGAAGGCTGGAGTGCCCTGGACGCCATTTATTTTGTGGTTATCACTCTAACAACTATTGGATTTGGTGACTACGTTGCAGGTAAGCTTTTCCTGGCATCCATGTTACTCTTCTAACAGGGGTTTATTAGATAGATTTTTCACTTAGGTTTATAACGAAACACAAGGGCTGTATGAGTTTTCTAGGGCTGACATACCCAAGTACCATAAAGTGGGTGGCTTTAAACAAAGCAAATTCATTGTCTCACAGAAGTTGGAAATCAAGGTACCAGCAGGGCCATGATCCCTCTCAGACTCAGTAGAATTTTTCTTAGCCTCTTCCTAATTTCTGGTAGAGGTCATCAGTCCTTGGCAATTCTTGGCTTGCAGCTGTATCACTCCCATCTCTACCTCCTTCAACACATGTTTTTCTTCTTGTGCCTCTCTGTCTCTGCAGCCAAATTCCCTTCTGCTTATAAGCATACCAGTCAAATTATATTATAGGCCCATCCTACGCAAGTATAACATAACCACATCTTAACTAATTACATTTACAGGAGCCTTCTATTATTATTTATTTATTTATTTATTTTTGAGATAGAGTCTTGCTCTGTCACCCAGGCTGGAGTGCACTGGCACGATATTGGCTCACTGCAAACTCTGCCTCCTGGGTTCGAGTGATTCTCCTGTCTCAGCCTCCTGAGTAGCTGGGATTACAGGCGTGTGCCACTAGGCCCAGCTAATTGATGTATTTTTAGGAGAGATGGGGTTTCACCATGTTGATCAGGCTGGTCTTGAACTCCTGAACTTAGGTGCCTCAGCCTCTGAAAGTGCTGGGATTACAGGCACAAGCCACTACGCCCGGCCTAAGAATCTTATTACTATTATTTTTTAAAATATATATATTTTTATTATACTTTAAGTTCTAGGGTACATGTGCACAACGTGCAGGTTTGTTACACATGTGCCATGTTGGTGTGCTGCACCCATTAACTCGTCATTTACATTAGGTATATCTCCTAATGCTATCCCTCCCCGCTCCCTCCACCCCACAACAGGCCCTGGTGTGTGATGTTCCCCTTCCTGTGTCCAGGTTTTCTCATTGTTCAATTCCTACCTATGAGTGAGAACAGGCACTGTTTGGTTTTTTGTCCTTGCGATAGTTTGCTGAGAATGATGGTTTCCAGCTTCATCCATGTCCCTACAAAGGACATGAACTCATCCTCTTTTATGGCTGCATAGTATTCCATGGTATATATGTGCCACATTTTCTTAATCCAGTCTATCATTGTTGGACATTTGGGTTGGTTCCAAGTCTTTGCTATTGTGAATAGTGCCGCAATAAATATACATGTGCATGTGTCTTTATAGCAGCATGATTTATAATCCTTTGGGTATATACCCAGTAATGGGATGGCTGGGTCAAACGGTATGTCTAGTTCTAGATCCCTGAGGAATTGCCACACTGACTTCCACAATGGTTGAACTAGTTTACAGTCCCACCAACAGTGTAAAAGTGTTCTTATTTCTCCATATCCTCTCCAGCACCTGTTGTTTCCTGACTTTTTAATGATCGCCATTCTAACTGGTGTGAGATGGTGTCTCATTGTGGTTTTGATTTGCATTTCTCTGATGGCCAGTGATGATGAGCATTTTTTCATGTGTCTTTTGGCTGCATAAATGTCTTCTTTTGAGAAGTGTCTGTTCATATCCTTTGCCCACTTGTTGATGGGGTTGTTTGTTTTTCTCTTGTAAATTTGTTGGAGTTCATTGTAGATTCTGGATATTAGCCCTTTGTCAGATGAGTAGATTGCAAAAATGTTCTCCCATTCTGTAGGTTGCCTGTTCACTCTGATGGTAGTTTCTTTTGCTGTGCAGAAGCTCTTGAGTTTAATTAGATCCCATTTGTCAATTTTGGCTTTTGTTGCCATTGCTTTTGGTGTTTTAGACATCAAGTCCTTGCCCATGCCTATGTCCTGAACGGTATTGCCTAGGTTTTCTTCTAGGGTTTTTACAGTTTTAGGTCTAACATTTAAGTCTTTAATCCATCTTGAATTAATTTTTGTATAAGGTGTAAGGAAGGGATCCAGTTTCAGCTTTCTACATATGGCTAGCCAGTTTTCCCAGCACCATTTATTAAATAGGGAATCCTTTCCCCATTTCTTGTTTTTGTCAGGTCTGTCAAAGATCAGATAGTTGTAGATGTGTGCTATTATTTCTGAGGGCTCTGTTCTGTTTCATTGGTCTATATCTCTGTTTTGGTACCAGTACCATGCTGTTTTGGTTATTGTAGCCTTGTAGTATAGTTTGAAGTCAAGTAGTGTGATGCCTCCAGCTTTGTTCTTTTGGCTTAGGATTGACTTGGCAATGCGGGCTCTTTTTTGGTTCCATATGAACTTTAAAGTAGTTTTTTCCAATTCTGTGAAGAAAGTCATTGGTAGCTTGATGAGGATGGCATTGAATCTATAAATTACCTTGGGCAGTATGGCCATTTTCATGTCATTGATTCTTCCTATCCATGAGCATGGAATGTTCTTCCATTTGTTTGCATCCTCTTTTATTTTGTTGAGCAGTGGTTTGTAGTTCTCCTTGAAGAGGTCCTTCACATCCCTTGTAAGTTGGATTCCTGGATATTTTATTCTCTTTGAAGCAATTGTGAATGGGAGTTCACTCATGATTTGGATGTTTGTCTGTTATTGGTGTATAAGAATGCTTGTGATTTTTGCACATTGATTTTGTATCCTGAGACTTTGCTGAAGGTGCTTATCAGCTTAAGGAAATTTTGGGCCGAGACGATGGGGTTTTCTAGATATACAATCATGTCATCTGCAAACAGGGACAATTTGACTTCCTCTTTTCCTAATTGAATACCCTTTATTTCTTTCTCCTGCCTGATTGCCCTGGCTAGAACTTCCAACACTATGTTGAATAGGAGTGATGAGAGAGGGCATCCTTGTCTTGTGCCAGTTTTCAAAGGAAATGCTTCCAGTTTTTGCCCATTCAGTATGATATTGGCTGTGGGTTTGTCATAAATAGCTGTTATTATTTTGAGATACGTCCCATCAATGCCTAATTTATTGAGAGTTTTTAGCATGAAGGGCTGTTTAGTTTTGTCAAAGGCCTTTTCTGCATCTATTGAGGTAATCAGGTTACCTACTGAGGTACTGGAGATTAGGACTTCAACATATCTTGGAGGACACAATTCAGCCCATAACAGTGGCAAAGACAAATAGTGACTCTGTGACACTGAAGGTATACAGAAAGGTGGAGTTAAATATTTATTTTTATTTAATGAAGGGAATATAATCACTGGTTGTTCAGAATTTTACATTTCCTCTCTAATTTTTGATACCAAATGTCTGCCTCTGATTTTTTTTTTGTTTTGTTAAGCACATATTTTGATTTTTTTCTTAAATAATTTCAACTTTTATTTTAGATATGGTGGTGTATGTGCAGGTTTGTTACCTGGGTATATTGTGCGATGTTGAGGTTTGGGGTAAGATTGATCCCATCACCCAGGTACCAAGCTTAGTACCCAATAGTTAGCTTTTCAACCCTTGCCCCCTTCCCTCCCTTCCCACTCTAGTGGTCCCCAGTGTCTGTTGTTGCCATCTTTATGTCCATGAGTACCCATTGTTTAGCTCCCACTTATAAGTGAGAACATAGGGTATTTGGTTTTCTGTTCTTGCATTAATTCAGTTAGGATAATGGTCTCCAGCTGCATCCATGTTGCTGTAAAGGACATGGTTTTATTCTCCTTTATGACTGCAAAGTATTCCGTGGTGTGTATATACCACATTTTCTTTACCTAATCCACCACTGATGGACACTTGGATTGATTCCATGCCTTGGCTATTGTGAATAGGGCTCTGATAAACACATGTGTGTATGTGACTTTTTGTTAGATTTCTTTTCCTTTGCATATATAGCCAGTAATAGGATTGCTGTGCTGAACGGTAGTTCTGTTTTAGTTCTTTGAGAAGTCTCCAAACTGATTTCCACAGAGGCTGAACTAATTTTCATTCCCACCGTCAGTGTGTAAGCATTCTCTTTTCTCCAGAGCCTTACCAGCATTATTATTTGTTGACTTTTTAAAAATAGCCTTTCTGACTGCTATGAGATGATATCTCATTGTGGTTTTGATTTTCAATTCTCTGATGATTAGTGATGTGGGGCATTTTTTTATATGTTTGTTAGAAACTTGTGTGTCTTCTTTTGATAAGTGTCTGTTCATGCCCTTTGCCCACTTTTTTTTCTTCAACTTTTATTTTAAGTTCAGGGGTACATGTGCAGGATATGAATGTTTGTTACATAGGCAAACGTGTGCCATGGTGATTTGCTGCACAGATCAACCCATCACCTAGATATTAAGCCCAGAATCTATTAGCTATTCTTCCTGTTGCTTTCCCACCCCTGCACCGCTGACAGACCCCAGTGTGTGTTGTTCCCCCAATGTGTCCATGTGTTCTCATCGATCAGCTCATACTTGTAAGTGAGAATATGTGGTGTTTGGTTTTCTGTTCTTGTGTTAGTTTGCTGAGGATAATGGCTTCCAGCTCCAACCATGTCCCTGTAAAGGACATCATCCCATTCCTTTTTATGGCTTCATAGTATTCCATGGTATATATGTACCAGGTTTTCTTTATCCAGTCTATCACTGATGGGCATTTGGGTTGATTTCTTGTCTTTGCTATTGTGAATAGTGCTGCAATGAACATATGTGTGCATGTATCTTTATAATAGAATGATTTATATTCCTTTGGGTATACACCCAGTAATGGGATTGCTGGGCCCAGTGGTATTTTTGGTTCTAGGTCTTTGAGGAATAATCACATTGTATTCTACAATGGTTGAACTAATTTACATTTCCACCAACAGTGTAAAAGCGTTTTTATTTCTCCACAGCCTTGGCAGCATCTGTTGTTTCTTAAATTTTTAATAATAGTCATTCTGACTGGCATGGAATGGTAGCTCATTGTGGTTTTGATTTGCATTTCTCTAATGATCACTGATGTTGAGTTTTTTTTCATATGTTTCTTGGCCACATGAATGTCTTCTTTTGAGAAGTGTCTATTCATGTCTTTTGCCCACTTTTTAGTGCTTTGCCCACTTTTTAATTGTGTTGTTTTTTGCTTGTTGATTTGTTTAAATTCCTTTAAGATTCTGGATGTTAGACCTTTGTCAGATGCATAGGTTATACTTATTTTATCCAATTCTATAGGTTGTCTGTTTACTCTGTTGATAGTTTCTTTTGCTGTGCAGAAGCACTTTAGTTTAATTAGGTCCTATTTGTCAATTTTTGTTTTAGTTGAAATTGCTTTTGAGGACATAGTCACAAATTCTTTCCCAAGGCTGATGTCCAGAATAGTGTTTCCTAAATTTTCTTCTAGGATTCTTATAGTTTGAGGTCTTACATTTAAATATTTAATCCATCTTGAGTTAATTTTTGTATATGGTGAAAGTTAGGGGTCCAGTTTCATCCTTCTTTATATGCTAGCTAGCTATCCCAGCACCATTTATTGAATAGGGAATCCTTTCCTCACTACTAATTTTTATTGACTTTGTCAAACATCACATGACTGTAGGTGTGTGGTTTATTTCTGGGTTCTCTATTCTGCTCCACTGGCCTATATATATATGTGTATATATATATATATATATTTTTTTTTTTTGTAGCAGTACCATGCTGTTTCGGTTACTCTACCCTTGTAGTGTTGTTTGAAGTCGAGTAATGTGATGTCTCCAGCTTTTTTTTTTTAGGATTACTTTGACTGTTCAGGCTCCTTTTTGATTCTATATGAATTTTGGAAGAGCTTTTTCTAGCTTTGCGAAAAACGATATTGGTAGCTTAATAGAAATAGCGTTGAGTCTATAGATTGCTTTGGACAGTATGGTACTTTTAAAAATATTGATTCTTTCAATCCATGAATATGGAATATTTCTCTATTTTTTGTGTTACCTATAATTTCTTTAAACAGTGTTGTGTAGTTCTTGTAGAGATCCTTCACTTCCTTGGCTAGATGTATTCCTGTTTTTTTGTGGCTATTATAAATGTGATTGTGTCCTTAATTTGGCTCTGATATTGAATGTTATTGGTATACAAAATGCTACTGATTTTTGTACATTGATTTTGTATCTTCAAATGTTACTGAAGTTGTTTATTACAGGAGCCTTTAGGCAGAATTTTTAAGGTTTTCTAAGTATAGAGTCATATTGTTAGTGAAGAAAGATAGTTTAACTTCTTCTTTTCCTATTTGGATGCTTTTATTTTTTTCTTTTGCCTGATTGCTATGGCATGGACTCCCAGTAGTATGTTGAATAGGAGTGGTGAGAGTAGGCATCCTTACCTTCTTTCTGTTTTCAAGGGGAATGCTTCCAGTTTTTGCCCATGCAGTATGCTGTTGACTGTGGGTTTGCCATAGATGGCTCTTATTATTTTGACATATGTTTCATCAATGCCTAATTTCTTGGGGATTTTTATCAGGAAGGGATGTTATATTTTATTAAAAGCTTTTTCCACATCTATTGAGATGATAGTATGGTTCTTGTTTTTAATTCCATTTATGTGGGAATCACATTTATTGATCTGTATATGGTGAACCAACCTTGCATTCTAGGAATGAAGTCTACCTGATCATGTTGAACTAACTTTTTGATGTGCTGTTGGACTCAGTTTGTTGAAGATTTTTGCATCTACATTCATCAAGGATAATGGCCTATAGTTTTTCTTGTTATTGTGTCTTTTGCCATATTTTGTTATCAAAGTGATGCTTGCTTCATAGAATGAGTTAGGGAGGAGTCCCTCCTCTTCAATTTTTTGGAAAGAGTTTTAGTAGGATTTGTACCAGCTCTTCTTTGTACATCTGGTAGAATCTGAATGTGAATTAACCTAGTCCAGGGATTCCTTTGGTTGGTAGATTTTTTTTTTTAATTACTGATTCCATTTTGGAAGTCAATATTAGTCTGTTCAGGGTTTTAATTTCTTTCTGATTCAGTCTTGGGAGATTGTGTGTTTATGGGAATTTATTTATTTCCTCTATATTTTTTAATTTGTGTGCATAGAAATGTTCATGATAGTCTCTGAGAATCTTTTGGACTTCTGTGGGACCAGTTGTAATGTTACCTTTGTCATTTCTGATTGTGCTTATTTGGATCTTCTCTCATTTTTTTCTTTGTTAATCTAGCTGTCTATTGATCTTGCTTATCCTTTCAAAGAACCAACCTTTGGTTTTATTATTTGCATGGATTTTTGAGTCTCAATTTCATTTAGTTTTGCTCTGATTTTATTCTTTTATTTTTTTTCTCTTCTAACTTTAGTCACTTCTGCTAGCTTTGGAGTTAGTTTCTTCTTGTTTTTCTAGTTCCTTTAGGTGTGATGTTAGATCTTTAATTTGAGATCTTTCTAACTTTTTGAGGTAGGCATTTGGCAATATAAACTTCTCTCTTAACACTGCTTTTGCTGTATATTGTATATTGTGTTTCTGTTTTCATTTATCTCAAATAATTTTTTTAATTTCTAGTTTAATTTTCTTGTTTACTCAACATTCATTCAGGAGCAAGTTGTTTAATTTCTGTATAATTGTGTGGTTTTGAGAGATCTTCTTGGTATTGACTTCTATTGTAATTCCACTGTAGTCTGAGAGTATGGTTGGTATGCTTTTAATTTTTTTAAATTTATTGAGATTTGCTTTATGGCTGAGCATGTGGTTGATCTTCAGATATGTTCCATGTGCAGATGAGAAAAATGTATATTCTGTGGTTGATGGATGGAGTATTCTGTAGATGTCTGTTAAGTCCATTTGGTCAAGTGTTGAATTTAAGCCCAGAACTTCTTAGTTTTCTGCCTTGATGATCTTTCTAATGCTGGCAGTGCAGTGTTGAGGTCCCTCACTCTTATTATATGGCTAGCTGAGTCTTTTCATAGATCTGGAAGAGCCTGTTTTATGAATCTGGGTGGTCTAATGTTGGGTGCATAAATATTTAGGATAGTTAAGTCTTCTTGTTGAATCGAACCTCTTATCCTTATGTAATACCTTACTTTGTCCTTTTTTACTGTTGTTGGCTTAAAGTCTGTTTTATCTGATATAAATCAGTGACCTCTACTCTTTTTCATGTTCTGTTTGTGTGACAGATCTTTCTTCAACCCTTTTCTTTGAGCCTAAGGATGTCTTTATCTGTGAGATGGGTCTCTTGAAGTCAGCAGATGGATAGGTCTTGGATTGTGTTTCCAACTTGTCCCTCTGTGCCTTTTAAGCGAGGGCATTTAGACCATTTACATTCAAGGTTAATATTGATATGTTAGGTTTTGATCCGATTATGTAGTTGTCAGTTGGTTGCTTTGTAGTTTCTACTTTGTGCTTGCTTTATAACCTCTGTGGGCTATATACTTAAGTGTGTTTTTGTGGTAGCAGGTATCATTTCTTTTTTCCATGTTTAGAACTCCCTTAAGTATCTCCTGTAAGGTTAATGTAGTGGTAACAAATTCCCTTAATGCTTGCTTGTCTGGAAAAAATATTTTATTTCTTCTTTACTTCTGAAGCTTAGGTTGGTGGAATATAAAATTACTGGTTGAAATTTCTTTTCTTTAAAAATACTGAAAAAAAACCCCAGTCTCTCCTGGCTTGTCAGGTTTGTGCTGAGAAATCCACTATTAGTCTGATGGTGTTCCCCTTATATATGATTTGACCTTTGTCTGTAGCTCCCTTTAAGATCTTTTCTTTAGCATTGACCTCAGGCAGTCTGGTGACTGTATGCCTTGGTGATGTTTGTTTTGTATAGTTCTCACAGGTGTTCTCTGGATTTCTTGTATCTGAATGTCACCTCTCTAGCAAGATTAGGGAAATATTATTGAATTATTCCTTCAAATATGTTTTCCAGGTTGTTTTCTTTATCTCTGTCTCTCTCAGGAATGCCAATAATTTTTTTAGATTTTGCCACTTTACATAATCCTGTATTTCTGAAGGACTTTCTTTACTTCTTACAATTCTTTTTTCTTTATTTTTGTCTGACTGTGTTAGTTCAAAAGATTAGAGTTCAAGCTCTGAAATTCTTTCTTCTCTTTGGTCCAGTCTGTTGATAGAGCTTTCAGTTTTAGTTTGAAATTCCTTAAGTGAGTTTTTCAATTTCAGAAGCTCTGATTGATTTATTTTAATATGTTTATCTCTTACACTTCCTAGATTGTTTTAGAAATTTCTTTGTGTTGATTTTCAACTGTGTACTGGCTTTTGTTAAGCTTCCTTGCAATCCATGCTTTGAATTCTTTATCTGTCATTTCTGAGTTTCCATTTTGGTTTGGGGCCATTGCTGGGTAGCTATTGTGATCCTTAGGTGGTGTCACTACATTCAGATTTTTTCATGGTGCCAGAATTCTTGCCCTGGTTCTTTCTCATCTGGAGACACTGCCACTTCTAATTATTGTAATTATTTTTATATGAATAGCATATTTTTATTTTTCTTTCTTTCTCTATAATGTTGCTATGTTCCTCTTTTCTTTCCTCCTCTCCCCTGCTTTTTACACGGGGTGTGACTGTAGAGAATACTGGGCAGGGTATTTTGACTTTGCTGCTATAGCCCTATGTACTTCTCTCAGCAGGTTTTATCTTGAGCTATGCTGTCAACTTATAAGCCAGTAGATGGCACTTATGGGTAAGAGCCAGCTGTGGCCAGTGAGGCTGGGTATGTACTTAATCCTTTTTTAACGGGAATATCTTTCTGTTGCATAAGGCAATGGGCTGATTTTTGGATTGCTCAGTGTTTTGAGCTCTCTGCTCAGGCCAGGGGAGGCCACGATAGGCAGGGCTGGGCTTGGCAGGTTTGCATACAGGTCCCCTGATGGCAGGTACAGGCACTAGCACTGAGGGAAAATCCAGTGCATGGCCACTGAGTGTCCAGAAGTGCGCCTAAGCATGGAGCTGGGGAACTCCTTGACCCCATGTTCTCTATACAGGGATGGGGGAGATCTAAACTCTTAATCCAAGAGAGTAGTTGCTCCAGATGCCTGGAGATCTACCTGGGCATGCAGCAGAGAGTGCCCCCCTGCACCAAGATCTCTTCAAAGGAGGGGTGGGATGACTCAGGCTGCTGAACCAGGCAAACAGATGCTCTGAATGCCTGGAGATCTGCCTGGGTGTGGAGCAGAGAGGGCCCCACTGCACCATGATCTATGCGCAGGAAGGGCAGAGCTATTCAGGCTGCTGATCCAGTTGAGGAGGTGCTCCAAATGCCTGGAGCTCTGCCTAGGGTTGGAGTGGAGAGGGGTTTGCTGCACAACAATCTATGTCCAGGAAGCATTGGGAAGCTTAGGCTGCTGAGCCAGGCAAGTGGGTGTTCTGAATGCCTGGAGTTCTCCCTGGGGTTTCAGTGGAAAGGGCCCACTGCACTACAATCTCAGGGGAGCATCCTGGGCACTCAGTAACGACACATACAGATTGGTACCAGGTCACCACTCTGCCCCTGCCTGCAAGTCTCCTTGCCCAAGAGAAACTGCAGCAGCAGCAGCATTCCCCACCCTACCCAGGCCTGTGACGGAGGAGAGCACAATTCCAGCACCTACTGCTGAGGCACTTTCCACAGTTTTGACTGTGGAAGCTCCTACCCCACTCGAGAGCAAGCACTCCAGTCTCTGGCCCACGACTAAAATCCTGTGCGGGCACACTACTGGGTCACCACATAATTGTTGACTTTATGTTTGTCCAGATTAAAAATAGCCTCCTGCTCTCTGTCCCAGGTCTGGGAAAATGGCTGCAGCTTTTCCCAGTGCCTTTCCCTCACTGCATTTCCAAGCTCTCCCCAAGTTAGTTCCAGGGCTTGGGAGAAACAAGCTTTCTCCCTTGGCCTGGGTTGCTTGGATCCCAGTGGAAGGTGAGTCACAGAGGGAGGCTATCTGCCTCTCTCATATCCTGAGGGTTCACTCACTTTTATCAGCCAGATGCTGTCATGGGGGCTGTTTGCCCATGTTCTCCTCCCCGGGTTCTGGGGTTTCCTACATGATTCCAGTGAATTCTCATTTTCCTTCTTGAATTAAAGCTTACGGGGTTGATCTTTATGCACTATCTTGCTATTTTCAAGTGACTGAAGCACACTAAAAGCCATTAATCATTTTTTCCATCTTGGGGAAAAAAATGAATCTATTATTATTATTTTTAGTGGCACAAGAATTCAGGTTTAACTTATCTTTGCCCTTTCTACTTAGGCTCTTTTCTGCCTTAGTTTTAAAAACAGCTGCAAACTTCAGAAGAAGTTCTTGGCTACGTAAAATATTTTTTTCTCTAAGATATTTACCCACTTAATTTTCAAACTTAGGACAGCATTTTTTAACTTAACCTAAAATAGGTCATGTAGACCTAAAGTGTCTACGTTTTTCTACTCAAATTTTAAAAACTTTTCCTCTTCTATGATATATGTGTTATTTCAACTGCCATTTGCTTTATTGTTGTATCTGTAAGGTCCTATGTGCCTATTAGTTCAGTTCTCTTTTTCGCAATTATATTTCCCACTATTACTATTGTTCTAACTCCAATTTTAAGTAAAATACAATAATGGTAAAAGTAAGTGTGCTAATCTATTATGGATCATTTTTACCAGCTACCATAAATCTAAACCATTCTCTTAAAAAATTCAGTTTGAAGTATTAAAAACATGGTAAAAATTAGAGTAGGAATGTGTTATTAAAATTCTCATTAGTGTAATTTAGTTTTAAGAGAGTTTTATACTTTTTGGCTGTTTACTGTTCTTCCTTGACGCAAATTTCTTACTTAAATATTTTTAGAACAGAAAATACTTTCTGAAGTTCTGTAAGATCTCAGAGAGGGCTAATATTTATCTGTTTCTATTGATTTGTTAATTAAGGTTCAACCAGACAAAGCCACTAATATCCATGAAGATGGGGACACTTTTATGAACAAAGCTTTGCTTTTGGTCAAAAATACAGTGTACACCTCTCTGTGCACTGTAGATGTACAGAGGACATCTACAGTCTAGATGTACCAGTGTATATCCTCTCTGGATGAGGACCCTGGGAAAGGAGGGTGCATCACTCTGCTGAAGATCTTTTAGTTTCATAATTAGTAGAATGTGGGAAGGAGAATTTGAGACATTTCTAACTCCGTATAAGATAAGCTTGTGTCCTGAAACACTCATTTTTCTACCTCTTATTCAAAGTGTATAACTGGCTTAAGTAGAAATGGAAAGTTTGTTATTACAGGAGAAAGTGAGATATAGTGATGATAACAAAAATATACTTGTGATGCATTAATCTTAGGCTGTCTTATCACTTTTTAAATATAACTAACAAGGCCTTATGGCAACTGTGGAATATATAGGTATTATGTGACACGTTTTATATTTTCAGGCCTGATGTCGTATTGTATGTGTTTGTATTAGTCCATTCTCACGCTGCTAATAAAGACATACCTGAGACTGGGTAATTTATAAAGGAAAGAGGTTTAATAGACTCATAGTTCAACATGGTTGGGGAGGCCTCAGGAAACTTACAATCATAGCAAAAGGGGAAGCAAACATGTCCTTCTTCACATAGTGACAGGGAGAAGAAGAATGAGAACCTTATAAAACCACCAGATTTCATGAGAACTTACTCACTATCATGAGAATAGCATGGGGGAAACCACTCCTATGATTCAATTACCTCCCATAGGGTCCCTTTCATGACAGGTGGGGATTATGGGAACTACAATTCAAGATGAGATTTGGGTGGGAACACAGCCCAAACCATATCAGTGTTATTTTAAACAACTAACAGTGTCAATTCAGTATGTGGCCCTCATGATCTGAGACCAAAAAAAATACAAAAAGTATAAATAAAAATGAATGTGGGTGGAGTCCTAAACAATATTATATTTGTGACCATTGTATAAACCAGCTTAGGAAAAAAATATTTTTCTTTATCATTTTGTAGAAGATGAAAAATTCAGAGTCATGGCATAGTATCATAGGAGAATAGGAGAATGATAGCTGTGTGCTAATAAGAATAATCAAATAAACAACTTTATTTTTACTAGCTTTTATTATATTGTTACCCATCTTCAAATCTGTTAATTTTTTTTTATTTGACAGAGGAAATAATACAAACTTATAGAAATATACGTTAATTATAATTAGCATAAGAATTTGATGTGATTAATATGACAGATGCTGAGTAAGATAAATTGACACTATTTTTGCTGATTCATCACTATCTCCTTAACTTATATATTTTTGTGGCTGTGTTGGTCTTTGTGAAGCTATGATACCCTGTTTCTAGTACTGTAATCTTTACATTCCAGGTCCTTGTGTCCAGGGAGTGTTTTTGGAATGAGAATGTGGATTGGGGGGCAGATGTGGCAACGGCTGGGTAGCAGATGTGTGCCCTTTGCAAGAGTCTTTGGAAAAACAGAAATTGTGAATTTTTTTAAAGGATCTTGGAAAAGAATTGCCTCATATAGTCCAATAGAGTACACAAAATTAGACTTTGCTTCTGGGTACCTTATGACTGTAAAATTAGCTATTGAGTGAGTTTCCCATCTGGGAAATATCAATTATTTACTGTTTAGAACTTTCCCTCTTGCTATTAGATGTCCTAAAGACAGTGTTCTCGCTTAATTTTGCTATTTTGCCAGGGAAAAGCAAGAGGAATTGCTCTAACTTGAACCTCCTCATCTTTCTATTGGGCTATAAATCTCATAAGGAAACAAAGACGTCCCTTCCATAATGCACACTTAATATTTGATGTCAATCTGCAAAACCTGCAAAATCTGCTCTGAGGAGGATCAGGGTTCAGCTACATTGTTATATTGAACTTTTCTGAAGGCAACTTAAAGAATGTATTCTTCAAACTGTGGTGTTATTAAAGGAAAAGAAGTATATTTTGGAAAGTGATTTATAAATGTTTAGGATGCAGATTGTAATAGATCTGTATTTCTTAACATCAGTATAATTATTAGAAGCATCTTAAGAACAAGTGATGATGGGGTGGTTTAGACCAGAACTCTGAAATAGTGCTTGTCCCCAGGGAATGAGCAAGAAAAGTAGATTTTCTATGATAAGAGAACATGACGATTAGGCTGGGTATGGTGGCAAAATGGCAGCACTTGAGAGGCCAAGGCAGGAAGATCACTTGTGGCCAGAAGTTCAAGACCAGCCTGGGCAACATAGTGAGACTCTTGTCTCTACAAACATTTTTAAAAATTAGCTGTACATGGTGGCATGCAGCTGTAGTCCTAGCTATTTGGGAGGCTGAGGTGGGAGGAGGTCTTGCTGCGGTGGGCTATGAAGGTGCCACTGCACTCCATCCTGGGCAACAGGGCGAGGCCCCATCTTGAAAAAAAAGAAAATATGAAAACTCCTATTTCTATGTATTTCTAAATCTCATTATTTCTTCACTTTTTATTTTTATATATCGTAATACTTATGATATAGTAGAGCATAATACATTTCTAATTCATAAGTAATGTGCAATACTTTGCCATTTATCACTGTGAGTGATGAATCAAAAGCATTTAGAGATCACCGGTGCAGATAAATAGGCAGTGCTCAGGTGTCTCTGTGTATGTGACTGAATATAGGAATTCAGCATTTAGTACTTTCTCTACAGGAAGAGATCTCCCAGAAAATTTTAACTTCATATTTATTTATGCAGAGAACATGTTTTAGTGACTGGTTACCTTAGTGATTGGTATCTGCTCCTTCCCGATGGCACTTTCTGTTCTCTCTCAGTGCTCAGTGTTCTGGGGCTAAAAAGCACTTGGGAGGCCACAGAATCTGTAGACACTTTTATTTGACATATGAGTAAGCAGACCCCTGTTGCTAAGAGTGGCAAGTGCAGAGTAATTCTTCCTAAAGGGTGAGAAGAGAGAAAGGAAATTATTTTGCAAAGTGTTATTTACTTAATTTTATTTTATCTTTTTATTTTTTGAGACAGAGTCTCACTCTGTAGCCTAGGCTGGAGTGCAGTGGTGTGATCGTGGCTCACTGCAGCCTCGACATTCTGGGCTCAAGTAATCCTCTTGCCTCAGCCTCCCAAGTTGCTGGGACCACAGGCACATGCCACCATACCCAGCTAATTTTCTGTATTTTTTGTAGAGATGAGATCTCCTTCGTTGCCCATGCTGGTCTTGAACTCCTGGGCTCAAGCGAACTTTCTGCCTTGGCTGCCCAAATTGCTGGGATTTTAAAAGCATCAATAATGATGTATAATCAAATTTGTACAGATAAGTTAAAGTTAATGGCAAAATTGTATGTGAGAATTAGTGTTGATTCTCTACGTTCTGTTTCCTAACTTTTGTCATTTTATTTTTTATTTGACTGGAAGTCTCAGGTGATAAGTTAAGTCATGCTTGCCTTCCTGAGAGCTAAATCAACTTTTCTCTTTCTTTATTAAAATCTAAGAAGTCTTATTAATTATACGGTAATGTATGAACACTTGCTTTTTTACAACTTGTCTTCTTTTACAAAGGTCCAAGACTTAAAAAAAAAACACATAAAGTGTTAGTGATTCTTCTTCAAAATTAGAGAAAAGTGAAATAATTACCCAACCTAACACAATTTAAAATTTCTTTTCAAGGCTGGTAGCTCCTTTAATATAAACCCTTAGGGTCTATACCTTAAAGGGGTCATACAAGCCAGTGAATTCATTTCCACAGCTTGTTTAGAAGCTGCCCAGTGAAGTCCTTAACACTCCTTTTCAGAATTACAGGAATTCGAGGTTGCAGTGAACTATGATTGCACCACAGCTCTCTAGCCTGGGTGACAGAGCAAGACCCTGTCTCAAAAATTTAAAAAAAAAAAAAAAAAAGAGGAAAGAAAGAAAAATAGTACTCCTTTTCATAAACCTGAGGTTAATATTTTGTAAAGGGTAATGTGAAAGAGTGAAAAAACCAGAGAAGAATTTATAGTTTCACAAAGCAGTGTCCTCACATTACCTAGTTTTCTAATAAAATCCAAAAGTTCTAGGCAAAAATCCAGATGTTCTAAGAAATCCTCATGGTTAATATTATGAAAACACATATTCCATCTGAGCATGAATTTATTTAACCATCCAAATACATCATCATGGAATTCTGATCAGTGAAATTGAGTATATTTGGTTAAATAATGAAATTTTCTTCATCACACATGTAGTTTTGAATGCTTACCAGGTCAGTCAGGCTTCCTGCTTAGTACCCTGTGCTCCCTCCTATAGAGGTACAATACAATTTGGGACTTTCCCAGGTAAAATTTTTCCTCTTCTGGCATATTTACCTTTACTACATTTTTATAGTTTTTCACAGTGTTATAATCATTTGCCATCACATTTTTTACTTGGGAAGCACACATTTGTATGTCTCATATTAAGGATTCAGTCTTCTTGGAATTACATTTTCAAAGTCATTATTGGAAATGTAATTTTTAGTAAGCAAACTATTTGCTTTCCTGTATAACTGAAATTATGACTCATTCAGTGGAGTGCTCAGAGCTTGCTCAATTTAAGAGAATTTTATTATGAAAACATAAATCTCTTTAAAAAACCATGGCATGTTTCTCCCCTAACCCCCAAGCAGTTAGTTCAAGTAGAGACCCTCTAGAAAACAGCACCTTGTGTTGACTAAGAGTTTTGCAACCATGTCAAAGGCCAGGTATTAAAATTGCTATTGTTGAGCTGATAACTGAGTAGAAATTTGCCAGGAATTTAACAGATAACAAGGAAAGTACCTGATAAAGAGTGAGATCTGTTGAAGAGCAGTCATTACCACCATCACAATGGCTCAGAAAAATTGCTTTGTTTGGAAAAGGAGGGTTTGTGTGACTGCTAGGGAGATGTTTTATATTCATTGGTCATTTGTTTGGTTAGGTGTTTAATGGACACATATTGTATATTAGATACTGTGCTTAGCACTTAGTGAGAATAATTGCTCTAGTTCCTGTTCCTGTAAGACAGAATGTATGAAATCCAGGAGCAACAACTAAGTAGGGAATCTTTTTCTCTTCCTGCTATTTGCTCTGTTTTATAATACAGGAAAATTCTGTAGAGGGTTTAGTCACTCCCTGATTTAACTTGTGACTCTCGGAGAACTCACAACAGAAATAATGGCCATCTGCATGATTTAATAAGTGGGATTTGACCCAAATGGTTCAGAAGTCTTAGGGACTGTGGACAAACCAAAAAGTTACTTAACTTTTAGGGTTCTGAATGGATATATAGAAGTATTGTAAAAACATGTGGAGAAAAAATTGAGGAGAAAAGCATTCAGTGATTGATAATTACGGCTTTGTGAGGCAGGAAGTAAATTGTACTACATTCCGTGAAAAATATTCCAAATTGTTCTAGATTGAGATTTAAAGACAATTTCTAAGAATAACAATTGGGTACATCTATATACTGTTCCATCTTTATAAAGGATGAGTGAGTGACATCATGTGTTGATTTTTCTTTCTTTATGATCATGAGACTGCTGTTCTCATGGCAGTTTTCCCAATTTAAGAACAAGTACCTACAGGGACACGGACAACTTCTTGAATGCTAAAATTTAAAATCCCCAAATATAAGTTCAAATGACACCTTTTTTGGCATTCTGGTTTTCCGACTCAATGGCATATGAAAAGTTTAGTTTAGTAGGTAAGCTGTTGTTTAATACTGAAGTCATATTTCCATTTGTTATAAAGAAAATAGAATTTATAACATCATTAAAAGGGGTTCTCAGTCCTTGAAGCAGTGAGAAACACCTTATTCAGTAAAATTACTTAATAACACAATAAGATATACTAAAACAGAAATTAAGATTTTCCCTCCTTCATATTAAGACAGGATAGCTTTAATTAATAAAAGTAAAGTCAAGTAAACCCCCCAAAATTAAAATCCATGTTTGATATTTAAGCTAAAATACTTATAGGCTGATTTAAAGGAATGATCCCTACTTTCTTTAAAATGGAGTTATATATCTATGTTTATATTCTGTAACAGATATGCCATTTTAGAAAATCAGAAGAGATGTATGGAACTGATAACCTTAGTCCGGAGTGGCTAGGTTATCCTTTAAAACCAGGATATATCTTTTTTCTTCCTTCCTAAATATTTTGTTATTCAGAAAAAAATTCACAGAAAAAGAAAATTATATTTAACTAAGAGGGGATGTTGTATGCCCAAGTTCTTTAGCATCGAAGAGGGCCGATGGCTGGGAACGCTGGAGAGAGGACAGAGCAAGGTAAGGAGGCTCTTGGTGGAATGATGCTTGTCCTCAGACCCACGTGGTTTCTAGGTGAGAACCTTGAGGAGAAGAGGCATGCCTTGTGCAATTTGGTATTTCCTGCCTTAGCTAAGTACCTCCCAGGCAGTATGAGCAAAATAGGTTGGTGGATAAATGATAAGAAGGACAGTAGGTGACATCATAGGTGACGTGGACCACTGGGTTCAATGAAGGAGCCTGTGTTTTGGAGCTATTCAGACACCTGTGTTAAACTCTAGCTCTGCTACCCCTTTCTTGGGTGGCCTGACATATGTTATTTTCTCTACTGAGATTGTGATATCTCCATTTTAAAGTGGGATACTTACTGTTGGGATTTCAAGGAGCCCATACAAACTGGTCTTTCATTCCTGAGTTCCAAAGAGACCATGAGAGTGATGGCAATTGGATCATCAGCTTTATTGCTGCAAAAGGAAGCTGGCAATGTGACTTAGTTCTATGGCCGCATGGTCTTAACTAACAGCCCTGCCCTAAGTCAATGGAAGTGTGAAGCGTGAGAATGCAACTCCCCTCAACACCTACCCACAGGGTGTTAGGATGGAATGATTTCGTTCATGGAGGTAATCAGTAAGTCTTCCTTCTCATCCCACTCTTCCAATCTGATTTTGAATATTCTGTAAATCAGTGGAAATGAGCATATTAACTGGGTTAGGCAGGGTTTACAGAGCCAATTTTTCTTTCTTTCTTTTTTTTTTTTTAAGTCTTCTAGGGGCCAGGCATGGTGGCTCATGCCTGTAATCCTAGTACTTTGGGAGGCCAAGGCATGCAGATCACTTGAGGTTAGGAGTTCAAGACCAGCCTTGCCAGCGTGGTGAAACCCTGTCTCTACTAAAAATACAAAAATTCGTCAGGCGTGGTGGCAGGTGCCTGTATTCCCAGCTTCTCGGGAAGCTGAGGCAGGAGAATCGCTTGAATACGGGAGGTGGAAGTTGCAGTGAGCCGAAATGCACCACTGCACTCTTGCCTGGGTGACAGAGTGAGGCTGCATCTCAAAAAAAAAAAAAAATGCCTTTTAAAAGGTGTCTGCCACGGCCTCATGGGTTGTTCTGTTGCCTAATCAATGATTCTTTGGAGCCAGCTAGAATAGGGCTTTCTTAATGCTGGGTAGAGGGACTGTTTCCAGCAAATGTTTAGGAAACCTGCTTTGTGGAGATAATGGTTTCCTAGCAATAATACCAGCCTGAACTTTCCTGAGCTATATTTTTTGTAGTTTAATCTACTAGATTGGATTAGGCTCTGACTGAGTTCCTTACACAAGCAATAAGGGCAAGAGATCCGGAGAGAGATTACACCATCTAAAAGAAGCTGTCACATGTCATATAAGAATGTCAGGATGAGTAGACTTATTTTAACTACTTGGAAAAGTTTATAAGATTCCCAAAACCTTTATACCTCCACACTTTTTTGTTATTTTTATTACCATCTGTTTACTGTCCTATTATGATTAGCCAGAAAGCTCTTAAAATGGAAAGGATTTATGTGCATGATTTTAGTGGTAGTAAAGAAAAAAGAGCAGTGGAGTGAATATTTCTGCCAGGTCGGTGGGGAACCTAGGAGGGGAGAGTGGGCTGTAGCATCTTGTAGGCTGCATCTCAGAAGTCTGTGGAAAGAGAAAAAACAGAGCGTGGGAGACAGGGGCAGTGGCCCTGTCAATAACAAGAAGTCAATAATAGAAATTACACTCGATTCTTAGTAAGCCAGAGACAAATAGGTAGGTTTCCTCAACATAGCTAGACTGAAATTAATGCTTGTAAAAGTCAAGAAGTTTTTTAAAAGGTATTTCCTAATTTATTCCTAATTTAAAAATAAAACATTTTTTCTTAGCAAGTTATCCTGACATCACAGATATGTTAATTTGGATAAGATTCTTAGATGAAGTGAATTGATTAATGTGAAAATTAATTCATGAATCTTAGATATCAGCAAGTGAGTAGGATTTGGGAGTTGTTTGACAATATTTCTTATATATAGTATTCGTTTTTCCTAGATCATCTGACTGCCAGTATTTCATCTTGAGAGTGGCAATTTAAAAAGGAAAAGCATTTTTTTCCCCTGGGCTTAGACTCCACTAAAACTTGTGGGTTGAACATTTTACCCAAATATAGACCTTTTAGTGATTAAGCTAATTTACTCTTTTCAAACTGTGACATCCTGTTTATAAGAAAGAAGACTTATAAAAAGTAATCTGAGCATGAACTAACTCTTCTAAAGTCAACATCTTGGTGAACTTATGTGTTAAATGAGTCACAAATATTTGGATGAAGATTTTTTCTGGTTTTGAAAGGGAAAGTACTTGGGAAAAAATGTCATTTTGGTTTCATTGAAATGGAAACATTTGAAAAAATGAAATTCACTGGTGAGACTATCATGTAACAGGTTTACACACATATTTCTTAAGTCAGTTCTGTGAAGTTTTAGAGCCGTATCCTCCATGGGCCAACTCTTAACCATCACGAGATGCATTTATAATTATTCCCAGAAATAAGCTTTTAATGTTGCAAAAAGTAAAAATTTTATAATATTTGAAAGTAATATTATTCACTTTGTAAAATGTGTTCTAAAATTATTTTTGTCCCAAAAGAAAGCTGAACGATGCCTATTCAAATTATTTACCTGACAGAAAAATGCTTTTTATTGACCCTTTATTATTTGAAAATGTCATTATGAGCAACTTAAAATTTAATTTCTCTACAATAATGTTATACTCAGTATTTTATACTTGATTTAATATATACTTGCAATGCATACTTGATTTTTAATATATACCTGCAATTTATTAGCAAAATTAAATTTCTCTACAATAATGTTATACTCAGTATTTTATACTTGATTTTAATATATACTTGCAATTTATACTTGATTTTTAATATATACCTGCAACTTATTAGCAAAATTTAATTTCTCTACAATAATGTTATACTCAGTATTTTATACTTGATCTTTGATATACTTGCAATTTACTGGCTGAATTTTTGTGAATTGGGCAAATCCATGCTCTGTTTAAGCACCTCCAGTCTCTATGCTGTTGGTCCTAAAATCCTTATCTTCTGCCCTGTTCTATTAAGTGTTAGATTTGCATGTAAGGATCTTGTTGGTTATTACCTCAAGCACTTCGAACCTGTCAGTTCTCAGTTTTAATTACTTTTTTTTTTTTTAAAGTCACTCTTTCTTCCCCTATTCAGTTACAATATCTTTGGTCTTTGGTCACCAGAGAGCTCTTCCTCTCACTTATCCCACCAAGTAATTGGCCATGAATCCTTGATGATTCGGCCTGTAAAATGACTCTTCTTGCCATCTCTGCCCTATCTCAGACACAATAATTTCTTAGCTAATTCAGAACAAAAGCTTCTCATGGGGCTTCCCTGTCAATTTGTTCTTCTCTGCCACTAGATCTTTCTGTGGAGATAGTCAAACACGAATACACAGGACTTATCTCCCGAGAGACTTTTACCTATTCTCCATGGAGTTAAGATCAAATCTTTACAATCTGATACAGCCTACTTTTTCTAGATTTCTCTCTTCTACTTATCTGCTCTTTGGCCCAATACATGTGGAGATTCATCCATGACTAAAAGTCATTTGACTATACTATATATTTTCCACACTGTGCTATTCCATGTTTTGATCCTCATTACCTAAGACTCACTTTTCCCCTTCTTACTTTCCTTCTTCCAGAAGTAAAAATCACTTCTTCTATGTCCTCTCATAGTACTTTTTTATTCTCTTTGCCATCATGCAATATACCCCATTGAGGTTAACTGTCTATATGAGGATTTCTTGGGCTAAATTATGAATTTTTCAAGGGAGGTATTTGATTTCTTACTTGTGAAAATAAAAATAGTTTCACTGTTGGGACTTAATAAATGCCCCCATATTAATGGGGTACTAAACAAAGGGTGTGTTGAAATGAACCCAGATTCTTATAGGTACAGTTATTGTTCCAAGTGGATGGAGAAGTACTTCAAGGATTAGAGTAAAAAAAAACAAGAGCCTTGCCAATATTTTTTTTCTTGAGAGCTACGGTTTTATTTTATGACAGTCATGGGAATTTCTCAGAAAAGTCAGAGAATAATGAATGGTAGTATTACCTGCAAATTTCTATTTGTTTTCATTCGAACCATCAAGTCATTGTCTCTGGCATTTGTTAGTGATTCATTGTATTGATGACTTTAAAATAAGAACCATCACTAGAGTTGTTCACTTGCTGTTCAGTTTGGCATTAAGTTGATTAGCTAGCATGTATTTATTGGCAATGAGGTAAATATGCTAAGTTAAATGCACACCAATAAAAGTGTAATCCCTATCTTCTATTTGTTAAAATAGAGGTGGAAAAAGAAACTTAGTACACATAGAATAATTAAGTACTAGACTGAGATGGATTATATAAATGTAAATGAAACATGGAGCAAGGAAAAATCATGATGATCTGAAGAAGCAATGAAAGTTTTCATTAAGAAAAACAACTTGTTCTTGAAAAATAGGTAAGAATTACGAGTGAAAAGGAGAAATTCAAAATGAAGAAAATAATGTAACTCCATTGATAAGAATACTAGATTTCTATGTTTTGCAAACCAAAATTTAGTTAGTAATTTTAGCAATACCTAGATTGTTTACTTTTAAGACTATGAAGTTATTTTGTTTTACTTTGTTTTGTCTCCAGGTGGATCCGATATTGAATATCTGGACTTCTATAAGCCTGTCGTGTGGTTCTGGATCCTTGTAGGGCTTGCTTACTTTGCTGCTGTCCTGAGCATGATTGGAGATTGGCTCCGAGTGATATCTAAAAAGACAAAAGAAGAGGTGAGAATTAAGAAGTGTGCAAAAAACTTCTATTTAGTTAATTCAATAAAGGTTATTTTAAATTATTTTTATGTTTACATTTAAAATATTTAAACATTTTAAAATGTTAATATTTTCTATTTGGCATGAATTTGCTGTATTAGGCTATGAGCAAATATATGAGTTGTAATTTATTCACTTAGAAAATGTTTCTGTGCCAATTGCTGTCTCAGAACTGAGGGTAATTTCTAATGAAAAAGGATGTAACTAGAAACATTTTCTTCATTATTTCTTTTTTTTTTTGTTTTCTTTCTTTTGTTCTCAAGAGCACAAAATAAATTTTATTCTGTAAATAAAAATATAATAGAAAATATTTGTATCAAGATATCAGTAGCATGAAATAGTGGATGTTTTAAATAATGTGGAAGGCTTTTTACCTTTAACTTATTTTATTTTTCTTATGTCTATATAAATTTGTACGTACACATGTATATATATTCCAAAGCTGTATGCATTATGGCCGTTTTCCCTGTATATAGATTTTAACAATTTTAAAAGGTGTCAATTTACTTATCTTATACAACTAAACATATAGAAGTGAACATTAGAATTTTGACCCATGAAATTTGGGAAAATTTGAAATTTAAATATTGATTTTGAAATTCTATTGTTTGGAAATTAAATTTTGATTTCATATTTACATATCCAGGATCACTATTAGTTTGAATGTGACAGGGTAATGTTTTATTATGAAATGTGTATTTCTTGCTTCTGGGTCTTAGTCAACTTTGCTAATTGTTTCAGAGAACAACAAATCTGTAAAACCTGTCCCTATAGTACCCATTGCCTTCGTTTAACTATCTATTCCTAGACCACAGATATCAGTGTCAGACTCTTTCATGGCTATAAGCATGAATTCTTTAAGTATACACCCAAAAGAAATAGAATAAGATAGAAAATGATGAAATTAACTTCCCTTTACAAATGTTTTCTTTGAAAATTATCAAGTCATATAATTTTTTTTTTTTTTGAGATGAAGTCTCGCTTTGTTATCCAGGCTGGAGTGCAGTGACATGATCTAAGCTCACTGCAATCTCTGCCTCCCAGGTTCAAGTGATTCTCCCACCTCAGCCTCCCGAGTATCTGGGACTACAGGCTCACACCACCATGCCCAGCTAAATTTTTTGTATGTTTAGTAGAGACGGAGTTTCATCTTGTTGGCCAGGCTGGTCTAGAACTCCTGACCTTCAAGTGATCTGCCCGCCTCTGCCTCCCAAAGTACCAGGACTACAGGCATGAGCCACCGTGCCAGGCCAAGTCATACAATTTTTTATTCATACCCAAGGTGCCTGTGTGAACTAGCAAGAATGTAAATTATCCATACTTTACTTCAAGGATACCATATTTCCTAATTGGGAATTTACTTATTCAGTCTGTATGCATTAGTCTATATCTTAGTTGCATCATCAAATTGAAATATTTTTATTATAAACAAGTCAGTAAGACAATATGCTTGACACTATAATTTAAACTGTATGAAAAGCCTTGCTTTGAATAGGACCGCAATGGATTTGCCTTAACCTTAGGCTCATTGTATGTGGTGTGCGTGTGTGAGTGTGGTGTGTGTGGGGGCGGTGGGAGATGGGAGAGAGAGAGAGAAGTATAATGGATGGTTATTCTTCATGTGTACTTCATGTGTATCTTGAGATGCTAAGGGAAAAAATGGAAATTGTAGCTAGGGAATGTTTTGGACAACATAGCTAAAAAGAGAACTACTCAAACATCAAGCAATAATCTGGCTTTCAAATGGATTTGAAAACACATGCACACAAGCATGTATTTCTTAAATAAAACAGACTTGAGCAGAACCTATTTCATACGGTCAGGTAGTTAGGAAAAGTATTGTTTTGCGATACACAAATACACAGATATAATATTATAAATAAACTATGTATTATATACATACACACTTAATATCTTAATATTTTTGTGGTCCACAATCCAAAAGTTTGAAAGCCACTAAGGCACAGATAGTACAGAGGGAAATTTTGTACCTTTATAAATTGATGAAATTGGTATAGAATATCTGCTTAAATGTTTAAAACTTGTATTACTAAAAAACAGTGCTTTTTGTGATAGGACTAGCTGGGTCAAAGAATTAGCATACTTTTCCAAAGTAATGAGTCTGCTCTAGCTGTTACAACAAAATAGGACGGACTGGGTGTTATAACATGGGACTTTTTTTCCTCACAATTCTGGAAGCTAGAAGTCCAAGAAGGTGCTAGCAGGGTTGGTTTCTGGTGAGGCCTCTCTGCTAGGCTTGCGGGTGGTGCCTTCCCACTGTGTCTTCATATGGCCTTTTCTCTGTGTGCATGCATGAGAGAGAGTGAGAGATCGTGTGAGCATGCACACTCTGGTATATTTTTCTCTTCTTAAAAGGACACCAGTCCTATCGGATTAGGGCCCCACTTTTTTGACCTCATTGAACCTTAATTACCTTCTTTAAAGCCGTGTCTCCAAATGCAGTCACACTGGGGCTTAGGGCTTCAACATATGACTTTTGGGGAGACACAAATCAGGCCATAACACCATCTTTTCAAATAAATACAAATTTCTACATAACTGATTTATTCAAAATGAAAACAAGACCGGGTGGGGTTGCTTACGCCTGTAATCCCAGCACTTTGGGAGGCCAAGGCAGGCAGATCACTTGAGCCTAGCAGTTTAAGATCAGTCTAGCCAACATGGTGAAACTTCATCTCTACTAAAAATACAAAAATTAGCTGGGCATGGGGGTGGATGCCTGTAGTCCCAGCTACAGTGAGAGTGAGGCAGGGGAATCCTTTGAACCTGGGAGGCGAAGGTTGCAGTGAGCAGAGATGGCGCTACTGTACTCCAGCCTGGGTAACAGAGCCAGACTTTGTCTCAAACAAACAAACAAACAAACAAGCAAACAAACAAAAAAAACAAGGTTGTGTCCCTACTTATGAGTGATCTTCATGACTCTCAACTGAAAGTATGAGGTGTAGCATTGTGTTTTCATGCTAGTTAAACATTGCAGGGTTTTTTGGTTTTGTTTTTTGTTTTTTCTTACCACACATCTTTTGGCATGTACCTAATATTCTGGGTAGCATGTACTTTCTGGTGATTGCATCTGTCGAAAGCTCCCATGAGTCAAGGCTATGACCAGAGCTTTAAGTGAACCCTCCAAAGTTTCAGCTGCTCTGGACAGGGGAGCCAGTTGAAATGGAGCTTTCAATTGGAGTAGATATGTGTATTTTCTGATTTATAATGTAATTTAGGGAACTGCAAAATGGGGTCATGAATTCAACAGAGAATGTGAAGAAAGACAGGGAAAGGCCCCTTATAATTTTCAAAATATTATCATGGCCAAAGTTTTTATAAACAAAATACTGTTAAAATTTCTAAAGCAATGGAAAACGATTATTAGACAATTTTAGTTTTGAAATAACTCACTAAAGGGTATAAATCAATAAAAGCCAACTAAATATATTCTAGTTGTCATCTCTGTGTAAATGAACAAATGCCAGGTGACTGCTCAATAGATATTCCTTACTTTCCATGCCCAAGTCATTCTGGGCGCTGTTAGTTTTAAAAACTCCCAAAGTGTTAAGAAATAACAAAGTTATTTCTAGTTTTCAGTTTTGATGAATAAAAACACTAAACATTTTTGATAACTGGGAATCTTCTTCACTAAAAGATTTAACTGGTACAAAATATAAAAAATACAAAATTAAATATAGCTTCAAATTTTCCAAGTGATAATACTTGGACACATGCTTTCCCTGAATGAAAAGATTTTGGCTAATAACCCCAGTCTTATATTATTTTTTCAAAAACAAATCTGCTTAAACCATACAGGTTTAAGTGTGAAAATATAGATCTAGTCATATATGCCCTTATTCCATTTCTGTTTTTTATGTTAAAACATATTCTGTTTCCAGCCAGGCGCTGTGGCTCATGCCTGTACTTTGGGAGGCTGAGGCGGGAGGATCACCAGAGGTCAGGAGTTTGATACCAGCCTGGCAAATATGGTGAAACCCTGTCTCTACTAAAAATACAAAAATTAGCTGGGTATGGGGGTGGGTGCCTGTAGTCCCAGCTACTCAGGAGGCTGAGGCAGGAGAATTGCTTGGACCCGGGGAGGCAGAGGTTCCAGTGAGCCGAGATCATGCCACTGCACTCCAGCCTGGGTGACAGAGCAAGACTCCATCTCCAAAAAAATAAAAATAAAATAAAAAATAAAATAAATTCTGTTTCCAATGAAGAATAGTTTTAATGAAATTATGTTTTGTTTTCCATCAACATGCTGAAATAAAACATGGTATAGCTAATCCATCTGAAATATTTGAAGAGGAAATGATTTGTTGAAACATACTATATATTCAAAAGTGCCACATATAATTATAGTTGATCTGCATCAAGGAAAACAATAATGAGCTTGGTAATTTTCCAGTTTTCCATGGAAACATATGCATTTCTGTAAAAGCATTTCTTTGTCTATTTTTTAAGCTCCAGTGGAGGGTAGGCACATGTTTAACAGAAAGGATTGGTAAGCTAACTTATCTTTTCTATGAAACTATGTACTCTCTTCTGAGGAAATAATGTTTCCATTTACAAAATAAAACTTATTTAGATATTCTGGATAATACAATAATACTGCTACCTGAGGGAGGCATAATAGAAATAAGATGTGACCACAAGACTCAGAAGGTAAAATCTGTGCTTGCTTAGGAGGAAAGCAGGGAGTAGAGCATCGTTACTACACACAGGCATACCTCAGGTTCCTACTGTTTACATTTCTTGAGCTTGAAAGGGCCTGTGATTTCTACATATTTCTTCTATCGATGCCCAAGCACCGGTGTTTGGGTGTTCCTGTGCACATATGAGATAAACACCACTGCGGCCCACACCATAGCATGCTAGTGTTGTCAGGCTGGGTGGCACCACAGCTGGCCACAGTGAATTGATAGGCAAGCAATGCTTCTCTACCAATATCATTTCCTTAGTCTCCGGAGATGTTTATGCAAATAGAGGCTCTCACTTTAGTAAGTTGGCATTGTATTGTATGAAAACTACACCCTTTGACTGGACAACGCTAGTGCCAAGAAGCCTTGAAAGACTGTCCCTGAATTTTTATTTCACCCCAATTTTGTGAAGGGGCCTGAGAATGTGAAAGAACATAGCTTTGTTTTGTTTTGCTAATTACCTGGTGGCAGCATTTGGTCTCCTCTAAATTTCACTCTGGGTGGCAATGACTGTTTCAGGAAAAGAGCTGGGACTTGGAGGCTCTTTATCTTTGCCAGAGATGAGCAATTAAGAAATAGTTGCAGCCTGGGCCCTGGAAAGTTTGCAGTAGATCACTTTATCATTATTTCTTATGGGAGAAGTGCTTTCAATCTGAAAGATTTTATATGCCATTTGAATAGCTTAGACTTTATTCAGAAAACTTTAGGGAGCCATTGAAGGATTTTAAGTAAGTGGAATGAATGATGTTAGCAACAGTGAGGAAGATGAATTAGTTGCAAACAAAGCTGGATTCAGGAAAATCAGTTGGGAGAGTTATTGCAAGTATCCAGATACTATCAAACGAAGGGTCTAGGGTAGCAGTGGGATAGAGATGAAAGTTCAGATTTCAAACATATTTGGGGGATAAAAGGAACAGAATTTGGTAACCCATTAATTGTGCACAATAAAGAGAAAAGGAGAATGACATCCATAATTCTAACTTTGGGTGGGATTACAGAATGCTGGAAAATGAGAGATTTTGCGTAAATTGGAGCAATGAGATAGTTTTATTTTGGACATGTTGTGATTGCAGACGTAGCCGATATCCAGGTAGTTAAATTCTAGAAAATTGCATCTGCGTGCCTGGAATGTAGGAGAAATTAAAGCTGGGAAGATAGTTTGGGGCCATCACTACCTGAGAGCTGTGAATATAGACGAATTCACCTAATGAAGATTCGTAAAGTTAGTCAATAGTGGAGGTAAAAACAGAACCTGGAGTAACACCTTCACTTAAGGTGTGGGATGTGGAGACTATTTAGCAAATAATGTAGTTAAATAAATTGATTTGTGGTTGGGTCTGTTGGAAAGGCAAAGGCATCGAGGTTTTGAAGAGAGGAAGATGGTTACAGTGGTAGATCATATTGGCTAAAGAAAATGGTGAAGAAAAAGAATCCAAGAAAAGGCTAACATAATAACATAAAATCGATGAATAAAGTAACTAGAATTCCCCATTAGGTTGTGCTCCTGATGCACCACTCTTGTAGAAAGCAATGTAAATCTTGTTCCCTGGCATGGGTGCAATACAGTAGCTATATCTTAAGATAGTTCCGGCCACATAAAACACAATTTCAAAGGGCAACAGTCACAGTGTTTTTATGGAAATGGGAGCCCTTGGAGCATGACTAATAGAAATCCATATGAATGGTGCCCTGGGGAATTGAGCCATGGCATGGAGACCAGTTAGGAATTAGAATTATTTAATGTTGAGTTCCTAAATTATTAATTCATTCAAAAAGTGCTATTAAGTTCTTACTATGTGATGAGTGCTGTATTGGGTGCTGGGAGTAACTCTTCATCTGTGGTAGTTTGAAGTCCATCTCTTTATTGGGAGGATTGCGTAGGTGGTGTGTTCGCTTACTGATCTTTATAATGCTTGCTTTTACTTTTCTTCCTCCAATGCTAGAAAAAGAAGCTTTGACTAAGAAGGTACTTAGTCTTTGATTGGAGATCAGTTCTTAATGTAGCCTGCTTTTACTTTTTTCTTTTCTGTTTCTTCTTCCCACCCTCCATCACTCCCTTCCTTCTTTTCTTTGATCTTCAGACTATATATCAGACTTTGTAATTATTGCTTTGATTTCTATCATATTGTAGGGCAGGGGGGCAATACTGTTTGGTACAATTTTTCTGGCAGTGTTTCTTGTTGTTATTGTTCTCTTACTGAGATATTCAAGTAGTTATAAATGACTACTTGAAATTGGACTATGGGCATATTATTCATTGACTGTAAAATTTCTCAGGTTTATGTCTTACACTTGTAACTCTTCTTTGACCAAAGGATAAGAATAAAATAAAATAGAAGCAGGAAGCGTCACAATGGGCTGTTCAAACTAAGGAATACACAAAAGACCCGTCTTCTCTTTCCCACGGGGAGAGGGGTGTCCTTCACTATGTGATGGGGAAAAGGTCAGAGCAATCAGATTTGAAGTTCATCTGCTGGTCAATGTTGGCTCTGCCTAATCAAGCAAAGGAGAAAGTTCTTTCTTTCTCTAGTCACAGTCTGAGTTCAGCAAGTTATTGTCTATTTAGTAAATAGGCAATTGGAGAGGAGAATAAAACAAGGCAAGAATTAAATTATGCTTGAAGGCAGCATTAACTGCCAGAAGCCCAGACATGTCTAATTCCTAAGTGAATTGTATGAGCAGTCATTTCTGCAGAACCAAGACCCTAATTATGTCTCTATGTAGCCTCAGTATTATGTTGCATGTATGAACCTTTGTGCTTCTAACTTCAGGAAGGCCTTAATAAGTCAAAATGTATACTAAAAATGAAATAGGACTTGAAGACGTTCAGAAATGGAAACACTTCTAGAATACATTGTAAGTTATTTCCCTTTTAATACTAAATGAGAGAATGATGTAAAATGCACAGCTGTCAAATAATAATGGCTAATAAGGAAGCAGAAACACACACAGGTACAGTGACTTGTGAAAGGTTATACAGCTAGTAAAGTGGAAGAATCAATAATGAACTCAGATGACTTGACTCCATGGCCCAGCCTTTTAACGTTTTAGCTATGCTGCTTCCCAAGTGCTCACAATGTTTCTTATCTGTTGTTGTTATTATTTATTTCTGCCTCTGCCTTCTCATCTCACTTCTTCCCATCCTCCCCCATTCTTCTCCTCCCTCCTTCCCTTCCCTCTTCCTCTCTCCTTTCTCCTCCTTCTTTCCTCTTTTCTCCTTATGTGGGTAATACTGACTCATCAGAAACCTGTGCCCAAGGCTTACCCATCTGTTACTGTGTAACTACAGAGAAGGGATTTTTGTATTTAATTTGGTTACTAATTATTTATGGTATAGATCAGTGAAATCAACCTAAAATTTTTATATTCTTTCAAGTGAAAAGAAATGATTTGTATGATTTCCGAAAAGTGAGTGGGTTTTGAGGCCAACAGAACTGAGATTTAATTCTATCTCAACTATTTACTAGCTCTGCAAACATCACCAAAATGTCTAATCTCTTTTGAATCCCTATTTCTTTTTTGGTAAAATTAAGGTAATGGTACCTCCTTTATGAGTTTGCTGTGACGATGTGGTGAGGAGTGTATGTGATGTGGCTGAATGCTTACTGAATGCTTGTTTCTTTCCACATGGGTTTCTGAATAAATTAATATCAAATTATCTCAAATCAATTTTATAAAGTTTTAAGACTATATATATATATAATATCATCATATATTGTTCTATGTAGAACATAAAATATCATGAGTGCTTATAGGTCTAAACATTTTACCTGGTTGAAATAATAAGTAAACACAAAAGAAAAGATAAACAAACAAACAAAAACTATTGAGGGTGTGTATATGGCTAGAATTTAATCACAAAACCAGAGACCAAAATAGCCTAGTAAAAAAATGAATATAGAAATTTCAAATATGTTGGATATTCTATGGACTTTTTAAAGAACTAGTTTCTCTTTGGGAGGCCGAGATGGGCAGATCACAAGGTCAGGAGATCGAGACCATCCTGGCAAACACCATGAAACCCCGTCTCTACTAAAAACACAAAAAATTAGCCGGGTGCGGTGGCGGGCGCCTGTAGTCCCAGCTACTCGGGAGGCCGAGGGAGGAGAATGGTGTGAACCCGGGAGGTGGAGCTTGCAGTGAGCCGAGATCGCGCCACTGCACTCCAGCCTGGGCGATAGAGCGAGACTCCGTCTCAAAAAAAAAAAAAAAAAAAAAAAAAAAGAACTAGTTTCTACATTAAATGTTCCTAAAATCTACCCACATGCTCATTTTTTTTTTTTCTTGAATTAGACCCACACATTTTCTAGTGTCTTGCTGTCTCTATTGAGGTAGACCCTGTCTGGATTCTTCCTTTTATTAAACTAAGAGGCAATAGCTCAATGTTTTCTTAAAAAAATAAAAATGTGCAGGAAGATTACTTTTGTTTTCTTCCTTTTTTTTAAATTTTAGGTTGAATTCTCAGTATAAATGGTAACTTTTTTTTTTGATTCATGTATTTCACAGAATGTCATCTGGTAATGGAAATTCAGAATAATTTTTTTTCTATTCCTTTGTAAATAATAGGAAAATAAGTTAATAGTTTCTGTCTCAAAGCTCTTTATAAGTAATTTCATTTTCTTTAGCTAGAGAGCACATTATGAGGATTTAGTGCATCAAGATATAATATTATTTTTCTTTTTTGATTATTTCGAGACTGTTACCTGTTTTGAGAATTTGTGTTAGGAAAAGTGGCCACCATGAACTTAGCTTTCAAAATTGTTTTTGGACTTTCTTCAGCAAACCAAAGTATTGCACTTGCCTGTATTCAGAGCTAAAAAAATCTCATTTTACAAAAAATCAAGCTATGTTTGCTGAGAACAGAAGAAAATGTGTTTTCAAACATAGATCAAAATGAACTTGGTTTTAGTTCCTCTTTAAGATGGCTTTTTCTAAATGAATATTAGCTTATGATTGGTTGGGACTGAGAGTAGGGGGCATTTTGAATAATCAAGTCAGGGATTATTTAATCATCTTTTGCAACAAAGTATGATGATTTGTTTAGCTTTCAGTGGATGGGACCCTAATTGTAATAAGAGAATTTAGCTCCTCCTGCCTCAAACTTGATTTGAACCAAATGAACAGCTTCTAATAAACGACTCACATGCATGTGTATACATGTATATGTGTGCCCATGTGTGCATGTGCACACATACAATCTCTTATTTCAAAACCAGGTAGAATGTCTATTCTTTCTCCAGCAAAAGTGCTAGTCATTAGTATTGATCATGAAATATTTTCATTTGACTCTCTTTCCAGATACATATTAGGATTGTTACTTCCTCTTCTTTTTTGTGTTTGGTTAACCATATAAATAGATCTGGCCAAGGATTTGTGGGCAGAATTCATATGAGTGAATGGGAAGAAGATTTTTTTTTGACAGAGTCTCACTCTGTTGCCCAGGCTGGAGTGCAGTGGCATGATCTCGGCTCACTGCAACCTCTGCCTCCCAGGTTCAAGCGATTTTTCTGCCTCAGCCTCCCAAGTAGCTGGGACTACAGGCACACACCACCACGCCCGGCTAATTTTTGTGTATTTAGTAGAGACGGGGTTTCACCATATTGGCCAGACTGGTCTCAAACTCCCCACCTGACCTCAGGTGATCCACCCGCCTCGGCCTCCCAAAGTGCTGGGATTACAGGCGTGAGCCACTGTGTCCGGCTGGGAAGAAGATTTAATTGCATCTGTGAGTGCCTCAAGATCTTCTTGCCCTCCAGCACAATTACCATAGGAGATCATGGATGCCATGTCAGCCTGGGTCCCTGAGTAACTACAATGAGCAGAGTCCCCTGCTGACTTGTTGTGGATATTTAGCCAGAACAAGAGATTAACCTTTGTTGCCTTAAGCCACTAAGATGAAGGGGCTATTTGTTCTATATAACCTTTGCTATCCTGATTAATTTGGTAACACACCAATCATTGTTTGTCTAATTCAAGGACACAATTACAAGGATAATATTATTATTTTAATAATAGTATTGTTCAAGGAAAGAGTTAAAATAATAATTTGGGAGATTTAGACTTTATGTGCCACATTCATATTTGGTAAGTTTTATTTTAGCTTCCAAAATCTCTGACAGGCTTAGGTGTATTATCTACATTATCTTATTTAAGATTCACTAGTAGTTTTAGTAAAACGGAAGCATCAAGGTAAGAGTTCAAGTAAAATAGAGCAACCAGCCTTTTAAGAAAACCCTTCATGGGCTGTAAATTCCAGAGACCAGATCCTGTAAAAAGGCAGTTTCTGCTCTCAGCCTTACTGTTACCTCTGTTTCTGATTCTATATACTCATATAAGATTGAGTCCAGTGATGCTGAATCGGTTTTGTATGTAAAATTTCCATAAGAAGAAATATTGAACTGAATGTGTTTTCAAAAAATCAATGCATATCAAAGCATTCAGATATGGAAGAGTAGAATACTCTTATATAATATTATTTTTGAAATTTATTAAGTTGAACTGTGTGAAATTATTGACATTCAGCTGTTTTTGACCTTAAGAATCACAGTCTCACATGATTCAATGTAATATTCTAAGGAAATATATTTGAAACTCATATTTCCAAGTACTATAAAATCTATTCACACTAGATTATAACCTTTACATTATGGAAAATCATATTTAGCCACACATCTATGTTATATTTTCTTTATTCATTAGTTAACTAAAACTTTTCAAAATCCTGTTCTGATTACATACAGACTATGGAATAATTATTGCGTCTCAACTCCACAGACCAATGTGTTGCATCTGCATGTTACACAAATCTCTGCCTTTTAGACTTGTCATGTGTCCCTCTAAGACTGTCACTCCAGGTTTCCCTCTTCTTTGTTCACGTGAGCACATCATAACTGCTTCTCCTGCTGCTGAAGCTCTCTCTGGGGCCATGACATTCTAATAATGCATATTGATCCCTCACTTTATTCCCTATAACACAGTTAATATAAGGCTGAAACAGATTATAACTTTATAGAAGTCCTGCAGATAATTTAAGGGAATTACAGAGCAGAAAATAAAAACTCCATGCTTGGTAATCAGACAGTGCTGCTTCTAGAATCTCTTGGCTATCTTCTTAAAGAATTTCCTCTTGGCCATTTCACTTCTCAATACTTATAGGGCTCTGCTTACCGCTCCAGACAAATTCATTCTATTGGATATCCCCTCCCCTGTGGTATAGAGGCCACATTAGCAGACCAGTTGACACAATGATAATGTATGTGCAAACATACTCTCCCCCAAATGGAGATAGCTTTTTAAATCAGGGGTCCCCAACCCCTGGGCTGAAGACCAGTACTGGTCCATGGTCTGTTAGGATCCAGGCCGCACAGCAGGAGGTGAACGGTGGGTGAGTGAGCATTACTGCCTGAGCTCTGCCTCCAGTCAGATCAGTGGCGGCATTAGATTCTCATAGGAGCGGGAACCCTATTGTGAACTGTGCACACGAGAGACCTATGCTGCACACTCCCTATGAGAATCTAATGCCTGTTGATCTGAGGTGGAAGTGTTTCATCCTGAAACCATTCCCCCAGCTCTGTCCGTGGAAAAGTTATCTTCCATGAAACCGGCCCCTGGTGCCAAAAAGTTGGGGACTGCTGTTTTAAATGATTAACTGTGACACTGGCTGTCTTAGTCTGAAGCACATGCATTTGAATTGTTTCCTTATGTAAGGTTGTTCCCAAGAATGGTGGACAGGTACTTGACTTACATGTCTGTGAGTAAACAAGCAAATAAATAAACAAATACGCTCACCAAAGTAGTCACTTTCATAATGAAGGAGGTTTTACTACACTGATAAATTCTAGCTCCCATCCAGCATATCAAGTTATTTTGGATTCCTAAAATGTCTGGTTTTTCACCTTTAATTAAACAGCAACACAAGCATATGGAAAAAAAGTTAAACACTGATCATTAGAGAAATGCAAATCAAAAGCAAAATTAGATACTATTTCATACCAGTCAGAATGGCTATTATTGAAAAGTCAAAAAACAACAGATGCTGGTTAAGTCATGGAGAAAAAGGAACACTTACACACCGTTGGTTGGATTGTAAATTTGTTTAATCATTGTGGAAAGCAGTGTGTGGCAATTCCTCAAAGAGCTAAAAGCAGAAATAACATTTGACCCAGCAATCCCATTACTGGGTATATACCTAGAGGAATATAAATCATTCTATTATAAAAACACATGCAAGTGAATGTTCACTGCAACACTATTCACAATAGCAAAGACATGGAATCAATGTAACTGCCCATCAATGACAGAATGGATACATATACACCATAGAATACTACACAGCCATAAAAAAGAATGAGATTATGTCTTTTGTGGGAACATGGATGGAGCTGGAGGATATTATCCTTAGCAAACTAACGCAGGAACAGAAATCCAAATACTGCATGTTCTCACTTATAATGGGAGCTAACTGATAAGAGCTTATGAACACGAAGGAAACAACAGACACTGGGGCCTACCTGAAGGGGGAGGGTGGGAGAAGGGAGAGGAACAGGAAGATAATTATTGGGTACCGGGCTTAATACCTTGGTGATGAAATATTCTGTACAACAAATCCCCATGCCACATGTTTACTTATGTAACAAATCTTCACATGCATCCCCCATCCTAAAATAAAAGTTTAAAAACAAAACAAAAACAACAAAAATGCTTCTCACATCTTGCAGCTGTTTGTTCATAACCACTCTAGTTTTGCTATTTTCATAAGCTCCCGACATCAGCAAGCCCTTGAGTATCTTCTGAGAAAAATGCTACGTATGAAATATTGCCCTAAAGCTAGGTAGAAAATAAAGTTTATTGGGATATCTTACTATATAAAGAAATCCATTTTCAAAATTGGAAACTGTGAGTATAAATATGATGATTTTTTTCAAGGAATTTCTCACGAATGTCAAAGTTTGTAATATGTCAGTGGCCCCTTCAATTTCCCTTTGCCTATTCTTCTGTTTTGTTTTGAGATGGAGTCTCGTTCTGTGGACCAGGCTGGAGTGCAGTGGCACCATCTTGGCTCACTACAACCTCCGCCTCCTGGGTTCAAGCAATTCTCCTGTCTCGGCATGCATAGTAGCTGGGATTACAGACACCTGCCACCACGCCCAGCTAATTTTTGTATTTTAGTAGAGATGGGGTATCACCATGTTGGCCAGGCTGGTCTCAAACTCCTGACCTCAAGCGATCCACCTGCCTTGGCCTCCCAAAGTGCTGGGACTACAGGTGTGAGCCACTGCGCCTGGCCCTGTTGCCTATTCTTGAGAAGCTATTTCTTTTAGTGAGGGCATTTTTTATGATATCTAGTTATAAATATATATATATAAAATATACACATATTTTTATATATAAAATATATATAAATATACACATATCTTATATATAAAATATATAAATATACACATATTTTATATATAATATATATTATATATATGAAATATACACATATTTTTATATATATAATATATATATTATATATAATATATGCATATATTATATATAAAATATATATATTATATATAAAATATGCATATATTATATATAATATATATAATATAAAATATATAATATATATTATATATTATATATAATATATATTATATATAATACATATATATAATATATAATATATATAAAATATAATATATATATTATATAATATATATATAAATATATATAATATATATATAATATATATATTATATATAAAATATATATTATATGTAAAATATATAATATATATAATATATATATTATATGTAAAATATATATTATATATAAAATATATAATATATAAAATATATATTATATATAAAATATATAATATATAAAATATATAATATATATAAAATATATAATATATATAAATATATATTATATATAAAATATATAATATATATAAATATATATTATATATAAAATATATAATATATATAAATATATATTATATATAAAATATATATTATATAACATATATAATATATATAAAATATGTACATATTAGTCAGACTATACTGACTTTTGTTGAACTTGTGTAGTTTGCATACTGCACTTCATGAAGCTTCAAAATAGGAAAATATATTTTATATATATTATATATATTATATATAATATATAATATATATTATATATAATATATAATATATATTATATATAATATATATAATATATATATACACACACTATACAAATACACTATAGATATGCTATATATAAATATATATGTACTATACATACTATATATAAATATACACTATAAATATATAGTACATATAGTATATAGTGTGTGTATGTACATATATGTGTGTGTACACACATATGTATGTGTATAAATTCATCTTAGCTCTCATTTGTGTCATTTCTACCACACTTTGAGAACCTGATGAATGGATTTAACTTAAACACAACTTTGGTTTAATAACTACTGTTTCATGTTCAGTACATGATTCTGAATGAACAGGCAAGGCAACAAGGTCATATATAAGCAGGGCAGGGTAAGAATTGCTTTCCTATTTTGAAGCTTCATGAAGTGCAGTATGCAAACTACACAAGTTCAACAAAAGTCAGTATAGTCTGACTACAGAAAAAATAATGATTTTGCTGAATAGTGTCTCTGATTTGCAAGTTGAGGACTGTTATGAAAAGATGCATAGCACTAATTATTTCATTCCAGGAGTACTCATTGATTTGTTTGTTCATAGACATGGTTTGATTGTCTATGATGTGTCAGGCATTTTACTAGGTATTGGGAATACAGTTTTATATATATATAGAGAGAGAGTAGCATTCTCCCTCAAGGAGAAATTTATAGGTACAAGGGAGTATATAAGCATGTACTAATAATCACTACAGGGTAGATACGGTAATAGAGATATACAGAATATGCTTTACATGCAATGGTGCACAAAAATGATAATTACTAAATTTAACTGGGTGAACTGGAGAAAATTGCATAAAGAAGGTACTACCCCGACTTATCTCTCTTCCTGTTTTACATTTCATCTATCAAGTTGCCCTTCAACAGTGATCTGAAAATGTATCCAGAATCCAATCACTTCTCACTTGTTTCATCATTTTTTCCTGTGCCACCATGAGCTCACTCTAGATTATTACAGAGACCTCCTAGCTTTCACCTTTGCTTTATGTAAAGTCTGTTCTCAACAAAGACACCAGAATAATCCTTTGAAACATGAGTCGTATCATGTTATTTCTCTGCTTGGAAGTTTTTGATGGCTTCCCTTTTTCCTCAGAGTAAAAGCGAATGTCTGTAAAGCAGCATAAAAGGTTTTAGATGATCCAGCCCCCATTCCTCCAGCCTTTTCTCTTCCTCTTCTCTTTCCCAGTGCTCACTCTGTTCCAGCCTCGCTAGTCCCCTTGTGATTCCCCCAGCACACCAGGAACACTCTTGTCCTGCTGCCTTTGCACTGACTGTTCCCTCTGTCAGCAGTGCTCTTTTCCCAGGTACCTACCTGGCTCACCTCCCAACATCGTCAAGTCTTTTCATCAAACACCACTTGTCAATGGGGCCCACCTTGGCCATTCTATTTAAGATTGACATCCTTTTCCCCAAGCACCCTTGGTTCTCCCTTCCCAGCTCTGCATTTTCATCATATTCACCAACGTCTAACATTCCATACAACGTGCTAACTTACTATGTGCCATTGTCTACTGGCTGTCTCTCTTCCTAGAAAGTATTTCTTGTAAGACAAGCAATTGTTGCTGTTTTGCTTTATCAAAATCAAGTGACATGCTGCTTAGCATATAACAGGCACTCAATAAATGCTTGTTGAATTGAATGGATGAATGGGTGTAGAGAGAAAATGATTCAACTCAGAAGGGATAGAATTCAGAAAAAAATGGATAAATCTTTAATAATGTAGAGATTTTGTTTTTCATGCTTATTTTCAATATTAATATATCTATATCTCACTGATAAAAGTTGAAGGGCTAGATTTTCATCTCTGTCAAACTAAAGATAAGATTTTAATTTTGTTCATTTTTAAAAATGTTTTCAGTAGAACCAAACTGTACTTATTTTGGTGGTTTATACTCATTCTATTATTGCTTACAGATATAAAATCAAATGACAATATTTAAGGAGTGATTAATTTTATATTTGAGTAGCTTGGCAAATAAGCTACTTAAAATTTTCAAGAGGCTAAAATGATTCATGTTTTAATAAAGAAAATCTTGAGAAATTACTGTAAGAGGTGGTACAAAGTTTGATGTATCAAACAAGAAGCTAGTTCAAAACTTTATAGCTGCAGCAAAATGTCAGGAATATTTCATTTTTATTCCTGATGTGATGGTATTATGGCTGGAAGCTTTTTTGCATGTTTAATACTTACATTGTTTTACTTTTAAATAATTGGTCCTTAGGACTCCCTGTTTTCTAGCTAAAGAGTACCCACTTCCTACGTATGAAATGCCCCTTATAACAGTTGATTCTATTTTAAGTATTAATAACATTTTCAAGGTTTTTAAATATTTTTAAACTTTCTAAACTGTGTAAAATGACAAATTTGCTGATTTGAAGGGCATGTATTTGATTTGAAAGGTGAAATCTATGGCTGAGTGAAGAAAAATGCAGGCAGGAAGGGCTATTTTTATCCAGCTGATATGTTTCTAGAGAACAATAAGCATAGTAATAGTATTGGATAAAGTGAAAGGGTGCTTAGAGAAAGTGTGTTCTTAACATGAAATTAATTCACTATGGTTCTCTAAATGAGGAACTGGTGTGTTTTTCCAACCTCTCCAATGAGAAAATATAGTTACCTTTGATGGATAATGCTAAATAATCAACTGCTTCTATTTTTAACTTAAAAACTTTTGCTCAGAAATGCTGGCTTCACAATGATTGCTAATTCCAAACAACACAAGTTTTCTTCTTCCAGTGGAAATTAGCAGGAATGTTCTTTATTAGAGATGATGTATCTGAGATTCCCTTTGATCCACTTAGGAATTCTGAATGAGCAGCTCCAGGAAAGAATTAGTTCTACCTCTCTCTCCCTTTGACAGTGTTTCATACTAAAAGATCTTCAGAGTACTGATGCTATTTCTGGCACTTGAATGCTAATGTGGACATTTTATATTAGTGCTGCATTAAGGACTACACATAAAACAAGTCAGTATGTTTTCTCACAGTTCGAGAGGGAAAAGTGAGGGGGGCTTATGCTTGACTGGAATAAATGCGTTCCTGGCTTTGAGACATCATGCAGTTTACAGGCTATCCAAATGGAAATGTTTTATATAGTTTTACATCAAAGATAGACAATGCTTTTGTTACTCTGCATTTTACCAGTGGGAATACTCACACACTTCCTGCAGTTCTTTTTGTGTAGGGGCAGGGTAATGGTTTTTTGAAAGGAGGCCTAATAAAAAATTGCCAACTAAAAGCACTCTTCTTATTTTAAATAAGCAGATTAAACTTTATAAAAAAATTCTCCTGGGCTGGGCGCAGTGGCTCACGCCTGTAATTCCAGTACTTTGGGAGGCCAAGGTGGGTGGATCACCTGAGGTCAGGAGTTCGAGACTAGCCTTGCCAACATGGTGAAAACCCACGTCTACTAAAAAAATACAAAAATTAGCCAGGCACGATGGCGCATGCCTGTAATCCCAGCTACTCGGGAGACTGAGACAGGAGAATCGCTTGAACCCGGGAGGCAGAGGTTGCAGTGAGCTGAGATCATGCCATTGCACTCTGGCCTGGGTGACAAGAGCAAAACTCTGTCTCAAAGAAAAAGAAGTTATCCTAATTTTACTATAAAATTACTATTAAATAAATTACTAATTAATTACTATTAAATGAATAGTAATTAGCTAAAGCTGAGTCTCATGAAACAGTATTTCCTTAAAATACACAGAGGAATTGTTAGACATGTAAATTTGAAATTGCTTGTGGATCGCCCCACCTTGCCAAATCAACCCAAGGATTTATGATGAAAAGTGTAGAGTCTATAAATGAAAAGCAACTAAGTAAAAAGTGTTGTCTCAAAAGTTCTTGGGTAATGTCAAAGCTCTAGAATTTTATATTTAATAAATATTCTATCTTAATTTATCCTACTGTCCATTTGTGGGTCTTTGCATTCATCTCTAATATGACACTGCTAATTGGGGCTGAAAGAACTCTACCTTTATATTTCTACACCATTGCCTCTTTGAACCTGTTTACTGTTACAAATATGTTCTATTTATCCATGGTTGGCGTCGTATTAGTCCATTCTTGCAATGCTGTAAAGAAATACCTCAGACTGAGCCATTTATAAAGAAAGGTTTAATTGGCTCACCGTTCTGCAAGCTGTACAGACGCATGGCTGGGGAGGCCTCAGGAAACTTACAATTACGGTGGAAGGCTAAGGAGAGGCAGGCATGATTTGCATGGCTGCAACAGGAGGAAGAGAGAGTGCGGGAAGAGCTACACACTTTTAAACAACCAGATCTTACAGTAACTCACTCACTATCACGAGAACAGTAAGGGTGAAATCTGTCCCCATGATCTAATCAGCTCCCACCAGGTCCCACCACCAACACTGGAAATTACAATTTGACATGAGATTTGGGTGGGGATACATACCCAAACCATATCAGCATCCATGAATAGCGTCATATTTTTGTGTTTACTAAAGCTATCAGGTAGCTGGGTATGTTGTCTCACAAAGCAATCATGGCCAGGCTCAGTGACCCATGCATGTAATCCTAGCACTTTGGGAGGCCAAGGCAGGTAGATCCCTTGAGCCTAGGAGTTCAGGACCAGCCTGGGCAACATGGCAAAACCCTATCTTTACAAAAAATACCAAAAAAATTGCCTGGTGTGGTGGCATGCCTGTACCCCCAACTACTCAGGAGGCTGAGGTGGGAGGATGGCTTGAGCCCGGGAGGTCGAGGTTGCAAGGAGCCCAGATCATGCCACTGCACTTCAGCCTGGGCAGTGGGAGTGAGACCTTGTCTCAAAAAAATAAAAAATTGAAAAACCAAAAACCAAAAAAAAATCATGTCTATATGGATTGTCCCCTATTGGAGAAACTGGTAGTTTGAAGGTATTTTAAAACTAGAGAAAAATGAACTGGTTAATTCTCTCCTGCTTTCTCTTTCTCTGGCAGTTTTTATCTTCCGTTATTTGAAATGCATGAGCAACCAACTTTTACATCTGAAAGAAAGAAGATAAGGAGGCTAGTGAGAGAGAAACCTGGGAATAGTTAAAGCCTTTGAGAAACTTTGTTATGAACCTTGAAGATGTTAAAATCAGACAAAGGCAAAAAAGAAGTTTCTTCTCACTAAGCATTGATTTAATAAGAGATAATGAAGCTAATGAAGCTGGGGGGATTTTTTTTTTTCAGTTAATACCAAATAAAAGGCAATAGGTAATACTGGTAAGGCACCAGGAGAGGCATTTGAATTTGTCTTTGCTTCTCCTCTGCCTCTTGTCTCCTTCTTGAATATTTCTTACCCCTTTATTACTTGATGTAATACAGGCTTCATAAAATAACTAGACCAAGGTTTAACAGAAACCCATTATAACACAGCTCCCTGTTAAATGGATACAAAAAAATAGGTCAAATCATGTTCTCTAAAGCATAAAGTGATATCATAAGTGCTAAATATGAAAGTTTGCCTGAGGTGACTAGCAGTGGGAGTGAAGGAGTTCCATTTCATTTTCTCTCTTGTCACAGTCCTTGACTTTTCATGGAATATAAGTAGATGCTTTGGACAGCTCTGATGGCCACAGACAAAGGGTGGCCATGTGTGTGTCTATCATGCTACCTTAGGATACTGTTTAGGAACATTTGTTAAAAGGACACTAAAGTATTAGGCTCTTTGATTTCCTTTCACAATGGAAGAGTCCCATATTTTATCCTTACATTCAGAGGCATTATTTTTCCCCATATTCCAAATTCAGAAGTCATCAATGGACACAGCTGGGGAGACAGGCCCACGGCACTTCTGATCTGTTTCACCAGGCTCAGGGTAAGCCCCTGCACTCTTCTGGGGTGAGATGCCAGCTTTGCCTTCCTGTCACCTCCACAATATTTCCATTGTCCCTTATTTTATTTTCTGCCTTTTCTTCCTGTTTCTTAGGCATCGTCATTACAGTTTAGCCAAGTTAATTAAAATACAGCAGCATGCTTGTAAGACAGGGCATGTCCTGCACAGTGAGCAGCATTTCTGTAGAACTAATTTGGCAGTGCTATATTTAGTTTGGGAAAGGCAGCTGTGAGCATTCACTTAATGTGCATGAATACTCTGCATTATTAGACCCTCACTGCTACTTTTACTTGTTGAAATAGGATGAGGGATATTTCTGATTTTGCATTGTTTTCCAATTTTGGTTTATTTTCTTGATTTCTGAACTTTTTTTTTACATATTCATAAAAGAATAAAAGCATGATTTATTGTAGTCCAGTTTAAAGATGGTGTGGAAAGGGCTCTGTGGACTAGCACTTCATAAAGTAACCACTAATATAGAATATATATTAATATTGTATATTAGATAATATATAATATATATTCTATAGTGCATATAATGTATTAATATTGTATATTATATGTTATAATATATATTTGTATATCAGATTATTATATGTAACATATTAGTATGTTGTATTTTTATACATAATACTATTATATATGCTATATGTTACTTGTATGTTATATATGTTATATATCATATATAGAATGTTGTATTTCTATTTCCAATAAAAATAGAAATGCAAGCCACACATGTAATTTTTAATTTTCTAATAGTCTTACTAAAAAAGTAAAAATAAACAGGTGAAATTAATTTTAATAATATATTGTATTTAACCCAATAGCATATCTAAACTACTATCATTTGACCTGTAAATATTGAATAACATAAAAGTCATGAGCTATTTTATGCTCTTTTTTAATAATAAATCTTCAAAATCGGTGTGTATGTTACACTTAGAGCACATCTCAAATCAGACTGGCCGCATTTAAAGCACCCAGGAGCCACAATGGCAGTGGCTCTGAAGCGCACAGCACAGCTATAGACTAAGATCAGAATTGCTGGCAGTAACCTGTCTTAAACCAAAGCTGTTTCTTCTGTGCTAATGATATAGATTGTGTTTCTCCTCCTAGAAACGTTATGGTCTGTAATTGATATCTTTGCAAACAGAAAGAAGAGGAGTAAAAGACTAACTGCAGGGACAATGACATAAATGTATCAATACACATTACTTATTTTTTTCCAAATCTAAAGCAAGTCTTGGGAAATATCTTTGGGCTTCTATTTCTTTTGCTGCCTGGGTATTTCATTTTATCCAGTGTCAAAGGGAACACTGGCTCATCAGTGGATTGTCAATTATTTCAGAGGATTGCTATAAATGTCCACCACCCACACCCATGCAATTGTACATGGGAGAGTTTTAAGACAAATTTCTGGAAGCAATTTCACCTTTGAAAAAGAAACTGGAAAAATCATTTTCCTGGATCTGCTTAAACCATGTTGAATATTTTCTCCCACATTCCATTAGGCAGAGTTTAAATATGATAAAGATATTATTAAACCAATGGAGCATGTGTTTAGATATACATGCATTAACCTCTGAAAACAACAGCAACAAAGAACCACAAAATGAAGACTTGTTCTTTTCTCACATCTTTATTACTCACTTCTCATCTTCCTTTCACACTCTTAAACTCTCCAGCTGCTCATCTCTAACTTGCACTGACACTAATTCTGGTAACTCACTAGATCAGAGACTACTTTAGCCCAAGAAACCTAAATAATTTCTTCCCTTGATTTCCCAGGAAAAAGAAATCTGTCACTTCTTGGAATAGAATTTCCAATATGAATACAAAGTAGATTTAATGGCTTTAAATTTTAAAATAACCACCTTTAGTTTATTAAACTGGATTTTTGAACATTGTTAAGTCTGTTTTAATTATTATGATGGACTTAGGGTAGTTTAAAGAAAAAGCGGTAAATTTTATCTGCACAATTCAGGGTTTTAAAGTTCTGTTGGGCAGCCATTATATTTCAGGCACTGAGATTGGTGCTAGAGATAGAAAGATGAATAGGACACAATCTAAGCCCTCAGTGACAAGACTCTAATAGGAAACATGATGATAGACATGAACCAGTAGCCATGATACAGTGCTAGAAGTCCAAAGAAGAAATTCATAAGACCCTGGACAGTGAAGAGATGATGTTTCACAGGGGAATAGAGGAGTGAAGGAAGGAGTCAAAAGGGGACCACTTCACTAAGGCACTAATGGACCAAATGTCTGCAAGACTTAATGCAGTCACAGTATAGGATAATAGGGGAAATAGAGTAAAACAGCTGGAATGATTAGAGTTGTGGTCAGAGATTAGATCCTATCTATGAACATGGGAGTGGATATTGACCTACAGCAAAGGTTAAAGTGCTGGGAAGTCTGAAGGTGAGTCACTGACATAGAAATGGAAACTTCCCCAAGAGGATGGCAGGAGCTGCTGGGAAGGGGAATATTTTATAAATCAACCACATATTTACCACCTCAAATTTAACATAACCCACATGGAATCCTAGTATCGCTACCCGACTATGTCCTACTCTAATGTCCCAGTCTTAGTAAATATCACCCCGCATTCATCCAGTAGCTCATGCCAGAATCCTCTCAGTCATTCCTGATGCTGTCTTCTTTCTCACCCCCATGGCTTATGCATCACAAGTCCTAGTGATTCCATGAACAAAGCATGTAAATGCTCTCCTCCATTTTCAGTCTCTATACCACCACTTTGATGCATGCTTCGCTATCTCCAAAACTACCATTTTCACCTCCCTGGTCCACCACGGTAGCATCCCTCCTAAATGTCCTGTTTCCCTCCTTACTTCTCATCAACTCCTTTCTTTTATCCTATGATCTTCAAATTTTGTAAATTATTAGTAGTAAAAAAAATTTTAGCATGTGCCTGCAATGTATGCATATCTGTAAGTTGCAAAGATGTACTACTGTTTCTGTACTAATATATTATACATGTTTAAAATGTGTGCAAAAGTACAAATGTTAAATGATGAGTATGAAATAGTGCTAAAATATTTTAATCATACTTATTGATCATACAAAACCTTTTTGCTCTCACTAAACATTAATAATAGGAGAAATGTGATTTGTATGCTTCATTATTTTTTCAAATCTGGATTTAAAACTTGTAGCAAATCCCAATTCTGCTTCGTCATGCAGTTTATTTTGATGATTAATTTAATAGCTGTCATGTCTGAAAAAGATAACTCACAGAGACACATAGATCTGGATGAAAGAAGTACATCTTTGATTTTACCAACTAGACATTTGTGTCAGTCCATTCTTGTGTGGCTGTAAAACGTACCTGAGATTGGATAATTCATAAAGAAAAGAGGTTTGTACTAGAGTTGCCCAGCAGTGTTCCAGAGCACTGGCCTTCATATATGTTGCATGTGGCCTCTCTGAGGATATTTTGAAGATCCAATCCTGTCCATGCCTATTTTAAGATTTTAGTTTAAATAATACATTCTTCATTTTAGGTTAAATAGTTAGAAAAAATATAATTATCACTGAAATTTAAACACTGACATTTAATTATAACTATTATGTATCTCCTTAAATGTGCCACTGAAACATAAATGCCAAAGTGAATTGATACCCAACATAAGGCTAAATAGCACAGGGAAAGCTCTTCTCATTGCATCCATCAGGTGATGCAGAATTTTGATTCATCCCATGACTCATGTTATTAACCAGATGACAGAAGGTGCTGTCTGCTAGCCTTTTCCATTGGAAATCTCCTCTTTTCTCTGTCTATTTAATGCATATTTTTTTTGGAAAGGCATTTTGAGATTTTATGTTTATCCCTTTCATCATCAAACTGTCAATTTATTGTTTGTTTATTTATGTGAATACAGACTCATGGGTTTCTGCCGTAATCCAATGGGTTATAATCTGTTACAATCATTTATTTTGATCTTCAAGTTGTCTAAGGCTTGGCCACTGGGAGCCCCTTGAAACTTCTCTGAATTTTTGGCATATCCCCATTATTCCTTGAGCAATTCCTTATACTGCAGCACATTAGATGTTCCAGACTCAACTTACAGTTTCTCTACCTTAGCCCTGAATCCTCCATTTCTCCAAGGTGCCATGATTTCTTTTAGTGGATAAAGGACAATAATATTTAGAGAAAATATATGAGTGTTTATGGCTAATGGGGGTATCACTGCTCTTACACACTCTTAGTTGACAGAGCTAAGGAATATATTTTATACTCATGCATATGCATATTTCCATATCTGTTTATTTTATATCTATATATTTTGAGAACCATGAATTCATACTGGTATCTCTAGTTCCAATCTGATATAATAGAGTTACTTCTGGTTTTCTGCTTTTTTATATTTGTAATTCCTTTCTCATCCATGGTGAAGCTTCTGATTCTTGTTATTCTCAATATGTTATTTGATCAGTCTCCTTGTGTGTAGCCAATCTTGAGTTGCCGCTACTGCCACCACCAGGAACCCTGCAGGGACACCCTCTCCACCCTGCTTGGTTTCTGACACTATGTGCTGGGCCTCCCTCTTTGGGTTGACCTCGTCACCCATCTCAGACTCTGAAACCCACACTCTGCTACCACCCCTTGAGTAGACATTCTTCTCATGCTGGTCTGGCTCTGACATTTCACTCTGGTACCATGGCCCTCTCCCAAAGCAACTGCACGGATGGCTAACTAGTTCTGCTCCATTTCACTGCTTTGGGACTGAATTGTTTAGAAAAGGGAGAGGAAGAGAAAAGGAAGCAAAACCATGTTTTAGTGGACTGGTCCTGTATTGCTGCAGTGAACATAAAATGCCGTTTTGTTATAAATAAATACTATTAAATCTAGGTTTCCTGAATGAGATTTGAAACATCATTAAATGTTTTGGTTTTGCTAAATACATAATGAATGCATATTATGGCAAATGACTTAAAGTTGCAGTCCACCTCTTTATTCAGTTGTTACTTTTGACTTGGCATTTTCTGAATACCTTAAGAACTTGAACAACAAACAGATGATTACCCTCCACCGCCTCATCACTATTACCACCCGGGTCATCAGACAGTGGTACTTGTAGAGTTTCCACATTGTCCTGACAAATAACAATTTACCCTTGAACAATGCAGGAGTGAGGGGCACTGACCCCTTTCCCTGCACAGTCAAAAATTTTTGTATAACTTTTGACTCCTTAAAAAACTACTTGGCTGGGCGCAGTGGCTCACACCTGTAATCCCAGCACTTTGAGAGGCCAAGGCCAAGGTGGGTGGATCATGAGGTCAGGAGTTTGAGACCAGCCTAGCCAACATGGTGAAACCCCATCTCTACTAAAAATACAAAAAGTAGTCAGGCGTGGTGGCAGGTGCCTGTAATCCCAGCTACTCAGGAGGCTGAGGCAGGAGAGTTGCTTGAACTGGGGAAGCGGAGGTTGCAGTGAGCTGAGATCGCGCCACTACACTCCAGCCTGGGCAACAGAGTGAGACTCCATCTCAAAAGAAACAAACAAACAAACAACGACAACAAAAAACACACAAAAAAATACTAATAGGCTACTATTGAGAAGCCTTACTGATAACAGTCAACACATATTTTGTATAATTATTATGTACTATATTCTTACAGTAAAATATGCTAGAGAAAATAAAAATGTTATTTAGAAAATCATAGGAAAGAGAAAATATATTTACTATTAAGTGGAAATGAACCATCATAACGGCCTTCATCCTTATTTTCTTCATGTTAAGTAGACTTAGTAGGAGGTGGGGGAAAGGGAGGGGGTGGTCTTGCTGTCTCAGCGATTGCAGAGGCAGAACAAAATCCACATATAAGTAGACCCACACAGTTCAAATGCATATTGTTCAGGAATCAACCGTATCTAGTTACTATAACTCAATCATATAACAGTGTATGAAAATTTATCTAAGCACACAAATTATATTGTTTCTGAAATTCAGTATCCTCATCTATATTTAGGCTATTCTTGCATTGCTATAAAGAAATACCTGAGACTGGGTAATTTATAAGAAAAGAAGTTTAATTGGCTCATGGTTCTGCAGGTTGTACAGGAAGCATCTGCTTCTGGGGAGGCCCCAGGAAGCTTTTGCTCATGGTGGAAGGCAAAGTGGGAGCAGGCATGTCACATGGCAAAAGCAGGAGCAAGAGAGAGTGGGGTGGGAGGTGACATACACTTTTAAATGACCAGATCTCGTAAGAACCCAATACCGTGTAAACAGCACCAAGCCATGAGGGATCCACCCCCATGACCCCATGACCCAAACATCTCCCCCCAGTCCCCACCTCCATCCAGCATTGGGGATTACAATTCAACATGAGATTTGGGTGGGGACAACTATCCAAACTATATTATCATCTTTACAATGCAATCGTGTAATTTGGATGAGCTTCATAAAATGGATTGTTAAAGAAACCCCAATAGCAGAGCAGTGAAGAGAATTTCAAGGATGCTCAGTGATATGATGACAAAAATAAGTTGAGTTTACTCTGCAACAAGTGAGTGTTTGATTTTGCAGCCACACCTCATCATTAAGACAGTTAACACTGTATTTCATACTTAGACATTTTTAGAAGAAAGATATTATTTAAAATAATGCTATAAATTTTAGTGTTATTTTTCTTGACATTGTCTTTAAAAAGATTAAGTACTCTTGTAATTAATCTTTACACAATTACATTAATATATGTAACATTAAGAAGTAGAGAAATTACTAGCCAAAAAAAGCAGGTTAGGTTAAGAAGACCTTATGAATATTACATATACTTCTCAGAAAACCAGAGAAAACATCATGTACTGTTCTGTCAAGATAATGTGATACTTAAATAATCCTTTTAGGCTTTTTTTTTTTCTTTAAACCTGGTTGGTAAAGAGAATAATTGGAAATGTTCCTTTTACCAGCACAGTTCAACAATACAATGAAATGTCAATACTTTAGAAAATGAATTAATGATAATTGTTAGGAATTTTAGTCTAGGCAACCGCTGAAATTGGAATGCAAAGTAGGCTTCTAATTATTTTTACAAATTTAGCTAGAGGGATGTTTTTAACTCAGCTACTTTTAATATTTAACTTTCTTCAAAGCATTAAGGTATATAAGCATTCGAGCACTGAGAAAAGCAAATTAAAATTAAAATACCACCTCCAAAAGGGACAGGAAAAAATCCCGGTCAAAGATCAGGAAGACTTCAGTAGTTTTATTTCTGGTGAAGAAAATTTCCAAATGGTCATTCTTAAATCCTAAATTCTCAGCTTTGCTTCAGATTCTTTTGAAGCCATCCGTTAGGTGGAAAAGGTTCCCCACATCAAAAACAATGATTATATCTGTACAGAATAAGCTCTTTTCTAAAAAAAAAAAAAAAAAAAAAGTCAAAACTCTTACAAGTATTATCGATACTTGAGTTGGCTGTTGGTAATTGGAAAAACCTTACAGAGTTCAGAGTTTCAGGTAGAAATCCCTTATCTAGTGATGATTCTGGGACAGGACTGGCTTACCTTTGACAAATGACAGTTTATAGTCAGTTGAAGATTGCTTAAGAAGAGAAAGTATAGCCAATTCAAATGAAAAATATAGATAAGGCAGGGTAAGCTCCATAGGAAGAAACTGATTAGGACAAGATTGTAGGACTGCAAGGGAAAAAAAGTGACCTTGTACATAAAGTGAGAAGGGAAGGCCCTGAGTCAAAGGAATGCATGGTGGAAGGGGCTTTGAGAGAAATAAAATATGAATTGCTTTCTTACCATAGAACACCTGGAAGAATTGCTATTTTCACATTTCCAAATCACACCACATACTTCTATTCTAAGGTAGCTGACTGCAAATAATTGTAATAATGCTGTTCGGACACTCATCTTTTGGAGATGGACTATTTAGAAAACTAGAAAATTTTATTTTTACACTTTTATTCATGACCAGAAATCAAAATTCTATAAAGAGTATTGCAGGATTTCAAAGCTCACAGGTAGTTGGGCAAAGTATGCTGGGTAAAAAAAAAACTGAAGCAGAGAATGTTAGGTTTTCCAATGTATGGAAAGGCATGGAAGTGCGAAAGCCTTGTTCAGGAGGACAAAGCTTTGGATGGCTCTGAAAGTCAAAGTGAAACAGATAATTAAGCTAAGTAAATAATTTTGTTTAGAATTAGTCTAAATTTGAGGAGTTGTCTAAGTTTATATAGATAAGTTAAGCAGCATATTGAAAATGAAACGATGTCTAATCTCTTGGAGATTGCTGAGTTTTATGGAAAACAGGACTCATGCAACAGCATTATCTAAAATTGGAGAACCTCCTGGGTATTAGCTACTATTCAACAATGAAATTCTAAATTCAAAATTAGAAATTCAACAATGAAATTCTAAGTGGGTAACCCCACTTAGAGGGGAGACAACAATTTCTGCCATGTGGAGAAAACATTTTTACATGAAACGGACTCTGGACGCTATTCTATCAAAAGTCATGGTAGGATGATACGTACTCATGTTACAGACGCATGGCTCAAAAACAGCAGAGGGAGAAAGAAAGTATTAAGAAGTACTGCTCCTCAAAAATTGGCTTTACTTTCTTGCAAAAATAGGGAGTTGGCATTTTGCAGAGTCGTTTGGAGGCAAATCATCTCCTTAGAAATGCAGTTAATAAAGACCACTTAAAAAATGCAATGAAAAAAATTTTTTTTCAAACTGAAAAGACTGAAAATTTTCTTTAAATCATGTTACACTTTTTGTGACAAGGAAATAACTACTCAAATGACCTGGAGTAGAGCTAGAGGGAGCCAAGGAAACTTACAAAAGTGAAAACATTATGCAAACATGAAATTCAGGACTGGCAACTACCCTTTATCACACTCGTGTGTGTAGTAAAATATAATGAATTACACTTTAGTCAAAAATGTAGAGCTACAATTTGGAAATATAGACTCAAATAATCTCAATCATTTTAAAATTTATACCATTGAAAATTAAATACCTTCTTCAGGTATTTTTTTACTGTGATATCTGAATCAGAGAAATTCCTAGGGGCAATTGCAGTCCACTTCTGATACTTGGGTTGCGTTGAGCAAATAAATAGCACCTCATAAAGAACTCTGCCTCCTCAAGGTTTATTTAGGGCTGGATATGCTATATACTGCATAATATAACACCAGTAAAGGGAGACTTAAAAGGGAATAAAAATACTACTTAAATAACTTTTTACCTCAAGAAAGCCAACACTAAGCCCAGGACTTGGCATATAATAGATATTCAACAGGTAATTGCTAAAATCCATAGTTTCCATTTTTATGTACTTTGTATATCATGATATGCATCCATTATTTTACAAAGCTGTAATCAGTTGGTAAAAATGCAATTTTATTTTTTTATCAGTTTACTTAATACAACCATAGTAGTAAGAAAAATGGTTTCTGTAGCTGACAGGCTTCTCATAAACATTGACTTCATACATGACATTTATTAGCCTCAAGATTATGCTATTAAAAATATGGCTCAAAGAATATCTTCTTACATACTTGCCTTTTCCTTTGCTGGAAATTCGTGGTCAGAATTAATTTCTATAAATTATTGACTTTTATCAAAGGATATGAAGATTTTAGTCTGATTAAAATTGGTTTATAAGTTGCTTTCTCTTCAGGCCGTACCAACACACACTGGTAGAGAACCTATGAAAATATCACCTTTATAAGAAAGTTCCAGAATGTTTTTGTACAGGAGGAGGGCTATGTCAGTCAATGGTCACAGATTTCTCTTACCAGTCAGTTAGAATGTATGTAGGAGTCTGGTCTATTCAAATTACCATGTTGGGTACTTTTATGAGGAGAAGAAATTGATAGAATGCATAGTCTCTGTCATTAACTTACCATCTAGTTGGGAAGACTAAACTTATTTTATTAAATTACTATACTCACAGCACTATCCAAGATGTTGCAGTGTGGAGAGGGTAGGAAGGAAGGTTGAACTTGATAAGAAACAGAACAATGGTCCTTACCTTCAAAAAATTGGCCACGTAGCTGACTGGAGTCAATGGAGTAATAAATATTCCTTGTGGTTATAAATGAGCTTACTGTAAATTTCACACATTTCAAACTTCTAGAATAGAGAACTTTTATCCTTCTTAGGCCACCCTATCAATCTTATGTACTTCAGGAAAATTACTCTAAAAATGTTGAAATATGGCAAGTGCTTGTTTTTAAATTATGTTGCCACCATGACAAGGGCTTTCTTGACATTATTTGAGATATGTTAGATAACCTGAGGACAGTAAGGTTTGGAACCATTATTGAGGAGGCAGATTCTAGGCCTCTGTAATCATGATACTTTGCTCCATTGAAAAGCTATCAGAGGATTAACATTTATAGTTGCAGAGGAAGATGTTAGTGATTCTTCTGAAGTGAAATTGTTAACATATCTTTTTTGTTTGTTTGTCTTGTTTTTTATTTGTTTTGTTTTGTTTTGTTTTTTGAGACAGCGTCTCACTCTGTCCGCAAGCTGGAGCGCAGTGGCGTGATCTCGGCTCACTGTAACCTCCGCCTCCCGGGTTCAAGCGATTCTCTTGCCTCAGCCTCCTGGGTAGCTGGGACTACAGGCGCGTGCCATCACGCCTGGCTAATTTTATGTATTTTTGGTAGAGACGGGGTTTCACCATGTTAGCCAGGATGGTCTCAATCTCCTGACCTCGCGATTCACCCACCTCGGCCTCCCAAAGTGCTGGGATTACAGGCATGAGCCACCGCGCCCGGCCAACCTTTCTTTAACTTCAAAGATTGCATTCCGTAAAGATGATAAAGCTCAGGTTCTGGAATAGCCTGGTGAGATATTGTCATGAAAAGTGGTGAGAGAGGTGAAAAGAGTTAGAGGGCTGGTAAGCAGAAAGGAAAAAAGAAAGAAAGAAAATCTGATTTAAAAGATCTATATATACAATAGGCGTGATGTTCTTCACTTTGAGAATGAGATATTAGCATCATAGGCTTCTTAGAATGCTGAGGAGTCTCTGCAATGACTAAAAAGTTAGTTTGAGGAAACATATTTTGGACCTTTACTATGAATAGAGATGGCTATGAGTCAGTGCTTTTCACCGGCTGCATCTTCCTGCTGAGAGGATCAAGATTATCCCATCAGAGTCAACCAGGAAGCAGATTCTTTGTACTGGATTGTGTATCAAAAATGTGATTGATTCATTTGTCCTTTATTCACTTACCCATTTATTTGTCCAGCAAGTACTGACTGAATTCTAACTATGTACACTCTTCTAGGAGCTGGGAATACTGAATAGAATATGGTGGACATATCCTCTCTAGTGTCATGAAGTCAGGAGAGCAATCAGACTAGTAATTGTAGTAAGTTGTGTTGAGCAGTAATGCTAAGGAAGTACAGAGGGGTATGGGCACAACTAGCAAATGATTCTAATGTATTCTAGAGGATTGGGAAATGGCTCCATGAGGATGTCCAGTTTAACATGAGTAGGAAATATCCTAGAGAGGGACTGGGAAACAGCATTCTGGATGAGAGAAAAACAGGTAATGAATGAACAAAGGCAAAAGAGAGAGAAGAATTTTGAGGAAATAAAAGAAACGTTCAGGATGGCCCCCGACATGGAGTTTGAGAGGGATGGTAATTAGAATTGAGGCTGAAACAGCAGGTAAGCCCTAGATTACATGAGTCACTTTAAAGAGTTGGAACTTTATTGTAAGTGAAACAGGCATCAATTGGTTTTATGCAGGGGAAAGTACTAGGTCGATTTGTGTTCATTACAGGGCAATTTGGCGGCTGCGTGGAGAATGCATTTGAGGGGATAGGGAATTAAGTCAGCAAGATTGGTTAGCAGACCACAGAAGTAATACACATGAGACAAAATGGTGGACTCTTCCACGGTTTTGACAATAGGAATGGAAAGAAGTGAAGGAATTGAGAGGAAAAGAGGTAAATAAGCAAGAATTGGAGCTGGTTGTAAGATTTGCTTTAATGAACAAATCTGAGTAAGAACTTGATGTAAGATTCAGTAAGAGGAGGAGCAAGGGATTATATTGAAGTTCACCTTAGGAAACTTAGTGGTACCATGATGTGATATTAAGTTAAAAAAAAAAAGTTAAAGAAGTTAAATGATTTCACTTAGGGACATAAGTTTGAGATGCCTGGGAGCCATCGAAAGTGAAGAGGCTTAATAAGCAGTCAGTTATACAGATGCGGAATTCAGTAAAGATTTGACCTAGAAATATGGATTTGGGAGTCATCAGCAAATAGATGGTAATTGAAACAATCGGAAGGATGTGATTATCCGGGGAGAATGAAAATAGAACCCTGCAGAACAAAGGTAGTTAAGGAGGAGGGTAAAGGAAAATGAAGCTACAAAGATGATTGAGAAAATTGACCCGAACAGTGAGACAACAGCCATGAGAGTGTGCTGACTCAGAAACTAAGAGCAAACACTGATTGGGAGGGACGGAGCAGTGCCATTTGCAGCTGTGAAGATCCGGCGAGTTAAGGACAGAGAACTTAGTGAGGTGGATGAGAACAGTTCCAGTAGAGTCGGAGAACAAGTGCCTGTTTATATATAGCACTCCATTTCCTTCTTTTTCTTCTGTAAATCAGATCACCTGGGCTGTGAGCATCATGTGAAAGTTAAGAATACATGGAATTCCAGTAAAGACCTCTTTCTTCCGTAAATTACATGACCTGTAGGAACATTCATTGTGATTTTTTGGAGCTGTTTTTCCTCACTTTTTGTCCTCAGCTTGGTTTAGTAAGTAATGCAGATTGCTTGGTCATAGGAAGATGAAACACTATTTGATTAAGTTGCTGAAATATTTTTTATAAAAATCTGATGAAGCAAAAGTATTTTAATGCACAAGGATTAATTTTAATTATCCAGAACACCAAAAGCATTATTTCTATTAAGAAAAAATTTTATTTATATAAATGTGATATTCTCAGGAACTTATTTTTGAATTTCTTCGAAAACAAAAAAGCATCTTTAGAGTTTGAGTAGACAATTTTATCACCAGGAAAAGATATGAGTCCGTACATTAGGGGATTATGTGTTACTTGGTGAATAATGACTACATTGCTATAAACCAAGCTTGTTCAACCCATGGGCCGTGGGCTGCATGCAGCCCAGGATAGCTTTGAATACAGCCCCAAATAAATTCATAAACTTAAAACATTATGAGATATTTTGCAATATATTTATTTTTAGCTCATCAGCTATCATTAGTGTTAGTGTATTTTATGTGTGGCCTAAGACAATTCTTTTTTTTCTAATGTGGCCCAGGGAAGTCAAAGGATTAGATACCCCTGCTATAATCTTATAAGGTCAAGATTGTTTTTCTTTTTTTTTTTTTTTTGAATGTGAATGATTAATTCTTTCTTGCCTTGGTTTAGTTTTTGAGGGACTCCTCTATTTTCTCTTTTGTTTCTCCTGATTTTCAAGCTTTGGGTTTGGGCAGTTATATTCCTAAAGCATTGTAAATAATAGTAGAAAGGGTACAACAAAGAGGGAACAGGCTGGGTACTGTGGCTCACACCTGTAATCCCAGCACTTTAGGAGGCTAAGGCAGGAGAATCATTTGAGCTCACAAGATTGAGACCAGCCTGGGCAACCTCAGGAGATTCTATCTGTACAAAAAATTAAAAAAATTAGCTGGGCATGGGAGCATGCACCATAGTCCAAGCTACTTGGAAGGCTAAGCCAGGAGGATTGCTTGAGCCCAGGAGGTCAAGGCTGCAGTGAGCCATGATCATGCCACAGACTGGAAGACAGAGTGAAACCCTGTCTCAAAACAAAGAAAAAAAAGTGAAAAAAGAAAAAAAAAGATTTTGTTTTTAAAAAGGAACAGATACTATTATTGGTGGTTTAGATGAGTTGCCCAAGTGCACACTTTTATGAGTCAATGTATTGTTTTCAGTATCTTTAGGAAATTGAGGCAGTGTATCCTCACCTTAATGTAACCCGCTATAGGGTAGATTTCTATATAGCATGAATTTGCTCTGCACTCCTCTAAAAGATGTTTAGGCCTTAGAAGTAATAAATAATTAAAGCACCCTTGGCAAACCATATCATCTTCACCTATTATCATAATTAATAATTGTATAGCCCTTTATATTTTGAGAACACACACAGATATGCACACACACAGATTATATATATATATACATATATAGATATATATACACACAGATATATATATAGATATATATATCTGTGTGTGTGTATACACACACACACACACACACACACACACACACACACACGGTCATGCATTGCTTAAAGATGGAGCTATGTTATGAGAAAATGTGGCATTAGGCAATTTCACCATTGTGCCAACATCATAGAGTGCGCTTACACAAACCTACATGGTATAGCCTACTATACGCTTAGGCTGTATACTATAGCCTATTGCTCCTAGGCTACAAATCTTTACGGCATGTTACTGTAGTGAATACTGCAGGCACTTGTAACACGATGGTGAGTATTTGTGTATCTAAACATACCTAAATATAGAAAAGGTACAGTAAAAATATAGTATTATAGTTTTATTGGATCACTGCTGTATATGCAGACCAAAAAATCGTGTAGCTCATGGCTGTAGATATATATATACACACACACACACACACACACACGGCTGTATATATATATATATATATATATATGTATATATATACACACACATAACAGCCATATATATATATATATACAAGACCGTAATATATATATATATATATATAGCCGTATATATATATCTTATTCATTTGTCCTGTGAAATAGGTTATTAGCCCTATTTTATAGATAAGGAATCTGAAGCTTAAAGAAGGTTAAATTGCATGGCTGTGGGCACACAGAATGTGGTTATAGAGCTAGAAGGTGAGGCTCCCATTCATCCCCCCACCTGTCCCACCCCATTTCTGACAGATTGTTACTACAGCTTTTATGATTTGCAGAGTTTACTTTTCCACCTCTGGGAATTCTACAGAAATGAGAAAAAAAAAGTTTCCAAAATTAGACAAAAATACCAGCCTCTGACAGAAATTGAATGCAATTAAAGATAACTAAGTATTAATAATTTATGGACTCCAACAAGTCTGAGCTTTTCTTGCATTCAGCCTTTTCCTAATTGGCAGGAATCACTAACTGGTAGAAGCACTCGGCTCTACATGTTCCTGTTTCCTGTGTGTTTGCCATTAGTGCAAACCTGTGAGATCATGGTGACTTTGTGAAACTTCTCGAGAAAATTCAGTCAAGTCTAAGAAAGGTTTTCATTCTTTGTCCAACTTATTGGGACCACTTAAGATTCAAATTGCAATAAAGAGATGATAAAAACATTTAAAATACTTTCTATGCAGGTGCCAATGATAAGGTGCTTTTTGCTACAAAAATGCAAAGGTTATACCTAAGTGTGCAGAAAAGAAATGGTGAGGCTGCTGGGAATTCTGAGTCTGAAAATAATGCTCAATAAATAGTAGGCAATAAATATTATGCAATAAACGCATAATAAAAAGGACTCTCACTGGTAATACAGGTCTATGTCATGAGATTGTGTAAAATTTTGTATGTGTATCTAGTGCCTGCTATGTGCTCGGTGTTGCTCTTTTAAATATATTAACTTATTTGATTGTTATACCAACTCTATAGGGACGATTCCGTGGTTTCCTCCACTTCACAGGAGAAACTGAGGCTAAAGACATTAAAAAACTTACCCTAAGACACACAATGAATATGTGGTGGAGCCAGAATTCAAACTTAGAGGTTTAGATCCAGCACATTATTCTGCCTCTCCAGTAAAATCAGACAGAAAATCAGTGTCTGCAAAATCAGAAAATATTTGTATTAGTCTGTTCTCATACTGCTAGTAAAGACATACCTGAGACTCAGTAATTTATAAAGAAAGAGATTTAATGGACTCACAGTTCCACATGGCTGGAGGGGCCTCACAATCATGGTAGAAGGCAAAGGAAGAGCAAAGGGACTTCTTACGTGGCAGCGGGCAAGAGAGCAAATGCAGGGGAACTCCCCTTTATAAAACCATCAGATCTCATGAGACTAATTCACTATCATGAGAACAACACGGGAAAGACCCACCCCAGTGATTCAATTACCTCCCACCAGGTCCCTCCCATGACACATGGGAATTATAGGAACTACAATTCAAGATAAGATTTGGGTGGGAACACAGCAAAGCCATATCAATACTCATGCCTTTCGACCCAGTGTTTCCACTTGCGGTAATACTTTGTACACATTAGCAAAGGTGTAGGTACAAGAATATTCACTGAAGTGTTATTTGTAACAGCTAAAAAAATTAAATCTATCCAAATGTTCATCAATAGGGGAATGATTAAATCATGCCATAGCCATTATCCTTGGGGAGTGCTAGGTGGCTGATATAAACTATGAGCTGAAATAATGAGTACTAACATGATAAAAGGACTAAAATTCGATGAGAAAAAAGCTATGTACAAAACAATGTGTGTACTATAAGACCTTTTTTTGCAAAATGTTGATGACAATTGAGATGGAAGAGGCAGAAAGTAAGATTAGTGTCTACAGATAGAAGAAAAACAATTGATAGCATGTGTGCTATAAATAATACTGCCAATTACTATCATTGTGTTATGAGATTACAGAGTATGTGTATTTCCAGTGATAAATTTATTCATTTAACAGGTACTTATTGGAAATGTGCCACATACGAGGTTCTAGGTGCTGAGGATGTATATGGAGCTTACATTCTCATTAGAAAAGACAAAATTAGCAAGTATATAGGTGAACATTTGAATTTTGATGCACAAAGCCTATTACTTTTATATTAAAAACATATTTTTTAAGATAACACAAAAAAGAAGACAATTACCAAAGTAAAGTGGTGGCGGGTTCTGTGAAAGTCTACAGCCCTTCTGTTCATGAAAGACTGGCTGTGAGGTAAGAGGCTGGTGGTAACCAAAATAAACCTGATGGAATAGATTTCATTTTAGATCCATCAGTTCTGACTGTGCCCCAAGACTTGAGACATGACTTAGGTAAAAAATAGAAAAATAATATAAACTGTGGGAGGGTTTATTTGTAAGTGTGCATGAAATTTGTAGGAGCCAAATCCGAATGACTGGGTGCTACCACTGATAGATACTGCCTATGCCTTCCTAACCTGGGAGTCCCCCCAAAACAGAATTACATGTTTAGTAATCAGTTCTATATCTAAGTATAGTTGGACAGGATCCCTTATAGGAACAGTAAGTATCTCCAGGATAAATTCCTGTAGATTTGCACCTCTTTCCCAGCAAGCTTCCCCTAAGTTGCCTCAGTGGTTAAGGAAAGCTTGATTTTGCTGATTCTACATGCCATAGAGTTCTCATTTTTCCAGCTTTGCTTTTTTTTCAGAGCCAGACCTAGATATCAAGCAATTATTTCTTGTTAAGACAGTATAACTAGGAAATAAAAGGCCTGTTAAAATAAAAAATAGATCCCCAAATGTATGTGTCTGTATGATTATGTGTGGATTAAAAAAAGAGTTGATTTGCCATGTACCATCCTCCTATCCACCTTGGATATTTGAAGTTTCATTTCTGTTTTTGAGTACACACACACACACACACACACACGTACACACACACACATTTATATCTATAGCCTTACTTCCAAGTATGTGTACATATCATATTATAATATCTATCCCCTCCAATAATTCAGATGAGTGTAAACATTTAGAAACTATCAGTTATATTTCCTTTGTTGATTTTTTAAAAGAAAAATCAAGAGGGCAAAAATTAAACACATTAGACAGAGCTGTAGTTGTTTGCTTGTGAAGCAAACGAGAGCCTGGGTCACTTAAGAAATGAGTTCAGTGGGTTTCCCAAGCTGAAAGCAGAAGTGCTAGAAGAAAATGGAGGAGTTGTTCCATATTAGGAGATTATTTTAAGCGACAGTCTAGATTATTAAATTCTGGTTAGTTAAGAGGATTATAAAGATTCCCATACAATTGGTCATATTTTCTGTTTTAGGACACAAACATACGGATGCAGTTTTGAAAGAGGTCAAAGAAAATGTCTGATGGACTCAGGGTGATCGATGGCACTTTTTTTTCTTTAATTCTCAAAAGATAACTACATAATAATAAATGCATAACATCTTGCAGTTTGTAAAGTTCATTAGCTCAGCCATCCTGTTAGGTGTGTACTGTGAAGATGTCTGTTCTACAGCTGAGGAGGTGGCAGCCCACAGGTTGAGTAACTTCACGGATTCCACAAACACTTTTTGAGAAACTGTGCCTTGGGTTTAACTGTTTCCCAAGTGGGCTTCAAGGTGGACTTAACAGTTATTATTTATTTGCATTCCCTGAAAGCAGAAACAAAATATTTTGTTGCTTAGTTAGGAAAAAGAGAATTCCTAAATGACCAGTATGAGGTTGGATACAACGCTCTTGCACACACCTTTTCTGATCTCTGAAAACTAGGTTCACATCTGAGCAAACAGCATTGCTGTTTTCAGAACTAAACAAGGTCACCTGGGTTCATATTGCAGACTCTTTTATTCTGCCTTGCTTCTTCTACTATATCTTACTGCCCTTTGTACATTCCAATACTTCTTGAAATTAGATACAAGTGAAAAAAATACTAAAAATGTTTTTTAAAAGCTAGAGATTGCCTTTTTACAGCATCAAAAATTTCAATGACAGGATTCATGTATAAAAAACAAGCACATGTAGAGCCCCTGAAATATTGTTTGATTCATAGAGTTTAAGTTCATAGATTAATTTTAGAGCTATATCTATATAAGATAGAATCCTGCTGTGTATACCCTGCCTAATTTCATCAATTCTCAGACCACCAGTGCTGTAAAAGACTACTCCACTCTTCTTTTTAAAATCCCAAAATAAAATGAACTGAAGATAAAGCATAGAAAATGTTGATCGGCATGTCAATATCTTTATCTTTTCTCTGCTTGTATGTTCCAGGTGGGAGAGTTCAGAGCACACGCTGCTGAGTGGACAGCCAACGTCACAGCCGAATTCAAAGAAACCAGGAGGCGACTGAGTGTGGAGATTTATGACAAGTTCCAGCGGGCCACCTCCATCAAGCGGAAGCTCTCGGCAGAACTGGCTGGAAACCACAATCAGGAGCTGACTCCTTGTAGGAGGACCCTGTCAGTGAACCACCTGACCAGCGAGAGGGATGTCTTGCCTCCCTTACTGAAGACTGAGAGTATCTATCTGAATGGTTTGACGCCACACTGTGCTGGTGAAGAGATTGCTGTGATTGAGAACATCAAATAGCCCTCTCTTTAAATAACCTTAGGCATAGCCATAGGTGAGGACTTCTCTATGCTCTTTATGACTGTTGCTGGTAGCATTTTTTAAATTGTGCATGAGCTCAAAGGGGGAACAAAATAGATACACCCATCATGGTCATCTATCATCAAGAGAATTTGGAATTCTGAGCCAGCACTTTCTTTCTGATGATGCTTGTTGAACGGTCCACTTTCTTTGATGAGTGGAATGACAAGCAATGTCTGATGCCTTTTTGTGCCCAGACTGTTTTCCTCTCTCTTTCCCTAATGTGCCATAAGGCCTCAGAATGAATGAGAATTGTTTCTGGTAACAATGTAGCTTTGAGGGATCAGTTCTTAACTTTTCAGGGTCTACCTAACTGAGCCTAGATATGGACCATTTATGGATGACAACAATTTTTTTTTTGTAAATGACAAGAAATTCTTATGCAGCCTTTTACCTAAGAAATTTTCTGTCAGTGCCTTATCTTATGAAGAAACAGAACCTCTCTAGCTAATGTGTGGTTTCTCCTTCCCTGCCCCCACCCCTAGGCTCACCTCTGCAGTCTTTTACCCCAGTTCTCCCATTTGAATACCATACCTTGCTGGAAACAGTGTGTAAAATGACTGAAGTGATGATGCCCGAAGATGAAATAGATGCCAAATTAGATGGACATTGAAGCAACACTCAGCGTTGCCTAGCGTTAAAGGCACTGCAGAGAAATGAGGTGCAGAGGTGGCCCCTCTGAGTATTTATTTGACTCAGGTACCAGTGGTACATATATACAGTGTAATTATGACCAGGCTGGTAAAATTGGCTGCTCGCAAACAATCCCCTTTTTTCCTGGCAGTATTTGGAATTTATCATTTATTAATAACTATACATTTTTAAAGGCAGAAGAAGAAAATCTATCTATCTATCTATCTATCTATCTATCTATCTATCTATCTATCTATCTAAATGACCTGACAGAAGAAAACTGTTAAAAATGGATATTATTGGAGGGGATTTAAAACAGTGGGTGTGAATTATCATTCTGATGGAAAGAAAATAGCAAAACAATGTGTTACAAGTATTTGCTAATAAACAGTATACTGCCAGCTTCTAATTGCTTTTTGATGTATGAAAGGCTTATATAATTTTCTTTTCGTTGGGTGACTTTTGCCAGATGAGAGGAGGTGGCACAGTGGTGAGTGCAGGGCACAGTCCTAGCCTTCTGTGGGTATACTTTTGGAGTTGTGACTTGGCTGTGAGGGCAGAAGTTGAAGTTGGGATCACTGTGACTTTGCACATGGAAAAATGCAGATTGCAGGCATAATTCATCTCTGACATTAGAGAAAAAGCTGTTATAGCACAATTTAAATTTTGAGAGTTTGCTGTGTTTTTTTTTCACATAAAAGAGGCTGATTATTCTTTTTAGTTTAATTTTATATCCTGTAATTCTTTGGATGGTTCCAAGATTCAGAAAAAATTCAGTAAATGCACCCCGTAAATTGCTACCCTTTCCTTTATTTTCATACTTAGATCTGCTGTACATTGTATATATATATAATTTTTAAAATGCAGAAAGAAAATAATTTCCCTAAATATAATTGCAAACTGATTTCTTTTACTTTTTTGTGTGTGGGGGTGGGAGCTGTATCTGAATAAGTGGCATTCAGATTAGGGTCTTGAAAAATAAACCCAGAATCTTTAAAAGAAGCAAATAAACTAATAGACGCTTATTTTCCAAAATTTAAATTTAAGCTAGAAATGTAAATATTCAATTAATTTGTTAAAAGTACTTTTATAAAGTTAAAAAAAATCCAACCAAAATTTTAGAAAGTCAGGCTCTTTTAGAAAGAAAGCTACACCCATTTCCTCAAATAACTGTTCCGAAAATTTATATGGTGGAATGCGCCATGTATAAACTGTGAATTGTATTGACAAATAAAGTTTGTAATTAAAGTCAGCATTTTCTGAGTCTCCTGCTTGCTGCTGAGAATTCAGATATGATCTAGGTAGGTAGAACTCCAGGATGTTACTTTTCATGCTGAGTTTGTGTCCCTCCTTTATTCAAAATATTTAAGAAATATTTTTGATGCATTGATACTACCCTTGCTAAATACATGCAGACTGTTTTCCTCAGTGGCTACTCACTAAAACCAAATATACTGAAATTCATTTTTGAAATAAGATATTTGAAATCGCATATAGTTTCAAGATTGTTTCTATTATATTACCATATATTTATGCCATATTTTATCATTGTTAGACCTTGTCTTGACACTGAAGTAGACTGAATGCTGAACACAGGTGCCTGAATGTGTTTTTTGTAAGAAAAAGACAAGTAAGCATCCTGGTGGTATTGAAGTCTAAAGAAGGTAGTTACCAACCGATCTTCTAGACCTTATACCACAAATGTTTGGACTACTTACCTTGTTCGTATCCTACATAGATTTATTGATTAATTCCTAAACAATTTGATGCTCAGTAAGTATTCTGAAACTAGCCCCCCACATTACCCTTAGGATTAGGGGAATTTTAAGAAAGTGTGTATTATGTGAACTGAAATCACTTTTATTTTCTCAAGCTTTATTTTGTTTATTTCTTGTAGGGAGAAACTTGATAAAGATTTTGACAAAACGTGGAATTTTCTAGTGAGTTTATTTTTCCATTAGGCCAATATAAGAGTGAGTAGTTTTTCCTGGAAAGATATTTGAAAAAAAACTACTAGAACAGAAAGTATCAGGGACTCCCTAATCTATATCCCTAGATGTAGATTTTAGAATATGCTCTCTATCCAACCTTACAGCCACTAAATGTGAAAGTGGTTCTTTTGGAGTTCTTTCAATTTCTTACATAGATCTATATACTGTGCTACATAGTCCATGTGACACACCTTGTTTTCCAATAGTATTTCACTCTTGTAATGCAGAAGAAAGTAAAACTTCTGAGGCCAAGAGGAAATTGAATAATGTGCATCTTGGCCTTCAAAAAAAGAAAGAACCGTGTGTAAGGCTTTGTTTATTTCTCAAATTTTAAGGAACACATGACATAAAAGACCAAATCCCATCTAATTCTGTGTCAAAAATCAGTAGAATTATTTGACTCTTAAAGCTTAAAGTTCAAAGAGACTTAAAGTTTTAAATGGAATACCAAAAAACAAATTTAGACATTCTGAAGATTTGAAATAGCTGTTTATTCCTAAGAATTAGAGGTCTAGATCAACTTGTCTTTCTTTTTTTGTTGTTTTTAATTCTTGCTGGTCTAGTAAAGCTGTAACTTATTTGGGATTTGCATTTCTTATTAAAATGTAAGTATGACTTTGTTTTTATATAAACTAAAGGGTTTTTTTATTTGAACGTTCATAACTCCATTACAATTAATGTGTGATATTTGCTTTAGCATGATTTTACTTAAATTTCCTCCCATAGTGAAACTGGCCAGGTGCGGTGGCTCACACCTGTAATCCCAGCACTTTGGGAGGCCAAGGCGGGTGGATTACTTGAGGTCAGGAGTTCGAGATGCAGCTGGCCAACATGGTGAAACTCCATTTCTACTAAAAACACAAAAAAATTAGCCAGGCGTGGTGGCGCATGCTTGTAGTCCCAGCTACTTAGGAGGCTGAGGCAGGAGAATTGCTTGAACCCTGGAGGTGGAGGTTGCACCACTGCACTCCAGCCTGGGCGACAGAGCAAGACTCTGTCTCAAAAAAATAAAACTAAATAAATAAAATAAAATAAAATAAAATAAAATTTCCTCTCATAGTGAAACTGGCCTTGCATATGCTCATGTGTCAGTTCCAAGATAGAACAGGATAACCTGGTTATTTCTGACAGAAACATTTGAGGGTAACGTATTGTAGTTATCTTAATATAGGGGGAGCTTCATAAGCTACACTTGCTTTCTTCCTCCCCCAACCACCTCAACGACCCTCTCAAAGATTTTCCCCTCTTGTTTCATACATGATACTTCCCCAGCCATAACTCAACTACCACTTCCTGAAAGACAGGGATTGGTTTCATGGAACAGGAGTTTTGGTCTTGCTCTTTTGTTTTGATTTGATTCTGTTCACTAAACCCCGGCTTTTACAATTTCTAATATTTATAAAGCCGTTTATTGTTTTCCTAGTATTAGCTTTACAAAATGTTTTCATTGTGTTAGGCTTGTCTCAATTTACAACTATTTTTTCTTTTTATCTGGCATTCCTTGTTAAAGTATTTTTGTATAGTCACCAAAAACTCACTGCCTAGTCTTTATTCTGTTTATTTTGAACCTTTAGACTTGGACTTCTTGCTCTGGATTCATCAAGCTAACTCACATGGGTATCTTCAATTCTAAAACGGACCTCAACAGAACCAAGACTCTTTTATAATCTTTCCCCAGACCTGGCCTTCTTCTGGTATCATCTATTTGAGCGGATGGCATGACCATCCCTCTGGCTGGGCAAGTCATCCTTGATATCTTCTTCTCTTCCTCAACTCTATCTCCACTTATCACCAAGCTGTTGACTTGTAAACTAAATATGTTTTGAATTTGTACACAGCCATTGCCTTAATCCAAGTCAACACCATCTTTTCCCTTCACTCAACTGCTTTTATATCATTCTTTTCTTGTCATTGATGGTGAAGAGTTGTTTTTAAATTTGCAAATTGTCTACAAGGCCTTCTTCTAATTAGTCTACTTTATGCCACCCTCTCCAGACTCATCTTGTATCCCTCTCTACCTCTGTGAACCCCAGCTCCACTAGATTTCTCACTTCTGTCACAAGGTTGTGTTGATGTTGTACCTTTACCTAGAATGCTCACTCTCTTTTTCCTCCTTAACCTTTTTCACCTAAAAAACTTCTACTCATCCTTCAGAACCCAGCTACACTATCATTTTCTCTGATAAGCCTTCCTTAACACCAATTCAGGTAACTTTGTAATATGCTCTATAAAACCTCTTTCTTTCCTTCAGTTTATGATTAGATATTCATAACTATTCTTATTTATTATATGTCTCTATCACTAGAATGTAATTCATTTGTTTTAGCTTACTATTTTATTCCCAGATACTAGCAGAGTACATAAAATCGGTGCTCGATAAATACATGATAAATGAATGAATAAAAACAGGGATTTGGCTGTTGTAAACATCTGAAGTTTCCTTGTGCATAAATAACTCATATTTTCTTAGCTCCACATTTATCTGTCTTCTTCCACTGATTACTAGTAAATGAAATACAAACAGCAGTTATTTCTCCTATTAACTACTATTAACTGATAAGCTGGTACTAGTTATTGTGTGGTGTGTGTGTGTGTGCATGTGTGTGGGTGTATGAATTAAAGCCAATTCTCACACTAGACAGACTTGCAGTTTATTAGTCATTATATACTCTTGCTACTTATAAGCAAGAAATTTATTGTTTGTATTTCTAAACTTAAACTCACAATAGATACTATCAAAGCTTTTCAATTATAGTTTAATCTTGAAGATTTGTTTAGAAATTAACTTCAAAACATATTTGCTAATGCTAGTAAGTGGATGCCTTTTTATTAGTAGAAAGCTAAATGCACAATTATTATCCTTGCCAAATAAAATCCAGCTTTTTCATGCTTAAACAAATTGATAAAGTCTTGGAAGCAATCCATTATTTGGCACATTTGAACAGTATTCAATAGAGAATATTAATCACTTACATGGTGTGATTGTAAAATTAATTCATAGAATAATTATTGTATTTCATTCAATTGATTCTTGATTTTGTATATGGTATCCCTTTTTGCACTATACAATTAATAGAGAATAATATGTAGATTTTTTATCATTCTGTCTAATTTGTTTAAAAACATTTTAGACTTTTAAGTAATTTTCACATTAGACTGTATGTTTTGAGATTGTTATTGAAAAATTTAAAACAAGTATTAGTAAGTGACATTATCTGGTCCGATTCAAATTTTGTCATTGACCAAGTACTTCAGGATTGGGAAGACACAACACCAAGATACTGTCAAGACATCCAAATAACTCATTTTGATTCTCAGTCAGTTGGGAACAGCAATTCAGAATTTACGCGTGCATTGAAAAACTTTCTCTAATATTGCCAGAGTCTAGATATGTAGACAAGTAAATTAGCCAAATGTATGAATCTCTTCACTGACTAAATTGTATATGCAAACAAAATATTATCTTGCTTATGGTTTATCAAGTCAACATTTATCAAGACTCTTTGGAGTGCCAATCATTAGACACTAAGTCAAATCAATGTTTGCTCTCTAGGAAATGGCAAGCCATGGGTAAGACAACAATGAAAACAAACAACCAAAATACAAGGTGATAAATATTACAATGAGGTGTGCAAAGAAGTACTAGGAGTAGTACAAGTACTCTGAGGAAGGAAAAGCTATCAACTTGAGTTGAAGAAAGGCTTTATTGAGCGACTCATGTCTGAGTTAGATCTCAAAAGAGCTATAGAATTTCATTGGATTTCAGGTATAAGGACAAACAAAAGTTTAGCATGATTAGGCACTAGCAGATTGTTTTGTGTGGGCTGAGCAGGGTGTGTGTGTGATGATATTGCAAAATGCTTAAGAACACAAAGTGTGGAACCAGTTGGCCTGAGTTCATTCCTCTGTCCTGCCACACCCTAAGTAAGGTTTTTGTTTGTCAACATCTATATACCTTATTTTCCTAATATGTAAAATGACGATGGGTTCCAAATCTTAGGATTATTCAGAGGTTTAAACGAACAAATACATGTGAAGTGTTTAGTGTAATTCCTGGAACATTTTAAGGGCTCAATAAATATTTGCTAATGATGATACTACTACTACAACTAATAATAATAAATCCCATATACATTAGAGAAAATGAGGCTAGAAGAATTGATGAGAACTGGGTGATGAAGGTGTTCAGCTGCCAGAGGTTGAGGTGGTCAAGTAGGACAAAGAAGTAAACTTAAAGTAACAATCAAGCCTTTATTCACTTACTGGAAGAACACATGAGAAAGGCTCCCCAGTGTTCCCTATTTCCCCATGGAACGGCACTGGGTGAGAATCAGACAACTAGTAGCACAGATAGGGGAATCATCTCAGCACTGAGGAGTTCCCAGTCAAAGCCTCCTGCCTCCCACAGACTCTGGAGGCTGGGGGCAGAAAGTGGAAGAAAAGAAGGGATAGGAGTTGAAATACTAAGTCAGAGTTGAGAAAAGTGCCTCAACCCAGGCTCCCAATAAGGAACTTTCCAAATGGAAGCTCCTGAGTTCCTGATTGCAACTCCCTCCAGAAAGTTCCAATGCTTTGGCTGTGCATCACATCTAATATGGAGAGGCACCCTTCCCCATGAGTCCTGCCAGGCAAATCCTTGAAATTGCCTATGGTTGGGCCTGAAAGATCGCACATAGGATTTTGGCCTGCAGCCAGGCTCCTCAGAAGGAACTGTAATTCTTTCCTGAGAAGTTTAGATTTGGCAGTGAAAAGTCACTTCAAACTTTAAAATAGGGAGTGATGTGAATAGATTTGTGCTGTAGAACAGTCACCTTGGCAATGATGTGGAAATCAATGTGAGGGGATGCAATGTCTGGCAGGAAGTCAGAGGACTCTTGGAGCAGTCTGTGAGCGGGATTTGAGTCTGAACCATGCGAGGGGCACTGGGTGGATACTGGTGCCTTCAACTCAGATTAGGATCGTGAAGCTACCAGAAAGGAAGAGAAAGTTTGAAAGTGAAACAGATGTTTTGAAGTTATGGTGCCAGTGGGATCACCAAAGTGAAAACCCTCCATGGGCAGTTAGAATACTCAAATGAGCTCAGGTCAGGGGTCCTAGGTAAAGAAACAAATGTAGGCATTGCTGATATTACAAGAACTTCATATTAATAATGAGAAGTTGAAGTCGCTATAGTTAATACTGCTAAAAATAAAAGGCTGTTCTCTTCTAAATATTAACCCAGCCTTGAATGACCTATGTAAGTTAGGGGTATTCATTGCAAATAAAAAAAAAAACCTCATATGAATTAAATAGGATGATCTTAGAACATTTTCCTCCTAAACATTAATCAAGAATTACTGGCTGGCACTATGGTAATTACTGTGTACATTTTCTTTATGGTAAACAATTTTCATCAGCAAGGCATGTATATGTGTGTATATTTTTTATCTCTGCCAAACTATTTCTTTTGGTTTTATTAATCTTAACATATGTTCCCATGACATCTCTTCTTGAAAAAGAGAAACACAACTAACTCATGCATGAAACTGGAAAAACATCAATGAAATCATGCCTGAAAACTGTAGTGGACTCTGTTGCTGCCTGAGCCAGATTGCCTTTACTGAGTTGGAAGCCCTATCATCAGCTGCTCTTAGTGTTAGATGCTAACAGTTTACAGCTGCTGCATTTTCTGAAGCACACTCCTCTGCAGACTTGAAGCCGCTTCAGTCCCACCCCAACACGGGTGACCCACAGCCAATAACTGCCATAAGGATGACAAAAAGCAGACTTACACTCCAGAGCTCCCCATGAGGCCAGGCTGAGGCTAGACTCTAGCTGAGATAACATCTTTGCTTAGAGCCTCTCTCTGTCCTCTCCTGTTGCCTTCATACTCTTTCTTCAGAGTGCACACACCCAAATATCACATGCACCTGAATCCCTATCTCATGCTCTGTTTTGAAGATGACTGTAGAAGTCATATATTGGAAGAGAAGGTCAGGTTCAGGGTGGGAGACATAAACATTTTTTTAAAATACAGAAGTGATGACTCGGCCATTTATGTGGCTTTTAGTCTCTGGGCAACCATAGTGAAAAGTGAAACATTTATCATGACTTTGTTCTCATTAGCAATGATGAGAAAGTGCATCCAGGTCTCATGAAAACAGAGCCTTTTCATAACTGAATTCTAATAATACAATTTTACATACGGCTTCATATAGGTAACAGAGAGCAATGAAGGATTCCATTTGGAATACTTTTCAGGTAGGATCCTGAAAAGGTTGCGAAAGACACAAAGAAATATTGGATGCATCAAAATTATATAGCTGTGGTTTAGGCTGGAGGGATTTGAAGTTTTTCACTTAGCTCATGCACTTCAACAGAAGCAAAGTGAAACAAGCAGGGTAAGCCAATCACGAAATGGTTAAATTAGTGAAGTTCAATTATATATAAACTATGACTAGGGGAGAGTGATTAATAGCTAAATGCAGTACACGACTTGGAAAAATATCACTTGGCTTCCAAATCAGAGTTTCTTAATCTCTATTCTATTGATATTTTGGAGTGGATAATTATTTGGTAGTAATAGTGGCTATTACTATGGGAATGTTTGGTAGTAATAGTGGCTTCTACCCACTAGATGCTAGTAGTACCCTCCAAGACGTGGTAGCCAAAAATGTCTCCAGACATTGCCAAATGTTCCCCCTGTTGGGGGAATCACACCTAGCTTAGCACCACTGAAGTAAACTATTATATATGTTGTCTAAGGAGTTAAGCGATGTCAACCAAGAGGAAGTTACATGCTCCAGGAATATAAACAGGTGAGTATTTGATTAAACATATGCAGTTGAGAGATACTCATGAACTAAGACATACTGTTAGAGAATTGGTTCAGGTCAAAAATTAGTTCAAATCAAGATAATGAGTTCGACAAATGAAGGAAGCTAGCTAAGTTGCCTGCAGTTTCATTGACTTGAGTTGACTCAATTCAAGGGCTAAACAGAGAGCTTCCTTGATTATGTTCAGATTGAATGAAATCAAACCCTTTTCTGATATTGTGGTCCAAAATTACATTGCCTCATCCATGGGCAACTGTTAAAACCAAGGGAAGTGGTCAGATAGTAAGCAGTTCCATCTGCTGTGTTTGCGTTTTGGAGTTAAATAGCCTAGGAATAAACTTTTCTTAAAACCCTTTTACCCAAAGAATCATGTAATTCCTCTTTGAGCCTTTCCACATGTGTTATCTGAAGAAGCCTGCTGCAATGGCGTAGTCTCCGTGAAATGGTCTTAATCTCATCTGAATTCAAGTAGCAATTTTCTTCAGCAAAATGAGGCTCTTTGAGTTTCAGAAGGGAAAGAAAAAATACATTTCCTATTAATCTGTAAATTCTCTCCCCATGACAAAGCTGAATTATAAAGGCTTAACATTTGCAGCATGATAATTTCTTACAACCAGCTATGGAACATGACCAACATTGCAATGAAGGACGTAAATTTTCATGAATTATTATGGCAATGGATTTTAGCAGAAAAAATATCTATTTAATCAGATACTGATGTATTTCTGCCAGTTAGGTGCAGCAATGCCCTCTGCATATTGCAGGAAATGCACTGAAAATCAAAGATTGGGAATGTTTTTGACTTCTACGTCCTACTTAGCCAAGTGCATCTGGGCTCTCCAAAATTTCTCTAAATTGACCACTTTGAAATTGTTACTTAACTAGGTGAATCTGATCTCTTGTTGAAGTTACTGTGAACTATCAAAAATCTCTATGACAGCCATTCCCAAAAATATTTACAGAAACATTATCCTTTAAGATTCTTTGGGGAAAGAAAGAATGTTTTGTGGTCAAAAAATTTGGAATACAGTGTACCCTACACCTAAACAACTAACACCAACAGGTTTTAAAGGTTTTGAGGAGTCCTACAGTAAGGAATCTGTATTAGTTAATAGCGCAGTATTACCCTAAAACATGGCGTAATAATCTGTATTACTCCAAAACTTGGCAAGTTAGACATCTGTTATCGCAAAAAGATTCAAAGGATCAGGACTCTGGGAATGACTTAGCTGGATATCCTGGCTTAGGGTCTTTCATGTGGTTGTAGTCAAGCTGTTGGCCAGGTCTGCAATCATATGAAGGCTTGAAGGGGGACAGGAAGATCTACTACAAAGATGGCTTACTCACATGGATGTTGGCAAGAGAGCTCAGTTCTTTACCATGTGCAACTCTCCACAGTACTGCCTGAGTGTCCTCATAGCATGGCAGCAGGCTTCCCATAGAATAAGTGATCTGAGAAAGAGAGAGCAAGCAGGAAGCCAGAGTGCTTTTTATGATCTAGTTTGTGAAGTCACACATATTCACTTCCACTTTTACTCTATTCATTAAAAATGAATCACTAAGTCAAGCTTATACTCGAAGAGTAGGTAAGTAGGAAGTACACATATACACAGATGTGTTAGACATGAATACTCTTGATTAAAACAATTAAACCTCATTCTACATTCAAGAAAATTACATTTCGTTTCAGATGTAAGTTCAAGCTCTTAATAACATTAGCTAATACAATAATTTTGGGGTAGACTATTACTTTCAGATAATTCATAACCCATCCTGTGTAGTTAAATGTAAATCTTGCAAAAGCAAAGAAAAACTGGTTATTAGAGGTGTAGGTTATATTGGTTCTCCAAGGGGAAATGCATTCTATGTTGCTGAATATTTAAGTATGCCTTTATTACATATCATATATATACTTTATCCTCAGAAAAACATTTCTGCATATGAATGATAGGTTTAACAGGTGCCGCAATTCCTTTTTGCCTAAGGTAAATAAGAAGGGGTGTGTCAATGGCCATAAGAGACTGGGAAGAAATTGATATGCACCTTAAGGATCAAGTCTGTCAAATCTGTTGTAGATGCAAATATTATATGTCACTCTTTTCCACCTTTCAGACAAATATGTGACAATGGCTCTTAGCAAAGAAGAAGATCAAGAATGATTAACTTAATTTTTGTCTGGATGAGTTTGCTCAGTTGGGCAGAGCAGAGTAGTGACAACAGTGTAAATGCTCCCAGTTGCCAGAGAGTTGCCTTCTGTTTCATAGGCACACTCCAGAGTTCCTGGCTAGTCATTTTTCAGATGTTTGCTTAGAATAATTAAGAAATGATGTGAGAGAATATGGATAGCTCAATAAAAACTACATATCAAAACAAGTCATAACTGCAGATAAAACAAACATTAATTTTTATATATTACTTATACTTTAAAAAGTCGATAAATTCATCACCCCATATTTTAATGTGTCTAATGTACCACATCATACCAAAAATGTAAACAGAAAATTGCTCCAAGCTCTCAGAACATATCCCAGAACCTCAGATTTTTCCATTCATTTGAACACAAAATACTGGTTTTTGTTGGACGGATGTCACACATTAAGCTTTAAGGCAAATGTGTTCAAGAATCAGATCTGCTCTAATATCATTTTTGAAATAACACACACCCAGGTTTAAATGGAATTTCTTTAAGATATATGCAGAAAGAATACAAGATTATCAATGGTATATGCCATCAGAGTTATGAAGAAACCACTAGGTTTGGAGGAGGTAAGAGTTCATTCATCTCAAGGTTCCCAGAAGCTATCATGGAGGAGCTAATATGTAAGATGTAATGGTAATGCAAAGGTAATGGGATTTTGAGATAAAGGAAAAAGTGAATGTTTGTGGAGTATTTTACTTCCCACCTTTTTCTTCTCTCACTTCCATGGGTCATGATATCAGGTTGTGTCTATCTCCTTACTAGTAGATAAATGTCATATTTGGGGTTCTCTGAGAATCAGATATGAAAACAAGGCTAGACATGCAAGAGATTTATTTGAGGAAATACTTATATTAGTTTCCCAAAGTTCTCATAACAAAATATCACAGAGTGGCTTAAAGCAAAAGATATTTACCCTTTCACACTTCTGGAGTCTGGAAGTCTGAGATTAAGGTGTTAGCAGGGCCATGCTCCCTCCAGGGCCTCTAGGGGAGGATTCTTCCTTGTCTTTTTCAGGTTCCAGTAACCCCAGGCATTCATTCCTTGATTTGTGGTATAATAACTCCAGTCTCTGCTTCTGCCTTCACATGGATTTCTTCCCTCTGTGTTTTTCAAATTTCTCTTTTCTTTTTAATTTATTTTTTTAAAATTTTTACTTTAAGTTCTGGGATCATGTGCTGAAAGTGTTACATAGGTATACATGTGCCATGGTGGCTTGCTGCACCTATCAACCCATCATCCAGGTTGTAAGCCCCACATACATTAGGTATTTGTCCTAATGCTCTTCCTCCCCTTTCCCTCCCCCATCTAACAGGCCCAGGTGTGTGATGTTCCCCTCGCTGTGTCCATGTGTTCTCATTGTTCAACTGTCACTTATGAGTGAGAACATGCAGTGTTTCGTCCTACTGGATGAAGGGCCCATCCTAATGACCACATTGTAATTTAATTGTATCTACAAAGACCCAATTTCCAAATAAGGTCATATTCACAGGTACCAGGGGTTAGAACTTGGAAATATCTTTTGAGGGGACACAGTTCAATCCATAATAATACTTATGAAGTGTGAATGGGGAGAGAGAGAAATATTCAAGGAGAGTCTTCTTTCTGCAGTGCAGTGTGATCCCTGTGAAAGGAGGGAGGAAGGACAGATTGGGTAGGAAGAAACTCAGATCACAATACAGTTCTGAGAAAGTTCTGGTCAGGCCACTGAGGAATCTCCAACCAAAGTTCACCATTAAAGGCATTCCACATCAGGAATAAATGTTCTAGTTCCAGCACCCCCACCCGCCATGTTCAGATATTGGCTTGGAACAGCCTGGTAGAAGCATAGCCTGGCATGAATGAAGCCCAAAAGCTGACAGCTAGAGGCTGTAAAATCAGTTATGCTTGCTCCTCATAGCAGTTTCTATTAAAGGCAGATCAGAGCAGGACATATCTATGGCCACCACAGTATGCTTTTGCAAGCACACTTGCTCAGTAGCTATGAGTTGCTCTTCCTGAGAGGAAACTTAGAAGAAGTAGGGTAGTAGGATGACCCATGACCCTCATTGTTGCAGTTGGGCTTGGGGTTGCAACTTGTACTCGTTGTCTCTTTAATCCACTATTCATGTTAAATTTCCCTCAACCTCAGCAGATCTTTGTGCCTTACCTGATGGCGTGGCTCAAAACTTTATTCCTGAAGGTACCCAAATCCTTGATAATTATATCCATCTCACACTGGATTTTGCTCTTATCCATTTACAGTCACATTGGATGAGTACCAAGGACACACAACTGAATCACTTGGGTTCCAAACACATCCCTTTCTGCCTCCACTGTGCAAAAGCCATCCTATGTTCTTCTGGTGATTATCGTCAATAACCTTCATGAAAATAGTCTCTTGTTCTCATGTGCTGAACACTGGACACGGAGTTCAAAGTGCCCTGACACCAACTGAAGCTTGTAGTCTAACAGGACCCTTGTGTTCCTTGTAAGGGCATACGTCCCACCCCCTCCATGGGGACCAGGATATACAACCTTGCAGAGCTCAGATACAGGAAGCAGAACGTTTCCCAATGAGCCATTGTAAATGATGGAAAATGGAACCACATCTCTCATCCCTTGGTTCCCAGACACAAGTATCCTTCCTACTGGGGACACCATATAGAGGACTTAACTTAATGGATGTACTGCATCCCAAAGGATGACACTTCATCTTTGAAAATTATTTCCCCCAAAGCTGGTGCTTTAGCTGTATTTTCAATCATTGTTTCAGCACTTATAAGACCAGCTGTTTCTGAATGGTCTGGCATATTACACAAGTTGATGTCGTGGGCATGAGCCCACTCCCACCCGTTTGTCACTGGGAAGTGGGTTCCTTGCTCCAATGTTATATTGGGTAATATCTCATGCCTGTGGATCTGGCATTCTGTAAGTCCCTGGATAGTGGTGCTTGCTGAGGTTTTGTAAGCAGAAATGGTAAACCCATACTCAGAGTAATTATCTATACCTGTGAGGACAAACTGCTAGCATTTCAGTGATGGGATGGAAGGGGCTCAATGTAGTCAACTTGTAACCAAGTGGCCAGTTGGTCTTCTTGATGAATAGTGCCATATTGGGAGTTCAATGCTAATCTCTGCTGCTGGCATCTAAGACTTTCAGAAGCAGCAGTAGCTAGATTGGCTTTTAAAAGTGTGAGGCCCTCAACCAAAGCTGTCATTGTAGAAATCTTGCATTGAGCAGGAATGGTCTGGTCCCACTATAACTACCATGTTCAGCTGCTGCCTAGGGGCGTCCTACAGAAGCACTGGTGTGAACAATGTAGTAGAGCTAAAGGTTCATAAGCTAAAAGGGGTTCAACAGCTATATATCAAATAGCAAGTTATCTTTTCTTTTTCTTTTTTTATTATACTTTAAGTTTTAGGGTACATGTGCACTATGTGCAGGTTAGTTACATATGTATACATGTGCCATGTTTGTGTGCTGCACCCATTAACTCTTCAATTAACATTAGGTATATCTCCTAATGCTATCCCTCCCCCCTCCCCCGACCCCACAATAGGCCCCGGTGTGTGATGTTCCCCTTCCTGTGTCCATGTGTTCTCATTGTTCAATTCCTACCTATGGGCGAGAATATGCGGTGTTTGGTTTTTTGTCCTTGCGATAGTTTGCTGAAAATGATGGTTTCCAGCTTCATCCATGTCCCTACAAAGGACATGAACTCATCATTTTTCATGGATGCATAGTATTCCATGGTGTATATGTGCCACATTTTCTTAATCCAGTCTATCATTGTTGGACATTTGGCTTGGTTCCAAGTCTTCGCTATTGTGAATAGTCCTGCAATAAACATAAGTTTTCTTGAAGGGAGATCTGAATGCGGCACTTCTGTGACTGCCACAAGGACTTTATGCCACACGACCTATAGGGTAGTAGGCAGAGGACAAGAGGACAAGCACAAATAAAGATAGCAGATGGTTCCTTGTTCCTTGGTTTTTCCGGTGAACACCAATACTTGGAGCACCATATCTCAGCACTAACAACCTCTTCCCACCCTGTTTCCTTCTAGAGGTTGCCTACTGCAACAGCCTCTGCTGGCCTGACAGACTTTCCAGAATTTATAATATTTTTATTTTCCCAGATTTTCAGTGATTGACTGAGTTGAATGTAGTTAATAGGCCACGTCTACCCCCATTCTTAGACAAACCCAGAACCCTCCCACTTTTATTTTGACCTGGCCTTACTCCTGATCCCATGTAGACTCATATCTACCATCTATGACTAAAAGCATATTTGTGACAAAGGAATTAACTTGGTATGGCTTGAGGGAGAAAGTGAGTGATAAAAATGTAAGGGTAAGTTGAAGTTAGGTTGCGGACACTCTGAGTTTGAGGTCCTTTGGCTTTCATTCTATTTATACAGTCATGGAGTATTAATAATGGTTTCAGTAAAAAAAAAAAAAAAATCATCATACCATGGGCAAGAAATTATCATTGCACCTCACTGTAGAAGTAAAAGTAGAAATGATGTCTCCCACTCTTTGAAAGAATATTAAGTATGAAATAAAATGTGCATCCTTTCATTACTTACTATTTTTTTTAAGTGCATCGGGGTGAATATCTCTGCGTGATTCTTTGCAGGGTTTCACTTCTGCTACCAAGAATAATCTCTGCAGGTAAACCTAGTTTACTTAGTTCTGTTATCCAATTTCAATAAAAGAAATATTTACCTTCCAGATCCCAAGGAACTAGATTATTAGGTAAGAAAAAACATTAAACGTATCAGGACTGACCAAAAGGCAAGGAAGTCTCTGGCATAGCCTACGGCTGATGCTGAACATAAAGCAAAGGTACAGGGAATCTTCCATTATGCTTTAAACTAATCTATATGTTTAATGTCTCCAAAACTAGATTAGATGCAATCATCTCAAATAAGTTGGTATAATTACAGCATATTCAATTACATCTATTCAGAAGCCATACTTCTTTCTTTGATCAATTAAAGTTAGTAAAGGGAGATGTTAATTAGTGCCAGCCCTCTGAGAATGAAGAATATGAAGATTGATACAGCCTAGAATATTAGTGGTTTCAAATGTCTCATTTGCCCCAAAGTATTTTTCCCATTGGTCTCCTAAAGGACCTGTCTTTTGAAAATCCCATTAGAAGTAAAATGTATTTTTTAAAGACACATAAATATTACTCCAGTGTTTACAAAGTCATCTCACTTCTGGGATATTATCCCAAGGAAATGATTTTAAGAAGGAAAAAAATCTTCAAATACAAAAATGTTTTAGGAGTGTAGATATGTAACCATATTCTCCAGTCATCATTAGAGAAGAAGAACTAATGAGGTCACCATGATTAGTAAGAACTTGAAGTTGTTGGGGTCTTTTCCTTATCCTCTGGCAAATGTTCACCTCACAGGTATTTCTTGGCATCTTCAGAGGTGTCTCTAATTTTTCCCACAAATAGTAGGTGTTGCACTCCCTAGGCACTGCTGTCTCCCTTTTCCCATTAGATGCTACTGCTGTTATGAAACACATCAGATCTGTGAATCTTCATTGCTTAAGCCGTGCCACTGTTGGTTGCAAAATGATGGTAAATATCCCAGAGCAATTTTGCTTTGTGACCTTAATACTTTACTGAGAAATTGAGTAAAAACAAAATTATATTCATTTTTACTTGCAGCCCTTTGCCTCTCATATACAGAAATGAGTCTATGTGCTGGACTGGGTATATACAGATTTTAAATGGCAACCACCATGCTGAACTGAAAGTTAATGTTTCTGGTCCTGGAATTTTGTTGCTGTGCTAAAATCTAAAATCATCACGCTGTGCTTCCCTTCCAGCACTCCCTTTCCAGACAGGCTTCTGTTGGGCACAGAACATCAGTTAGCAAGACGTGTCTAGAGCTATCTAAATTTCAGCTGAGGCTCAAAGTTTAATCTCTGCTACATTTTTATTATCAAAACTAAAATCAAACAGTATCAGTAAATTATAAGAGAAAAATTCAATCAAATATGAATATTAAAAATGTTAAATATTAAAACATTGCAAATGTATGAGAAATATTTAAAACCATATAGACTTTCATGTTAAATATAAAAATATGCACTATACATGTTTTTATATGGTTGATGATTACAGAGTGATATATCAAGGTGAAGGGTTACAGGGTGTATGTCATTGTATGGTAATTGAAAAAAATCATTATTTAGCAATCACATCTTATATATGCAGAGATTATAGTAATAAGCATATCTGAAAAAACAATATATTAAAACTATACAATTCCCCCAAATTATGCTAAGGAGCAGAGAGAAACATGTATAGTAACCCACTGACACTTTAAAAGCACAGTGAAAGTCAGGTAAAATCCGAAGGGAAAGGGAAAGAAATTTTCCTGTGAAATTCTGTCAGAGACTGAAAGTAATTCAGATCCAGAGAATGGCAGGTGGCCCAGACGGGAGACACAATGGGCTATGGCCCTGGAGGAGAATCTTGACTACAAGGGAGATGATTTGTTCATGGAAGGAGGGGACTAACGGTACCTTAGTCTCTTTTTCATTTTGTTTTGAGTTGACCTGAACTAAAATATTTGTTTCTTCCTAGAGTGTCATAAAGGACCTTATTCAGAAGCTAAAGGAAACTTCTAAAATTGCACTGCATTTTGTGCTTCGTCTGAACTCTAAATTCTCAGAGTTTCTCAATGCTTTGATCCTTCTTTTAAAAACCTGTGTGCTCATTACATCTGTACAGCTTGTGGAAATTAGGTAATTATATTTAATAAATGACATGGAAGCAACCATAAAGGTCTGACTTAAGTCACACTCTCCAATAAATGTTCTGATAAAAAGAGTAAGAGGACACTTCCTAATAATATCTCTAATTAACTGGAAAAACTCATCTTTGCTCATTGAGTTCCAGAGTTGCAATACATTCTTATATATTTTTGAAATCTGAAGAAGTAATCTAAAGTTGGTCCAAGGCTCTTGAATCAAGTGTTAGCAAGCTGAACGTAAGTACAGTGATTAAATGTTAATAATCCTACCTTAAAGTGAAAGGAAACGTCCCTAATGGAATGCTCTGGAATGAGCCTTAAGAGCTTAATGGCAGGCGCCTGTATGAAAAAAAAAAAAGAAAAACAAACAAACAAAAAAAGCTTAGTAATGACCCCTCAAACCTCACCTAAAGAACAGAACCAAGATTGATTGGGTTTCCTGACTGTACTCCATGGATCACTGGAAATAAGAGATGTTTATATTTCAGGTCTCCAGAGAGGAAGGGAAGAAGCTCGTAGACAATATTGGTCTACTGATATAAGTTGCTTGATGAACTGAGATGGAAATACCTTCTAATCTACTCACAGAAGATATGTTTTCTTTTACTGGGAGTTTATATATGGCTTATATAACACATTTTCTTTGAGTATTGAATTATAATTCCTCAATACAGCACTTTTTTTTTTCACTTTCATCATCCATTATGCCCAGTGGCTTAAGCTTTTTGGAGTGTATATTTGTGTGTGTGGAGAGGGGATTGGGGTGAGAGGGAGGTAGGTCGGGGAGGAAAGGAGAAACTAGCAATGTGTCAGAGGAAGGTTGTGACATGAGTGTAATTTTTTTTTTTTTTTTTTGAGACGGAGTCTCACTCTGTGGCCCAGGCTGGAGTGCAGTGGCACGATCTCGGCTCACTGCAAGCTCCATCTCCCGGGTTCATGCCATTCTCCTGCATCAGCCTCCCAAGTAGCTGGGACTACAGGCACCCGCCACCACACCCAGCTAATTTTTTGTATTTTTAGTAGAGATGGGGTTTCACCATGTTAGCCAGGATGGTCTCGATCTCCTGACCTCGTGATCTGCCCACCTCGGCCTCCCAAAGTGCTGGGATTACAGGCATGAGCCACTGAGCCTGGCAGCCGTGAGTTTATAATTTTTATTAGAGTTGAGATGCTTTTGAAGAGATCTGCACCAGGGTACCTTGTCCTCAAATGCCCATTGGGTTGCGTATTTTCCTAAAGTTTACCAATGGTATCAGATTCTACAAGTCAAGTTCAGCCATACCCTGGGTATCTGCAGATAGTCTTGCCTCTCCACACCCAGGATTATGTTCTCATCATTATAATAGCTATCATCACAATAATAACCATTTAATGCCTAAAAGGCACAGACAGAATCACATATCGGAACCAGATCTGTCAGACTATAAAGAGGCTGGTTTTCCCACTTTGCTAAGCTGCATCCCAGAAAGCCCTATAACCTATATTCACACAGTTCCCATGGTAGATTACTGTCTCAGTGGTTGTCAGCAATACTTTTCTTATAAAAATGCTTCAGGGAATTTGTCCATGAGAAACACCAGCTACTTCCTGAGCCAAGATTCCTGCTCTTTCAGAAAATCATTGACTGATTTGGGAGGGCAGCTCCTGCTCTTTCAGATTACCTAAGGACCAATCAACACAGACAGAATGGAGATGCTTTGCTACCACTTCCTTAATCCTGCCCTACGTCAGGAAGGAGCCTAAATTTCAACCTCAGCCGAACTTCTCAGGCCATTTATTTATTTTATTTATTTATTTATTTATTGAGATAGAGTCTTCTTGTCACCCAGGCTGCTGGAGTGTGGGGGTGTGATCTCGGCTCACTGCAAATTCTACATCCCCAGTTCAAGTGATTCTCTTGCTTCAGACTCCCGAGTAGCTGGGATTACAGGTGCCTGCCACCATGCCTGGCTAATTTTTCCATTTTTAGTAGAGACAAGGTTTCTCCATGTTGGCCAGGCTGATCTTGAACTCCTGACCTCAAGTGATCCACCTGCCTTGGCCTCCCAAAGTGCTGGGATTACGGGCATAAGCCACCGTGCCTGCCTATTCCTTTAAAAAACAAAAACCAAAAATCCCAAGTCTACGTTGCCACTATTGGTACTCTAGGGTGTATGTTTGGGGAACAGTAAAGTGTGCAACTTCTTCCTCCTGCAAACTCACTGTCACTCTTAATCCACCCCCTCCCCATAAACAAAACAAAACAAAACAAAAACACCCTGGCAGCAGGAATAGAGAAGAGGTAGAATCATTTCAAGATTCCAAGTATACTGGAGGCCAGAATAGGTATATCCTCAGGTTACTATAACAAAATAAATGAGGTATTTCCTCAAATTAAAAGGACACCAGAGTAACATCTAAATGATAGCAAATAGCAGTTTCTTCTTTGCTACCTTTTTAAGTAAACTCTTTATTTCATGCATGTACAAGGCATACCCTTGGTGGCTCAGGAAGCTAACATCGTAAATATCTTTTAACTGGTGAGTATTTCTATACACTAATGGGTTGAAAGAGGCTTCCAACCTAGGAATGATTATATTTTGACTGCTTGAGGGATTCAAATGTAATGGCACAACAACATAACTTCAGGACACAGAATGGAAGTTAGAACAAGTTCAGGCTCTTTGCATGCAATAAACTAGCTCCTAGCCCTTTCAATCACTAAGAGACAATCTGTCCTATTATGTGGACCTAGTCAAAGGGTTTAACAAAGTAATCATTTCCTGAAGAAGAATATCTATATTATGCCTGAAATACTGGTGTTTCAGCAATGTTTATTAAATTGAATTGAATTAAATGTCCCTTGGAAAATTGTTATTTCTTTCAGTCTAGAAAATTTGTCTAGTGATAATCTTTGCTGAAATTTTCCAATTTGATATTGGCGCAGAGAAATGTATATTAAGTTGAACTTGAGAACTATTTATGTTGGAATAGAAAGTGCCCTAGTCTTGGTTCTAGTCGTAATCCTGACACTGCCTGACTGTGTGATGATAAGTAAGATGAGCTACAGTTTCCCTATCCTGCAAATATAGGGGCTGGGACCGAATAATATCTTTAAGATAAAAATTTCTGATTCTATTATACCTTTAGGGTCAAAATACCTTCTTTTGTAATCTCCTGAGCAAAAAAAATTCATCTAACATATTGAAAAGTAGAAAGGGAAATGGAAAAAGACCAAGGGCAGACCAGCTAAGTCATTCAGAAAGGAAAATTAGCACAGTCTCATATTTCCAGTAGAAGGAATGAGTGCTTAGTTTATCTGGACACCAGAGAATAACTCAGTTACTCTTATTTTCAACCTTATTTCACTATAGCAGAATCCTTTCATTCAAGGTTGAGAGAGGAAAGTCCAGGGCATGCTGGCCATTAATATTTGAGACAAAAGGTGTCATGGCATTTGTTCGATTTCGAGAGGCATTTCATTCAGTGGAGATTGTAAACATGTTTGGCATGTCTTAATTGTCACTTTGCTATAGAAGATTTTTAGAAAGCAGGCCAGCATGCTGCCAAGTGGAATATTTGTTTCTCTGATTTCCCATACAGTAGCTATTTATCTGTCTCCAAGGCAATTCCAACTGTAATGTCTCAGAAGCAGATTAGAAGCTTAGAGTCAGGAAAGACTGAAAAAACCCTATTGGACCCAAGTGATCAACTGGCTGTCAGGGAATAAATATGGGCAAGAACAAAACAGATGAGAGATGTTAACATTCAGTGAATAGAGATGGAATTGCTAGCTGGTTCTTGATTATTAACATATAATTTTTCCCAGAGTGTACATATTTCAGCTAGTGTTGTTTAATCTCTACTGTGAGACATTTTTTTTGCTTATGGTCATTATTACGCAAAAGTGTGGTTGAATGTTTCAATCTTGCATTTCCAGCAAAGACCAACCTTGTAAGTATACTGACCTAGGTTAACAATTTTGGAGAAAATGCATTTTAAATGTCACTTTCCCAGTGTTTAAATCAAAATTTAAATTATATTCCAAAAATATTGAAGAAGCTCACAGTAAAAGAAACATGTAATAGGAAAACAACATTATTACCAAGATTCAATTTCACATACAAGGAGTTTGCATTCTAAGTTGCAGACTTGTGCATACAATATTACTCTTTTGACCAATTGTACAAATTTTGGAATTGGCTGCCTGGGGAGACTGAAATGTGTTTATTTGTTTCCCTCTGTATACAGAGGGAACCAGTAAGTTTTACTGGGCATGTGTTATGTATTAGGCACCATCATAAATTTTATAAATACTGACATTTAATCATAAGGTTTAAGCATTGATTGAGATAAGAATCAACTTTATGCAGGCTAACTAGTCATAGGCTGATAAGAATTTTACTTTTCAGTTTTTATTTCTCATTAATTATATATATTTATAATTTATCTGAAATTTAGACTTTTAAAGTAACATGAATGGGAAGAAGAGACATAGATAGGGTGAAGCATGAATAAGATGGATTTATTTAGGGTCCTTCCCTGGTTCTGTTACGATGTCGATTTGCCAGTTTTCTGTATTCGATCCTGTCAGGTGTTTCTCAATTTCCCTATTGCACAGATGCATGCTACTTCAAACTCACCCTCGTGATCACCCTGAAGCCAATCTATTTTTTATGCCCAAATTTCTTTTAATAGCCAGAGGCTAAGCAGAAAGATACCAAGCATATATTGTCAACCAAGCTAAGGATGACTTTTTGGGAGACAAAACTGCAGATACTTCCAAGGTCTCCATGCCTATGCTCCACATTGGCAACCTCACAGAATTTCTTGAAGGGGGACGATGCACACCAGCTTCTGAGTGTTAAGGGGAGGCATTCATGATTTTGCTCCCTGGGTTTGTACTTAATGACCCCTGTCGGTGGCAACTCTAGCAACCCTAAGTGAAGTACAAGTTGAAGAACAAGTTTGTAGCATGTTTCAGAGTAGAGGAATATGCACAGAAGTTAGGACCTCCCTTTCTCATGATATTTTTTTACTGTTTACGAATAAAACATTCAGTTAAGAAAGCGTATACTGTAAACTCTTTATTGGAGAACAGACTTAAAAATACATAGCAATTATTTTTCCGGAGTCCCTCCACAAAAGGGTAGTTTCTGAACTGAAAAACTCTGTCATAGAGGGTCTCCTCATAGGGTGGGGGAGACCCCAGTTTGGATTCAGTAGACAATGTTAGAGATTTAGTGTTATTTTGGCCATTGCTTTTCTCTTAATGTATCACTTCAAAGAGAAAGGAAATTGATTGTATATACATCACATGTTTGAATGTATGATTATAACTTAATCTAAAATCATTCCAAGTTACACATTACATAGAGATTCAAAATGAACTATTATGCTCTGATACTAGTGTTACATTCTTCCTTTAATTTAATGTATTCACAAATAATCACTCATTTTCAGTTTGCATTTTGGAGGACCTCAGCAGTCTTATTGTTAGCATGTGCTTAGACACCCAGATTTCCAGACAAATTCTCTATTCCAAACTATGTTTAGTCTGAGGTTTGAGTCTGGAAAATGAGCTAGCTACTGTCCCCTCTTTCCTCTCTAATTTGTTTATGTTTACTGTCTCCAAAGGCGTCTGTGTCCTTAAGGGTTGCCACTTACTTGCTGCCCTGCCAGGTGCCCTGCAATACACATCCCTGCAATACACGTCCACAGTGAATTGTAAAGCAATTGAAATCTTTATACAACTTTGTGTGAAAGGCCAAAGAGAGGAATTTTGTCACTCTGTGTGGCAAAACTGTGTAAAAACCTTCACATCCACTTATTTCCTCAAAAATCTATTTTTTATCACAATCTGACAGTTTTCTCAAACCTTCCATTCCCCCAATTTTTTCTCTCCACAAACTCTTCTAATTTCTCGTAATACGTTTCTTTCTCTGCTTATCTGATATATCTACTCTCTATCTTCTTACAATTGTTCTCTCTGCTTCCTTTTTTTTAACTTTTACTTTAAGTTCTGGGTTACATGTGCAGAACATGCAGTTTTGTTACATAGGTATACACGTGCCACGGTGGTTTGCTGCACCCATCAACCCGTCACCTACATTAGGCATTTCTCCTAATGTTATCCCTCCCCTATGCCCCCACCCCCCGACAGGCTCCAGTGTGTGATGTTCCCCTCTGTGTCCATGTGTTCTCATTGTTAAACTCCCACTTATGAATGAGAACATGCAGTGTTTGGTTTTCTGATCTTGTGATAGTTTGCTGAGAATGATCGTTTCCAGCTTCATCCATGTCCCTGCAAAGGACATGAACTCATCCTTTTTTATGGCTGTATAGTATTCCATGGTGTATATGTGCCACATTTTCTTAATCCAGTCTATCACTGATGGACATTTGGGTTGGCTCCAAGTCTTTGCTATTGTGAATAGTGCCGCAATAAACATACGTGTGCATGTGTCTTTATTGTAGAATGATTTATAATCCTTTGGGTATATGCCCAGTAATGGGATTGCTGGTCAAATGGTATTTCTGGTTCTAGATCCTTGAGGAATCGCCACACTGTCTTCCACAATGGTGGAACTAATTTACACTCCCACCAACAGTGTAAAAGCATTCCTATTTTTCCACAACCTCTCCAGCATCTGTTGTTTCCTGACTCTTTAATGATTACCGTTCTAACTGGCGTGAGATGGTATCTCATTGTGGTTTTGACTTGCATTTCTCTAATGGCCAGTGATGAACATTTTTTCATATGTCTGTTGGCTGCATAAATGTTTTCTTTTGAGAAGTGTCTGTTCATATCCTTTGCCCATTTTTTGATGGGGTTGTTTGTTTTTTTTCTTGTAAATTTGTTTAAGTTCTTTGGAGATTCTGGATATTAGCCCTTTGTCAGATGGATAAATTGCAAAAACTTTCTCCCATTCTGTAGGTTGCCTGTTCACTCTAATGATAGTTTCTTTTGCTGTGCAGAAGCTCTTTAGTTTAATTCGATACCATTTGTCAATTTTGGCTTTTGTTGTCATTGCTTTTGGTGTTTTAGACATGAAGACCGTGAGACAAGCACAGTATCTGTGCTGGAGATCCTTGGGCCCAGACCCTCATGGCTTTCCTTGGGTAGGGGAGAAAATTCCCCGACCCTTTGTGCTTCCTGGGTGAAGAGACGCCCCACCCTGCTTTGGCTTGCCCTCCATGGGCTGCACCCACTGTCCAACCAGTCCTAATGAGATGAACCAGATACTTCAGTTGGAAATGCAGAAATCACCACCTTCTGCGTAGATCTCCCTGGCAGCTGCAGACCAGTGCTGTTCCTATTTGGCCATCTTGAATCCGCCCCACCCCACCCCCTGCCCCATTGTTTTCTAATACACATCACTGTAGACTTTCTAAGGCTTTGTATCAGTAGGAGTCCAGTCAAGGAACAAAGCGAGAACAGAGAGAATTTGTTAACTAGAAATAAATTATTGACCAAGAAAATGCAAGGATAAAAAGAGAAATTCAAGATATCATAGAGAAGCCATCATAAGAAGGACCTACCTTCTTATGATAGGAGTTGGAATTATTAAAACTTAGTAACTTAAAGGAGGGGCCCCACATGGCTGAAACTCTTACCTCTGAGGACAAGGTACTGCTTAGCAGGTGCTGGGGTCCCTAAGCTAGAGCATAATTAAGCTGGTTCTGCAGATCTTTAAAAAGCTGTAAACTGAGTTCAGGCACTGCTCTAGAAAGGAACTCTGTCTCTGGGATGAAAAAGTTGTGCTGAGGTGCCTCTGACAGGCATTACAAACAAACAAATAGCTCACAGAAAGCAGAGAGGAAGGAACAAGCCTCTTGCTCCGCTTCTTCCAATTTTATAATCTACTTCTAGAAACCCCTATCGGCAGAGCCTAACATAGAGCCAGGTGGCAAAGCAGAACATGATTTACTGAGACCCGTGTCCGGGGTCATAAAGCAGATTATACAGGTGTGTATTTGAAGTTAAAAGGGAGTAGCTTAAAAACTGGCACAGTCCTCTCCCTTTGACTACTTAGCATCCATATAAAGTCTTCTACACATATTGACACTTTTCTACAACAACAAAAGACATTGTTCCTGCCTAAGGCAATGCAACTATCTATCTCACAAATGAAGACATTATTATCCTGTCCCCAAAATGAGAAGCTCCCAAGTTTAATAGTAAAATCATGTATTGTATCTTGTGAAATAGAACCCTAATGCTTTCAAAGTGTCTTCTAACTGGTGCCGTTACTGAATTCTCCACATGCCAGTCTATCTTTGTATTAAGCCAGATGCTTCAGAGTGATGAGGGAACATGGTAAGATCAATTAACCCCATGGGTATGAGTCTGTTGCTACATTCTTTGCAGTGAGATTAGTTTCTTTTTTAAAAAATTTAATTTTATTTTTTATTTTACATTCTGGGGTACATGTGCAGGGTGTGCAGGTTTGTTACATAGGTAGACATGTGCCATAGTGGTTTGCTGCACCTGTATGCATAGCTATTTTTCCTAATCCTCTTTCTCCCCCCAGCTCACCCCACAACAGGCCCCAGTGTGTGTTGTTCCCCTCCCTGTGTCCATATGTTCTCCAAATGAGTTTCTTTTTATGAAGAGATGCCATGTGGAATAACGTGACAAATGAAAAAGACTTTCTGTAAACCCACAAATGGTTGTTCTGGAGAAAATATGATGTGCATCCAGAATATGTCTCTATTCCAGTGATGACATATTTGTAGCCCCTCCAAGTGGGGAGGTGTCCAATGTAATCAGTCTGCTACCTCAAGTGTCTAGAAAATGCCCCTAGTGAATCATGCTTTAATGGCACTGAGTGCTGGCCTCTATTGTTGGTAGGTTGGGCATCTAGCCTTGGTGAGTTGTTGTCTCAACATATTGTTGAGACATGTACTCATTGTCCATGTTGTGCATGTTGTTGAGACATGTCCATGTCAACATATTGTTGAGACATGGACTCATTGTCCATGTCGTGCATGTTGTTGTCTCAACATATTGTTGAGGCCATGGACTGCCTCTGTTCTTACCACTATGGCCACTTTTTGCATTGATCCATTTAGCATGTGTTCTAGTAGTTGAGATAAGAGGCTGATTGACACCCACAAAGTGTGTCATTTTATCCACCTTTGCCATGGAAGTCCTTTGGTGAGCATTCACATGTAAAATGAATACTTTAACACTCTGTTGTGATTCTAAAAGTTCCATCTGCAAACCCCTTTCCCAGACCTTTTTGTCCCCTGTATTCTCATTCTATGGGGTTTTTGTTACCCAAGGCCCTGATCATCCAGCTCAACCATTAGTAACTGTTTATGAATCAATGTAGACTCATCCCTCCGATTGGGTATGTCTACGCCCAGAGAAGATAGACAACCAAATGCACCACTCAACCTCTGGACCCTGTCAGGTTTGCCTTCATCAGTTTTCCAAGGCCACTCTTGAATGATGCCATAATGCTGCCTCTGTCCACTTTCAGTAGTGTTAGTATATTGTGTAGAACCATCTGTACTAGGCCTGAGTTTTTTTTTTTTTTTTTTCCTCAGTCACCTGGTCATAAAATCATGAGACTATAAGAAAGGAAGGAAGGCAGCAGGAGTTACTCAAAGGAGTTGTAGGCACCTGCTCATGCAAATTACTTGTGTGGCTTCAGGACCTGCTCAAGCACAATCTCATATGCAGTCACGCACCTCATAATGACGTTTCAGTTCATGATGTGTTGCATATACAATGGTGGTCATCCAGAAAGCTAAAATTAACTTATCATTGAAGAAAAAAAGTTTTAAATAAATTTATGTAGCCTAATTGGACAGTACTTATAAAGTCTACAGTAGTGTATAGTAATGTCCTAGGCCTTCACATTCACTCACCACTCATTCACTGACTCACCCAGAACAACTTTCAGTCCTGCAAGCTCCATTAGTGCCCTATACAGGTGAACCATGTTTTATCTTTTATACTGTATTTTTACATTTAGATAGTTTTAGATACACAAGCACTTACCATGGTGCTACAGTTGCCTATAGTATTAAATATAGCAACATGCCACACAGGTTTGTAGCCTAGGAGCAATAGGCTGTGCCAGATATTCTAGGTGTGTAGTAGGCTACACTATCACACTAGGTTTGTGTAAGTACACACTATGATGTTTACATAATCACAAAAACACCTAACAGTGCATTGCTCAAAACCATTCTTGTCATTAAGCAATGCATGACTGTATACTGTCTCCACTTGATGACAGGTTGCTTTGGTGCATGTGCAACCTACGTCTTAGTGAGTCAGATAGTGCCAAATCATGGTGGAGATCTAAGGTTACTTGGCCATTCAATATCCCATGGTTTGGTGTTTAGTCTCTAATCCTAGTTTAGGAAAAAGCCAGAAGCTGTTTCTCAAGAGAAAAGAAAAATACTTATCTGTAAAAGAAGGCATAAATTTTCTCCAAAATCCTAAAGGCCCTCACAATGATTATCCTATTGGCATTTATAAGAGGCTCATAGGCATTCCTATTTCACTCAGGCACTTCAGGTATCGTTGGTGATACAGTTTGGTTGTGTCCCCACCCAAATCTCATCTTGAATTTTAGCTCCCATAATTCCCACATGTCATGGGAGGTAATTAAATCATGGGGTCAGGTATTTCCCATGCTATTCTTGTGGTAGTCAGTAAGTTTCATGAGATCTGATGGCTTTATACATGGGAGTTCTCCTGCACAAGTTCTCTCTTTGCTGGCCACCAGGTAAGGCGTCCCTTTGCTCTTCCTTCATCTTCCACCATGATTGTGAGGCCTCCCCAGCCATGCCGAACTGTGAGTCAATTAAACCTCTTTCCTTTATAAATTATCCGGTTGCAGATACGTCTTTATTGGTGTGAGAAGAGACTAATACAACTGGATTTGCTGGGTCATAAAGTAAAGTGTAAATGCTGCTTTATACTGCAGGGCACCAGAGCCTTCTCTTCCCAGGTCCCTCTCAAAGCCCTTTGGAGGTAAAATTAGCACAGTTAAATTTGTTATATGTTGGTTGAAACATGAACAAACACACAAACCATCAAGCACTATGCCTTTTCATTTTTTTTGTGGTAGATGGTCCAAGGTGCAGTAACTTGTCTTTCACATTAGAAGTATTAACAAAAGACCATGAGATCTCCAGAGGAAAAAGGGAGCGATTTATTTTATATGTATATATAAAATATATGCCTATATATTATATATATATAATAAATATATTTTATATTTAAATAAATATATATTTAAAATATATTTTATATTTAAATAAATATATATATTTAAAATAAATATATTGTATATATTTTATATATATTTACATATACATCCGATGCTGGAGGAGACACAGCCTTGGATGTATAATGAAAGCACAGTTGCAGAGAACAAAGAGGGGATTTGGCGTAAATAGGAAAAGTTCCCATCACAGCCCTCAATCAGGCCTGTATATGTAAATGAAGAATTTAAATTTGTTCCATCCTGATTGGTTGAAATAACTGAGTCCTGATTGTGTAGTTTCTAAGCCTCAAACCAGAAGTCTCTGCATGCCACTTTCAGGCTGGTAGGAGGAGCCTTCCAGCCAGTCATGGTGTCTCAGCTCTGGAACTATCTTGGCTCAGAGGTGCAAACAGGTTTATTTGGAGCTGCTCTCTTCAAGAACAAAGGGTAAGTGACCACCTTTCTCTCTCTCACCATAGCCACTGGCTTCCTAGTATCTTGATTTGGGCATCTCTGTAAGCCGCACAGAGTCCATCTCATCTAGAAAGCCTGGGGTCTATTTACAGCTTCATTTCACAGAGCACTAAAATGATATTCTCAAAATCTCTGGACCTGAGTTGGCAGATCCCAGATATTTTACTGAGTTTATCTGCCATTCTCTAGTTCCCATTTCAGGAAGTACCTAAAATATTCTCATGAAATCTAATCAGTGAAATGCTATCAATGTAATAGACTAATGTGATGTGTGGAATTATCAAGACCATTAAGATCTCTACAAAATGCTGTGTGGCAGAGAGCTGGAGAGTTGACATACTTCTGGGCAAGAAAGCAAATGTGTATTTTTGGCCCTGCCAAGGAGCAAAGCAAACTACTCTGGCAGACCTTGAAAACTGGTATGGAGAAAAAATTATTTGTCAGGTCAGTAGCTGCTATCAGGTGCTAGGGGTTGTGTTCATTTGCTCCAGTAAAGATATAACATAAAAGAGCCACTGTAATTGGAGTTACCATGTGATTCACTTTATTATAATCACAGTCATTCTCCAAGAGCCATCTACGTTATGCGCAGGCCAAATAAGCAAGTTAAGTAAAATATTACAGGTATCACCATACATTAATTTTTTTTTTTTGAGTTAGGGTTTCACTCTTGTTGCCCAGTCTGGAGTGCAAAGGCACGATCTCGGCTCACTGCAACATCCGCCTCCTGTGTTCAAGTGATTCTCCTGCCTCAGCCTCCCGAGTAGCTGGGATTACAGGCATGCACCACCATGCCCAGCTAGTTTTTGTATTATTAGTAGAGACAGGGTTTCACCATATTGGCCGGGCTGGTCTCAAACTCCTGACCTCAGGAGATCTGCCTCAGCCTCTCAAAGTTCTGGGATTACAGGTGTGAACCACCACGCCTGGACCATCCATGAATCTTTCAAGTCTTTGATGGCACTAATCTCAGCAATTCTCCCTGGGATGCAGTTGTTTTTGGTTTACTATCCTGGTAGGAAGAAAAAGTTCTAGTGGCTTCCATTTGGTCCTTCCTACAATATTGAGCCTTACTTTATGAGTCACAGGGCGAATGTGGGAATGCTGCTGGTGTCCAAGTACATGAATTCCCATTACATACTCAGAAACTGGGGAAATAATCACAGGGTGGGCCATGAACATTCAGATCTCATGGTGATTTGCATTTGGGCTTAGATGCCATCTCCTTCCTGAGTACAATAATCCCTCACTATTGATAGATTACAGTAGGATTTGGAGTTTATAGGAATTAATGTTAATTCAGGACCAGTGTAAAAATCCCTGATAGGTCTGGGTGTTTCTTTTTCCCCAATGTGCATTAACTCTAGTAAATATCTATAAGTTCCTTTGGGGAAAACTTAGCGAAATATTTATAGGATGTATGTATAGCAGTGCTGCAGCATCCATTCTCAAGGAACCCAATTTCTTCTTCAGCAGAAGGACTTTGGGTTTATGGATTGGCCTAGGTCTGGTAGCGAAGTGAGAAGCCATTACTCTCCATTGTGGCAACTCAAGTCATGCTTTTGGCCACCACACCGCTGGAGTTTTTCCCGTTATATAGATTAAGAAACATTTTATTTGACTCCCCATATATTTCATTTCTAGGAACAACTTGATTAATTACCTGCTTCCCAAAATCCCTGAAAGTTAAAACATTCTGACTATTATTATCCAGCCTTATAAAAGAAGGAAATCCTGCCAGCTGCAACAAAACAGATGAACCTGGAAGACAATATGCTGAATGAAAAAAGCCAGACACAGAAATTCAAATAGTGCTTGATCTCAGTTACATGTGGAATCTAAAAAAGTTTAATTCATAGAAACAGAGAGTAGAAAGGTAGTTACCAGGGCTGGGAAAATGTTGATCAAAGGGTAAAAAGTTTAAGTTACAGGATGAATGTGTTCTGGAGACCTGAAATACAGCATGGTATCTATAATTAATAATAACATATTGCATACTTGAAATTTGCTAAGAAAGTAGATTTAGTATTCTCATCACATGTACACAAAAAGATAACTATGTGAGGTAATGAATATGTTAATTAGCTTGATTGTGGTACTCATTTCACTATATATGTATCAAATATATATATTCATATATATCATATATATGTAGTAAAACATCATGTTATACACCATAAATATATACAATTTTATTTGTAAATTATATTTTAATAAAGCAGGGGAAAAAATTAAAACCAAAAAAAAAACCATTATATTACTCAACCATGGCTAACTTTTATGGTAAATGTGCCTGTCTTATCTTTGGTGGTTAAATACTGCCAACAGAAAAAGTAAAACAAATGTAAACAAAAAAGTAAAACAAACATTCCTTTTACCCCAGGATCTCATCATTTCCATTAAAATCAGAAATTCCATCTCAGTTATGTTATTTTCCATACTCATAGTTGGCTTACAGAAGACAGCCATCACAGAGCTATGTAAAGATGTAGGTGCTTTGCACATGTATGTGTTTCTCAATAATGTAATGAAGGTATTGGGTTGGTTAGGGTGATGTAGTTGGAGGATAGGTGTCACGTTTGCATATTATACAATTTGCCTAATATTCTTCTCTCCCTATGTCTTTGGATTCCTTCCACTTCATCTTACCATGAAATCTCTGCTATCTCCTTCTACTTCAATTTATTCAATTTAAGACACTGTTAAGTTCAATTTTAAGTAAACAAAACAAAGAAACTGTTAGAATCACTTCTGGCTTTACAGCCTAACCCACTATATTAGGAATATTTCAAAATTCCACTTATTTAATAAGTTAGACCTGATCTAGTTTTACATTTCACCATCCTTATTCTAACTCCCCATTGGAATTATCTCCTACACATATTTCCTAGGTTTCTATCAATATTATTTACAAAATCTTGCAATTATTTTGATGTATAAGCTATTTTTCTTTGGGTCAGATTCTGTACCAGACCCATGGAGCATGCTGAGTTCTGAACCTAGTTATAAGTCAGTTATAGTGACAATAAGAGATGGCTGAGGTTAATCTTACATAAAATGAGCATTCACTTGCAAGACAACAGTCCAGTTCCTAGACAGATGGTTGCAGAGTTTTCAGGCAAGGGAAAGCTTGTCTTTTCAGCTACAGGCTGAGTATCCCTTATCTGAAAAGCTTGGGACCAGAAGTGTTTCAAATTTGGGGATTTGGAATATTTGCATACATATAACGAAGTATCTTGGGGATGGAATCCAAGTCTAAACATGAAACTCATGTTTTATATAAATATTATACACGTAGCCTGAAGGTAACTTCATATAATATTTTACAATAATTTTGTGCATGAAACAAAGTTTGTGTTAAGTACTTATGTGTGGAATTTTCCACTTGTAGGTTATGTTGGCATGCACAAAATTTTATATTTTGGAATATTTCAGATTTTGGATGTTCAGATTAGGAATTCTCAGCCTGTTCAGGTAAGCAATTGGCATGTATTTACAGGGGGGCTCAGAGTGACTTGAATCTAAGATTCTCAGCCTCATCTGAGTATGAATTAATTTGTCCATTTCAAGTTTCTGAGTCCCATTTCTTCCTTATCAATGCTTTCACTTTCTTGTGAGAGACTTTGTAAGGCTATGAATTCAATACGTATTGTAATTCTGCAAACTTCACAGTATTTTAAGTATAGCTTCTTAAAATATTGGTCACATGGCTGCAGAAAAATGAGACTTATTTAGGGTTGTCATGAAAAGTTTGTGGTTCTCTGACCATGACTTGAATTGAGAGTTTAAAGACCTATGTTTATAGTTTCCATCTTCTAACCACTCTTGTGCACTTGACAGCAAAAAGCTAATGAGGATGCATCATGATAGGAAGATCAAGCCATGATATGACCTTATTTAAGCTGTGATCATGCTTCCTCCTAGGGTTGGCATGGGGATTGAATAAGTAGATGCTCATAAGAATCCATCCCATACCACAGTCCACATAGGCATCCTTACTCCAGTAAGAGTCAAATGAAATAGTCACTTGGGTTCCCAAGGTTCTTGCTTCAGTAGACACTTCATCACAATCAACCACAGGTGGTGATGTGATTAAGTGTAGTGCATCTACATGCAATTAGTGATTAGCACCTCATTTACCATTGGCAAGGATCTTGATATTGCGTTCAATCTAAGGACATGACCATATTAATCCAACATAACTTTAAGGATTTGTTTCCTAAAATAAATTTCTGGTTATGGAACCAATTACTGTGTAAGGAAGGGCCCATTCAGGAGACAGACACAGTACTGGCTATTTGAACCCAGAAAATTTAATGTAAAGAACTGTTAACTATTTACAAAGTTCTTAAACAGATAAAAGAAAGCATTTTTTTTTTTAAAGATATAAACTGCAGAAAGTAGCTACCACCCCTAGGGCTGAGGGAACAAACGGGAGAGTTTGCAATTATTAATCTTTAGAACCTTAGCTAGGGGCTCTCTGTTGCAGAAATTAAGCCATTTGATGAGAAGGTGCTTGTTCAGCTAGTGCTGGTGCATTGGAGCTTGGAGAAAAGGCCCTGTAGACTTGAGACCTTTGTCTACGGAAAAGGGGTCAGCAGACAGTTGGTGCTGGTGTTTTCAGGCAGAGAACATAATGGAGCTGATCTGCAAGTGCGGGAAAAACTACGAACGGGTTTCACCTGCTGCGTTGAAACAAACAAGCAAACTGGTGTACTATGGAGTCAAAACAACAACAACAACAACAACAACAACAACAACAACAACAACAACAAACTCTGAAGTGCTGCTAGTAGTCACAGCCCTCAGGGAGAATACAGCCAAGACTGTTGCTTGTTCCTTCTCCAGCCTTGCAGTCTCTCACTAGTGCCCCTCACTGGCAGAGCCTAACAAAGCAGAAATGTGGTTTCTGGAATTCTGCCCTAGCATCAAAAAGCAGAGCATAGAGGGTCAGTTTGGAGCTGGGGACAATGACTTCATAAATGGCACAGGCCTCTTCCAGTTATGCACTTATCCCCATTTGTTTATACATCCCGAGCAGGAATCTTCTTAGAAGATAGACAGAGGAAGAAAAACTACATCATGGGATGGTATTTTGTTTTAAATATGTTCAATAAAATCATGTCGTCCCTTGTTCCAGAGATGTTTGACAGTGTTGACAATTTGCTCCTGTTCTCCTAGCTGTTGGAGTGTCACTCTCCCTGGCTCTTCTGCAACTCCTCTGAGAGTTCCATCTTAGTCTAATTCACAGAATTTTCGCTTCATCATTTTTTCCGCAAACCTGCCCTTCCTCCTGTATCTGCCCTTTCAATAAAAGAGATTAACTTCCATGCAGTCACCCAAACTGGAAATGGAAGAGTCACTATTACTTCCTCATCTTATCCAGCCCACCCATCCAAGTGGATATCAAACCTGTGTATTCCACTCCCTAATTATCTCTTACATCTCCCCCTTTAATTCCTTCCCTTTTGCTCCTAACTCTCCTTAGCCCCTCGCCATCACTGATGCGCTTCCTTCTCAATGACTTCCCGGCCTCTACTCTGGGCCTCTCCTTTCCATCTGCCACACTTCTCGGCCTAAACTCCCTCAATGGTTCCCATCACTTCAGCCCAGTGCTTTTCACCCAACACCGTGCTAGAATTACACCAGGAAAACTTTTAAAAATGCAGATGCCTGAACCCTACCCTTAGAGACTTCATTTTAACTGGTCTGGACAGGTGCCCAGCCTCTTACATTTTTTAAACATTCCCCAGTTGATTCTATTGTTTTGCCAGGGTGGTGAGCCACTGCCTGAGCCTAAGTATCCAGTGCTTCTTATAAGCCATCTCATTTCTGTATTTCTAACCATATCTCCGACACCTTTCTTCCAACACACCATGTGCCCTAGTCTTCATGAAATACTTGTTTTCTTGCCTCCAACATCCATTCCACTCCTTTCCTTCCATATACGTTTGTAATTATTCCTTAAGATTCAACATAGGCAACAATCTAAGAAATGACTATTTCCAACGCCTATAACTGTAGAATGAACAGCTAAGAGCATAGATTTCAGAATCTGAAAGGTTTAATCCCAACTCTATCACTTAAAATAGCTGTGTTGGCTGGGCACAGTGGCTCATGCCTGGAATCCCAACACTTTGGGAGACTGGGGTGGGGGCGGATTGCTTGAGGTCAGGCATTCAGGACCAGCCTGGCCAACATGGCAAAACCCCGTCTCTACAAAAAATACAAAAAATTATCCAGGCATGATGGTGCACACCTGTAATCCCAGCTACTGGGGAAGCTGAGGCATGAGAATTGCTTGAGCCTGGGAGATGGAGATTGCAGTGAGCCAAGACCACGCCACTACACCCCAGCCTGGGCAACAGAGCAAGGCTCTGTCTCAAAAAAAAAAAAAAAGTAAAATATCTGTGTGACCTTGGACAAGTTGTGTGACTTATCTAAGCTTTAAATCCTATGTGTCAAATGGAGATAATACCTTCCGTAGAGGATGGGTGACCAAATAAACGGTGTGTTTGTAGTGCCTAATATAGTGCCTGGAAATAGACACAGTAGACATTATCTAATAATCATTAGCATCATACACCTATATCACCTATCTTTCTTTCCCATTAAATGCATGCACAGCATTGGCAAAGACCATATCATTCATTGTTGTACATAATACTTAATACAGAAGATGGCATATTGTAAGTACTAAACAAAATATCTATTGAATGAGTAAAGATATGGTTCCTGTTCCAGATAGCTCAGAGCCTGAATTCTTATTCATTCTTTTCTCTCTCTTGCAATTACATAATGGGTGGTTCATATAGATCTTCATAATTTTTTTTACTTCAAAATAATAAATTAGATAGATGAAAGTTTTGCTTTAATTTGCAAATTAGAATTGTTTATCTGGGTGCCCATTCGTACACATGATAACCTTTTTTTTCAATAATATTTATTGAGAGAAGAGAAAATAATTATATTGGAGAGACATTTGCACCCCCATGTTTATTGCAGCACTATTTACAATAGCCAAGATACGGAACAAATCTAGGTGTCCAACAGCAGATAAGTGGATGAAGAAAATGTGGCATATATATATATATATATATACACACACACACACACACACACACACACACACACACACACACCATGGAATACTATTCAGCCATAAAAAAGAAAAAAAATCCTGTCATTGACAGTAACATGAATGGAATTGGAAGACATTATGGTAAGTGAAATAAGCCAGGGATAGAAAGATAAACACTGAATATTCTCACTCTCATGTGGAAGCTAAGAAAAGCTAATATCATAGCAGTAAAAAGTTGAACAGAGGATGCTAGAGGCTGAGAAAGGAGGGATATGGGAAGATCTGTTAAAGAATAAAAATTATGGCTGGGCGTGGTGGCTCACGCCTGTAATCCCAGCACTTCAGTAGGCCGAGGTGGACCGATCATCTGAGGTGGGGAGTTTGAGACCAACCTGACCAACATGGAGAAACCCCGTCTCCACTAAAAATACAAAATTAGCCAGGCATGGTGACGCATGCCTGTAATCCCAGCCACTCAGGAGGCTGAGGCAGGAGAATCACTTGAACCCGGGAGGCAGAGGTTGTGCTGAGCCAAGCTTGTGCTATTGCACTCCAGCCTGGGCAACAAGAGTAAAATTCTGTCTCAAAGAAAAAAATTACAGCTATATAGGAGGGATTATTTCTATTATTCTGTACCTCTATGGGATGACTCTAGTTAACAATAATATATAGTTTCAAATAGCTAGAAAGAGAATATTTAATGTTCCTAACACAAGGAAATAAGTATTTGAGATGATGGATTTGCTAATTATCCTGATCTAATCACTATATATGTATCAAGACATCACTGTGTACCTCATACATATATGCAACTATTATTTGTCAACTAAAAATAAAATAATAATATTTATTGAACATTACATCACTCTAGGCACTGAAAAGAGATTCATGAACTTCTGTACTGGCCCATTAAACATTTAAGAGTATATAAGGCATTGGAATGAAAGAAAGAAGGAAGAAAGGAAAAAATAGAGGGAGGGAAGCCACTCCTTCCATTAATACTGGCACCTTTTGCAAATTTCCTCTTTACTCCTCATGGTGTTTTTTAAAGAAAGTCTATACAATCTCTCAGGACCTATTTCAAATGTCACCCTTTCCCAAAAGCTTGAGTGATCCTCCAGTTGAAATCAATCATTTCCCAGTGAATGTGTGGTCATTGTACCTGATACCTGTTTTATACCTACTGCCCTCATCTCATGCTGGAGACATCTGGTCTACCTTTGACTCCAACACTGTGTACTCTGTGAGACAGGGTGATGCCATATATTTTTCATACTCTCACAATATATAGCATAGCTCCATATATGTAATACTTAAGCCCAACAACTGTTTTTTGACTGCAATTATATCTCTTATTGAGGGTTTTTTCCACCCTCTTTTTACCCTCACTTACTGGAATATTTATACCACAATCAAGAGGATCATCATCACTGCCATCATCATCATCATCGTGTAGGTATAAACATCATTACAATTAGAGAAGCTGTAAAAAAAATTGAAAAAGTGTTTTTTTATTTAAACTCAGTGAGAAAAAAACATAACCACAAAGTCGCTTATCTTTAAAACTTTTTGGTGAAGGTAGAGAAGTGCCATAAAAAAACACAACATATTTCTGAAACCTCAATTTCCTGTGAGTCATCCTTAGGGAAATACAATATGAAAAGAATCAGCACAGATTCCAGATGGGAAGGTTCCTTGAAATACCCTTGGAGTTGCATGAGGATGTCTTATGAATTCAATGGTTTGTGATTTATTAATCTATACTGGGTCTGGATAAGAAATGTGTAATCCAGACTCGTCCTTCTCACTCTCTGTCTCTTGCTCTCCAAGTCTTCTTATTTCAAGTGTTCACAGTAAAGTTGCCTAAACAAGGAGGATTTTTTGAGTTTATGGAATTCAGTAATAGTTGCTAATAACATTCTTGGAGTTGCTTCATCGGGTTACTTTGTTGAATAGGTATAGATGATCAGTCTCATTTTTTATTCAGTGAATCAGTTACTACTGGCAAGAAGCAATACGTCATGGAGATTAAGGGTATGAGACGTGAAGTTAAATTTCCTGGGTTTGTATGTTAACTCAACTAAATTATGAACTGTGTGACCATCAACTGGTAACTGAACCTCTTTGTGTTTCAGTTTCCCAATCTTACCTATCTCTTAACATGTATTTGCACTATTAGATTAATTAGTATATATCAATTTCTTACTAGCACATATAAGTACTCAGTAAGTCTTAGATATCATTATCAAAATTAAAACTTTTATCTTTCCCAAACTTAACCCAAACATGCCCCTTTCTCCCTCCCTCTGCTCCTTCCTTCTTTCGTTCCTTCCTTCCTTCTTTTCTCCCTTCACTTCCTACTTCCTTCTTTCCTTTCTTCCTTCACTCCCTTCCTTTCTTCCTTCACTCCCTTCTTCCTTAACAGATATTATTGAAAAACTATGGATGCCCCATAATCCTCTATGTGTATGGAGAAAAAGAGGTAAACAAAACAGAAAACCTTCTTTTCATAAGGGGAGTCTTTGTTCATGAAAGGGGCCCTGACAATAAGCAAATCAATCTACAACATAATGCCAGAGAGCAATGACGAATATGCATTGTGAGGGAAAACAAAACAAGGTAAAGTGAACATGGGACTGTTGCAAGTACAAAGGGGAATAATAACATAGGGAAATTTGAAGTGAACTAAAGTGAATAATTGTTTTAAATTGCATAGTACATAATGTGTGTTTGCTGTTTTAAACTTATGTGAAGAAGGTGCTCATCTAAACTGCTATACTTTGCTCTGTCAGTTTATACTTGTCCTGGAGACATTTGGAAGCCCAGATTGCCATAAAGTATAGCTAACCAGGAAGAAAGGGATCTGGGATCCTTGACACATGCTCTAGGATCTATAGAGAATCCACAAAGCCTGAAAGGCAGTGATCGAGGGCAGTTCAATCTCTAGTCAATATTACAGAGTCCCTGGTTAAGTAATAATGGTAGTGGCATTTTAAAAATTATGAAACTGAGACTTCTGGAGGCCAAATGACTTGTATTGGTTTCATAATTTGTACATGGGAATTTAATACCTACCTGATGGATTTGTAGTAGAGATTAAAGCTAGTGGATGAAAGTGAGGAATGAATGACTAAACCCATCACGATTGGACTCCACGTCTATGGTATCTTCACCAGGCAGCCCTCCTGAGCCCAGCAGGGAGACTAACATTGGCATGAAGGACATCTCCCTCCAAGGCTGAGAATGCTTGTGCAAGGGTGATGAGTACTGTTTGAAGATACAGGGACTATTAGGACAAGAAAAATCCCTCAAACTAAAGGAACTAAAGTGCCTGGCATTAAAACAAGATAAGAACTGGGGCAAGAGGAAAGAGATACCAGAACAAAGGTTTAAGAGAGTAGCTTTTTAAGAAGATCAACACAGAAGCACAGTTATTAGAAGTAAGTCACAGGTGAATATGAGATTAATAGCAAATTTTGCTTCCCTGCTCACTAGAAAATATATAGGGCTTCATATTTCCTAGATACAGATGGAGCCTGTCCTTGTGCTTAAGGTGTAATTAAGAAGTGTTGAGGTCAACAGACAGCCATTTATGATGACATTGAAAAATATATAAAGTCATGGATGGACTATAATGTTGATCATGAGTTAATATTCATAATCCTTAATACTTAGGATCCCTAATCATTAAACCTTAAATAGCAACGGCTGTCATGTGTTAATTCCCCTAAATATTTTTATTAAGTATAAAGGTTCAGAAGTAGACACTGTATAGTAGAAAACACAGAGATCTTGAAATTAAAACCTGACTTTTTATTTTAATTCCCAATCAATATGATCTTAGACTAGTCTTCTAATTTCTCTCAGAATCTTCAGCTATAAAATTGACACCATTCTTGCTCTAAATTGGTTATAAAATTGTTATTAAGAAAATATGAGTTAATACACTTGAAAAGTATGAAATACTGACATAAAAGGTGATATTTTTGCTTGCATATACAGTTGCAGGTAAAATTTATTAAACAAGTTGTATACAGTGATTATACTAGGAGTTATTATTATTTAGGATAATTGTGGTGATTCTTTGGCCAAGTTTTCAATCCTTGTAAAAATAAATAGTTTCTCCAATTCATCCATTTATAACCTTTTTTTTGTTGTTGACTTTACTCATATTTTAAGTCAGGATCTTGAGCCCAGGTTATATAAATATTTTACTCAACTGTATGGAAGTGGAAGGCCACTTCTTTTAGAATGGTGATGAAGGCTGCTAGGACAGATATTCTTGGGTGAACCTGATAGTTGAGTGTTGAAAGAACCTCAGACACTTTGTTCGGTGGTAATCTGAACTGAGTAGACTTCAGAGGTGGTCCAGACTGCAGATGGAAACTATCAAGAGCCCATTGCAACAACAGAATAGAAGGCAGCTGTATTATGCAGTTGACCATAACCTACTCAGGGGAGAAGTGGGAAAGATTAAGAACATGGTGGAAAGAATCTGGCTTTTATATGGGTTCAGTTGTGCAATATCATGAAAGTTATTCACTTTTTTCTTTCTCCACACTTATAATTACTCTTCAGTGAGTCCTGTCATTATGCACATGGTTATTTTTTTTTTTTATTTTGAAAAGGACTCAGATGGGAAGAGATGTTTGACTCTCTGTCATTTCCTGGAGACACTGGATTTAGATGAATCTCAATAATATCAGGAATGAAAGAAATATTAGAGAGGTTTAATGCCCTAAGTGCTCTGCATCAGCAAAGGTGCTAGAGGACTTTGACTATTTTGATAATGGTGGTTACTCCTTCTAAGAGTACAAAACTTACCACAATCCTGTAAGGCAAGAGAAACTACTCAGTATTTCTCATGCACTAGGTAGCATCATCCACTTAGTAGACACCTATCTAATTTTTAGAAAACATACATACATAAGAAGAAAGTTATTTTTGTAATATGAATCTTGAACTTTCAAGTCTATAATGTGATGTCGAATGCTCCGGGATACTTGCTGGTCCATGAAGCTAAACAGTCCATGAGTTGAAGCCTTCACTGTTTCCTAGACTTCACTCAAAGGGTTAATTTTATTTATCAGAATCCTCTGTGTTTGGCAGCTTGTGGCACTATTGCACGTGTCCTTAGAAACATTAGAAATGCCCACAATATAATTCTTTCCCTGATCAAAATTCCACTCAAATGAAAACCAGGGATGTAGTTTTCTTCCAACCAAAATTAACTTTGCAACTGTGTCGTCCAGATGTACAACATCTTTGACAGTTTGTTTATGGATTGTACACAAGTACTGCTTTGGAAAAAAAAGAGAAGCTGTTGTTTTGGCAGTTGACTGTCAATGCATTTGGGTAGTTGTTTGTGGAACCTTTACTGGAAATCTGAACATCTGACTGACTCAGAGGATGGCTTTGTTTGGTTCTCTGCCAATCAGATCCTCCTAAGCCCTCAGAATCTTATACACAATTTAGCTTGCTATCACGTTCTATTAAGATACAGCTGTAGTTTGGTGGAGTATGTGTGGCATTTCAAATTATATACTCTAAGAATGGCACATCCAACTTAGTTAATCATGATTCCGGGCATTGCTCTGAATTTCAATGATTTTCTTGCAGAAGAAAAGAGAAGGGATATGAATTTTCCACTATTTTCTTGCTGTTGATGAGTTTGTAACCGCATCAAAAGTCATTTAGAGTCATCTTGTTATTTTAATAGGTTATACCTGCAATGTCATACAATAAAATAATCAACTCATGACTTCTCAGTGACCAAACATCCAGTAAAATGAGTCTTAAAAAAGTTAAATTGAGTCGTATCATTTGCAGAAAAATTGTAAGAATGTTATTAGTGGAGACAGTTTAATTCATCCAAAAGTTTCATTTAAAACACTTTGCCTGTGTCTTAGTCAGCTCAGGCTGACATATACTGCGTGGCTTAAACAACATAAATTTATTTTCTCACCATTCTGGAGCTAGAGGTCCAAGATCAAGATGCCACCATGGTTGGGTTTTGGTGGGGGCACTCTTCCTGGCTTATAGATGCTGTCACATGGTGGGAGTGTGGGAGTAGGGGGCTGAGGAGGTGGGAGTGAGGGTGAGTGGGAGAGACAGCAAGACTAACCTCTCTGGTGTGTCTTCAACTACAATTTTATTTTATTTTATTTTATATTTTATTTTATCTTATCTTATCTTATTTTATTTTATTTTACTTGAAACAAAGTTTCACTCTATGCCCAGGCTGAAGTGTAATGTTGCGATCTTGGCTCACTGCAGCCTCCACCTCCCAGATTCAAGTGATTCTTGTGCCTCAGCCTCTCTAGTAGCTGAGATTACAGGCGTGCATCACCACCCCTGACTAATTCTTATATTTTTAGTAGAGACAGGGTTTCATCATGTTGGCCAGGCTGGTCTCAAGTTCTTGGCATCAAGTGATTCACCCACCTTGGCCTCTCAAAATTCTAGGATTACAGGTGCGAACCACCATGTCTGGGCAACCTTTTGTTTGTTTCGTTTTGTTTTTCATTATTTTTGTAGAACTGTGGTCTCACTATTTTGCCCAGACTAGTCTTAAACTCCTTACCTCAAGCGTTCCTCCCACCTTGGCCTTTCAAAGTATCGGGATTACAGACATGAGCAACCATGCTGTGCCTGGTGTCTCTTCTTAGATTAGTGAAGGGCACCAATCCCATCATAGGGGACCCACCCTCAGAACTTCATCTAAAACTAATTATCTCCTAAAATCCCTATCTCCAAATCAAGTACTCATCACATCATTGGAAGTTAAGGCTTCAACATATGAATGGGGGGACGCATGATTCAGTCCATAGCAGCCTGCTTTGTCACTATTTATACAAACCCCAGCTTCTTGCTCTGAATGTGTAGACTATCCGGAGTCTTTCAAGCCTTTTCAGTCAATGGTATAAGACTCTTAACTAAAATTGATTTCATTTGACTTTAAACTAAATAGTATAAAATATGTAGCCTTCATCCTTGGGGGAACATGGACACTAATAGGGTAAATAAATATTTATAAAATAATGGAGTAATAATTATTACTGGGCCCAAAATAGACATAGACTAAAACAAACCAAAGTAAGTTTCCAGGTGAAAAATTCAAAGTCATTGATATAAGAAGCCAGAGCCATTTCAGTGCTTGGAAGCTGAACCATTCATCTGATGAGCTAATAAACACCAGAGGTTTTGACATTGTGTAGGCATATTTTAGCTCACTAGTAAGTGTGATTTATAATTTATTAGGCTCATCCCCAGAATAGCACAAAGAGTGGTTCAAACAAACCATTGTGGTAGGTCTATGGTGTACTTATCACTCTGGAAGCGGAACACCTGCCTACAGGCTACAGAAAGGGCCCTAAGTTAGAACCTTTAAAACCCACCCACCCATCTCTTCAGTGTCCACTTCCAGCTCAGCAGTCAGTGTGGAGAGCGCACATGTCAACAGACCAAATAGGCCCTAGCTGGCTGGGTCAGCCCGTGAATTTTCCTAGAAGCCTATCTGCCACATCACAGCTGCCAGTACTGGTTGTACAATTCTTTGGCTTTCATCCAAGCAATAGTTAATGATCTGAGATTAGGGATTTTTTCCAAGACATTCAGATGCACCATTGTTCATGTCTCACAGGGTGCCTAAACTTAAGAGCAGTTGTGAAAATAAGTGCTCAAACTTTTAGTAACTCATATCTACCTAGGAGATAGATAGTGACTTTGAAATAAGCTTTTACTTTTCTTAATGTACTATTGACTCTGCTCTCTTGTGAAGATTTGAGTTCAAGTTCAGATTCTGCCACTTATCTATGGATCACTACTCAGAAAATCACTTAACTTTTTGATCCTTATTTATTCATTCATTTCTTTATTCACAGTTATATTAATATTAGACATTTACTAGTTTTGAACCAAATACTTGAGACTATATTATTCAATCTAGTATATTAGTTGCTATTTTAAAAAATCACTCCAGCTGCATAAGTAGCACTCTAGCTCGTATTATATTAAATATTTTATTTTAATTGAATCAACTGATTAATTCATCTAAGACAAGTTTCATTTTCTATTAATTTGCCCTCTACTCATCTTCAATATATTGGATCATTCTTTTAGCATAATTAATTAAGCCAACCTATTGTTTTTATTTTAGACACAAACATATAGAATGAAATAAACCTTGGAGTATTCTATAGGCAAGGATCTGTCTTCAGTCCTGTGAACTCACATTCACTTTTAATTAAGTCCTTGGCATTTAAATGTATGTCCCTCCCTAGAACAGTGATTCTCTAAGTGTGGTCCCTGAACTATCGACATCAACAGCATCTAGGAACTTGCTGGAAATATAAAATCTCACCTCCCCCAAGACCCTGGAAACCAGACCTATTAAATCAGAAACTTTGGTGGTGGGGCCAGGTTAGTGATATGTATTTTAACAAGTCTTCTAGGTTGATCTGATGCATGTTAAAGTTAGAAAACCACTGGCCTAGAATATAAGTGGCATGAGGCCTGAGGTCATGTCTCTTACTCACCAATGAATTCCCCAGTGCCTAGAAAAGTGCTTACATGTCATAGATACAGAATAAATAGTCACTGAATAAGTAAATAAATAAACATGCTTTTATCAATATATTGGAAAGAGGATTATGAGGACTAGCTCACAACTAGCAAACAAGAATAGGAGAGATAACAAACATAAACGACGATAATGTCAGAATCCAGAATGTTCTTAAAGCATGGTTTGATAGATCCAGTAAGAATAAATTTACCATGAGTGACATCAATTTTTGTATATTTGGATAAAAAATGCTTCTGCACTAATATATACTATGAATATATGATTTGATATAATATGAAAAAAATGAATTGGATTTTAACTTAAAATTCATTTGACATGAGTAAATAGTGGGTATAGCTGGAAGAAAACATGCTGATGTAATCTCTAGCTGCATTCTAAGAAGTGTGATATTCTATCTTGAACAAGGAAGGCTCCAATCCTCACTATACTGGTCAGACTTCACTTGAACTATTGAGTTCATTTCTGAGAGGAGAAACACACTAAAAGCATTAAAAGGGGAAATAACTATGATCCATCCATTTATGTTTTTTTAAAAAATAAATAAACGAAAACACTAGTAACTGGGACTAAACACTCAGAATACAAGCAGGAAAAAGACACAGTCACTGATTTTAAGGAGCTCACATATGACAGAGGAGCCAGGCACCTGTGACATATATGAAGCATGGAGCTCTCATCAGGTAGCGTGACTGCTATAGGGAAGGCTTGGTCAACAGGCTCTGTGGGTCAGGAAATTTACTGGTCTGAAAAACAATGTTCTTTCAGGCACAGTTTTAAAAATTGGAAATCTCCAGCCTAGAGAAAGTAGGCAAAGTAATAGCTGTCATAAAATATTTGAAGTGCTGTCATAAAGGTTCCAAGTAGCACATAGGATTGCGATGGACATAACTCTGGGAAGATAGAAAGTTTGACATAAGAAAAAACTTTCAAAAACTGAAAACTGCCAAAACTTGGAAAGAATTTCTTGAGGGAGAAAAAGGGAACATAAGCTAGAGACTACGCTAAGGAAGAATTTAGCTTTGGAAAGTGATTGGAGTTTATAACTTTTATGTTCCCCTTTACTTGGAGATTCTATATAATTTACTGTGTTTCTAGTTAGGACAGAGAGAAAACTAATTGGTTTCGTTTTCTTCCAGTTTATTTTAAAGGCAAATATCTTTTAAATGTCTTTAGTTTTATTTAACCCAGAAGTCCTTTGACTTAGGGTTTATTTAACCTAGAAGTCCCAAATTCAATAGGTAGAGGACAAGCGAGTCATGTAAAATAGACATCCAGGTGACAAGAGAAGAGTGGAGAAGGGTGAAGAGTGGAACTGGAGTATAGATCAAAACTTCAGGGTGGAAGGAAGCAAAATCTATCCATAACTCGGGGACAAATCTAGGAGAATGTGGACAGCCAGGCAAAGAAATATAGTTTGACATCAGAGGGGACTACTGGAGTTTCTTCAGTATAGGATGATGTGATGAAATCAGCATTTTAGGAAGACTAGGCTGTCAGTTAAGTACTGTGAGGATTCAACTATTAAATAGGAGCCAGATGTGAAGTTTAGAAAGTAAAGGTGGAAAAAGAGGGCAATACATGACCCATTGACAAACAAGGTTCATCAGGACTTGTTCACTGACTGCAATTGCAGTTGAAAAAAAAAGGAAGGATCCAAAATTATCGGACGATTTCAAGTCTGTGGACTAAGAGAATGGTGATACCATTGACAGAACAGAGGAGTTGGTAAGGTATTTTATGGAATCTAGATGCGAACATCCTGAAAGCATTTGAAAAGTTTCTGTGTCATTTCCTTCCTGATGATTTCCTCTTAGATTAGGAGAGATGCATTCCTGAAGAGAATGATTCAGAGATGTGCAGAGTTATAGCCCTAGTGAGTGAAAAGCTTTTCTTCCATTTCATTTCTATTGTCTGAAGAGACAATCATTAAACTACCTTAGCTTCTTATCACTTCATCTTTTGTTAACTTTCTATTTATTCTTTTAAATTAATAACAGCAAAATAATTTTTTGACGTTTTTAGATGTTGTCACTATTTCATTGTTGTTTGCAGCAAGTCATGCACTGGTTTTCAAAGTGAGTAAGTTTCTTTAAGGTCTTTAAAATTACATTATAATATTGTTTAGTTTTTTGTATATTAAATTTGTATATTAAAAATAATACTCTATGTTAAAGAGAATGTGGTATAATGGTATTTCTCTTACATGACCAGTCACTTCTTTCACAAAATATTTAATATGAAGAATTTCCTTCGTGTATAAAAGAAAATCACATATACTGTTAGCAATTTTCAAGTAATGGACAATCTTATCTCTTCCCTACCTACTTAGCCCCTATCTCAAATTATTTTAAAGAAAATTCTATACAGCATATTATCTCTAAACATTTCAGTATGCATCTATAAAATATATGAAATCATTTGAAAATATAATCACGATGTCATATTGCATCTAACAAAATTAAAATTCCAAAATATCATGAATACCCAGCTATCTTATAGTTCTATAATATATTTTTTGCTTCTAAATCCAAATTAGGTCTATACATTGTATTTTATTGGGATATTTCCTAAATATTTTAAAATCTATATATACTCCTCTGATATCTCTATTCCTTTTTTCTTTTGGTTAAAGGGACTGTATTTTGTCCTATAGAATTCTTCACAGTCTGAATTTTTCTGATTGCATCACCCATGGGTGTCATTCTACCGTTGTCTCTTTCCTCTATATTTCATTTAAGTTATTAGACAGTTGGAGTAGTTAAATCAGTGTCAGGTTCAATTTTCTTTCAGGCAAAATTACTTCTTAGGTGGTGTTTTGCCCCATTAGAAGATACATGATGTCTGGTTGTCCCTCTTTTTGTGATGTTAGCAGCCTTTGATGATTATTTTCATAGTGTAAATTTTTACACAAGACATTATTCACAAAGACAATGCTAAACATTTTCAGCACCTACATTGCTTTCATGGAGCTTTGAAAGAATTACCAATAATTTCAACTCTTCCTTATTTATCTCTTATAACATATTTTTGTGTCCTAAATAATTCATTTAACAAGTAATTTAAGAATAAAAATTTTTTTAATAATATAAAAGTTAGAAAACAGTATTTGGTTATTTGAATAATTATATACAGTAGGTGTGCAGTTTCACAGAGCTCATTTACCTGTAAGTATTTTCTGTTTCCTTTGTTTCTTCCATGTCATCAATTATTCCTTTAAATAAAGTCTTGCCATTTTTTGTCAAACTCATTCCACTGATGTTACAGACGGCGAATGTTCACTGACATTGGGAAGGCTGAAAGTTCTAATTTGCTTATTTATGTTTTAGTTTTCTACAGTGATCAAGCTGCCCTGCTGGGTTTTCTAGGTCGTTGATAACCTCAGTCCACACTTTGGAAATAAGAATCTCTTATTTCATATTCAATATTTTGTTTCCTAATATAATTTTATTTAAAATTTATACATAATTTTGACAACCAAAGTTTAATAATTTATATGTTCATAATAAGATAAGAATGTGACTTAAATTTTTGTTTTCATATTTCTTTGACTACCAATACACTTGGCTTATATTTGGCTCATATTCATTAAAAATGCCACTTCCATATAACTTCCTGCATTTTAAACATTTATTTGCTCTTTATCTCTGCATAGGTAAAGTACATACTTTTAGGTTCTTATATTGCTCATTTATGGAGCTTTTAAGGCAAACACATTCACTCCCCTCTCATTTTCTTTCCATGGTTATATCATTCTGACTAAAATTGCTGGTAAGAAAAGCATGGGCTAGCATGATAAGCCCTGGAAAAATAAAACTGTTTTTTCTTAATCATTTGAGAACTGGCCAAGGATTCTAAAATTAAAGAAACAAATAAATCAGACAAATAAACTCCAGCAAATATTTATATTTGGAAACAATTTCTTTTAAAAATATTAATATTGCATTGCTCTGTTTTTAAATTGACCTTTCTCTCTAATCAGGCTCCATTTAATCGTAAAAAGAGGAAAAAAGAAGAATTATCAGGCCATTCAGTGACCTTTAGAAATATCTATTCACCTCCTGTAACCTTTATAATTTATTGCTTTTTGTTGTTGTTTTTGTTGTTTCATGAGGTGTGAGAGCAGGAGAAGGTCTGTCTGAAGAAATGAGGCAGACTGAAGATGACAAATTATTATGTCAGAGAGAGAGCTCAAATAAGAAACACCATCATAGAATGGCCAGATGGTCTGGATAATGACACTGTATATACCCAAAGAAAACCACAGCTGTTTATAAATGTATCTGTTGACAAATGTTCATTTTGAATGGAAACCTACTCCAATGAACCAATGAGACTATTTAATTGAAGTTTAATATGAAAGAGGAAGAAATTTAATAATAGAACAGAACTTTAAAGAACTATCAGCTTTCAGCTCAGCACGCACCCTAGTTCCTTGAATGTATTTTTATTATATGCTAGTTAGGGCTAATTATAACCAAATGTTTGAGTATATATTCCATGTACTTGGTCTCAACATCGTATTTGTGTCCCATGTGGTAAAGAGTTTTCCACTCAAAACTTTAATTACTCTTATGCATGTGCGTGAGTGGACAGGATGTATGTATCTATGGAAATTAATAGGCCTTTGAGTCTTGTCCTGATTCCCAAGGAATAACTTATACCCACAGGAAGCCATCAACTGCTGCCTTTTCTCTAAGATAATAAAATGCCCTCATCTGTCTCATAGAAGCAGGGCCACATGTTGTTTTTGGAATTCACAAAATTCTTCAAGACCTATAGCTTTAATGACTTTAAAAACAAGGGTTTATTCCCATAAAGCCTCACTCTTTCCTGTACATAGACCAGGCAGATCTGCCAATTTTTCAGCATGATCAGAAAATTCTAGAGCTGAAAGAATATCTGAAGTTCTGTTGATTTAGCCCCCATGTTTCTAGCCAGGTGAATGATTTCCAAGACATATATCACTGATGTAGTTACAGATGTAATTGGTGCAGTGAGCACACGAGATGTTTTTACTCAACTAATTCTTCTCTGAGGAAAATAGAAATTATATTCACTTAAACAACACATTTAACTCAAAGGATAAATGCTTGAGGGGATGGATACTCCCTTCTCCATGATGTGTTTATTTCACATTGCCTGCCTGTATCAAAACATCTCATGTATCCCATAAATATACACACCTATGTACCCACAAAAATTTAAAAAAATAAAGAACCAAACAACACATTAATGTGATTTTCCACACAATTGAACAGAATAAAGCATTTATATAGTAGAAAAATAGTAGCGAATTATCACTTTTCTGCTTAGATTATTTCTTGCTTTGAGATGAGTTTTCTGTTGTTATCATCGCTGCTCAACGCTAACAGAAGCTCCTGTGTTGGTGTTTGTTAATCTCCCGCATTATGTGTATCGCTAATGTCCTACCTTGAAAATTTTCCCATCACTTTTCTGTTCAATGAAAATATTTTTTTCCATGAATCTCAACCAACTTGTGATAAATTTTGCAATGGAACTTTTCCATTGTTAAACATTGAATAATTCTAAACACATTTAAGATAGCAGCCATTTTTAACCAAAGATTCTCCAAGTCACAAATGGTTACGGCTGATCCCCCTAGCAGTGTGTGTTTGCCCAGATAATCTGAAATCACTAATGAATATCTCTAGTACATGCAGAGATTTCAGTAACAGACTGTGTAAACTTAGATTTTAAATAAATGTCAGTTTTATTCTACAAACTACCTTCATCGGTTCTCCTTTGGTTTGTCCACATGTCTCAGTGTTTTTTGGACTAGACAAACTTTTCTGTTACAATTCTTAAGCCTCTACCTTACAGTATGCAGGGTAGTTGAAGCACCTCTTTTAATTTTACTGTTAATTTTATAGGTAAATTAAATTATTGCTTATTTTTCTTCTTCAGGTGATGTAAAACAAATATTAATTTTCCCATTGACTGCTCATATAAAGTCTTTATTGTGTTTGGAGGAAAATTTTTCCATTGGATCAGTTTCCTCAACTCTTCAGTTTGTCTTGGCTATGAGGCACAGAAACATTAGCTCAGTTAAAATTAAAACCCTTAATGTAATGCTAATTCTACCAGGTAACTAAATGGTTTGTACATAAAAGACACTCCAGTCATTTCAGAGCAATTTATGTCAACTCATGCCTAATGCATGTCAGTGTATTTGTGAAAGTTTCTTGATATGGATGCCATTGCCACAGTTCCCGTTGGGAGCATAAACAAATAACAACAAAGATTATTGTTAATTAACAACAATTTACAACAAGAAAGAAGATTTTATTGTTTTTAGAGTCCTACAAGTGCAATAACCACAGTTCTCATTCCTCCTTATCCCTTTGGTGTTTTCAATTCCACTTGGAACTCATTATCTCAACAAAGTCACTTGGACATGTTGGCCCCTTTGATAACTACAGGAGACCAAAACATATTCTAACTGAAAAAGTGAAAATTTCTTTTTGAATCATCTGGCTGTTTTGTCAAAATGATGCCAAACATCTGGATATTTGGGATGCCTCCAGATGATTGACTGAATTTTTCATTTTCAACCAACATGGTTTCTGGTGTCGTGGAAACACAGCATCAGGTTTTGTTTACACAGTGGCCCTAAGCCAATTGCTAAAGAGTAAACTGGTGCCTACCCACATGAGCTGTCTGTCTGATAAGAGGGAACATCTGCTATTAGTTACGTCTTTGTTTTGTACCCTAAGAGGGTTGTGGGAGGTGGAGGGGTTGGCTAGTGATAGTGAAAGGTAAGATCAAAGATGAAAAAAGATTCTAGATCTTGAAAGACCTTCAAAACTATGTAAAGGAATTCAGACTTTTTTCTGAGGGAATATTAGAGAACCATTGAAGCGCTATACATGGAGATCTAAAGTGTTTACTCTTGATTTAAGAAATAGTCACTTATTCACAGGTTACCAACTTGATTGGAGTCAAGGTAACTAGAAGTAGTAAATAGGCTATAAAAAGTCTATTGCAGTAATCCAGATGAAAAACTGACTATAGTATTGGCAGTGGTGATAGAGATACATTGAAGAAATATACCTTATGTAAATTACTATGCAGTAATATACCTTACGTAATCAGAAATATACCTTATGTAAATTACTATGCAAGTCTGTATAGGACAGAATGAAAGGGAAAGCAACTGGAAAATGAAATATCAGTTTGAAGAAAATTATAATGGACTACATGAGAAGTAAGGCCTAAATAAGGGCAATGACTGTGGGTATGGAGGAGTAAATGGATATGAGAGAGGTGGAAGAGCTAGAATGTCTAGAATTCAGAAGGATTTGCCTGAAGTTTAAGGATGAATGTGTATTCAAAGGCTAGTGAGGTTTCAAGACAGGGTGACTGAGAAGACAATACCAACAACAACCAAAAAAATAAGGAATTCAGGAAGTCTAGGTTTGATGAAAGGGAGTTCACCTTGAGATGTTGGTGACAGCTAGATACAGCTCAGTGGAGATATTTTGCAAGTGGTTTTAAAATGCATAACTAGAGGTTAAGTGTGAGGTTGGGACCAGGTATGTAGATTTGAAAACAGAAAAGTAAGTAAAATTTTCAAGAAGAGAAGAGGGTGGAAGAGCTACTATTATGCCATAGGAGAGAAATGATTAAACAAATCAGGGGATAGAAAATGATTAATCCTCAAGAAAGAAGGAAAGAGAAAAATAAGAGAGGCCAATGTCACTTGAGCCATGTAGCACGCCCTTCTGTGTCTGTGCGCCTCCACCATGTATATTCCCCGGGCATAGAACTCCTCAGAATTTTTCTACTCACCTGAGATGACAATTTGTAAAGGAAAAGAAGACTCTTGGGTTGTGATAAAATATATTTATTTTCTTTTTGTTTTCCAAACACCAGACTGGCTCTGGATCTTAAAAGCAATTATTATGACAATGAAACAGACTGTAACTATAGCTCCTCCATACCTCTCTCTGTGATTCGTGCTACACAGGGAAAGTTCTTTGCTTTACTTCTTAACTCTAGTACCTCCGGTTTATTTACTTGTGCCTTCGTTTGTCTTGTGTCTTCATCCTAGTGACTTAACTATACATTGATCGAGTTGTTCTGAGTTGAATCCAACAAGACTTCAGTCTAACTGCTTCGATCTCTACCTTTCTGTCTGAGCTCAGAGGGTCTGACTCTTATGACTATGGATTTGGTGATAGACTCACACTGCCTATCCCCATATGATAATCAGCGACTATTCCCCATCTCTGACCCTCCACTGACTTCCAGTGGCCACTGGCTCCATCACTCCATTTAGAATGCAGAATTGACATCTTTAATTCAAATATATTTAGTTCAGGCCCCAAGGGGCAAGAAAAGTTCAGCAAGGGAATAAGTGAAATACTGCAGAGAGGCTGAGAAGGATAATAGAGAAAGGATCATTGGATTTGGTAATGAATAATGGATATCTAAAGACAGTAGAGTGTTGCGAGCAGAATAAAGACTATTAAGAGATAAAGAAGAGTAGGTACCTCCATTTACAGAAATTAAATCTATGTCAGAAAGTGCTTATTTACAGTGAGTTTTCTTCAGCATCTTATTTAACTCCTTTTATAAAAGTCTATAATGGAATTTCAAATCGAAGTGCTTTCTCTCTCTCTCTAATTATGTCCTTGTAGCCAGTGTATGGTTGATGTTGACGGTACAATTTAAACTCCCAGCAGGAAAGTTCCCCACTGTTTAGTTTTTAACTTTCTCAGTGCTCCTTATATTCAACTACTTTTTAGAAAGTGATTCCTGTTGGTATCAAATCCTCCCCAGCTGGTCTTTCCAGACATTTATTTGAGGCACCAACACAGATGAAAATAAAATACAGCTATGAGAAAAATAAAATTGAGTTTATGGCAGGCTGTATTCAATAAACAAGGAGGAAAGCTAGCATGTTCCTTCCCTCTTATAGCAGTAACAATATTACTACAAACTCAAAAAGAACAATCTTGAGGACAAATTCTCCCTTCTGCATTGGCTGTCTCACATTTCACTGGCATCGTGGAAGGTGGAAACTTGGTTTTAGGGCAAAAATCCAACTCAACTGGCCATAAGAAAGTCTCTGACCCAGAACACTTGAAATGTCCATGAGAGGTTCTTTGCCACCTCTGGTTGTCTTTGGGTATCTAAAAATACAGGGTTGCTTTGAAAATATCTAAGGCTTGGAAAGCACTTCTTATGTAATAGTTTTGGGTGAGAAATATGAGAACAGCTACATTCCAAGCTAATAGTCAGTGCTTTGGACTCATATAAAAAGAATCTTAACACAATTTCATTTTAGAGGATAATACAAGTAGTTTTGCAAGGTTTGGTTGATCATCTATTGCAGACAGTATTTGCTGTCAACCATTTATCTTATTCTTTCTCCCTTGAGGGCAGAGCCCTGGTTTTGTTCTGCTCCACCCTTTCCCCATAGGACTCAGTGGAGGATGCCCCTACCTAACTCCAGAGGTAGATCCTGGTTGGTATAAACCAGTCAAGGTAGGCCTTTCTCCATACTAGTGATGATTTATTGGAGGGCATATGATGCAGTTCTGGCCAATGAAACGTAACAGGAGAGTTGTTGGGGGCTTCTGAGATACATGTTTCAGCTTCTGTTTTTGCCTCCGGGCATTGTTGGACCTAGATGTGATGCCTCCTCCAACCCCAAGGATAGCTTATCTGAAGATAAATCTGGCAAATACCCAAGTGAAGGATAGAAAGACCCTGCATCTCTGAATCGCCTTCAGCTAGTGAACACAATAATGTTGAAACTCACCTTCCCTGTGGATGGCTGCCTCTAGGCAGTCATGCATTTTCTTCTTATTTATTGAATCAGATATTTTTAAACTGCAAACAAATGAATGATAACTGTTTTGGGGTCTTCCATTTCAACATACATTATTGGACAGGGACAATAGACCAAGGTGTGATTTGCAGAATCTAGTAATTAATCATATTCAAAAGCGGAAATCATAAATTACTATCTTAAAATTACCTCAAATAATAGCAATTTCAATATGATCATTACTATTATGTGTCAGTGTGTTAGGTGTTTGACATATCGTATCTCATTTGTTTTTCTTATTAATGTTGAACAGTATGTACCAATAATCCCCAGTTTTCAGATATGGGTCATAGACACTAAGCAACTTGTATAGGGACACACAGTGAGTATAACAATAATAATAACTAATATTTATTTTGTACATATTATAATCTATATTCCAGGTAGTTTCTAAGCATTTTATATGCATAGCATTAACTTAGTAATTGTTACATCAACTCTATGAAGAAAATACTATTATTATTTTTCATGTTTTATAGGTTAGAAAGCTGAAGCTTGGAAAATGTCAGTAAATTTCCCAATGCCACATAACTAGTAAATGGCAATGTGAGATGCATGCCCCCAAGCATAACTTCAGAGCCTGCACACTTACTGCCTCTCTGTGATTTAGAGCCATAATTCAGAATTAAAACCTATGTCTAAATTCTAAACCTATGTTTTTCCCTCTAGGTCTGGTAAAAATCTAAAAATACATTTTGGCTGCCTTCTCTGTTTTACAGACCCAGAATAAAACCAAAAATCAAAAAACTATTTTGATTATGTGAATGAAACAGGCATACACTCTGAGTGGGAAAGGAAAAATCAGATAACTTGTTCCCTTTTTGACTTCAGAGATGCTTCTGTTGTGTTCCACGACAGAATGGTGGGTTGAAGCAATAAACTAGTGTCAAGGCACATGTGGAAACAGTCCAAGACCTTCTATAGCAAGTCATTCAGGGTGATCCAGATAAATCTTGTCCCACTGTTGTAGCTGATGAAAGAATTAAAGTGACTATTTGGTAAAAGTCACTGGGCATATGGAAGGATCTAAAACATATTCAAAATAGATGCAGAAAACGTAGGGCAAAGAACGAGATATTATATCCTATTTACTTTGTCTTTCTAAAGTCCTTATTGATTGTGAAAGTTTATACAATGTGTAGTTGAATGTTCACGATTTTTATTTCCATTCAACACGCATTTACTATGAAGCTGACCCTGCTATGCCTGCTAGGCCCATAGGGATGCATCTCCCAACATCTTCCCATCACAGTTGGGGACAATTCAAGTTCTTCCTTTGATCTACAAAAATCTCACCACTGCTACTTCTCTGATCCCATTTCCTACAACCATGGCCCATGCATACTCTTCTGTAGCTGCACTGCTCCTTTGGCCTCTGGTAGGGCAGGTTGATCTACCTTCTGACTTGGAGTATTTACTGTGCACTCTCGCTCTCTCAGTGCAGACCACCCTCCTTTCAGAGATTCACATGAGTAATTCACGCCCTCACTTGATTCAGGTCTGGGCTTAAATGTTATCCCACCTGTCACTATCCTCTCACTCTAATTTATTTTGATTTATATTACTTATGTATTGTGCATTTATTTATTTATTGTTTTATTTTCTTACCTGTCCTGCCCCTTTTTTTGTAGAGACTTTGTTTTGCTCATGGCTATATCCTGAGCACCTACTATAGTGACCAACACATAGTTAGAACTCAACACGCATTTCTTTTCTTCTTCTTTTTTTTTTTTTTTAAGATGTCACTAAAGGATATAGTAGGAGCTCTAGGATATGGCATGAGCTCACTTCCAGGGACTCAAAGTCCAGCACTGGCCATTTAACATAAGCCAAAAGATTTAAGCGAACAATCTACTATTACATGATACAGATAAGAAAAAAAACTCAAAATTGCCTTTTCCATTTTGACATCTGAACATAGGTTAGTAATAATAAAAGCTGTTAAACTCAGCTTCTGCTGCAATTTTAAAAATCTGCAGGTACCCTCCTTGATTATTGATGTGGAAATTACTGATTAGTCTCTATTTGATGCCACTGGTCAATAAGGCCTTCCCTTGTAACACAGAAACTTGCAACATAATGATTAATATGGAATGGCAGAACTAGCAAAAATCTAGGCTAGGCAAGAAGCAGTATTGTTCTTGATTTCACCTCACACCTAAAATCAACTCAAATGAATTTTGCAAAAGCCTTGGCATTTGGAAATGTGGATTGTGTGAGCAACTTCTACCCAAGCAAATCCAGTACATTCCATTTTTGTGCTGAGCATAGAGCTGGCCTGATAATTGGTGCCAAAACCAGATGTTTGACTTTGGAAAAAGGGCATTCCACACATTCATCAAAAACACTTCTTGGCAAATCCAGCAGTACAGGACACATATGTGTCTCCATGGTCGATAGTGCAGAAACCACATTGGTTATATATGAGAAGCATTGTAAAACTGGATGTATTTATAGAAATGCTTATATAACATGCAGTTATTTTTAACAAGAAAGAGTTGAAGTTGTTTAGTGCAGATGCATAAATTGTCTTACAAATAAAATGATTGATTGCAACAGAATTCACACTTTCTGATATCATCCAATAGCTATACAGTCAAGTGTTTACCATACATGGCAGACTGGACATCAGACAAAAAGATCTAATAAGCAAGGATCTTGATGTCAGAAAAAGTGCATGCTGTCAAAGAAGAAGGAGAGGTTCATGCTTGTAGATAAATCAAATGAGCTTGAGAAATTGGCCACATTACTTTTATGGCCATCAGTGTGCAGCAGAGAACCTACTAGATAAAGAATTTGCTTTTTTTGGGTTCTAGTGATGGGTACAACCGAATTCTTCAGTGGTACCTCATTGTGTCTTCTATACTAATGAAAGCTCTCAACTGATAAATGAAAAAGAACAGGACAACCAGGTTCTTCATCCTAATTGTTTACAAAATTTGTAAGTTCTGAAACATAGGTGATGTTAAAAAGAAAACCTCCCATTCAAGGTGTTATATTATTATGACCTAAATAAACACCTCTTCACCTTACCCCAACAGATATATATAAATACACGCAAAGTGATAAGAACTCAAAGGATAAAAAGGTCACTGTAGATAAAAAGTTCTGTCTTCTCGGGGAATTGAGCCTCAAATGCGGGGTGAGATGTGAAGAATATAAAGGAAATTCCATGGCAGAGAGAGATGGTATGAACGAGTGACATATTTTGTAACAATGCAGAGAGGTCTTAACCTAAAGGAGGTGGTAGGACTATGACTATTTGAGAGTTTTGGCCAAAAGAAAAAATAGATAATTTCATCTGTTTGTTCACATTGTGTCTCCAGAACCTAAAACAGCACCTAACATACAGTAGATAGATAGTAAATGTTTACTGAATTTGAAACAAAGACACAAACCTGGGTTAAACTCGTTATAATATTACCCTTCAAGAAGGATCACAAAATAACAAAACACTAAATTGAAATAAAGGAGAGTGGATGAGTCTTCAAAGCTCTGTTGAGTTAATATTCTCACTTGCCAAGCTCTCACTCGTAAATAGCCTGGAAGTTGTCACTCATGTCCTTGCAACTAGAAAAAAAGTTTAACAAACTGAAAGTCAATACCTTGTCTTGGAACATTGGAAAATTGAGGTCTCAGAGCAAACTGCTATCCCAAAATCTGGAGAGACAGGAGAATACAGAGAATCACCACTGAGATGTGGTTGCCTGGAGCAGAAGTTGTAGGAGCCATAAACTAATAGGCCATAAACTTAAATGATCATCTTGCCAAATTGCTGGAGACTGAGAATAAGTTAATGTGAGAATGAGAATCTCCTGGGGACCACAGTCTTAGGGGAGCTCCCTCACTCTCATAGCTTTTATCTTCAGGAACTCCACCAGGTTCTCATGGTAAAGAACTGGGAAAAATTCCTGTGTTTCTGGCAGAATAAGGGGTAAGGTAACCATTTTGAAATATGCCCAGAGCATTTTCCATGACCAAGACCTACTATGTAGGGGGAAAGACTTTACCAGAGCCTTATCCCACCTGGGAAAATGGCAATTTGCCAACTCCAGCCTCCTCTAGCATTTCTGTCCCATCTAAGGTGGAAGGGGAGCTAAGAAAAGCTTCTGAAATAACAGATGAAAACACAGGCCTACTAGAAGGCTGAGGTTTAATCATAAGATTATAGAACAAAAGTCTGCCTTTTCCAGGGCTTACACCACATCAATAGTAAAGCAGTGGATCATAGCTGAAAGAGTGGCAAGATGCCACCTCTATTTAAGGAGGAGTATTTAGGGAAGCCCAAAGACAACAAGGAAGATGAAAACAAAACACAACAAAAGACTAAAAAATTTGAAGTATTATATACCCACAGCCACAGCAAAAATTAAACAGCCCAGTTCTAGCCAGATTAACACAAAACCTCACTTTAAAGAACTACCTCATTTTCTATCAACTAACAAATAATGTTCAACTTTAAGTAAATAATTACAAAACAAGAAAAATTAAAAGACAAGGAAAAACATAGTCTGGAGGGACAAAGAAGCATTCAGACCCAGACTCAGGTATGGCACAAATTTGGGAATTATCCAACAGGGAATTTAAGATAACTATAATTAATATGTCAAAGGCTTTAATAGAGAAAGTATACAACATACATGATTAGATGGTTTCCATCCACAAAAAATGGAAATTCTAAGAAAGAATCAAAAGAAAATGCTATAAATCAAAAGCACTGCAACTAAAATGAAGAATGCCTTTGATGGGCTCATCAATAGACTAAACAGAGGAAGGAATCAGAGAGTTTGAAGATATGTCAGTAAACACTTCCCAAACTTACATGTGAAGAGGAAAAAGAATGTTAAAAACCAGATAGCCAAGGGGAGGAGGTTTGTATGATACCAACAGATACATACACACACGACACATACATGTGTTATGTGTATATAAAACAAATATATATAAAACTTTATAATTTTATATAGCTTTGTATATAGCTAATATTTATATTGCACTTTCCAGCAAGCAATTTTCTGAGAGTTTTGCATATATTGACTCATTTACTTCTCAGAACAACTATATGAGACACATGGTATTATTGTCTTCATTTTAGAGACTGCAGCTGTTTTTCTTTTTCTTCTTTTCTTTCCTTTTCTCTTTTTTTTTTTTTTGAGACAGAGTTTCTTTTTGCTCAGGCTAGAGTGCAATGGCGTGGTCTCGGCTCACTGCAAACTCTGCCTCCTGGGTTCAAGTGATTCTCCTGCCTCACCCTCCCAAGAAGTTGGGATTACAGGCACCTGCCACCACACCCGGCTGATTTTTTTGCATTTTTGTAGAGACAGGGTTTCACCATGTTGGCCAGGCTGGTCTCAAACTCCTGACCTAGGGTGATCTGCCTGCCTTGGCCTCCCAAAGTTCTGGGATTACAGGCTGCAGCCATTTTTCTAAGACAGTCTGAGAAGTGTCAAGATAAAGAAAGAAGATTGACAGGGAGTGAAAAGTCACAGTCCAATCTTAGAGAAGTCAGGCAATGACCAGGGATAGAATCCAATGAACGCATGAGTGCATTGCTAAATTCAAATCAAATAGATAGTAAATGCTCTGGAAGGTTATATAAAGGCAAAGACTAGGGCCGGGCGCGGTGGCTCATGCCTGTAATCCCAGCACTTTGGGAAGCCGAGGTGGGTGGATCGTGAGGTCAGGAGATCGAGACCATCCTGGCTAACACGGTGAAATCCCGTCTCTACTAAAAATACAAAAATATTAGCCAGGAGTGGTGGCGGGTGCCTGTAGTCCCAGCTACTCGGGAGGCTGAGGCAGGAGAATGGCGTGAACCTGGGAAGCAGAGCTTGCAGTGAGCTGAGATCGCACCATTGAACTCCAGCCTGGGGGACAGAGCGAGACTCTGTCTCAAAAAAAAAAAAAAAAAAAGGCGAAGACTGGGACCATTATAAATCCTCGAACCCACTGTGGCCCATCTAGTGGGTTAGAGGATTTATAATGAGAAGCAGAAGATAAAACTGAAAATGCTTAGTAGAGTAAGAAAGTGAAAAGCCTTGACTACAAGGATAAGCAACAGACAATCAAAACTGTAGAGGTATATGAATAAAATGTTTCAACAGGCAGTAAAAATAGTAGCATGGACAAACACATGGGCTTTCCCTGGGTTACAAACATAATTATGAACTAAGTTGATGCTACTTAATGGTAACTGTAGTTCCTTCGCAGCTAAAATATAAATGACCCTTACAACAACCTGAGCACCAGGGGGGAGGGGCGCATAAGACAGGACACATGTGGACTTAGCACCACCACTCAGACTGTCCTGCATCCTTAGGTGCAAATCCAAAAACTGTCTCTCTACTTAGCATGCCATCATCACCAACTGTCATTATTTATTGAAAACCTACTACATTTCTGGTCAAACTCTGGGCACCTTGAGAATTTCCATAGCATGAAGAAGATGGCCTAATTTCACCCTCAAGGAAAACACATGCTAATAAAAACATTTCATTTTGATTTAGGGCCAATTGCTAAAATCGTATGTTTGAACACATGCATGTCCTTTTTACAAACAAAGCACAAAACCAGAGACTGAAGAACACTTTTGGAAGCACAAAATCTGTGATTATTATCTAGCTTTCCAGAAACATCTGGAATTTTGAGTTCCTGTTCTTATTACCCTGGAAAGCAATAAGCTTCCTCCTGTCATTCACCTTCTTTTGACCTTATTGTAACAAGGCTTAAAAGGAGACTTAGATTTGTCTGTAGTAGTAACATCTAAGACATTAAATCATCTTATGATCCATATTGTCCAAAATCATTCTACCTTGGAAGTGATATGGGAATGACTGTTAAGATATAATTAGATTTTGCTGACATAAATGTTTGTTTCGCTTTTTGTGCTAGCATTTAACGTATTTTCTTAGGCCTAAGCTCCTCAAAATTTCCAAGTAGCTTATAAATATTAATGTTGAAATCATTTAACCCATTGCGGCTATCAAGTAACTCAACGTAAAGAAGTAAAAAGATCTTGTTATTAGGTCAACCCTTCACTTTTTGTTTTTAATTAAATTCTTTAAGAATAGAATTATGATTGGTTTAGTGTAGCCCTTCTGGATGTGTGGACATCCCATACATCAATGGGATACCTCAGAAGGTAGGCGGACCAAATCATTATTACAATAACTTACCCCAAAATTCTGACTGCCAGATGAGCTTCCCAGGTACTCAAATTATTACTAATATGACATGAGATGAGATGCAGTCAGAGGGAAGGTGGAGGAATAACTAATGGTTTTGGTATTTACCTTCTATGGCAACAGATTGTGGAGCCATCCACCTTCCATTTACTACCCTAGTGAGTGTGCATAGGATGAAAAAAAAACATTAAAAGTCATGAACATGCAATTAAAATCTGTGAGGAGAACCAGAAGGCCTTGGTGGTGGCTTTGAAAGAGTTCATCATCTCTGGCAGTCTCAGGGAAGATATGACTGAGGACAAAGTCAAGTCTGATTGTAATGAGTGCAGCATTATTGCAACAATTGAATGCTCAATCTTGCCAAGTCTTTCTTACTATTAAAAGAGCATTATGAGGAAAGATTGGGAACCATATGCATTGGTGGGAGACATTTAAGCAGGTAAGAATGAGGGAGAGAAAATTTTTGCTCGTTTTATGTTGCTTTTTTCTTTTTTACATTTTAGGCATCTTTATTGAGATATAACTTATATAAAAATAAACCCCACATATTTAAATTGTACAATTTGATCAATTTTGACACACGTGCACGCACACACACATCTATATACATACATAAAGACCATCACTACAATAAAGATAATTAAAATAACCACCATCTGCAAAAGTTTGTAGTCTCTGTCATTTGCAACTTCCTATCCTTTCTTATCTCCATGCAGACCACTGATCTACTTCCTATTACTATGGATTAGTTTTTATTTTCCAGGATTTTATAAGAGTTTATGTTACTTTAATTTGTCTCACTCCTTACATTCAACACAATTGTTTTATACATGTTGTTGGAGATTTATACATGTTGTTGATTGTAACATTCATTTTTATTGCTGAGTAGTATTCCTTTCTTCAGACATAACATAATTTGTTTATCCAATCACTTGCTAATGGGCATTTAAGTTGTGTCCAGTTTTTGCCTAGTAAAAATAAAGCTGTTATGAGCATTTATATACAAGTCAATATGTGGACATATGCTTTTACTTCTTTTGGATAAATACCTAAGAGTAAAATAGCAGGGTTATATAGGAGATATGAACATTTTCAGTAGTGGTTATATCATTTTACATTCCCATCAGCATTATTTGAAAGTTCCAGTTGCTCCACATCCTCATCAAAACTCGGAATTATCAATCTATTAAAATCTACCTAGAAATGACATATAATAATCACACAATTTTAAATCAATTATTGTATGTGTATTGCACACATTCAAGAAGCTATAGAAAAGATGCAATAAGAAAAATCATGAAACATATAAAAAGAACAAATCAAATTTCTAAAGATAAAAGCAAAAATGTCTGAGTTGAAAACTATACTTAATGAATTAACAGCAGATTAGACATTGCAGAAAAAAAGATTCATGAACTGCCTGGCATGGTGGCTCATGCCTGTTATCCTAGCATTTTGGGAGGCTGAGGTGGGCGAATCACCTGAGGTCAGAAGTTCGAGACTGGCCTGGCCATCATGGTTGAAACCCCATCTCAACTAAAAATTCCAAAATTAGCCGGGTGTGGTGGCATGTGCCTATAATCCTGGCTACTCGGGAGGCTGAGGCAGGAGAATTGCTTGAATCCAGGGGGCAGAGGTTACAGTGAGCCAAGATTGCACCACTTCACTCCAGCCTGGGCAAAAGAGCGAAATTCCATCTCAAAAACAAACAAACAAACAAAAACAACATAAACAACAACAAAAAACCAAGAGTAATGAAAGTTGGAGACATTGTAATAGAAACAGTTCAAAATTTAGACAGAAAATTAGACTGAAAGAAATGAACAGAGCATCAGAGAGCTGTGGCACAACTTCAAGCAACCAAATATACCTGTTTTTGGAGTCTTCAATGGAGGAATTAGGGAAGAAAAAATACTTGAAGAAATAATGTCTGGTAAATTTTCACACTTTATACAAACTATAAACCCATGGATTCCAGAAGCTCAGAAAACTCTAAACACACACACACAAAAGAAGAAAATCACAAGAGACAGACTGAAAAAAAGCACATCATGTACAGAGGAACACATAAAGAGGACAACAGACCTTTATGAGAAGCAATGCGAACTAGAAGATATCCTTAAAGTACTGAAAGGAAAAATAACTGTCAACCTAGAATTCCTTATCTAGTAAAATATTTTTCAAACAAAATGTGAAATAAAGACTGTTTAAGACATAGAAAAACTGGAAGAATTTATTGCCAGTGTACCTACACTACAAGACATTTTAAAGGAAAGCCCTTTAGGGAAAAGAACAATGATATCAGATGGAAATCTAAACCTGCACAGAAAATGAAGAGCAAAGAACATGGCTAAGTTATTTGAAACTAGTTCAATTCTTTCAGGTCTTGTTTTAAAGCTTTGTTCTAGAGGTAACCTCACTACTGCTGAGGTAGGACTCTAAAATGCCTTTTGAATTATGAGGTTGCTCCATTGATGGGAACAGGTACTATTCTCAGCCCTATTGGAGCACCAGGAATTGTTTTCTCTAATCCTTTAGAGTGGTTCCTTGTTTAGCCTGAATAGTTTCCTTACCTGTATATGTTGGTCACTACTAAACTGACTTTAGTTCAATTTAAGTAAGCCTCTGCAGATTTCTGCAATTCATTCTCTATGTAGCTCTCTTCTCTCTGGTACTCTGCTTTTTGTACTCTAGCTGACTTGTCCTCCTGACCTCTTAAAGTCTGCTTATCTTTGGGAGGCCACCAAGCTCTTTCTGGGGCCTTCTTCAATACACTGTAGGCTGGAAACATTCTCTAGAAAGTAAGATGGGTAATCATAGCACTCATGTTATTTGTTTCTCATCTTCTAGGCAACAAACCCAGTTGTTTCTGATGTCCAATATCTCGACAACCATTAATTAGTCATGGTGTTCAGTTTTTTAGTTGGAAGGTGAATTCAATCCCTGTTACTCCATCTTACCCAGAAGTTATAACTGAGAAACATGAACTTCAAAATTCTTCTGATCATCCTTTGCCAGTAGAGAAATCTCAACTGTTATTCTCTGGAAAAAATAATATTTTAATGATTGGCTCTCAAGCTGATGCCCATGTTTGTTCAAGACATACTCTGCCAGCTTTCATTGCCTCTAATCCTAATAAAACACTTAGCCCAGACTGAGTGAGGGAAGCCCTATTCTACAAGGAGAAAACCTTTACATCAATGCAATGACAAGGCATTACCAATGTATGCCATCAAGAACTGAGGTGGATTTATGAAAACAGATTCTAAGAGGGTTAAGCCAACAGGGACAGAACATAAGACCTGATGGAGCCAAATTCATTGTCCTATGTCCCATCTACCTGAGATTCAGAATTAATTTGTTGCCTTGAGCTCAAGAAAGTGGGTTAATAGTTTGCTGGGCTGAATAATCAAAATATGGATTTAATCAGGGCTTACAATTATTGAGGTCAAACTGCCAGAAATTTATTCACATACATACTACAGAAAAGAAAAAAATGTCCAATTATTTCAGGAAGTAGGTGTATGTTATGTGCAACTTGCTCAGCCACTTCGCCTGGAAAACAGACAATGCATTAAGAAATGCATTTGTGAAAGGATGTCAGTAGCTTTGAAGCTCTCTGTGGTGGTTGTCCCCTTAAGACTAAAAGTAGCAGAGAAATATGCTATTACACTTTGGGTTCACTAATCTCAGTGGGAATTATGGCATCTCAGATTGGTAAAGGCCACTCAGACAATCAAAGTTAAGGTGGAATAACTACAATAAGTTAGGGGAAGATAGCGTGGAGATTCCTCAGGGATCTAGAACCAGAAATACCATTTGACCCAGCAATCCCATTACTGGATGTATACCCACAGGATTATATAAATCATTCTACTATAAATACACATGCACACGTATGTTTATTGCAGCACTGTTCACAATAGCAAAGACTTGGAACTAATCCAAATGCCCATAAATGGTAGACTGGATAAAGAAAATGTGGCACACATACTCATGGAACACTACGCAGCCATAAAAAGGATGAGTTCATGTCCTTTGTAGGGACATGGATGAAGCTGGAAACCATCATTCTCAGCAAACTAACACAGGAACAGAAAACCAAACACTGCATGTTCTCACTCGTAAGTGGGCATTGAACAATGAGAACACATGGACACAGGGAGGGGAACATCACACACCGGGGCCTGTTGGCAGGTGGGGGACTAGGGGAGAGATAGCATTAGGAGAAATATCTAATGTAGATGACAGGTTGATGGGTCCAGTGAACCACCATGGCACTTGTATACCTATGTAACAAAACTGCATGCTCTGCACATGTATCCCAGAACTTATAGTAATAAAAAAAAAGTTTTTTTTAAAAAAGGAAGAAATGGGGGGGAAAAAAAAAGAACAAAATTGTAACCAAAGTATTTTAAGCCACTGAGGTTTAGTAGATTTGTGGTTGCTAATCCCCAAGAGACTTCCACCATGAAACAGTAATATTCCTGATACACTGAAGCTGAAAACATCTCCTGGCCATTTTGGGCTCCTCATAAAGGTGAACCAACAGAGGCAGAATCAGTGGTTACAGTGCTGATCCCATTTGCTGGAAGAAATTAAGGTGCTGCTACACAATTGAGGTAAGGATGGCTATGTTTAGAACCCAAATAATTTAACTGGGCTATTCTTATTGTTCCTTTGCCCCATTGTCTGGTAAATTAAAAAACTCATAAATCCAACAAAGAAAAGACAAGCAAACAGCCGGGCACAGTGGCTCACGCCGTAATCCAGCACTTTGGGAGGCTGAGGCGGGTGGATCACCTGAGGTCAGAAGTTCGAGACCAGCATGACCAACATGGTGAAACCCCATCTTTACCAAAAATACAAAAATTAGCTGGGCGTGGTGGCAGTTGCCTGTAGTCCCAGCTACTCAGGAGGCTGAGGCAGGAGAATCGCTTGTATCCAGGAGGCGGAGGTTGCAGTGAGCTGACATCGTGCCATTGCACTCTAGCCTGGGCAACAAGAGCGACACTCCATCTCAAAAAAAAAAAAACCAAAACAAACAAACAACAACAAAACAAGCAAACACTCAGATCCTGCAGATATAAACGAACCACCCTCTAAATGAGGAGCTGGCAAAAGTCAAGGGGAACATGGAATGAGTGGTGGAAGTCGACAGCAATTATTACCATCTCAGGCCTCATGACCAGATAGGGTGGCAAGAACTGTTGAATCTGTTTTATTACTTGACCATTTCCTTTGTACTCTTTTTTTCTCCACACTTCCTTATATAAAGAATACCAGCAGTAACAAACATTTAGCTCCCAACTTGGATTATAAGTTGGTGGAAATAACTCCTCCCTGTTATGATAGTTGGTAGAACCTTTTGCTTTCCTATGCTGGAGACATGAATTAGATGAAAGAGAAGGGCAGCTCTTGATAGGATAAAGATATAGCTTTCTTTTGCCTGTCCAGATCCATTCTTCACCCTTTTCCCCTGTATTCTGATCCCAGAAAATCAACTGCATGAACTACATCAGTAGATTTTTTTGAAACCTGAAACTAGTTGGGTTTCACCAGTTGAGAACCCTGGAAAGAAATTGGTGAGATAGAAGAGTAAGGTTAGGGCTCCCTTCCTACAAGACCAGACAAGCTGGCTGTGTCCCTTGACACAGGTCACCACGATTCTTAAAGGGGCTGACTCTACATAACTCTCCTTCCAAGTCCCAGTGGCCACATCTGACCCTTCTCCCTGCAGGTGTGGTAAAAGCTTGGCTGCCACTAAGCCCTGTCTATGTTTTTGCGTTATGCTTTTTGTTTTCTCTACACTTACCTTTGTAAATATCTTTTGTGAATAAACTCCTTTGATTATCCTATTTTGAGTTATGGTATATTTCCTGATGGAATCTGACTGATACACCTTTTTTCTCTTGATGAATCCTCCTTGTATTGAGGAGCTAAATACCAAAAGGAGAGAGAGAAAAAACTCTTCATGTGGAAACAGGATTGAATGTTAAGCTTGACTAAAACCAACCTAGACTTTAATAATGGGAAGTGAGAGGAAGTTTACGGACTTCACCTAAGATGTCATTGGTACGGTAAGTGAGAGTCAGCAGAAAATGGATTATAATCATTGGAAAAAGAAGTAACACCATTTTCTATTTGTCGCCTCTCAGCAACTACCCTGGTTATATAAGATATCTCAGTCATTGCATGAAGTCATTTTCAAAGAAGAACAACCTAACATAAATAAAAAGGAATTCCAAGTGTCTTTGTATCCCTCAAAGAAATTAGAGAATATTCAATTCATAAGCACAGCAACACTTTCCAAATATTTTCTGCTCCCCCCTCAATTCCTAACCCCTTGCCAAGCAAGTCTCTCATACTCACAGCTGCTGTGCATCCTTTTTATATGGCAAAATTCCCCCACATTCTCTCCAATTCCTTAGACTACCCACGACTTTCCCATCTTTTTTCCTTCTTCCCAACTCTCAATGCATATTTAAAAAAACTAAACATTTCCGAATGTTTAAAGTTCTATTTTGCCTGCTTCATCAATTTCCCACATTCTCTGAGAGAGAGAGAGAGAGAGAGAGAGAAAGAGAGAGAGCACTTTAGCTCTGATTCAACAGGCAAACTAGGATATCTAACTAGGATAAGCACTGCTGGTTTCTATTCTCGTCTGTCCATTCTCTCTCTTCTGCATTACCAAAAACAGACAAACAAGCAAACAAAAACCCCCCAAATCTGAAAACCTGCTTGGCAAAACAAAACATACCTTAATGAATAAGGGAGACTGAAGGGGAAAAGCTCATCTAAAGAATAGCAAGGGAAACACTACCCTTTAACATATTTTGTTCCCTTCATACCTGAAGCTTAGAACAGTGCCTAGGCAAACACAAATAGTATGAACTCCAGGAATCCTAGCAATTTTTATGCTCTGTAAGAAGTATAGAAATGATTTGGATCATTTTGGTGTCTCTGAAACTGCAGCTTTTGAACATAAAATTTGCATGAGAAGAATCCTGTAGAAAGGCTGAGTATTAGATAGATGTAAATTTTGGTGGATTATATATTGGTTAGCATCAGACAGTTGCCTGATTGAATAATTAATAAAATTCCCAACACATTTGACTTTTATCCAGTCAGTATCTGCAGATGTGACTGAAAAGGCTCCTGAGCCCACATATATTCAGTCCATGTTTTGCATGGCAGATGCTGTTGCAGTACCTTCTGTTGTCTTGATCCTCTCCCACATTGTTTTGGGGAGAGTAAAGAATACCTGTCCCTTAGGCATTGTCTTCTATGTATTGCATAAACATACTTTGCACAGGATCTCACGTTTATGACATCCCTTTTGAGTGTGATGCCCTCAGATGCATTTAAAAACTCTTTTAATTTAAAACTCTTTTAAAGCTTTCTATTTTATTTCACTGACATGCCAAATTACAGTGGCTTGCACAGGGCAGGTCCTCAGAGTCATTATTACTATTTGCAAAATTCCTTTTTATTGGATACCAGACTGGTCTTTCAGCTGCTATCTTCTCCTAGGAGCTCTTGCTGTGCTGTGTTTTTGGAAGGCATGCTTCAAGGTATTTACAATTTCTAAGAGACAGCAGAGCTTTCGTTTTGGCCTTCAGTTATCCCCATAAACTCACACCTGGCTTCTTGAATTTAAAAAAAAATGATGATTTGGGGAAATATTGCAGCAAATTTTAAGTTATAATTCAATATTTTCTTTTCTCAGTACAGGCCACCCCTGCAATCTGTAATAAAGTCTCCTAGGGATTCTTTCCAGTACTGTTATGGAAAATAGGCCACACAAGAATTAGACCGCAATGGAAAGAGCCTCCTGGTGAATAGCCTTCCACTCAACTTCAAAAGAGCAAAACCACTTTAATTAAAACACCTTAAAACTATCCTAGCTCCTCTGCATCAGATATAGTCAGTAAAGAGGTGTTTAGTGACCTCTCCTGTATAAGCATATACAATCATACTGGAGCACTTGAAATGTTCCTAAAGACAAATCTGGTTTCCAACTCACAGAACAGTTAATCCAGTGATTTTCAATAGTAGATACAAATATCTGGTGGATCTTGATTTCGTTTCCCCTTCTTAGAATGGATCTATTACTCATACCTTGATGTATCAGCTGGTGTTTGCTACACAACAAAACATCTTAAAATTTAGTGGCTGTGCCATCCATTTATCAACATGTACAGATCAGCAGATCAAAAATTTGGGCTATACTCAGCTCTCCAATTCTGTCAGTCTAGCTTACTAGTGTGTTTTCAGTCAGATGTCAGCTTCTTGTTAGACTAGAAGGCTAGTTAGGGCACCTCGAATCTTCTCCAAATGACCTCTCCATCTCTAGGACGCTAGTCTGGGTATGTTCATATGGTGGCAGAATTCAAGAGCAGCAAGGGAGCAAGCTCTACTGTGAGTGTTTTTCCAATCTGTCTTTGTGTCATGGTTTCCATCTCTTTGGTCAAAACAAGTCACATCAATCATTGTGGAAGGATACTGCAAGAGAGCAAGGTTATTAAGAAGAGTAAAAAAATCTGAGTCATTACTGCAATCAATTCACTACTGTTAGTTTTTTCCTTCTGCCTCCTATAATGGCATCTCCTGGACAAGGGGTTGCCCCTACATGACACTTTTATCAATATCACAACATGAAAAGTTTAAATGATTAGACCATAATGTCTTCCGCCCTATGATACACTGACCTATCACCCTTGTACTTATGCCATGAAGAAGTAAATCAGAGCTAATAGCTTCTCACAAGATCTCAGATGCTTGAGCTGAATCTTATCGAGCCACTGCCAATACTAACAAAACCAAAACTAAAGCATTTAGTTGAATAAGTAGACCTTGATGTCTACACTTGCCAGTAAAACAAAAACAACAACAAATAAACCCAGAATGACAGGTTGATGGTACCTCTATCCTTTCCTTCTCCCCTTCTTCCTCAACTAGACTTCTTATCACTTAACTAAAGTTACCTGCTATTTGGATCAAATCAAATCCAGGGGAATTTGGCACATGGTGAAAATGGAAAATCAACTGCCACCCACACTCTCTAACTTGGGAGCTGCCAAGAAAAAAATGGGCCTTTCAATGCATTGTTTCAGAGTTTGAAGCTGCTTTCAATGGTAGTAATATAACACCCACCCCCACCACCCCATTCTATCCAAAATCCCAAAAGAGACAGCAGAAAAAGCTATTCTACCAGTGACCTCACATAACCTCAAATTGCTATTCATATTCACAAAACAAGGCCATTTTAAAATATTGCTTCAATGTCTTAAATTCAACCTAATGGCTTCACTTTGTATAATTTTATGTCTTCAGAGAGCTAGTCAGGCCCTTCCTACACTGAAGATGAATTACTCTTTCATAGGAAATGCTCACTAAGTATCCTGGAATGCCCCTCCACCTCTCAATATTGTTTGTCTATTAGAGAATCTTTTGTTCCATAAAAAAGTGTCAGAGAAACCTTGTTTTCCTAAGTTTATTAAACTAATTTTGATTTAGGATAAATAAATGTAACTTATTTTTAGGTCATTGATGACACGAGATGGTTGAAATTTAAACAAATATTATTAATTCTGCCATTCCAAGCTCTTTTTTAATTACAGCATGCCTAAATAACCAGAATTATTGCTTAAACAGCATGTGCTAGTTGTCTCCTCCATGGTAGGTTGAAGATGGATGGAGTCCCTGTCCTCACGCACTAGCTTGCAGCCAAGCAGGGAGAGATGGAGCAAAAGCAGAGTACATACATTAAAAATAGTTAAAATTATGATAAGTGCTGTGTAGAAAGATCATCAGTGACTGAGATAAAGAGTAACAAGGAAGTACTCTTAAATAGTGTCAGAGAAGACCTCTCTAGGGGATAAAAAGTAAAATGAACCTGGAAGAGTCGGCAAGACCTAGCAACATGAAGAATGGAGAAAGCGCCTTCCTGCTTGAGGAATGAGGCAGGAAGCAAAGTGAAAAGAGCTTCTGTGGACAAGGAGCTGGAAAAATGCAATTGTGTCTTGAGCAGTCTGAGGAAGGAGAGAGGAACATAAGACAAGTTTGGAGAGTTGCGGAGGGGTGATATCAAGCAGAACATCATAGGCCGTGGTAAAGGGTTTACATATGATTCTAAGTGAAACAGTAAGACACTGGAGGATTTTAAGCCTGAGAGAGATAAGGTCTGATTAGTGTTTTCGAAGAATCTTTCTATCTGTTACATTGAGCATGACAGGAAATGCAAGAATAAAGCTAGGAGAATAGAGGAGGCTATTGTAAAGAGCCAAGGCAAGGGATAATGGTGGCTTAATCCAGGACATAGTAGTGGAGGTAGAAAAAAGTAGACATATTTTGCAGATAGATTCCAATAACATTCTAGTGACTTAATGTATTGGTGATAAAATACAGAAAGGAATCATGGAGAACATCCACATGTGAGGCTCAAAAAAGTTGTAAGCTGTGGTATTATACTAAGGTGAGGAAGGGCAAGAATGGTTGGAAAGCCAGTTGGTGGTGGAACATAAGTATTCAGTTTTGAACAAGTCAACTTTGCAACATCTCTAAGACATCCAAATTTACTTTTCACGTCGGCAGTCAGATATAATGTCTAGCGCTCAGAGGGAAAGTCAGATATAAGTGTGGGAATACATTTATATATAAACATGTATATAAATATATGGAAATGTATATATGTATGATTGGGGAATTATCATTATGTAAATGGCAATAAAACATATTGATAAATAAAGTAATTTAGAGAGAAACATTAAAGAGAGAAAATTACTAAATTCTGAACCTAGGAAAACACCAAGATCCAGCTGCTTCTTTCTTTCTTAACAAATTCTCTCTTAATGTTGTCTTCTTTTTTTCTACCACATTTTTTTTTACCACACTATTTTTTTTCCTTCTACCTTTGGAGTCTTTTCTTCCTCTTCTTTAAAGGATACACTTCATCACTGTCACTTACACACACATACACACACACACACACAGACTGAACATACTCTAGGGATAGTCTTGAATACTTTCACTCTCTATTTTTAAAAAAATTACATTATTTTAAATCTCCACATTTGTGGATAGTAATTTTGATCTAAGAGGATAAATACCTACCCAATATACAGTCATCATTCATGGATGCTATTTTTATTTTTCCTTTGATTTTTCTGGGATGTTTTAAAAATACTTTTAAAAAGTTCTTTATTGAAAACTTTTTAATCTTTGACCATATTTCTTCAGTTTGTTGAATCTTTTACTGTCTGCTTTTACATTGGTTTAAAATCTCATTTATGTATGTGTGTCCAGAGTTATGACAGCTATCCTGTGAGTGGGTCTTGAAGCCTGCTCAGGACACAGCTTCAAACCCAACAAGCTCTGGGCATCTATGTTTGGGGATTTAGCTCATTACTGGTGGTGCAATTCTGGGTCCTTCACCTGCATCTGTAGCACAGGCCTGAGTCCCAGTTTTACAGGTGATGCTGATTCTGCTCCTGGTCATAGGTTGGCACCTTATATCTTGCTGCAGGTATGAGCATCTGGGTATGGCTGTTCCCAGGTAACTGACGCTTTTTCATTTCTAACATACACAGAAACTCTTCTCGTTTTTGAACCTTGCTTTTCTTTTTCACCATGAAGGAGGTTTAGTATATGTTCAGCCAACCATTTTATCACTTTAAACTAAACTTTACTGAGGTATAATTTCCATCTGATAAACTGCATCTGCTTAAAGTATACAATCAAATGCATTCTGATACATATATTCACCCATGAAATCACCACCACCATCAAGATACATATCCACCACACATATTACATTCCTCATGGACTTTTGTAACCATTCCTTCCTGCTCCATCCCATTCCCAGGAAAACCCTAATCTGCTTTTTGTTACTATAGTTTGTATTTTCTAGAATGTTATATAAATGGAATCATGTACTATGTATTCTTTTGTATCTGTCTACTTTCACTTCTTTTCCTTTTTTACTGCTGAGTAGTGTTCACATTTTTTTTATCCATTCAGCTTTTGATGTGCATTTAAGTTATTTCCATTTGGAGGCTACTATGAATAAAGCTACTATGAAAAATCCTATTTATGTGAAAACGTGTCGTTATTACTCCTGAGTAAATTTAAGAGTGGAATGGCTGGTTTTTATGGTAGGTGTATGTTTAATCCTTATGTACACTTAATGTCAAACTTAAATGTTCATAATTTTACATTTTCTGAAGTGATAGTACCATTTTACATTATCACCAGAGGTATACGAAAGTTCCAGATGCTCCACATCTTCACTTTGGTACAATCTGTCTTTTAAAATTTACCTATTTTAATGGATGTGTAAGTGGTACCTCATTATTGATTTAATTTGCATTTTGATGACCAATGAAGTTGAGAAACATTCTTTTTTAAAAAACTGATTTGTCTAATCTAGATCTTTTTCATTTGCACATAAATTTTAGTAACTGCTTATCAATTTCACAAATAAAAAAATCTTCTGGCATTTTGTTTGGGATTTTCCTGAGTTAGCAGATAAATTAGAGAAAAATTGTCACCTTAATTATATTAAGTTCATGAATATGATATGACTCCCCAGTTCTGTAGGTGTCCTTTAGTTTATCCTAGGAACATTCTGTAGTTTTCAGTGTACAGGTCTTGTGTATTTTTGTTAGTTTATTTCTAAATACTTTTAAAGTGCTTTGGTATTGTTTCAAATAGAATTGTTTTTAAATTTCAATTGTTTGCTGCTAGTATATAAAAATAAAATTGATTTTTGTAATGTAACTTTTTATCTCACATCCTTGCTAAATTTGTCCATTACTTCAAATAATTTTCTAAATTTTAATAGGCATTTTCTAAATGACAATGTTTATGTTATCTACTAAGTGAGACAGTTTTACTTCTTCCATTTCAATCTGAATGTATTTTTTTCTTGCCTTATTATAATGACCTCAGATATTAGTGTAGTGTTTAATATAACTGATGAGAATGGAAATTCTTGCTTGTTCCCTATCCTGGAGGAAAAACATTCAGTATTTTATTATTAATTAATATGTGAAGTTTTTTGAAAATGTCCTTTTAAGATTCAAAAATGTCCTTTTGCTCATTAGTTTCTGAGAGTTTTTATCACTAAGAAGTGTTTAATTATGTCAAAATTTTGGAGAATTTGGGGACATCTATCAAAATGATCATATGATTTTACTCTTTATTTTGTTAGTATGATGAATGAAATTGATTTTTGAATGTCAATCTAACTTTGCCTTTCAGGAATAAGCTCTACTTGATTATTATGACTTGTCCGTTTTAATATTGTTCGACTTTATTTGCTAATATTTTAAAACAGTAATGCGTTGATTTTAATGAGATGTTAATATTATGTTTATGTTACCTATATATGAATAAACATGTTTATATATAATTGTCAGATTTGGATAGGAAGGTTTTCCTTGTCTCATGACCAAACAAAGGTAGTTCTTCATCTTATGTTTTCTGAAAAAGTTAGAATAAAGTTGTTATCTAAAAAAATACTTTATAGCATTTACCAATGAAATCAATCAGTCTAGAATTTTCTTTGTGGAAATTTTTATAACAGATAAAATTGCTTTAATAAATTTAAGAAAATTAAGATTTTTTCTATTTGTCTTGTATCAATTTTGGTAAGTTGCATTTTTTAAATAAATGTCACCATTGAATCTTAGTTGTCTGATTTGCTGGTATAAATTTTATCATTTTGTTGTCTTATACTTCTAGTGTTTATGAGATTTATAGTGATAATCTCCCACTTATGATTTTGGTGATTTTGTTGTCTCCATTTTTTTCAAAATTAGTCTCTAGGGGTTTAGAAAATTTTTTGATCCTTTTAAAGTCTATTTGTATGTTTTATATTTGATTGACTTGTGCCCTTTTCCTTTTTTTGATTTTATGTATACATTTTTTTCTATCATTTTGAAGTTGAACTTTAGGTCATTAATTTGAGAACTTTTTAAAAATAATATAAGCATTAACACTATAAATTTCCTAAATTCATTGCATTCACTGATTCTATAAATTTTATTATACTGTACTTTTATCATTCTGTTTGTAATACTTTCTCACTTAATTTATAATTTCTTTATTAAATCATTTATTGCCTAGAAGGGTGATGATTTCAATTTTTAAACACCTGGTGATACATATATATATATATATATATATATATATATATATATATATATATATATAATATATTGAGAGAGAGAAAGAGAGAGAGATTTCTACTTCAATTCTGCTCCTTTAGATAGACAATTTATCTTGTTTGATTTTGATTGCAGCCTGTGGTCTATCTTAATAAATGTACCACATGTACTTGAAAAAAAATGTGTGCCTGTAATTACAGAGTATAGTGCTCTATAAATATCAACTAAGTCAAGGTGGTTGTACTTGAAAAAAATGTGTGTCTGTAATTACAGAGTACAGTGCTCTATAAATATCGACTAGGTCAAGGTGGTTGAAAATATTGTTAAAATCATTTGTCTTTACTAAATTTTTGCCTGGTTTTATCCACTGAATGTCAATAATATTAAATTCCCTCATTATGATCGTAGAACAGTTGACTTCATTTAGTTTTGCCAATTTTTGCTTTATGTATTTTGAAACTCTTATTTTGTACATGTATGTTCATAATTGTTACGTCTTCCTAATGAACTGACATCTTTATCATTATGTAATGTCCCTATTTATCTCTGATAATACCCCTTGCCTTAAGCTTTTTTTTCTGCTATTAACAGAGCCATTTTAGCCTTCCTATGCTTGATTTTTTTTTGTATGGCATATTGTTTTTCTAACCATTTACTCTCACTCTGTGTGTCTTTATGTTTAAAGCACATCTCTTCACTTGAGCCCAGGAGTTCAAGATCAGCCTGTGCAACATAGGGAGATCCTGTCCCTACAAAAAAAAGTATAAAAATTAGCTGGGTATAGTGGCTGGTTCCTGTGGTCCTAGCTAATTGGTAGGCTGAAGCAGGAAAATCACCTGAGCCCTGGTGGTTGAGGCTGCAGTGAGCTGTTATCATACCATTACACTCCAGCCTGAGCAACAGAGTGAGACCTTGTCTCAAATAATAAAAAATAAATACATAAATACATAAATAAACAGCATCTCCTGTAGATAGCATAATGGAGTTTTTCAATTTTAACTAATCTGACCATCTCTGCCTTTTGAATGTTTAATCCATTAATATTTAATATAATATTGATATGTTTGGAATTAGGTCTAAAATTTTATTATTTGCTTCATGCTTATCTGTTTTTTTTCTTTCTCTGTTTACCACTTCCTGCCTTTTTGGGAATATTTGAATATGTATATTTTTCTATTCTTAATTTATCATTGGCTTTTTAGTAGTACTTTAAAAATAATGAGTGGAGGTGGATTTTATTTTTTTATTTCCAATTTTTGTTTTAGGTTCAGGAAGTACACGTGCAGGTCTGCTACATGAATAAATTGCATGTCCTGGGAGTTTGTTGTACAGATTATTTTGACACCCAGGTAATGAGCATAGTAACTGATAGGTAGTTTTTTGATCCTATGAAACAAAACTAAATTTTTACATCTTACTTATGCTCTACAATATGGAACATATTTGAAGTACAGCAACTTTGGTTTCTAAGCTTAAAGAATGGAAATTAAAAGGAACTAAAAACTTGAAGCTTGTCTATATTTTTTTCCTCATTGTAAGAACTTTTTATTTCATATTTTTGTTCTAATGATGTTTGTGCTGCTTGACTAACAATTTCATTCTCCATGAAGTCCAGGCATATACCTTCACTGCAGTTTAAGCCATTAGCAGCAAAAAGGTTATACTATAAAGAAAAATTCAGTTACAAGCACAGATGTCTATGCTAATTAACACAAACAGCAGAATAAACAATCAAAAAGGTAAATGAGTTTATGTTATTATTCCCAGGAAGAGCATTTTCATTCAGTTCAAGGAAAAATTTTTATAAGCTGTTTAACTACTTTAGAAGTAAAACATAAACATACTTGAAGCGCTAGAGACTTTTTCTGATTAATTCAGTGCCCAAAACAGACATGTCTATGTTGGAGGAGTAATAGAAGTTAAAATGAATTTGTTTAGGCCCAATTAATCTTCTGGTTATTTCCTTGTCATAACAATGAGCTCATCTCTCTGTTGATGATTTAGTTGCAAGCAGGACTACAAAGTAATTCTTTAAGAATCTTTAGGGTAGTTACTCCAAAATGCTTACTATCATCAGAAAACATTGTTTTTTTTTATATATTTTAGTCTTATTTTTTAATATTTGTATACTACCCAGCAACAAAAAGGAATAAACTATTGATATATGTATGCAACAGGAATGAACATCTAATGCATGATGCTCAGTGAAAGAATCCAATCACAAAAGACCCCATACCATATGATTTCATTTATGTAAAATTCTAGAAAAGGCAGAACTTACATACACCAGTGGCTACCCAGGGGTTGGAAGGTGTAGAGAAGGTATGCAGAAAAGGGCAGCGAAGAAACCTTTTTCAGGATTGATGTGTTTTATATCATGATTGTGGTGGTGGTTATACAACCATACATGTTTGTCAAAAATAATGAAATTATATGCTTGTAATTGGTAAATTTTATTATATGTAAATTAATCTCCCAAGAAACAGATAAAATATGTTGAAACTGACAAATTATGTTTAAAATGAACCAAAAAAATTCCATCTTAAATTCTTCCTAAAACAAATATCTTTTTAAAACTGGTAATAAACTTCTCATTAAAATAATGGAAAACATTCTGAAGATCTGAATTGTCAAAGGCCCAGTCGAAAGTCCTATATACACTCTGTACTCTGTAGTATTTCTATATTATTTTACTGATAGAAGCCCAAATATATTCTAGGCATCTTACTAATCATACCAAAAAAAAAAAAAGAGAGAACTGTGACCTTTAAAAATTTGAGATTATGTGTAGCCATTAAATTGTTCTCCTCCAACATTTTGACTAAATTGTTTATTACATTTTGCATACATATACTATATATATCATCTAACTGTACCATCTGATTTTTCATGCGAATATAGGCAGAGGGTTCAAGTTGCTAAATTTGCAGAGCTCCTGTATTATCTTCTATCAGTAAGGTTCACCCTTATTATTTTTAACAGGTTAATTGTTCTTAAGAGTTATCTTTGTGTCAGACTCTAATCTAGATAGACAGATGCTTTTATTTAGGCTTTTCAAGATGATTTCAACTTCCATTGATTTTTTATTTTCGGAAAATCTACAGTAAATGTGATATTTCACTAAATGTGGTAAAGCCTGATTACATCATGTCTTCACATTGGTAATTTTAAAAACAGGTAAATGAAGGTTGGGAAGAGAGAAAGGAGGCAACGTTTACAGAAGAGTACTGTTAAATGTTTTTGCAGTAAAGGCTTGGAACTAGGACAAAAAGTGGAGGCTAGCTATTCTAGCTGAGGGTTTTGGAATTGCATTCCTTTATATTAGAGAGACTCCAGAGGAGAAGTGAGGCAGAGCTCATCATAAATCCAGACCAGAGTACTCTGCTCTGCACTAGTACAGAGGCAGGATTGATGACTCCACCTGAGATTTCCCACATAGCTATGCTCTACTTTGTAGTTTAACAACAATAATTAAAAAGCTCACCCCAGCACTTTGGGAGGCCAAGGTCGGTGGATCACCTGAAGTCAGGAATTCGAAGACAACCTGGCCAACAGATTTAGTAGCGATGAAACCCCTGTTTCTACTAAAAATACAAAAATTAGCTGGGTGTGGTGGTGCGCACCTGTCGTCCCAGCTACTTGGGAGGCTGAGGTACAGAATTGCTTGAACCCACAAGGGAGAGGTTGTAGTGAGAGGAAATCGCACCACTGCACTCCAGCCAAGGTGACAAAGCGAGACTCTGTCTCAAAAAAATAAATAAATAAATAAACTAACCAGAACTTTTTCTACATCAAACAGACAAAGCATCCCTGTATCTTCATAGTTGTAACACTGAGAGGTGAGGGTCAATATTGCACCTTCACTTCTTAAAAATGTATTATTCTTATATCTTGATTGAAAACTTGGAATCAAAAATCTTCCTGGACTATTTATATTGCCACAATGCCCTGTTTTTGACACAAAATAATTATCTGTAACTGCTTTTTTATTAATGTAGACTTCATAGAGCAAGGATTCCTGACTCCTGTGTATGGGTTCCATTAATGATAAGCCACAGATGCTGCCAACCAAGCTAGTAAAATCAATTGCTAGAAAAATTTAAAAGTTGATATTTTCTCTTTGGCCCAGTAATTTTACTTCTAGAAATATATCCTAAGTAATAATAAAGAGTAGGCAAAAATATTAATCTAAACAGAACAAGAAGGAGGAATAGGGGAAGAAGGGAAGTGGGCAGAAGAAAAAAAGAGAAAAGGAAGGTGAAGGGTTCTGGTGCAGATAGATGTATAGTTTTACAATACAGATGCTATAATTTTTGCTTCCACTTCCATGCTACCATGCTTTCTTTTAACAATCTCATTCAATATGTGGAGTTGGATGTTCCTCCTCCCTCACAACTCTCATTCCATGAAGAATACCTTTCATCATTAAACCAATGACACAGAGAATAAATGTTTCTTTCAGAATAAATAACTTTAAGACTCACCATGTTACTGCTATAGAGTATGACATTTGGAACCACTATACAACTGTCATTCATTTCTAAATTATTATATTAAAAGGGCATATAGAGCTATTTGGTTACTGAGAGCAACTGAAAATATCATGTCTGAGTCAACTCATAGAGAAAGATGCTTGGTTGCGTGATCACAAACCACCCCTGCATGTTGGTTAATATCCAGCGGACCACCATGGGTCAAATGAGGACTGGATGAAGGACTGTGAATAGCCTGGGGCAATTCACATTATTTTTACATAACTTTAATAGTTGCATGCTTTCCTAGCAGTGAGCTGAAGCATGGCATGTATAAATTTTTATTATAGAGAAGAAAATTTCAATATGTTATATAAAGAAATAGATTTTCCAAGTTCATACATCTCAGAGATCGCCAAGAGGGTAGCAGCTGCTCTGGATATAAAACACTTTTGGATTTAGGATCAGCTATTATGTGTTCAGGGGCCTACATTATCTTCTCTCAAAGGCTGCAACAAAATTAGTTTTGTTAGTCAGATAATGAGCACGGTGGCTGACACTGAAATAGTCATTGAAAGCTGACGTTCCCTGCCTTTGGAGTAGTATTGTTACTGATATTTTGTTCCAAGAGGAGGTCAACTAAGAGCAGAAAATATCTGCTATTCTCTGGAAAGTGTATTCGGAATCTGTACACAGGCAGGCTGCATTGCATAGAGTTCTCAAGAAAAAACAATGTCTGAGGGGTATGTATAGAGAAGATTTTTTTTTCTTTTTTAATTATACTTTAAGTTCATAGGGTACATGTGCAGGTTTGTTACAAATGTATACATGTGCCATGTTGGTGTGCTGCACCCATTAACTCGTCATTTACATTAGGTATATCTCCTAATGCTATCCCTCCCCTCTCTCCCCACTCCACTACAGGCCCCAGAGTGTGATGTTCCCCTTTCTGTGTCCAAGTGTTCTCATTGTTCAATTCCCACCTGTGAGCGAGAACATGCAGTGTTTAGTTTTTTGTCCTTGCGATAGTTTGCTGAGAATGATGGTTTCTAGCTTCATCCATGTCCCTACAAAGGACATTAACTCATCCTTTTTTATGGCAGCATAGTATTCCATGGTGTATATGTGCCACATTTTAACCTGAATTTCTGTTAAGTTATGGAAGTTAGAAGAAAGATTCAAATTTTACCTTCTTTTTAAAATCAATGGGAGTTTCAGTAGTTATCACTCCCATCAGAAATTTTCTCTGTAGCATAACGTGGTTGGGTAAATCAACACCCTGCTTTCAGCCCAGTGGAGTTTCTGACCCACGATATTAATAGGATCAAAACTATCCGAAATATGCTCAGGAACCAGTTGACAAAATAGCAAATATAATTGATGACCTCCCTCATAAAAAACCAACTTATAAAGAAAAACAAATTGTTTTCCTAATTGTATTGAAACTTAGAACTCTCCAATTAATTTATGAATTGAGCCACAGTATGAGGTTTATTCACAGTTATAACAGTTGTTCTTACCTGAAAATTTTGTCTCTGATAAAAATGTAGTCAAAGACTTATTGAAATCTGTAGTAACAGAATCATATAATTACAAAGTTACTCAGCAATCAACCTCCTCACTTACTAAATGGAGAAATTGATAACCAGTGAGGTAGCATGTGGTACTCCAGGTCACATAGCTGGGTAGTGGCAAAGTTAGGACTAGGGTCAGGTCAGTTGCTTCCCAATTCATATTCTTTGTTTTTATTGACCATTCATTCTTTCAACATATACTTGTTGAGTGCCACTATGTTCTTATTACTAAGATAAGCACAGAAGATGCAATGATAAAACATATAACCATGTTTATGTTGTCACATACTTTATATTCTCTTGGAATAGAATAGTGTAAGATTTCAAAAAAGCAAGTGTATTAGTCAAGGTTCTCTAGAGGGACAGGACTGATAGGATAGATGTATATACGAAAGAGAGTTTATTAAGGAGTATCAACTCACATAATCACAAGGTGAAGCCTCACAATAGGCTGCCTGCAAGCTGAGGAGCAAGGAAGTCATTTTGAGACCCAAAACCTCAGAAGTAGGGAAGCCAAGAGTGCAGCCTTCAGTCCATGGCTGAAGGCTCAAGAGTCCCTGGCAATCCACTGGAGTAAGTCCAAGAGTCCAAAAGCTAAAGAACATGGAATTCGATGTTTGAGGGCAGGAAGCATCCAGTACAAGAGAAAGATGGAGGCCAGAAGACTCAGGCCAATCCAGTCCTTCCAGGTTCCTCTGCCTGTTTTTATCCTAGAATGCTAGTAGCTGATTGGATGGTGCCCACTCAGATAGAGGGTGGGTCTGCCTCTCTCTGTTACCTGACTCAAATGTTAATCTCCTTTGGCAGCACCCTCACAGACATACCTAGAAACAATACTTTGCATCCTTCAATCCAATCAAGTTGACACTCAATATTAGCCATCACAGCAAGTAAAACAAATTAATAAAAACATACAATTTTAGAATGTCATAATTACAGCAAAGATAATAAAACAAGGTAATGAAATAGCAAGTGACTTGTAAGAAGTTATTTAGTGGCTTGTGGGTGTTATTTAAATAATTAAAGTCAAGGATGGTCTTTTTGAAGAAGCTGGATTTTAAGGAGCATGAAGAACTAATTCTTCATGCAAAATTTAGGTAGAAACATGCTCTGTGAGGAGGAAAGGGGAAATAGAAAGCCTTGAAGAAGTGATTGAGATAGATATCTTTGAAAGGTCAAGGAAGCTAGAAGGCAATAAATGAATGAGAGCATCCTATAAGATGATAATGGATGGAATAGTGCCCCAAAACTCATGTCTACCCAGAACTTCATTTACTTGGATATAGGGTGTTTGAAGATATAATTAAGGTAAGAATCAATATGAGATCATACTGAATTAGAATGGTCCCTAAGTCCAGTGACAGTGAACTTATATGAGACACACAGAAACACAGAGCAAAGCTGTGTGACAATCACATTTTGGAATTTTAAATACAGCAAGTGCTCCATTTATGCCTCCTCTATAGTTATTGTTTCTTTTTCATTCACGAGCTCATTACTTCATTATTACAAAGAAATATTCATTATGAAGATGTCATTGATGAAAGAAAGTGGTAAATAAACTAAGTTGGAGTGCTCTTTATATGCCAAGGACGTTATATATCAGTAACTCAACTGATTCTTACACAAGCCTTCAACAGGTATTCTTATTTCTACATGAATAAATTGTAATTCAAATAGAATGGATATAACATGACCAAAGACATACAGCCAATAGTTAGAAACCTGATTTGGAAATCAAGTGTATCTGACTCCAAAAAATCATGTGCTTGCCAGTAAATCTCACTAACTCTAAACAGGTTGGCCCTCAAAACACATAATTTGATCTTCTTAGCTAGTCACTCAAATGACAGAAAACTTAATAATGTACAAGCTGAAGGATAGGCTTTAAGACTGAAATACCTGATCTGTGTTAGAAATCAGCAGACCTGGGGTATAACGTTGACTTTTTTTTTTTTTTTAATTCAGGAGGTGCATGTAAGGTTTTTTCATGGATATATTGTTTGTGTAATTCTGAGATTTGGGCTTCTATTGGACCCATCGTACAGATAGTGAGCCCAATAAGGTGGTTTTTCTACCCTTGCCTCTCTTCCTGTTTCTCTCCTTTTGGAGTACCTGATGTTGACCATTTTTTAATACTGTCATCTTTGATAAACTGGACTATTTGGGCATTTGCATGTGCTCAGCCAAAGCTTTTATTTTTTGGCAAGAATTGGTGGTTCCTTTCTGCACCTTTATCTCCCAGTTTTTTTCTCTGAGTAAATATGAAATCACTTTAGAAAAGTTTGAAGACTGGTCCAAATATTAAATGGTTCATCTGACATGGAAGTGGACAATTCTTCAGAATTGTAGGAGAAAATACTGGACTGAAGATGTGTTATTAAAGTTGTTATGAAACAACAAAAAGTTCAAAGGCATTGGATACCTGTCTAATTATCTGACCACAACTCATGCATTTTTCAACCAATATTGATTGAGCACTTATTCTAAGCCATGTACTGTTCTAGTTATGAAGAAAAATTGGTTTTTTAAATCTCATTAACTCAAATCTGATGATTACATGCTTAAGCCATGAAGATTGGGGTCTCATTGCCCAGTTTCGTTTACATGTATTGAATTCATTGGGCAGTGTTTGATTCTTTGCTTTGCTTTTGTAGAAAAGACAGGCAGACAGAGTAGAAAAGAACTGGGGAAAAACCTTTGGTATTACTCTTGGAAATGTCCTATCTTCTATGGTCTTTGAGAGCCTGCATCTTTGGATCTAAAATAGGCCTGCTTAGAGAAAAAATTATAGCCCAAAACCAAAAACCAAAAACAAAACAGATTCAATTGCTCCCACATCCAGGTGGAGGGTTATTCTTTAAACACTTGGATGATTCCTTCATTTCAGGAACTCCACTGACATGACTAGAGTATTCTGCCCCAATTACCAAAATTATTATAATGTTTCCAAGTGATTGTTAATAATTCAGAAAATAAAATTAACAGCTCACTAATATAGGATTAGGAAACCATCATTTTCAAAAAAAAAAAGGTCTAATTTTTTTTTTCATTTAGCTTAGTTCTAAAAGAAATTTTGGAAAGAAATTAGATTTGTAATTAGCCTTTTTAACTAGCACTATTATTTCTTCAAGTCAGCTCCAGTGCCACCTTTGATAAAAATAAAGTAAACTAAAATAAAAATTATAGTTAAAAATTCAAAAGAATTTCTAAATGGACCTACACTTAAACCATAATAAGAAAAACAAAGGCATCTGACATTTCACATTTCAAAAACCATAATATTTTACAAACACTTTTGTTGGCATAATTTGGGTTAGTGTTCCTCAAACTAGTCATCAAATATAGACATTAGTTATTTTTCAAATTAGTGGTTTCCTGACTTCCAAATTTTAAAGATTACTAAAAGTATTTTTTTAATTTTAAGCACTAATAAATGACTTTCTGATTTTGATATTGCTGACAAAGGGCATTAGAAATAAAACTTACCACTTTCTAGCATTGCTTTTTAGTAAACAAAATTATATGTAAGCCCTTCAAATGTAGGAAGGACATAATCACAAAAAGATGAAATAGACTTTATGGCCAAATAGGCATAAGTTAAGAACTTTGCCTTGGGCTAGTGGAAGAATCCAATGTTTAGATATCACAAATAACTTATCTAAGATCACAGGGCTAGTTAGCATAGGATAGAGCCCAGCACAATTAGGCACTTCAGTGTTAGTTGCTGAATAGAATCCAAGAATCTTGCCTTCTCACCCCGTGACTAATGACCCTACATATTATGCAGATACTCAGAGCCTGGTTTTGTTTCTAGTTCTGCCTGCAAACTTGTAGTTTCTCTGACCATTTCCTTCAAGGTACCAGTTCTTCCACATATTCCAAGTGTTTTCAAGGGCAGATCTTCCAGTGCTGAGGTTTCTCAGGTATTTTTTGTGAGGACACATGGCATGGCACTGTGCTTCAATACATGCTTTATGCTAGTGGTTTTCATTCCTGACTGCCTTTTAAAAATCGCTTGGGAAGCTTTCAACAGATGCAAAAGCCTGGTCCCTTTTCCCAGAGATTCTGATATTATTGCTCTGGAGAGGAGACTAGGCATGGATATTTTTTAAGCTCTTCAGGATATTCTAAGGCATATCCATGGTTGAGATGCACTGCTTTAAGTAGTTGTTGCACCTTTATTGTTTGCTCTCTTAATTTCTTCCTTTTCTGTCTAAAAGATGCTGAAGTTACAAATGCAAAATGTGCATGCCCATGGTCTATCTCATTCTTCTCAGTTTGAAAAAAAATTTAAATTGTTACCTAGAGCAGCCTCTTTACAAAATCATTTTTTTTTAATGTGGAGAGATTATTTGAAAGTGGTTTTCAGCAAGTGATTTAGTGCTAAATCTGAGATAAGACCTCTATATTATGGAATCAGAGTTCTGTGTGGTAAAGTGATAGAAACAGAGGCTCTGCATGATGCTCCCACCAGTGGGACAAGCATAGTCTCAGCAAAAAGAAAATAAAAGCCAGTAGTCCTTACACACTAAGAGGTGTTAGAAAAATAATTAACACCTTCCATCTGCATAACATTAGAGCAAACACCAGCTAAAAATCTACAGATTTCCAGATAACACCAGATTGAAGGAAAAGTCATTAATTTTTTCTTTACTTATGAAAAAAAATAATGCTTAAATTTAGTAGTTCACAATTAGGAAACCATACTCTATTAGTCTGTTCTCATGCTGCTAATAAAGACATATCCAAGACTGGGTAGTTTATAAAGAAAAAGAGGTTTAATGGACTCAGAATTCCATGTGGCTGGGGAGGCTTCACAATCATGACAGAAGGAGAAGGAGGAGCAAAGTCACATCTTACATAGTAGCAGGCAAGAAAGCCTGTGCAGGGGAGCTGCCCATTATAAAACCATCAGATATCCTGAAACTTATTCTCTATCATGAGAACAGCACAGGAAAACCCACCCCCATGATTCAATTACCTCCCACCGGGTCCCTCCCACAACATGTGGTGGATTATGGGAGCTACAGTTTAAGACGAGATTTGGGTAGGGACAGAGCCAAACCATATAATTCCACTCCTGGCCCCTCCCAAATCTCATGTCCTTACATTTCAAAACCAGTTATGCCTTTCCAGGACCCCCACAAAAGCTTAACTTGTTTCAGCATTAACTCAAAAGTCCACAGTCCAAAGTCTCATCTGAGACAAAGCAAGTCTCTTCCGCCTATGAGCCTGTAAAATCAAAAGCAAGTTAGTTACTTCCTAGATACTAATACAAAGGGGTACAGGCATTGGGTAAATATACCCATTCCAAATGGAAATTGGCCAAAACAAAGGGGCCACAGGTCCTATGCAAATCTAAAATTTAATAGGGCACTCATTAAACCTTAAAGTTCCAAAATGACCTCTTTTGACTCCATGTGTCACATGCAGGTCATGCTGATGTGAGAGGTGGGCTCCCACAGCTCTGCCTCTGTGGCTTTGCAGGGTACAGCCCCCCTCCCAGCTTCTTTCATGGGTTGGCATTGAGTGTCTGCAGCTTTTCCGAGTGCACAGTGCAAGCTGTCAATGGTGCTACCATTCTGAGGTCTGGAGGATGGTGGTCCTCTTTTCACAGCTCCACTAGGCTGTGTCCCAGTGTGAACTCTGTGTGGGGGCTTCAACCCCACATTTCCGTTCTGCACTGCCATAGCAAAGGTTCTCCATGAGTGCCTTGCCCCTGCAGCAAACTTCTGCCTGGACATTTAGGCATTTCCGTACATCCTCTGAAATCTAGGGGGAGGTTCCCAAACCTCAATTCTTGACTTCTGTGCACCCACAGGCTCAAAACCACATGGAAGCTGCCAAGACTTGGGGCCCTGAAGCCATGGCCTGAGCTGTACCTTGGCCCCTTTTAGCCATGGCTGCAGCAGCTGGGATGCTGGACACCAAGTTCCTAGGCTGCATACGGCGGGGGACCCTGGGCCTGGCCCATGAAACCATTTTTTCCTCCTAAGCCTCTGGGCCTGTGATGGGAGGAGCTACCGTGAAGGTCTCAGACATGTCCTGGAGACATTTCCCCATTGTCTTGGGGATTAACATTTGGGTCCTTGTTACTTATGCAAATAGCTGCAGCAGGCTTGAATTTCTTCCCAGAAAATGGGTTTTTATTTTCTATTGCATCATTAGCCTGCAAATTTTCCAAACTTTTATGCTCTGCTTCCTCTTGAATTCTTTGCTGCTTAGAAATTTCTTCTACCAGATACCCTAAATCATGTCTCTCAAGTTCAAAGTTCCATAGATCTCTAGGGCAGGGGCCAAATGCCACCAGTCCCTTTGCTAAAGCATAACAAGAGTGACTTTTACTCCAGTTCCCAACAAATTCCTCATCTCCAAACTGAGAACACTTCAGCCTGGACTTAATTGTCCATATCACTGTCGGCATTTTGGTCAAAGCCATTCAAAAAGTCTCTAGAAGTTCCAAGCTTTCCCACATCTTCCTGTCTTCTTCTGATCCCTCCAAACTGTCCCAATCTTTGCATGTTACCCACTTCCAAAGTTGCCTCCACATTTTCAGGAATCCTTATAGTGGCACCCCACTCTACCAGTATCAATTTACTGCATTAGTACTTTCTTATGCTGCTAATAAAGACATACCCAAGACTGGGTAGTTTATGTATATATATATATAAAAAAAAAGGTTTAATGGACTCACAGTTCCACATGGCTGAAGAGGCCTCACAATCATGGCAGAAGGTGAAGGAGGAGTAAGGCACATCTTACATGGTGGCAGGCAAGAGAGCATGTGCAGGGGAACTGCTCTTTATAAAACCATCAGATCTCATGAGAATTATTCACTATTACGAGAACAGCACAGGAAAAACCCACCACCATGATTCAATTACCTCCCACCAGGTTCCTCCCACAACACATGGGGATTATGGGAACTACAATTTAATGTGAAATTTGGGTGGTGACACAGCCAAACCATATCACATACCAAGTGTGCTTAGCAGTGAGGCTGATATCCAGCTGTAAAATATGAATGGCCATATGAAGTGTTAAAATATGTTTATTTAAATAAACTTTTTGGGATGGCATCACCAGAAATGGTGGAGTGAAGAGCTCCAAAAATCTTTCCTTTCATAAAAGTCATGAGATCACTGATAAACACTGTCAGAATCAACATTTTCAGAACTTTGGAAATTAACCACAGGCTTAGAACCCTGGGAGCATTCATTTAAAAAAATACTGGTAAGAAAAGTGAGCTTTATGAAATTTCTAATTCCCCTATTACAATCATCTCCTACAATCCTGCAGTAATCTTAAAAACCAACTGCCTGAAATCATAGTGAAAATCAGCAGGCTGGCAGACACTGCAGGAGGCAGAATGGTGTTGGAGCTCCTTGAAAGCCCCATTTCCAGATAATTGTTATCATTTGACCTATCTAGTCATTCCCTTTAAGAGTCTTTCACAAGTCTTGCCTTTATTTAACCTGACTTGGACCTCTCCTTGTGTGAACTGTCTTTTTCCTAAGTCATTTGTGGAAAACAATCACTGGCCATTGTTTAACTTGCTGCTGCATGACACAGTGGATAAAAGTTGAAGAAAACAAAATGCTAATTAAAAAGTTTAAAAGGAAAACCACAATAAACTAAAGATATGGGGCTTTTTAAAGCCCTATCATATTCCTGGGAACCAGAATGCCTTAAATCTTGCTCTGGTTGAGTTTGAAGCTCTGCATAAGCTGGATGTGAGGGTTAAGTCAGAGTTCTCAACTTCCTGACAAACATGCACGTGGAGCTCTTTCTAAAGCCTGGGAGACTTTGACTGGAGGTATTTGAGGAGATTTTCGTCTAATCATTAGCTAACTAAGCAGAGACTTCAGTGGCTACACATAACAAATAATATCGATTTTACAGAATTAGTCAGAAAAGCCTCTAAAGAAACAATGTGACAACAACAACAAACCTGGATAAGGGAAGAGAATCTGGTTCCTAGAGTGCCACATTCTATTATTTAAGATGTGCAATTTTCATAAAAAATTAAGAGATGGACAAAGAAACAAGAAAGTATTGTCCATACACAAGACCAAAAAAGTACAGTAAATAGAAAATGTTCCTGAAAAAGCCAAGACATTGGATTTTATAGACAAAGACTTTAAATCAGCTATTTTAAATATTTTCAAACTGCTAAGAAAAACCATGCTTAACAAACTAAAGGAAAGTAATAACTATGTCTCATCGATGACAGAATATCAATAAAAACATGGAAATTATAAAAAAGGATAAAATGGATATTCTGGAATAGAAATATACATTAACTGAAATGAAAAATTTACTAGAGAAGCTCACCACCACATTGGATCAGGGGAAGAAAGAATCCAAGAATGTGAATGCAGATTAATTGATATTATTCAGTCTAAGCAAACAGGAAGAAAAAAAGTAAAAAACAAAATAATAATGTCCTGTGAAGCAATATCATGCACACCAACATACACATAATGATAGTGTAAAAAGGAAAGAGATAAAGAGGCAGAAAAAAAATTGAATAGTGACCAAACCCTCACAAATTTGATGGGAACGATTATTCTGCACTTTCAAGAAGCTCAACACATTTCAAGTAAGACAGACTCAAAGAGATCTTTGCTAGGTGACATCATTATTAATCTGTCAAAAGACAAAGACAAAGAGAGATTCTTGAAAGCAGTGAGAAGTGAATGATATAATGTAATCCTCAATAAGATTAACAGTCAGTATCTCATAAGAAACAATAAAGGACAAAAGACAGTGGTATGACCTATTTAATTGCCAAGACTAAAACAAAGACAATAACAACAAAAACAAAAAAAACCCTGTCAACTAAGAGTTGCGTATCCAACAAAATTGCCCCTCACAAATGAAGAAGTTAAGACATTCCAAAATAAACAAAAACTGAGCGAACTTTTAACTAGTAGATTTTCTGTAAAAGAAATACTAGAAAGGTGTCTTTAGGCAGAAATAAAAAGATGTTAGGCAGCAACTAAAATATAAATGAAGAAATAAAGACCATGGTAAACGTAGCAAGCTAGATAACCATAAGATACAATATAAAAATATTTTTGTTGTTTCTTTTCCAATATAATTTTAAAGCAACTTCATAAAGTAACAATTATACATCTGTTTTGATGGTTATACAATATATAAAGACATAATTAAAGTGACAATAACAACACAAAGGAGCGGGAAAGAATGAATCTATATGGGAACAAAGTTTTTATATGTGATTGACATTAAATTGATAATAATTCTAAACAGATTGTTATGAATTAACATGTTAACTATAAACCCCAGGACAGTCAGTTAAAAAAAAACTCAAAATATGTAATAAGAGAAATTACAAAGTAATTAAAACAGTTCTTTAGAAAATATCTCTTTAACACAAAATAAGATAAAAATAAATAAATAGAGGAACAAAAGGACATGAGGTATAGAAAACGAATAGTAAAATTGCAGATGTAAGTGCTACCTTACCAGTAATTACCTTAACTACAAATAAATTAAACACTTTAGTCAAGAGGCAGAAACTGACAGAACTGATTTTAGGACAAAGACCCGGCCAGGTACAGTGGCTCACACCTGCAATCCCAGCACTTAGGGAGGCCGAGGCAGGTGAATCGCCTGAGGTCAGGAGTTTCAGACCAGCCTGGTCAACATGGTGAAACCCCATCTCTACTGAAAATACAAAAATTAGCCAGGCATGTTAGTTCACGCCTGTAATCCCAGCTCCTCAGGAGGCTGAGGCTGGAAAATCACTTGAACCCCAGAGGCGGAGGTTGCAGTGAGCCAAGACCACGCCATTGCACTCCAGCCTGGACAACAAGAGCGAAACTACGAAAAAAAAAAAAAAATCCAAGTACATGCTTTCTATGATGCACACCCTTTATAATCCAAGACACAAACAGATTAAAAGTGAACAGGTGGAAACATACCATACAAACAGTAACTGAAGGAAAGCTGAAGTGCCTACATTATCAGACAAAATAGACTTTGAGACAAAAATTGTTACTACAGAGTTTATTTTATAATGATAAAAGTGCCAATCTATTAAGAGGTTCTGTATATATATGTATATAGCACCAGACAATAAATCTGCATAATACATGAAGCAAAACTCACAGAATTGAAGGAAGAAATAAACAGTTCAAAAACAATAGTTGGAAACTTCAGTATACCACTGTCAATAATAGATAAATCAATTAGACAGAAAACCAACAGGGAAAGAGAAAACTAGAATAACACTAAAAATCAAGTGGACCTAACAGACATCTGTCAAACACTCTAGCCAAAACGAGAAGAATACACATTCACCTCTAGTGTACATGGAATATTCTTCAGGAATAGACAATCTTTTAGGTAGACCACAAAATAAGTTTTAATAAATTTAAAAGTGTGGAAACTATACAAAGTATGTTTTCTGAATATAATGTAATGAAATTAGAAATGAACAACAGAAGATAAACTGAAAAAAAATCACAAATATGTGGAAATTAAACAATACAGCCTTAAACTACCAATGGGTCAAAGAAAAAATCATACAGAAAATTACAAAGTACTTTGAGATAAATGAAAAGAAGAATGCAATATACCAAAACCTATGGCATGCATCAAAAAGCAGTGTTCAGAGAACCATTTATAGCTGTAAATATTTACATTAAAGAGGAAGAAAGATATCAAATCAGTAACCATATCTACTCTTATAGAACTAGTAAAAGAAGAACAAACTAAACCCAAAGCCAGCAGATGGATGGAAATAATAATAAAGATTGAAGTAGAGACAAATGAAATAGATAATAGAAAAAATAGAATTAACAAAACAAAAAATTGTTTTATTTTAAAGATGAACAAAACTGTTCAACAATTAGCAAAACTGACAGAGAGAGACAGAAGATTCAAATTCCTAGCCTAAGAAAACAAAGTGGGGTATAGACCTTACAAAAGTAAAAAAGATTTTAAGAGAATACTACAAACAACTTTATGCCAATAAGTGAGATAATCTAGATGAAATGGACAAATTCCTGGAAACATGCAAACCACTAAAACTTATTAGGAAGAAACAGGAAATTTGAACAGACCTGTTAAATGCAAAGAGATTGAATTAGAAATCGAAATGGCCGACAAGCACATAAAAAAATGCCTAACATCATTATTCACTAGGGAAATGCAAATCAAAACCATAAATGATACCACATCACACCCACAGAATTGCAAGATCCAAAAAAGCAGAAAACACCAAAATGGCTGGAGGCAGCCATTCTGTTATCACATGGAATGTTTTTAAGAATGCTGTCACTGAGAGCACTAACTATAATATCACATGGGCTATTTCTGGTGATAAGGTGATTTGTTCTTGTGGCAGTGCCATAAGTGTTTATGCTTCTTCTAAGTAACCAGATATTAGGAGTTGTGTAAAGGATTTGATTTCTCTTTCCTCCTAGGCTTCTAGTAGACTGCAAGTCAAATTTGTGATTCTCCATACCTATGGCATGGAATTTTATAAGATTAAATACTAGTTTGATCTTGTCTTGCTAGTATTACTTTCTCTTCTATTCTTTCATTAATTTTAAATTATATTGTGTGTGTATGCATATTAGTCCATTCTTGCATATCTATAAAAAATACCTGACATTGGGTCATTTATAAAGAAATGAGGTTTAATTGGCTCATCGTTCTATGGACCGTACAGGAAGCATGATGCTGGCATCTGCTCAGCTTCTGGGGAGGCCTCGGGAAGCTAACAATCATGGTGGAAGGGGAAGGGGTTGGAGGCACGTTACATAGCTGGAGCAGAAGCAAGAGGGAGAATGAGCAGGTGCCACAAACTTTTAAATGACAACATCTCACAAAAACTCACTTACTATTGCAAAGACAGCACCAAGATGGTGGTAAACCACTCATGAGAAATCTACCCCCATGATTCAATCACCTGCCACCAGGCCCCAACTCCAACACTGGGGATTATAATTCAAATGAGATTTGGGCAGGCAGACACATCCAAACTACATTAATATGTATATGACATGTTGATATATACATGATGGAGTATGCTGATATGCTGATTAACATGATGGCTAAAGTATGGCCCAATTCATCAGGTAAATATTATTTAAGTTGTCATTGCTTTTATTAAGTAAGAGATTGTCGTTCATGCCTACCTTTCTCCAGTTTTGTTTCTGTTCTTACATTACTTATGTCTGATGTTTAGCCCTTCATCTGCTTGCATATCATGCTCCTTTGTCAGTGAATCAAGGCAAAGCTTGATATCAGGTGATTTATATATTTAAACTTATTCTTTTCCTCTTTGTTTTCATCCAGCAGAGCTCTGCAGGATAGAAATTACATTCTTGAAGAGTGAAGCATTTGTCTTATTCTCACTAATTCAGGGGTGCCATCAATTTTGTCTCTTGTATTGTGCTTGACTAAACTATAAGAGCTCTCCCTGAGCTTCATTTCAAGCCACATGAAATCTATCTTCTATTGCAATGGACATGAATGACTTGAAAGCTCAAAATATTAAAGTCAGCTTGATAGAATTTTGCCTCTAGCTTTTAGCCAACTATCACAGTGCACAGCAAATATGTGCTATTTTTGCCTGCCTAGAAACCCCTTCTTCCTCTGCTAACAGTATCCTTATATCCTCTTGAGGACACATTCTATGTGGTTTGGTTAGAGTTTTCCCTGCTATCTAGACCTGGTAAATCAGCTATCTCATGACTCTAACTACAGTAATTTAAGAATAAACAAGTGACCCAAGCTGGAATTCTCCCTGGAGATTTTGTGTCAAAATTACTGAATGAAAAATGTCATTCTTGCCACTGAAAAAGAAGGCAGGCATAAAGTGACAACAGTACAACCATTCTCCCTGTCCCCCCTCCTCATTTTATCATGCTGGCCCCAAATTCCATAGATGTGGCTTATTTTAAGTGAAATAAACTGAACGCTCAAATTACTCATATGACTCCATATATTCAAAAATTTTCAGAACCAAAATTTACTTTTCACCTTAAATAATGGTACAAAAAAACCCAGTATATTGAAACCATGATTATTTAATGAAAATCACAATTTTGGTTGTAGTAATTATTTTGACCTCTGATGTGCAAAATGCAAAATAAATAATAGAAAAAAATAAATACAATGTAATGGCAAGATAAAAATTAGAATAGAAAAGAAAAATGAAGTAAATAAGATTAAAATGTTAGATAATATAGAGTATTAGGAATATAACATTAAAAAGCAAGAAAAAAGCATTATCAATAAAAGTTGGCTGAAAGATTCTAGAAGGGTAAACAAATAAAGATATTTATTTTTGTGAAGAAGCATTTTAAAGTGACATTCTAAAGTAGGATAAGCAAGGCAGGGTTAGGAGGAAGACATTCAAACCCATCCCTGAGGCAAAAGCAGGTAAGAGGCAAGTTTTTCATTGAATTTCATAAGGCATGAAGACAATTTATAAACATCAAGATGTCTCTCAAATGATTGCTGAGAATGAAAGTCGGCATCTCTAGCATACAGAAGAACCCTATTCCTCTGGCTTATAAATTTGAACTTAAAGATGCATTTTTACCTGAAGACAAGACAGTCTCCAATTGGCATAAATTCTTCAGAATCATTCAAGAGATACATCCAGAGAGGCAGTTTGGACTATTACTCACATTGAACTGGTACACTACCCTGTTGCCTACTTCAAAATAAATGCTTTAGAAATAATTTTATACAATCTTGAATCATCACATTATATGTGCACAACACCACACCATAACTCTAAAACCATGCTTAGCCCAAATCTATTAGACTTCCACTACTTAAAAAACAAAGATGGTCCTATTCCTTATCAAGGCTAATATAATTGCCAATGTGTGTTTTTAAAACAACAAAGAAGAAATGGCTACAGCTGTTCTTATTTGGTGGTCTTATTATATACAGCTAAAGGTTACTTGTTTATATGCTTCTAATTAGGATTGATTACAAACATTATAATAACAAACATACAATAAAATCAATTATAGTAATAGACTTTACTGCCAATATTTAGTAATTTCCTGTTGCCATTAAGCCAGTTATTTCCAACTATGTGATTGCATTGGGAAGATAATATTTTTATAGAGATTTGTTCCTTTTTTAGATATGAAAATAAAATAATACTTATTTTATTTCCAAATGGACAAGATATTTTCTATTTCTGTACTACTTGTTTCTCTCCTACACTCATTAGACAGCAACATCTTAATGAAACACATTTAAAAAGACAAATAAAAGAAGTTGTTTATGTACACAAGTCAGCTTGAATTCAGTTAAACAGGAGTTTCTTGAGGATGAGGTGGAGTAAGGAATTGAGCAGATGGGGGAGGGAGGCTTCATTATATTTTTGGTTTTGAAATAAACATATTAACTATTCAATTATTAAAATATTAAATTAATCAAACATTTCAAATAATTTAAATTTAATCAAGCAGCCTATTGACAATATCTGAGATTTTCCTTACATTTTCTGAATTATTGTAGCAAGGATATGGCCAAAGTAACAATAGGCGGAACACATCATCCATCAATTAAGAGGCCTAAGGACTTGGTGTCCCATTGGAAAACCCACCCAACTGGCCTTACATCATTGCCGATGTTTGAAGTTAGTAACCAGCAATTTGTTTAACTCAAATAAACATCAAGGAATTTATTACTGCACAGAACTCAGCCTTTTGGAGAACTTATTTTGCTCCTGTTTATAAATGATTGTATTTGTTATCATTTCTTTCCTTTAATCATTAGTAGAACATTTTGTAATTGTCTTCTTATATTAACCACATGAGGTACATCAGTCCCATGTTCCCATTTTAGAGAAAGATGGTACAGAAACCTAGGAATATTTGGCTATACTCATAGGATAAATTGAAACAAATTGTAGGGGAAGTAATGACATTAGTGTTTGTGTTCCCTGATATTTCATTAGATCTAGCTCAAAGCCCATTAAAACCAAATATTTTTAAAAGAGAACTTTTATTAACATAGTTTTAAAATCCCATTTCTAAAACAGAGAGGCCTCCTGTAAAATAGGGCTGCATTCATTTTTCTTTCCCACTGGTGGTTTGTTTTTGCCCCTGTGTCACATTTTCCATACAATTTTATCTTCAATTACCACTGAGCTAAAAATAAATAAAGCATGTTTCCTAAATTGTCATAATTAGCAATGCCATTTTATAGGGAATTCGGCTGCTGCTTGAGTAAACAACTGTTTTTACTTAAATATTTGATACAGAATAGGAAGGCTGCTATTTTTCTTGATGATAACAGGAAGTCAGTTTTCATGTAAGTCATATGATTCTGACAGAGTTATTAGAAAACAATACGGAAGTTGGTTTTTAGAAATTATATTGTTTGAACGTCCTGCTTGTAACTTTGCCCCTATGGAAAGATAGAGAGCATATTAAATAGAAGCCATTTAGAGCAAACTGTGAGGCCTTTGTTTGAGAATCTAGCTTCTCTCTTTCTAGATCTTCTACTCCTTCATGTACTCATAGGACACTATAAAAAATCACAAACAATTTCTTCAGGACAAACACGTGTTTCAGTGTGTCTGTTTTCTGGGGGTTTTCTTATAATCTAGAAAAAAAACAAAGTCATAGCATTTTAGAGCTGGAACAACTTTTTAGAATTATGTAGCCCAAATATCTCATTTTAGAGGTCATAATGAAATCCAGAGACATGAATGGATTGGCCTGGCAGCTGGTTAATAACACTAAGAAATGGACTACAAGTGCTCTTTCTGCTGGCCTCTGATTCCATATGTTTTCTGTCCATTGCTTCCCCTCCTCCCCTAAGAAGATGCTCTGTAGTGAGGTATGACCCTTCTGGAGAAGAGGATAAACCTGATTCCTAACAGTGCCAGAGTACAGAGTAAACTCTAATGAATAAATTGACTTTGAGATTGGGAACCACTGCCCCACAGTGGTCTCACCTCTGAGAAATAACGACACTTGCTCATTTGTGTTGAAAGCAGACAGGACTAGACCTGTAACTTTTAAAATCATAGCAAGTGAATTCTTGGGAAAATAGTGAGTGAGATCACTGGGGAGGAAGGAGAGGCAAGGAAAGGCTCATTATGATGATAGACAGCCCCTAAATAATATTCAGAATAATTTCCTCCTAAATAAGAGGATCATACTCCACAGAAGCAGGTGAAAATGCAATTTTGGAGAAGCTGATAATGGTTCTGTCTCTGACATGTGTCTATTTCAAAAAAACTGGGGCTTCTGTTTGCTTATTTGGCAGACAGTGTGTGATTGCAATGAAGGGATGAGGGCTGGCAGAGCCCTGATAATGGTAGGTGTGCAGTCTCTCCTCCAAACAGCTATAAAGGAAAAACCATTATGGTGCGTTGAAAAGCTCAAGGAAATCTAAACTGATTGGGGTGTGGGGGTTGCTGAGAAATGAGGTCATTGAATCGCTACATAAAATCAGGAATGATATAAAAGCATGATGTACAAGAAATGAGGGAGATCTTTCTGGCTTAGAAAGTTTCTTATATTTTTCCTAATGATTAAGCAATATCTGAAATTTACCGCAAGGTTTGTATCTATCATCAGTCTAATTTAAGAGGAATATACTTGCAGTTACAGTGTCTATTTAACCTGATCTCTTATGGTTCCCAATATTTCATTCTGTTCCTGAGATACTCCTATACTGAACATCTACATGTCATTTGCCTCTGTGTCTTTACACACGAAATGCCTCTACCTGGCAAAATAACGTCCCTTTTCTTCCCTCATTTATGCTCCCGACGTTTTCAAAATAAGATCCACAAGATATCTCTACTAGCGACTCTTTTCCTCACTAAATGTTTCCTATGCCAAATTACATATTTACTATGAAGCCTCTTGATACACATGTACTTGGTTGATACTGCATTGGCTTTGATTTGTAACTATCTTGTTTTATAAGATTCTTGAATTGTTGTTATGTATTTAGATGCACTTCCCCAAAAAGCCAAAAAAATCTTGAAAATTTTTCTTGTTTTCTTTGTACTTTTACTGAAGCCAGTACATTGCCTTGCATGCAACGATCACAAAATGTTAGTTTTAATCGACTGCTTCCAAAGGCAAACAGTCCAGTTCTCTAGCTTCATTTCTTTTTCCACTATTTCACCGGTAGACATGTTGATGAACCATAGGGCAAAAACAGTCAATATATTTTATCTGATTAATTTTTTAAAAATAAAATCATAACTCTTTATATGCATAGTAACCATGAAATAAGATTAAAATGTCACCTCTCTCCATTTAATGTAGAGGGAAAACAGACAGTATACTACACATGAGAAAAAAAAGTTACCCTAGGGGTCATTACATCATCTTCTTGACCCATCCAACACACTGGTTTTCTCTAAGCTTTGAGCACAAAATGAAGAAAGAACCATGTTATATGAAAAAAAAATGTGTCTTTAAACTATACAATCTCCCCAAGCTTGGCAAAACACTTGCACTAAGAGAATCCTGAGACCAAAAGAGATATCTGAAGAGAGGTCCTGTGTCCTCTCTCAGGCAACCTTCAGGGCTTTTGCTTTTTGAGTCTCATGGAGGACTAAAATTCCCATTATATATACATATTTTTTTTAAAAAAAGCAAATGTATGTAGTTGAATTCTCATCAATTAAATGTAATATGGTGTAACTCCACTATCCTTTTGTGACCTTCTTCTTTACTCATTTTTGTACTTTGACCCTATCCACATGAGTCTTCTCCCTCTCTCTTTGTCTCTCTCACTCTTTCTCTCTCTGCATCTCCTAAATGTTGCAGGGGCTTGCCATTTAATCTAGCATCCAAATACCAAGCCACGATACTATGCCAACTTAAGAGTCCAGTTTTAGTTCCTGCTACTTTTGCTGCAACTGCAGCTATTACTCTTCACTTTGGCTTTAATTCTGCAGTTATCAACTGAGTGCATCCTTGCTTCAAGCACTGTGCTGAGAATATAAAGATAAATAATACAAGGCTCCTGAGTTCAAGGAGTTTACAGTCCAGAGGTGCTATTTGCAATGTAATTATGATTTCTTGTTCTCTTTTATCTCTTCAAACTTTTAACAATTTGCATCTCACTATATTATCCTGAGCTCAGCTCCCCCTCATGCCACAAAGCTACCACATTCACTGCACAGAACTTAGGTTTTCAAGCTTACATTTTTTTCTCTGCCACAGGTTACTTAGACTTTTAACAGACGTTTATTTCCTCCAGTTCCCCCATCATAAAGAGCCAACCATGAGGCAACAGGATCAATGGCCTCCTTGGTTTCTTCCTTTCCAGTGCTGTCACCATCTGCTACTTCAACTGCTGATGTCAACTTGCTCAGTTATCTTGCCTTTCCAGTGAGGTTGCTGCACTGCATGGCTTGCCTTCTGCGTAATGGAAGTGACTATCTAGTCCCATGGATTTCAGTGGAGCAGGACTGGCTTTCCTATCCCCAGGGGAGATTTTAAAATTCTGAATCTCAGATGGTTAATTTTACTTCAAAGCTTTTCCCCTCCTGTAGCTAAAAAACAACATGATTCGTTTTCAAAAGATGCCAGTTGTCATTTAACTGCAATAATTCAAGAAATTTAAAGACAGAAAAAGGTCTTATAGCTATTGAACATTTTCTTGCCCAATGCATGAGGTAAAGTTACAGCATAATTTAACATGATGCCTTTTCTAGGAAAAATCCTTTTCCACAAATTCATTCCCCACTAAAAGATCTGAGTAGTTGAAATCACACAAGTCTGTCTAAGCAGACTTGTTCTCATCTGAAGACTCATCCATTCTGGATAAATGAGAGAATTCCTGAGGGTGACTCTTGCTCAGGCCTCATCAAAGGAACTATGTCTTTCTTGTTCAAGGAACAAAACTCAGTTTTATGATATAAAAAAGAAAAGAAAAACAGCATCAACTATTCAGAAGCAACTGCTTAGGGACTTTTATCAAGGTAGCTATAAAGTACATAAATCTGTTTAAAAAGTTTGCGTATGTCAGTCAAATAACTAAAAGAACAAATAGAATATGAGTGCTACAAGACAGTAATTTTTGCCTGGTTTCTTCACTGCTACATCTTTAACACCTAGAACAATGCCTGGCACATAGTAAGCACTCATTTAATATTTGATGAATGAATGAACAATTAAAAGCAAAGCTGAAGGTGACAGCTGACCGCATAAAGCAAAAATGATTTATGAGGTTCTACACTAAATACCAAAGGAATACAATGGTTGCTTATCATGGAAAAGTGCAATGTCTGTGCTAATGATATTAAAGGGAAAAAAATTGCTAGGGAGATGGAGAAGAATCATGCTACTGTGAGAGAAAAAAGGGTGGCTTTGGGGTGGACTTAGCTTACAAATGGTAAAGAATTACATGTCTTCTGGTAGCCCCACAGAGCATTTTCAGAGGCTGGAAACCTTCTGGTTTCAGTTTGGTGGAGAAAAATAATAGATCCTATAAAATCAAGAAAGGAACTTATTCTTTTGACATTAAGACAGACCCACTTTTACCCTTCAGTCTGAGTAGCTATTCTTTTATCTAAGCCTCACATTTTTGTGTTCCTTTTATTTCCCTACTCTGGTGGCCCTCAGCCCTGGTGGCGCATCAGAATCACCTGTGGAACTTTTAAAAATTACAGTGTCTGGCTGCCACCCCCATTTTGATATATTTGGGCTGGGCTGGGGTCCAGGTATTGGTTTTTTAAAGGCTCTCTAGATGATTTTAATATTTGTCTAGGACTGAGAAATTTTGCCTTGCCTCGTGTTGCAACCTAGATACATTTTTATACTTTACCATAGAGAATATATGGCAATTTTTCCTACCTCAACAAATTTTACCTATGTACTCTTTTCCTTTACCTTACACTGATTTCTGCATTCTTTAGTGGTCTCCATGAATACTCCGTTTGATTAATGACTTTCCTTCATGACCATTCTGACTCCTTGAAAAACGTTTGAAAACAGCCTTTTCAAAAGAACTTCAAATGTTACTTACACACAGAAGAATATGCAATGTAGATATCCAATTTTATTCTATTTTGGTTCAGAAAATGACTCTCTCAACTTATTTAGAAAATGACTATCTCAACAAAGAAGAAAATGTCAACAACAAGAAGTCCTTTAAACAACAAGCAGTGCTGAGCTCACACCATTCGAATGTTAGCAAATCTAGAATAGAAGAGAAATCATAGCTTTATCTTCAGACAGGTTTTTCTTTAATTCCCTTTTTTAGAAATCATCTCTTGTACACTCAAAAAACGTTATAAAGCCAATGCAAGGTAGGGAATGAATTCATTCACTATTAGAGAGAAGATACATTTCTATTTAAAAATTGTTCTCTTTTATACAAATAGTTTTAACTTATCTGTGGCTTGCCTTTCACATCTATGAAATGAAAGATATTGAATATTTTATCCTTAATAGTTTATGAAATGTGATCAATAATCAGTATCCTGATGAAATTATTTGTTTTCCAAAGAAGATGAAGAATATAATAGAAATTTTCAAAGCCAAAATTTGCTTCTAAACCAGCTACTCTGACTAAAATAAATCCACCTCCTGTCTTTCACTTGGAACTACAGCTAGCTTCAGGGTGACATTTAACTTTGGAAGGAAACTTCTGATCTTACACTCCTTTGTTGTCAATTGCCACTCAAAGTACTAGTTTTATAGGTGCATATTTATGAGATATGAAACATTTCTCCTTTCACATTCTGGAAAAATGCATGCTCTGAAATAAACAGTTATGGCAAATTTGGGAATATTTCAGCACATAGACTTTTTTAAGAAAACCACTTGTCAATAATTTATTAAAGTACTACTAAAATTAAAGTTCAAGGAACAAAGAAAGCAGGTGGCAACATTTCTGGGACTTAACTTGGGATGGATTTATTAATGGCAATTATTAGGAGAGAGAACCACCCAAAAGCACATTGGAAACCTAACAATATAAACCAAAGTCTGGCAGCAGAACTCCTACCGTTTTGAAGGGTAATGAATACTTTTATGACATGAGTTAGTTCCACAGTCCAAGACTAAGGAATGGAACTGTTCTTTACTTGTTATTAGTTATGAGCATTATGTATATATACAAGAGCAAACTATAAATACAAGAAACCTAAAGAATTGAGTCCTCTGGATGGGAAGCAGGGGAAAAAGAGTGTGAGTAGAGCAATGAATACCACGTGAGGACTAATTTGGTAAACCGAGTGCTGTGCAATGAATACTGAGTACCTTCCATTAAGACGATTGGCTAGTATATAGCAGCCATAGCAGTGTTCCATGATGAGCAAATACAACTATGAGTGTGAATTTGCTTGTACATAAAAAGCCTTCTGCTAATAGTAAATTATGTTCTGAATGTTTCCTTATAAATTAGTGAAGAGCAAAAGAAATAAAATAAAAAGTTAGTGACCTTAAAATAAATATGCATCATTTAAAAATACTTTATTATTGGTCACTTATGAACTTCAGTCTCATAGATTCAATTCTCTAATCAACATCTTCACCTGGGTGTCTAGTAGACATCTCCATTGACATGTCCTAAAACTCAACCTCTGATCTTCTCTCCTAAGCTTTTTCTTCAGTCTCTTTTTATTTCAGTTCATGGCAATTAGATCTTTCCAACCGCTCAGGGAAAAACCTTGGAGTCATTGTGACTCTTCTTTTTCTTGCCCTATATCCAATCAGAGAAGAGTAAATCCTTTGAATTTACCTTTAAATATATCAGAATCATACCACTTTCACTGCTAACACCAGAATCCAAGCCATCCTAATCTCTCACCAAATTGTAACCATAGCCTTCTAACTGTTCTTTCTGCTTCCACCCTCTCCTTCCCCTCATTATAACATATTCTGAACACAACAGCCAGACTGATCCTGTTAAACTGTAGGTCAAATAGTGTCTCCTCTCTGCTCAGTATCTTTAAATGACTGCCCATTGCACCCAGAATTAAAACTAAAGTCCAATGTTGGCTCACAAGGCCCTAAAAATATCAAGTCTCTGCTACTTCTCTCATTTCATCTCCAACACCTCTCTGCCTTGTCTTGCTCTCCCCTCTGCAGTCACACTGGAACACTGCAGCTCCTCAAACTTTCTGTTGCTTCTGCCAGGTAAGCTCTTCATCCTGATGCCTGCATGCCTTATCCTACACCTCCTTTAGGTTTTTGTTCTAAAATCATCCACCCAAGAAGGACCCAACTGCCCTATATAAAATTACATACATCTCGACATCCAGAATTCCCTAAACCCCTTCACAGTTTTATTTTCTTCATAGCACTAATCAGCATATGACAAACTATATATGAGTGTGCATCTGTGCACATGTGTATTTGTCTATTGTCTGTCTCCCCCTACTAGAATACAAACTCCTTGAGGACAAGCATTTTTGACTCTTTAGGTCATTGCCATATCCCCAGGGCCTGTCACATGGAAGTTTCTCAATTGTTCATTCATTGAGACAAACAATTAAATTAACATTAAAGTAACATATTAATTTGTTCACTGTAGCATGAACAAATTAATATGTTATTGTATTTGTCACATTCAATTTGGTACTTTTTGTCATGGTTTTATTATTTTATTCTGGGCCATGCCAGCTCATCTTTCATTTTCTTTTTTTACCCTATCATATATTTCTAAAGATCTTAGGGTGGGCATGGTAGCTCATGCCTGTAATCTCAGCACTTTGGGAGGCCCAGGTAGGCGGATCACTTGAGGTCAGGAATTCGAGACCAGCCTGGCCAATATGGCAAAACTCCATCTCTACTAAAAAAAAAAAAAAAAAAAAAAAAAGAAGAAGAAGAAGAAGAAAGAAGAAAAAAAAAAGTTGGTGGTGGCTGAGGCAGGAGAATCACTTGAACCTGGGAGGCGGAGGTTGCAGTGAGCCAAGATGACACCACTGCTCTCCAGCCTGGGCGACAGAGTGAGACCCTTATCTTATATCTCTGCTTTAAGCTCTTCTTTTTGTAGGGTGTACTTTTTTCATTATGGTTTTTTGTGGGTTTTAAATTCACAGTGATATATTTGGTTAAATTTTTCTTTTATTCCGTGCCAACATTTTTCTCATAAATATTCTCTGTCATTTTTTTTCTGTTCTTATGCTATTTTTATCTTTGATTATCTTTGTATGTGGATCCTATACTAGTTTATGTTTAATGACTCATCTTTGAATGAGGAAGGTCTCCTTGGACCCATTGTTTGCAGTAGGGAATTACGAAGGAGGAACTCTCCTTATGGCACAGGGACCACAGGGATTTACGTTTAGGGAGCCTTTGCTTCTTTCTTGACCACTGGGACTTACAGAGAGGCCCAGTGCCCTCTCTCGTACTCCTGCCGCACCAAACACTGCTTCCTGCAAATATGTTTTGCCTGCATGATTCCTTCACTAATTCTGCATTTACCTTCCCAACACTGTGTGACTCATTAGTAAGCACAAGGAAGGACCCACCATGAGCCCCCCGCTCCTTCCCAGTGTTGCTAATAGAAATTGTTAGCTCCGTGACCCAGAAGGGGAATCATTTCTTTGGAAAGTGCTCTCTCATGGCTTTCATTGAGATCTGCAGCCATAGGTATTCTCACTCCACATCTTCATACACATTAACTTTATTAATATTGGCAGATCTTCCTCTAATTCTGTGATTTGGAGTTTCATATTTCTCTTAAGTTAGTTGAAGATGGAATTCTAAAGTACATATATTTATATGTTAACATCTGTTACATCTAAGTAAGGAAAAATACAGAATATATTATTTGCTACTTTTTTGAGTGTTTAAAATATTTTATAATTAAGTGTATCAATTTTATTTTTGCCAGATTTATATAAAGCATATAAATTAAATGTGTTAATTAGATATCCTACAGCTGTAATCCTCCTAAGTATCCACAATATTTTTGGCTTGCTGTTTCTCACCTTAGAATGACTAAACTAGCACATTAGAATAAATAAGGAAGAATAACATTTAGTAGGTCTTCTAATATGCCAACTTTAACAACCGCTGTTTTATTTATTTTAATGGATAAGAGCTTTATTAGTCCGTTTTCACACTGCTATAAAGAACTTCCCTGATACTGGCTAAATTATAACCAAAAGAGGTTTAACTGACTCACAGTCCCACATGGCTGGGGAGCCTCAGGAAACTTACAATCATGGTGGAAGTGGAAGCAGACACCTTCTTCACAAGGTGGCAGGAAGAGAGAGAGCATGCGAAGAAGGAACTGTCAGACACTAATAAAACCATCAGATCTCGTGAGAACTCACTATCACAAAAACAGCATGGGGGAAACAGCCCCCATGCTCTAATCACCTCCCACCAGGTCCTTCTCTCGACATGTGGGGATTATGGGGATTATAATTTGAGATGAGATTTGGGTGGAGACACAGATCCAAACCATATCAAGAGCATGGACTCTGGATCCAGAGTGCCTCACCTTAAATTCTATGTCCGACCCTTATAAGGAAAGTGGCCTCGGGCATATTATTTAACATTTATGCCCTTTGGTTTTCTCAGCATAAAATGAGGATAATATTAAGATTGTTGTGAGAAGTAGGCAAATTAATACTTTTAAAACATGTAGAACAGTGCTTGACACATAGTGCTATTATATAGCAGAAATTATTACTACCATTATTCCATGTTTCATGGATTCATATGTCGTTTAAATAATTTCAATAAATGTAAAATTTTACTACATACTACATATTATTAGTTCTCCTGGTTATTTTTATTTGGAATGTTAAATAGATGGAGTCTCAAGTTCATATTTTGAAAATTAGTGGTTAAGGATGTGACAATGATTTAATGAGAAATTCTCATCTCCAGGCCATTTAAATAGCCCATTCTCATGGTTACATTATAATATTCTATGTCCATAAATCTTTCAGTTCCATAGGACTTTTCCCATGGCTGTATCTCAAGTTCCATAGTTCTAGAGTCTGTAACATAAAGCAAAGAGATAAAAATCACTTATAATTTCCTTTCTGAAATAAAATATAGCAAATATTTAACTAGAGCTTTTCCTCTTGCTAGTGACATCCAGTCCTATATGTAGTAACTTAAGGATGAAGGCGAAATACCTGTTTTTTACTCTTTCATTCACTGAATACATTTACTAAGAATAAGGCATTATGGAGCATGGGAACTAAAGAGATTGATTAAGCAGGATATCTGCTCTCCAGGATCTTCTGTCAAATAGAAGGGATAACATGAGCATATGGTTGCTCAGGAAGCCTTGCTGAGTCAATGAAGTAAAAAAGGAGGAAAGAGCTATTAAATAACTCTATTCTTGGATGTTTCATTGTGGAGCACTCATTTTCTGGTGATTAATTGTTTTGAATGTAACTTCAACTTTATGGGTTAAGAAGTTGACAGCATCCTAGGGCTGGCTACATCTCTCAGCCAGAAGTAAATGAATACAAGGGTGGTTTGTAAATCTAAAATTTCAATTTGCTAATTTAAATTTTTTATTATATTATTAGCATGTTGTTATACTGTCAGTTTATTAATTTATAATTATTTATGGGCAGTTAATTTGCCCATTTGACTACAGAGAATAGCTTGGGGAGCTATGTGTTTATCAACAAGTTTCTTGGTGAACAAAGACTAAGTCAGATCAAGAAGTCAGAATAGCCAACATTCAATCAAGTCAAGCCTTGATAATGATATATTCATCACCATAGTAGCCATCACACTTTATGCCTTCAAATGGGACTGGAGTACCTGTGAGTCAACTCTTCTAACTCTCAACCTGCTTCTGTTGATCCTGCCAATGTTCAACTTCTTAGTATCTCTTTTATAAGGTGAATAAATTCACCTTCTAATTGACTCTTTATTTCAATGTGCTCATCAAGTTACAACTGGATCTTACAAATATTGGTGCTCTTGCAACTTTTTAATGTGACTTTGTACATCTCTGCTATGCTTAACATGCGGTAATCTTACTATTTAAAGGGAAATGTGCAATCTTATATCACTTACTTTGGGAAGAATATATTGAAATGAATAATTTATATTCCTTAACAATTTTGTTAAGTCGGCCACTTCAGAGAGTGGACAGTAATAAAGTAAATCAGTGAAATAAATAACCATAAAACATTAATAGACCAGAAATTTATTTTATTATCCATGAAGAATGTCATAAATATCGCATTTAAATTTGAATTTCTCTAATGTGCTAGTTTCACAAAAATCAAATGAATCAAGCTAATGTAACCAAACTGAACACTTCATTTACAATGTTAGAAAAAAATTGAATTTGGTGTCCATCTTACAATCGGTCAAGTAAAGAAAAGCAGAAATCACAGAGTAGTTGAAATTATCCCATGGGTATGAAGAATTAGGAGAGTAGCCCTAGAAATTGTAGATCCTCTGACCCAAAGGCCAGCTAGTGGCCTAAACACAGCATGCCACTAAGACATTTTATTAAGTCTGTCCAGATGGACAGTTTCCCATTGGTCCTACAAGCAGCCAGCAGTTTGACCTACTAATAACTTGGAAACAAGACAGCAGAAACTATTTTGACTTTATCCCCACTTGGGAGCCCCTGCCTCTCAAGGGAGCCAGTCATCAGCTGCAGCCTGGCCTAAAACCAGGGAGGAGTCTGGCTGGCAATACCAGACATATAAATTTTTCCTTATCTCTACCTCTTCTCCCTCCCACTTTAGTTTTTCCTTTGGCACCTTTCCATCTCTGTCTTGTTCAAACTCAACTTACTCTTTATCCCAGAGTGCTTCATTAATATCTAAGCATACAGGCTAAGGTCACCCAGAACCATCATCTCCCAGAAGAGAGAGGATGTGTAGTTAGATTCCACGTACCAGCAATGCATCTTGTTTATAAGGCCTTTTCTTTACTTGACCATGTTTACCCAATGTACAAACCTACCATCATTTCTATTATTTCAATTTTAAAAATTAATAACTTAAGAAAATCTGTCAATCCAGTTATTTCCTATTATATATAGATAGATAGATAGATAGACAGATGGTTATGTATATGTAACCAGAAAAAATTATTTGTTTCACTCTTATTTTAGATATTATATTCCCTTCCTTTTTTCTTTATTATGTCTGACTTGAAATATTGAGATACTACAAGTTTTCATTCATCATCAGCTCACATTCTTATTTAAATTTTTAAATTTCCATTGTGCATAGCTATTACCAGGCATATTCTGTTGACTTACTATGTTTCTATTTTTATGTCTCTCTTATTCATCACATGATGAGGCCTTTGCAGGCAGGAAGGATGTCTTCCTTATGTTTATATCTCCAGTGTTTATGACAATGTCTAGAATTTAGCAGAGACTCATAATTTTTTCTAGAAACAGACTTAGTTTTTATATAAATGTCACAATTAATATAATATGTATGGATATAGTTTTAGTTTCATGACTGTATTTTCTTGCTCAGCCTGGTGCATTGAACACCCAATGCCTGAAAAAAATTCTCTAATTTCTCATATTTTGGTTTATATTGAAACACAAAAGCACTTAAAGATAATGTATGATCCCTTTTGTACATTACCAGTAACATGTTTATTATAATTAAAGTCTAGACCTTTCTACTATTTAAATTTGCATACCCATTCTGTAAAGAACTGAAATAGTTTTAAAAGATTATGAACATAATGAACATTAGCCCAAGAAATCCGCAGAGACGGCTGTTAACAGTAGCTGTTCTGCTAAGCAAGTTGGACTTTAGCCAATGAAAATCCCCTATGGAGAAGTCTAATAATATTAGCCTCAATTCCAATGCTGGCAATAAGGCATATATAACAAACAATTTTCCTCTCTCTTTAAGAACACTGCTCCAGATGTCTTCTATTAAAAGCGAATGTAACATTGATGTGTATAATAAACCCTGATCACATTTCAACATATTGATATTAAGCTCACCCATATTGCACTACAGACATAAGTTTATTCTTAGGTCTCATTCTTACTCATGTTTATAATCAGTATAAGCTTCCATTTACATAAAGTTTACGTTCTTATTTACAGTTTCACATATCATTAATTATTTAATTTTTACTGATTTCTTTTTAGCTTGATAAATTAGCATGCTATGCAGTTTTTCAGCATAAAGTAATTAAGAAAGTAATTTTATTGATTAGATTAACTCAATATTCAAGTCAAGCATATGCCATTTTTCATTACTGAAAACTGTTTCTCAAAAAATGACATTAAAATAAAATTTAAATTATAATACCAAGTCAATTTAATTTTCAGAAAATGTTTTGCATATGCCCAGTTTTTAGAGTCTTTGTTTTTTTGTTTTTTAAAGACAGGTTCTCACTCTGTCACCCAGGCTGGAGTGCAATGGTGCCATCTTTGTTCACTGCAACCTCTGCCTTTGGAATTCAAGCTATCCTCCCACCTCAGCCTTTCAAGTAGCTGGGACCACAGGCATACACCACCATGTCTGGCTGTGTTTTTGTATTTTTAGTAGACACAGGGTCCTGCCATCTTGCTTAGGCAAGTCACAAACTCCTGAGCTCAAGCTATCCACCGCCTCAGCCTCCCAAAATGCTGAGATTACAGGTGGGAGCCATCAAGCTTGGCCTAGACTTTTATTGATATATTTTTGTACATGTTCCTTTAATGAACACTAAAGTTATGCTCAGAGTTACCCCGTTATAGAGCTCTGGAAGTTTAAAGGCTCCTTAACTATTTAGGGATAGAGGAGCTCTCTTAGTGTGGGATATGTCTTCTTGAGCATTCTGCAAACTTCAGGACCTTTTCTAGAAGGGTAGTCTAGATTTCCCCCTTGAAGGTTAGCGTCTCCTAGGCACTTCTCTATTTAGAACCTGGTTGAGCTGCCTTGAAATATCAGAATAGAGCCCCAAGTCTTCTTCATCAGAATCTTTAGTCAGGATCTAGTTACCTTCTGGGGTGTCTCAAAATAGACCAGTTTTAAGCAGTTCTATGTATTTATTCTGCTAGTTACCTCCAGGTTTTCAATAACATACATTCATTGCTATTTCTTGTTTATTCAACTTTAAGATGTTTCTCAATGCTCTACTTTAAAAGAGGAGATTTAGACCACTCAAAATGCTTTCTTTGTATGTATGTGAGGTTTATAAATGTTTACTCTTTAACGACTTCTTGTCTCATTAAATGGATAGCTACATGTTTCACAGAATTATGGAATTTTTAATAAGAGATTGTTTTAGCTATTATCTTATACAAACCTTTCATTCAGTAGACTGAGACTCAGAGACTAATTCAAGCGAATTGAGAATTACAATAGGGAGGAAGTTTGAAACTTAAGGCTTTATGTTCAGGTCTATACAATTGGGTTAGTGTTGTGAAGACCAAGTCCTACTTCTATCACTTTGTTGATAAGACTTTAGTATGTAGATATCCCTGAGTTTTCTTCTGTTTACACCTTCTGCTAACATTATAGTCTAGTCCATCAATACCTTTTACTTGGACCACTGCACATGGTTGCTAGGGTTAATTATACCAAAATACAAATCTAATTATGTCTTTCTCCTACTTAAAACCTTTCATGAAAACTTAATATGGCTTACAAGCTGTTGTATTTTCCATTTCACAGATGAAAGAACTAAGAATGAGAAATTAAATAACTTTCCTAAGAGTAAATGGTTAATAAAAGACCACAGCTAGGATTCAAACTCAACTCTGTCAGTGCCGAAACATTGAAAGCTGGTAACGTGATCTGAGACAGCTGAAGGAAAAGAACTGGAACTTTCAAGTTTTTATTTGGTAACTGCCACATGGGAGGCAATTTGTTAATTTCTGTTACTATTAAAATAAGCAAAATATTAGTCCCAATGCAACACAAAGAAGAGATAGGGGAAAGTAGTAGTCTTATCTCATCTAATTTTCTTTTCTGTTAATCTAGGAGATTGTACTATGAGTAATTTATGAAGTTCCCTATGATATGATTGTGGCTCCCCTTAACTCTTTCAATACAGTAGCAGGAGAGCATAATGGTTAAGGACATGAGCTCCAGATTCCAAAAGACCTGGGCTCTAGCCCAGCTCCCTCTAGTATCATTGTGAAGATTAAAATTGATCATTCATGCAAAATTCTTAGTTTAGTCTTGGCAGTAATGTTTTCTCTCCATAGTAACTTTTGTGAATGAGTTTTTGCTTATCTCATTCAGAAGAAGAGGGCTGTATCTTTAGTCTCAGGAGCCTTAGTATCTGGCAAATGCTTGGACTACGTATTATTAACTCAGTAAATATTACTTGGATGAATGGCATGAATTATGTGTCTCCTAAGAAGGTACACAGGCAGAGACCCATAAGAAGATATAGCTGTTTTGAGTAGTCCAGAATGGATGAAGGCAATGAAAGAAGCATAGCGTGTAAAGGCAGGCAGATATTACATCTTGAGTAGCTTTATAAGCCATGTAAAGAAGACTGAGCTTCATCCTGCAGAGGGGAAAGCATAAAGCATTGTATGCTTAAATAGCACAATCAACTTTACAATTTTTAAACACAAAACCTTCTGACTGCAATATAGAGGCAATATTGAAGAGGAGCCTAATAGGAAGTATGGAGAATAGTTAAGAAAATATTGATGTAATATCGGTAAAAAAGTAACAGGAAGCTTAATGCAAAGCAAAGACAATATGAACACATTTCAGAGCTATTCAGTGGAAAAATACTCAAAATGTTTGTGTCAATTATTAGGATACTAAAAAAATAGTAAGCAATCGGTACACTAATTTCCAAATATCAGTATTTAGATTCACAAGATCAAAGTCACCTTTGGGAGCTTTTTAAGGACAGATTGTTGAGCTTATTCTTAGAGGCTCTAATTCAATGGTGTAAAGGTTGGCCCAGGATACTGTAATTTTTTATTCCTTAACTGCATTTTTTATGCATCATTTAAATTTGACTTGCACAATATATTAGATTTTTTTTTACTATAACCAAACCAATGGCCAAATAGCTCCTTCATGCAACCATCGCTAGCACTGTTCTAAATAAGATGATGCATACAAGATAAACTTAACACAATTCCAAAGTTTAAGTACTTTACAATTTGATCAAGAGGACAAAGTTAACATATGAAACAAATGGAGAATAGTATTTGCTAAACCATATGCTACTGAGGATGGATGGAATAAATTTTCCAGAGATATGAGACCATGATGGGAATTGGAATAGATATAATTAGAATGGGTCTGCAATAGGGAGAGTATTAGAAAACTAAGAGGAAATGCAATAGCCCAGCTATGATTTGACTAGCACAGAATGAGCTGGTCATGTGGAGAAGGGTAAGAAAAACACCAAGAATGAAGCAAAAAGAGAGTCATAGAATAGCTGTAAATCAGTATGGTCTGATATCCTGGGTAAGATAATAAAGAATATTGAGGGGAAAATATTTTAGGAATATAGCAATAGCAAGAAAAAAAAGAGGTGAATTGAAGAATGAAGAGACTGGGAGAGGAAAGACCAGCATTGTGGGGAGCAGGGGTGAGATGACCCGTTTTAATCATTTCAAGCACGAGGTAATAAAAGCATAGGTTTGAGGTAGTGGTTTCTGGAAACGGAAAGGAAAATGTGATGGGTAATTTTATGCATCAACTTAGCAAGGCTGTGGCACCCAGTAGTTTGGTCAAACACCAGTCTAAATGTTGCTGTTAATGTATTTTTTAGATATGTGTCTTAGTCCATTTTGTGCCCCTATAACAGATTAACTGAGACTAGGCAATTTATAAAGAACAGAGATATATTTCTTACAGTTCTGGAGGCTGGAAAATTCATGGTCAGGGGCTCTCATCTGGTGAGGACCTTCTTGCTGCATCATCCCATCATGAAAGGTGAAAGGGCAAGAGATCCTGCTTATGTGTGCATACACCTGAGCAAGAGAGAGTGGGGGAAAGGAGGCCAAACTCATCCTTTTATCAGGAACTCTCCTCTGCAATAATGAACCCACTCCCAAGATAATGACTTTAATCTAATCATGAAAGAAGAACCCTCATGAACTAGTCACCTCTTCAAGGTCTCGCCTCTCAACACTGTTGCATTGGTTATTGAGTTTCCAACACATGAACTTTGGAGGACACATTCAAACCATAGCCATTTGGTCAATATTTAAATCATTAGACTTTGAGTACAGCAGACTACCCTTTATAATGTGGGTGAGCCTCATCCAATTAATTAAAGGCCTTAACAGTCAAAACTGAGGTTTCTTGAAGAAGGAATAATTCTCCTCAATACTACACTTAAAAACTCTACCTGATTTTCCAGCCTGCTGCCCTGTGGAGCCTGGACACGGGCCTGCAGCATCAACTGTCACCTGAATTTCCATCCCACCTATCTGCCCCACTGATTTTGGATTACCAGTCCCTACAATCATATGAGTCTATTCCTTAAACTAACTCCCTAGCTATCCTATCATATATATATGATATATATATATATATATGATATGATATATATATATATATGATAAGATATATATATATTTTATATATATATGATAGGAGACATATATATATGTGATAGGCTAGGGAGCTGGTTTAAGGAATAGATTCATGAGATGGTAGGGACTGGTTATATATATATATACACACACACACACACACTACTTTATATATACACACATATATCCATTATATATATATATATATATGTGTGTGTGTGCGTTTGTACATGTGATATCCATTATATATATATGTGCGTTTGTGCATGTGTGTGTGATATTTATATAGATATATATCTCCTATATAAATATATCCTATTGGTTCTTTTTGTCTGGAGAACTCTGACTAACACCGAAAGGATGAATACCAGAGATATTATGAAGGGACGAAGTTGATAATAAAAGGAAGATTTTTTAAAAATCAAAGATAACTTCAAAGTTTAGAAGAAACTAAAAGCAGCTGCAGCTTCAGAAGCTCACTGTGATTTGTTGTCTTCACGTGCTTCTCTCAAAGGAGTTTTGCCCCTCCTGAGTGTTTAATGATGCTGGTAGATAGACTGTATTATGTCATTGTGCTTTCAGCAATCCCATTGACCTTTTAATGATCTGGGTTTTTTTATTGCTAGTACTGTACAATTTAGAGTTTTACTCTAATTGTTTAATACTTTCTAATATTAGCATGTTTCAAATATCCCATTCAATTTAAATAGATGTTGAATAGCCTTGGAATTTAAGTTTCGATGTCCTTTTTTAATATCTAAAGGCAATAGGAGGAGATATTCCCCCTTGAACTGGGCAGTAAACCCAAAAGACAATATAATTTCTCTGCTTTCATGCCAATGAGAGAGTGAACACAAATGTTACTCTGTAGTAACCAATTTGTATCCTTAACTGAAATTGCAATTCAGTTCTATAACACCATTCTGCCTCAGATCCATCAAGTATTATTTTTCAGTCCTTTCCTGTTGAGACTGACTTCTGATGAATAAGTTTCCTTTGATGGAAAGTCAGGGCAGGAAATCTACAGAAAACTGTATGGTACTGCAGTTTTCCTTATACATGGCACTCTGTGCCCACAAAGTATTCCATAGAGTGTTTGTTTCATCTAATTTACCACCCTGCCAATTTCAGTGCATTTCGGCTAACCACTTGGACTCATTACCCACCTTATTATTCCTGGTTCTGTTTAGATAATTCATCAAAGTTTTTTGAATTAATCCACTATGCTAAATCTTAACACTATTAACACCAACAAAATTTCAACTTAGGTACTTGCAATAGATGTAATAACAGATCTTCTGCAGCTTAAGGGATAAATACAGCAGATGACTCTGTCAATCTACATGCAACTACCTACATTTCATAAATTGCTTACTGTATAAGTAAGCACATGACCAATGATATGAAATAAAAAGTCCACAGGAGAAACTTTCAGCATGCCTACAAGAAACATAAACTAACAATACGAAGTGTGAGCAAAAATGTGTAGTTCCTAGAGCCCTTACTGCTGATGGGAAGTTAAAAACATAACTATGGGGAAAAAACAAAAAGTTGGCATTAATTTGTAAAGCTGAGCTTGTTCATACTTAATGAGCAAGCAATACTCTAGATTTATACATTAAAGAAATATACATGCATGTGCATGGTGAGACACAAAAAAGAATATTCTTAATCAGCATTGTTCACGATTGCAAACATTTAAAAACAACCATATCAATCATGAGAGAACAAAAGAGACACTTTGTGAAATACTACATATCAGTGAAAATAAACAAATAATAACCAAATACATCAATAGAGATAAATCTTAGAATCACAGTTTTGTCTGGAAAAAAAATATAGTTGCAGATGACTACATTCATCATGACAGCATTTTAATAAAATCAAAACAAAAAAGGCATATCTTTTACAGATGTATACATATATGGCAAGAGTAAAGAAAATCAAGGACTTATTTTTTATTTGAAGATACCTAAGGGGCTAGGAATGTATAGGGATAAGATTCGGGTGAAGACACATGCAGGTTTAGAAAGACTGAGAACATCTTTTTTAAGCTGTTACCATAAGTCATAAATTCCATATATATTACATACATCACTGTTTGGTATACATGAAATCTTTCAGACTTAAAAGATAAAAAACACGCCAGAGGAAACTATTTACTGTGTCAAAAATCAACAAGTTTAAAAAACAGAATCTGGAAACAATATATTGTCTAAAATTTCCAGGTTTTAACACAATTTATGAGAGAAGAAAAAAACAGGAAACTGTGCCCAATGCTGAGGAAAAAAAGCAGTGAATAGAAATTGAGTCCAAGTGACTCCAGATGTTGGATGTAAAAGACAATGACATAAAAGCAGCTATTATAACTATAGTCAAAGAACAGAAGAAAACTTTGAAGAAGTTAAGGAAAATATAATGACAATAACTCATCTCATCAAAATATTCTCAATAAGGAAATATAAACTATATTAAAAATAATCAAATGGAAATTCAAAAGTTTTAGATTATAATGACTGGACTCAACAGAATATTTGAGCTAGAATAAAGAATCCATAAACGAAGATCAATAGAAATTTTCAATCAGAAGAACAGAGAGAAAGAGGTTGAAAAATAAAATACAGCCTCAGATATTTAAGGGAGAATAATAAGTATACTAATATGCACGGAATGGAAGTCTCAAGTAAGAAAAGATATGAGATGGAGTTCACTGAGGTTGAGAGTGATACAGAATCATTTGGTGTCCGAGTACCAACAGTACCAGGACATCACAGCTGAGAAGTGGGCTGAGGAGGAGATGCCCTAGAGCTTTCCGTTACTGGGGAAGGGTGGAAGTTGTGTGAATTCTTTATTTACTCACAATGTGTTCTAGGATACCCACATCTCACGGTGTGTGCACTTGATATTTGTCGTATCTTCACACTGCATGTTATTGCATTTTAAAGCATTTTAATAGTATATGGTTTCACCTACTAAAGCATTTTCATAGAAAAAAATAAACAACGTTTTCAGTACTCTGGGACTTGCATTACATGTATGCTGGTGTACTTATTATTGTCCCTTAGGTCTCTTAGGCTATATTAATTTATATAATACACATATATATGCATATATTTGTGTGTGTGTGTGTGTAAAGAGAGAGAGAGGGAGAGAGAGATGTGTGTATATAGAAATAATGGCTGAAAACTTCCCAAATTACATAAAAAACATTATCTATTGCATGTACAAATACAAGAACATAAATGAAACCCAAATGGGAGAAACACCAAAAGATTCACGTTTGGAAATATCATGGTCAAACTTTTGAAAGTTAAAAACAAAGAGAAATTTTTGAAAACAGCTAGAGAAAAGCAACTGAAAACTAACTTCTTAGCAGAAGTAGTAGAGGCTAGAGGTAGTGGAATGACATTCAAAGTGCTGAGAGAGAAGCATACTTCTGGAAAGTAGTTGTCTCTCGAAAACCGAAGCATACAGTTACCTTATGATCCAATAATTCCACTCCTACTTAAATATCTAAGATGAAATGAAAACAATGTCTTACATAATTGTTCATAGCAGCAGTATTTATACTGTTCAAACACAGGAAACAAACGAAATTTCTATCAACTGATGCATGGATAAACAGAATGTGATATATCTAAACAACGAGGTGTAATTCAGCTATAAAAATGAATAAAATTCTGTTACATGTCACTAATATAGATAAAACTTGAAAACATGTTAAGTGAAAGGACACAATCACAGAAGGCCACATGTTTGACTGAATTTACATAAACTATCCAATCTAGGCAAGTCTATGGAGACAAAAAGTAGATCAGTGGTTGCCAGGGGCTGAGGAGAATAGGTTACAGGTAGTGACTTCTAATGGGTATGGAGTTTGTTTTCAGGTGATAAAGATGTTCTGGAATTAGATAATAGTGATCAAGTCACAAATTTATAGATCTACAAGAAACCATTAAATTGTACTTTGAAGGTGGTGAATTTTATAGTGTGTGCATTATACCTAAATGGTTATTTTGAAAATTCTGAAAGGGGAAAATGTCAAACAATAATTCTATGTAGCAAGTATACCTTTCAAAAGTGAAAGTGAAATAAAGACATTCCCAAATAAACAAAGATAACTTGTTGCCAGCAGACCTGGCTTATAAGAAATACTGAAGTAAATTCTTAAGGATAAAAGAAAAGGGCAGCAGATATAAGTGAAATACAGTAAGAAATGAAGCTACTAGAAATGGTAAATATGTAGGTTGTAATAAAGGACTTCATAAATATATTTTTCTTCTTTTAGACTTAAAAAAATAAAAAAGTCAATACTTGTGACACTTATATTATTGGGTTTATAACATACTCCATGTAGATGTAATAATAGATTTGACAATAATAACCTAAAGTTGGGAGAGGATGTATAATTTAGAGCAAAGTCTATTTTTTACCAGAATTCAGTTGTTATTATTATTAAGAAGTGTTATTATTCTGAAATAGATATTGATATGTTAAGATGCATACTGTAATCCCTAGAGCAAATAGTAAGCAAATGAGTGAAAATAATACAGTAAAAGCATCAACAGAGAAATTAACTGATATACTAAAAAATATTTGCTTAATATAAAGAATGCAGAAAAGAAGTAACAAAACAATAACAACAACAAAAGAAAAACACAAAACAAATAAAATGGCAGACATGAATCCAACCATATCAATAATTACATTAAATTTGAATAATCACCCTACATAGAAGATAAAGGTTGTAAAATGGGATAAGTAGCAAGATCCAACTATATGCTGTTTATAAAAAACACACATTCAATTCAAAGACATAAATAGGTTTAAAGTAAAATAAAAAAAGATACATCACACAAACTAACCACAAGAGAACTGGAGTGGCTGTATTAATATAAAAATAATTTATTTTAAGGTGACATATATTACTAAAGGCAAAGGAGAGCATTCCATGATGATAAAAGAGTCAACATATCAATTAGATAGATGATAGATAGATAGATAGATAGATAGATAGATAGATAGATGCCTAACAACAGAATCCCTAAACACATGAAGCAAATATAGACAGAACTCAAAAGAGTAATAGACATTTCAAAGGTAATAGTTGTGTATTTCAATATCTTGCCCTCAATAGCTAATAAAACAACTTCGGAAAAACATTCAGCAAGGGTATAGACTTGTACAATTCTACCAACCAATTCAACCTAACTGACATATTTAGGACATGCCAAACAATGACTGCAAAATATATAATCTTTTTAAGTACACAAAAAATATTCTCCAAGATAGATTATAGGGTGGGGTACAAAATAAGTCTCAATACATTTTTTACAAAGGTCATCATACTAAGTGCGTTTTCTGTTCACAACGCAATTTAATTAGAAATAACTAACAGAAAGGTCCCTGGAAAGCCCTCAAGTACATAGAAACTAAATAGAATAATTCTAAATAAGCCAAATAATAAATTAAATAGAAAATTAGAAATTATTTTAAATTTAACGAAAATGAAAAGACAACATATCACAATTCATGAGATGCAGCTTTATATTTTGTAGTTTTCACTGTGTGAATCCTGAACATTTTTGTGCATTATTCCACTGAAATGGCTATAGTCAATTACATAGACAATACTAAGTATATGTGTGGATATGGGATAACTGGAGTTCACTAACATTGTTGGTGAGAATGTAAAATGATACAGCTACTTTGGAAAACAGTTTGGTAGTTTCTGAAAATGTTAAATATAAGTTTACCAAACAACACAGAAATTCCATTTCCTGGCAATGTACCCAAGAACAATAAAAGTATACGTCCACACAAAGTTTTGTATGTGTATGTTCAAGAAAGTATTATTTACATTAACTAATGCAAATGATGAATCCAAATATTAATCAACGGGTGCATGGATATACAAAATGTGATAAATCTATAAAATCAAATACTATTCAGCAATAAAAAGGAATGAAATACTGATACATGCTCTACATGGATGAATCTCCTAACATTATGCTAAGTGAAACAAGCCAGATACAAATGGCCACATGTTGCATGTTTCCATTTATATGAAATATCCAGAATACACAAATTTACAGATGCAGAAAACAGATCAATGGTTGTCTGAAGTTAAGGGTTGGAACAGGAATTAATGACAGCCTAAAAGACATTTTCTTGTGTGATAGAAACGTTATAAAACTGTATTGTAGTGATGATTGCCAACTCTATAAATATCCCAAATGTCACTGAGTTGTACAATTGTAATGGAAAATTTTTATAGTTTATAAATCGTACCCTAATAAAACTGTTAAAGCACATATGCAAAAATATTCATCAAAATTCAGTAACTCTACGTAGCATTTTAGTTTTATATATAAATTGCCAGTTGAGAAATTACTTAAAATTCAGTCAATTTCTAAGGAAGTTCAACCATAAAAATAAATAGGCTTCCTGAAAATAAGACTAATTAACTAATTACTCATTTTTGACTCAGGTTTTGTATTGACAAAAACACTCTTTGAAAGATCCATCATCACTGACAAATCGAGTTAACATGAAATTACTTATGATTTCTTTCTGCCACTGTACATATACAATGTGTAGTTACCCTAGATATGCATCCAAAATCTCTTTAAGAATCACAACATGTACCATGTTGTGATTTACAAAGTAAATATAGTAAAAGGAAGAACCCAGATATCACCTACTTCTTTTTACAAATGGCTTCCATTTACTGTGTTCCTGCAGTCTATCTCTGCTATCTGTAGAAAATTTATTAATTGCTTTTTCTAAAATGGACCCTCCATATTAATAAATTCTAATTGCTAATTGCTCCCGCATCAAATCAGCATTTCTAAATTCAAAAGACAATAAAACTTAGATGTAATGAAAAATGTACTACTTAAGTATGTTGATCCTGCATAGAATTTAGAGCTGGCAAAGGGTAAATTGGGATATCAGGAGTGTAGTGGTTTGCTGATAGATATTTAACAACTAGGCCTTAAAAAAAAATCTGTTTTCTAATTTCTACTGTGTAAATGCTACCACCATGGCCAATTTCAAGATGGTGATGTCAGTCAGCTTGCAAAATTCCTGAACATTTAATATTTGGCTCTTATAAGCTGGAACAAATTAACTCCAACACACTACTTCCAGAGTGTCTTCACTTGCTTTACTAAAACATGAACTGTGTTGATGTGCACCTGTTTTTGGAATCTTTGATTCATTATGCTGTACTGTTTCTCCATTAGCTTTTAAAGCACATATACATAAACATTCATCTACCATTTTGATTTTATATGTAAAGTGTCAATTGAAAAATTACCTAAAATTCAGCCGATTGCTAAGGAAGTTTAACCGTAAAAAGACAATTAAGATTATTGAGGGCACTAAAGGCTTAAGTTCATTGAGGACAAGATTTCATGCAGAAGTTCCCACAGAGAGCACATTGTTCTCTGACCACTTGTATTCCTGATGGATATATTCAAGGAATTCTGGTGAAGCTCCCATGATCAGGATTCCTGTCCCAGCTGCTGGGAAAGATTGGATTCTGAATTGGAAGATGTCTATGAAGAGAAGCCTACAGACTTTGATACATTTCCACAGGAAAATATGAGACTCTTACTTAGTATCATTTAAGGGACACTTAGAGTGGCACCTCCACTTCTAGCTGTGGCTTGGATTTATGTTGTCCAAAATTACCTTCTTTGAATGGTTCTAATTTAGAGTTTACCAATGGGAAAATTTCATTTAAGATTTAGAATTCAGAAGAGAGGGGAAGTTATTATTCTTAGGAGACTGAGGTGATCTCTCACAATAACACTAGACAGGAAAACAGACAATGTGCCAGGTTCACAGGCCTCTCTACTGCCCACTCTTCTTTCTCACTTCCTAGCCCTACTTTGGTGGCTAGATACTCACGACTTCTCAGACTTCCCCCACATGTTCTGGCTTTTCCATCTGCTTCAGTGCTCCAGGCTGCAGCAACTGGTGACTTTCTCTGATCCTCTTCCAAACTTCAGTTGCACTATTCTCACATTTGTGTCAGTCCTCCTTCTTAATTAAACCCCTTATTCTTGTAATACTTACATTATTGCTGTCTTCTGGCTAAATCTAGAGTGATACTGTTTTTAGCACCAATAGCTGTTCGAAGATGTCAAAACTCTAAAAAATGAGGCCATATAGTTTTTTGCTATGATCAGATTTAAAGACATTAATGACCCCACTGGTAATGACAAATGGACACCAGTTGTCTATTCATTGTAGTGACAAATCAGTTACTTAAATTACCATCTGTAATCACTTGAAGTAATGCATGATGGTATTGTTAAGGTTGAGTGGCCAAGTTCCTGGCACACTGGAACATAAGAGTGGGAAAAAAACAATATAAGGTTGTAGAGTCAGGTAGCTATCCCTGTCTGTGCTGGAGAACTTAGAGAAAAGTTGAGCTCATGTCTTATAGGACTTCTGTGCATTCCCAGAAACAATCCCTTATATTTTGTATCTGTAGGTTAAAATTTCTGAAAACTGAACTCAAAATCTAATCCTGCAATTGGTTGAATTATAATACAAATTAAAATTTAAATCCTTGAAGAGCTGCTTTTGTTAAAGTTTGGGTGTTAACAATGAGTCCCTGAAAACTGAGATGGGATATTTGAATAGATTCCAATTGTACTGAGCAATTTTAACCTCCAACTTCTACTAAACCTCCATGGCTTGTAAAACAGTCCTTCCTCTTCTAATGATGATCCATTTTCCTGAAAAAAAAAAAAAACAAAAAAAAAACATGTAATGACCTACCCTGAAAGAGATGCCTTGTAGGGTATCTACTTGCACTATTTTTCATTGCTTTTATGACCAATAACTAGATTCGAATCCCAGCAGTTTCTAGAGGAATAGGTACAAAGTCTGACCTGGAAGAAAACACAAAGTTGCAAAATGCTGCCAATTTCTATGAACAAAAACACAGAAAATTTGTCTGGGTATTCAATTGAGATGGAATGAATGTAATGTTCAGTTAGGCTAATTCTACTGATATGAGTGCACTATCAAAAATTCTGGATTTAATGCATTGGCTCAAGTAAGTAGGGGGTAGATTCTAGAATTTCATTTTGTTGGTTGACTAAAACCTTCACTTAAAGATGGCCTACATTAAATTAAGTTGATATGTTGGAACTTCTTCGTTGTACTGCAGAAGAGCAGTAATCAGAGTAATTTGACATTCGGCAGTGGCTAATTGACAGCGGTGTCCCTGTGACTGAAATAAATGATGTGTGCAAGTAAAACCAAACAAAAACAAACAGATCTCTGGGTATGATGATTTGAGCTACAAATATAGTGAGGCATACTTTTTATCCAGTGCCCAGGCTTCAGGTAGTTCCCAAACACAGCACCCCTTGAATTAAGAAAATTATATATCCTCTTGAAGAAGTGCCCTGCTACACTGCCAAACATTTATACTACAAATATTCCACTCTGAAAGAACTTGCTTCCCCTTACCAGGGTGACTGTGCTTTTGGAAACAAAAGGTATATTCAGAATGTCCAGGAGTTCTCAGGAACTGGCTGTCACTTGATTTGACCCCTGAGGACCCCAAAGCTAGGCTTATGTCCATCTTACAGTGGGTCCATTGTTTACCCAACCAAACTTCTGGTTATTTTCTCAGTTCTAGAATGCATTCTGGTAACAGAACTACTCAGCAATTGGCAGGGTTTCCATATTGGTTCTGCTAGCTATGGAGTGAAAGTTTTATAGTAGGAAAGGCCATGTGGGAAACTGGAAAACTTCTTCTTGCCAAAAGAGTAAACAAAAACAGTATCACGTTCTTTAAGGGATCTCAGATATAAGTGCCACCAGCAAAAACTTGAAGCCTGCAGAAGTGGTATCTATATTGTCTGCCCACTCAACTAACCAACCTATTTTGCTGTATAGCACACAGGTTTACTGTCACTGGAGAACAACAGCAAGTTATCATAATCTTCATCATAATCTTCATTAGTTGTGAATCTAATTACAACTATGTTCAAGTTCAAATGTGATTTCTAAACTGGAGCAAATTAACACAGGACATAGTCTCTGGTATGCAGCTATTGATCTGACAGATGACTTTTTCCCTGTGTTTGTTAGAAAGACCACTAAAAATGTTTTTTATTTACTTAGCAGAACAGCAATACACTTTCATTATCATGCCCTAGGACTAAGTCAACTCTCTAGTGCCCTGCCATAGTTTAATATGCATGGTCTTTGTTAGTATTGCCATTGTTTTAGTTATCTGTTGCTGTGTAACAAACCACCCAAAACTTGACAGTAATTTATTATGTTTCATTGTTCTGTGGCTTGGCTTAGCTCAACTGGGCAGTTCTCAATTGTGGTCTCTCCTGTGGAAGTATGCCATGAAAAGAAAGTGAAAGTTGTAAGACTCTTGATGCAAATGGCAACATGTGCACACCCGAAGAAAAAGAATTGATCGAGGCCATTTATTTTTATTGGAAAAGTGGGTATTTATTTTTTATATTATTTTTAATTGACAAATCATAATTATGTTACAATAATGAAGTGCAGTGTGATGTTTTGATATCTGTACACAATGTGAGGTAATTAAATCAAGCTAATTAATGTATATATCACCTCACTTGATTCTTTTGTAGTGGTGCATTTGAAATTTACTCTCAGTTATTTTGAAATTTACAGTGAATTATTATTGACTATAGTCACTTTACTGTGCAATAGATGACAAAATTTTATTCCTTCTGTCTAGCTATAAACTTGTACCCTTCGATGGGTAACTCCCCATTCCTTCTCTCTCCACCCCATACCCTCTAGTAACAATCATTTTACTCTCTACTTCCATGAATTCAACTTCTTAAAAGATTCCACAGGTAAGTGAGGTTGTAGCTATTTATCTTTCTGTTCCAGGATTATTTCACTTGGTATAATTTCCTCTAGACCCATCCATGTTGTACCAAATAACAAAATTTTATGCTTTGTAAAGGCTGAATAGTATTCCATTGTGTATATATTACCACATTTTCTTTATTGATTCATCCATGATAGACACTTAGTTTGATCCCATATCTTAGCTATTGTAAATAATGCTGCAATAAACATGAGAATGCAGATATCCTTTCCACATATTAATTTCAATTCATCTTGATATGTTCCCAGAATTGGAATTGCTGAATCATATGGTAGTTTCATTTTTGGTCTTTTGAGGAACATTGATACCATTTTCTGTAATGGTTATACTAATTTTATATTCCCATCAACAGTGTGCAAGGGTTTCCTTTTCTCCATGTTCTTGCCAACACTTTTTTTTTAAATCAAACCCATTCTGACAGGTATAAGATAATATCTCATTGTGGTTTTAATTTGTGTTTCTTTAATGATTAGTGATGCTGCGCATTTTTTCATGAACCTGTTGGCCATTTGTATGTCTTCTTTTGAGACATATCTGTCCAGGTCCTTTGCCCATTATTTAATTGGGTTCTTTCCTTGCTGTTGAATGGCTTGAGTTTTCTATATGTTTTGGATATTCACCCCTTATGAGATGTATGGTTTGTAAATATTTTTTCCAACTCTGTGGGTTGTCTCTTCACTTCCTTAATTTCTTATTTTGCTGTGCATAAGCTTTTCAGTTTGATGTAATCACTGTCTGTTTTTGCCTTTGTTGCCTAAACTTTTGAGGCCATATCCAAAAAATCATTGCCTGGACCAACACTGTAGAATATTTCCCCTATATTTTATTCTAGTAGTTTTATCATTTCAGGTTTTACGTTTAAGTCTTTACTCCATTGTAAGTGGATCTTTTGTGCATTGTGTAAGATAAAGTTATAATTTCATTACTCTGCATGTAGATAGCCAGTTTTCTCAGCACTGTTTACTAAATCAACTGTCCTTTCCCTATTGTGTGTTCTTGGCAACTTTATCAAAAATCAATTGGCCATAAATGCATGGATTTATTTCTAGACTTTCAATCCTATTCCATTTGTCTGTGAGTCTGTTTCTATGCCAGTATCATACTGTTTTGATTACAATTGCATTATAATATATTCTGAAGTCAGTATGATGACTCCAGCTTTGTTCTTTTTGCTCAAGAGTGTTTTGGCTCTTCATGGTCTTTTGTGGTTCCATTAGAACTTAAGGATTTTTTTATTTCTGTGGAAAATGACATTGAAATTTTGGCAGGTATTGCACTGAATCTGTAGATTGCTTTGGGCAATATGGATTTTTTAGCAGTCTTAATTCTTCCAATCCATAAACATGAGATATGTTTCTGTTTGTGTCCTCTTTGATTTCTTTCATTAGTGTTTTATAGTAATATAAAGTTATATAGAGAGAAAGTTATATATATAGAAACTCTTGCTTCTCTAGTTCTTTTAATTCTGATGTTAGGGTGTCAATTTTAGATCTTTCCTGCTTTCTCTTGTGGGCATTTAGTGCTATAAATTTCCCTCTACACACTGCTTTAAATGTGTCCCAGAGATTCTGGTATGCTGTGTCTTTGTTCTCATTGGTTTCAAAGAACATCTTTATATCTGTCTTCATTTCGTTATATACCCATTAGTCATTCAGGAGCAGGTTGTTCAGTTTCCATGTAGTTGAGTGGTTCTGAGTGAGTTTCTTAATCCTGGAGTTCTAATTTGATTGCACTGTGGTCTGAGAGACGGTTTGTTATAATTTCTTTTACATTTGCTGAGGAGTGCTTTACTTCCAACTATGTGGTCAATTTTGGTATAAGTGTGATGTGGTGCTGAGAAGAATGTATATTCTGTTGATTTGGGGTGGAGAGTTCTGTAGATATCTATTAGGTCTGCTTGGTGCAGAGCTGTGTTCAAGTCCTGGATATCCTTGTTGCCTTTCTGTCTTGTTGATCTGTCTAATGTTGACAGTGGGGTGTTAAAGTCTCCCATTATTATCGTGTGGGAGTCCAAGTCTCTTTGTAGGTCTCTAAGGACTTGCTTTATGAATCTGGGTGCTCCTGTATTGGGTGCATATATATTTAGGATAGTTAGCTCTTCTTGTTGAATTGATACCTTTACCATTATGTAATGGTCTTCTTTGTCTCTTTTGATCTTTGTTGGTTTAAAGTCTGTTTTATCACAGACTAGGATTGCAACCCCTGCTTTTTTTTTCTGTTTTGTTTTCCATTTGCTTGGTAGATCTTCCTCCATCTGTTTATTTTGAGCCTATGTGTGTCTCTGTGCATGAGATGGGTTTCCTGAATACAGCACACTGATGGGTCTTGACTCTATCCAATTTGCCAGTCTGTGTCTTTTAATTGGAGCATTTAGCCCATTTACATTTAAGGTTAATATTGTTATGTGTGAATTTGATCCTGTCATTATGATGTTAGCTTGTTATTTTGCTCATTAGTTGATTCAGTTTCTTCCTAGCATCGATGGTCTTTACAATTTGGCATGTTTTTCCAGTGGCTGGTACCGGTTGCTCCTTTCCATGTTTAGTGCTTCCTTCTGGAGCTCTTTTAAGGCAGGCCTGGTGGAGACAAAATCTCTCAGCGTTTGCTTGTCTGTAAAGGCTTTTATTTCTCTTTCACTTATGAAGCTTAGTTTGGCTGGATATTAGATTCTGGGTTGAAAGTTCTTTTCTTTAAAAATATTGGATATTTGCCCCCACTCTCTTCTGGCTTGTAGAGTTTCTGCCAAGAGATCCACTGTTAGTCTGATGGGCTTCTGTTTGTGGGTAACCTGACCTTTGTTTCTGGCTGCCCTTAACATTTTTTCCTTCATTTCAACCTTGGTGAACCTGACAATTATGTGCCTTGGGGTTGCTCTCCTCGAGGAGTACCTTTGTGGCATTCTCTTCATTTTCTGAATTTGAATGTTGGCCTGTCTTGCTAGGTTGGGGAAGTTCTCCTGGATAATACCCTGAATAGTGTTTTCCAACTTGGTTCCATTCTCTCTGTCACTTTCAGGTACACCAATCAAACGTAGATTTGGTCTTTTCACATAGTCCCATATTTCTTGGAAGTTTTGCTCATTTCTTTTTACTCTTTTTTCTCTCAACTTCTCTTCTCACTTCATTTCATTCATTTGATCTTCAATCACTGGTATCTTTTCCTCCACTTGATCGAATCTGCTACTGAAGCTTGTGCATGTGTCACGTAATTCTCGTGCCATGGTTTTCAGCTCCATCAGCTCATTTAAGGACTTCTCTACACTGTTTATTCTAGTTAGCCATTCATCTAATCTTTTTTCAAGGTCTTTAGCTTCCTTGTGATGGGCTCGAACATCCTCCTTTAGCTCGGATAAGTTTGTTATTACAGATCTTCTGAAGCCTACTTCTGTCAACTTGTCAAAGTCATTCTCCGTCCAGCTATGTTCCATTGCTGAAGAGGAGCTGCGATCCTTTGGAGGAGAAGAGGCACTCTGATTTTTAGAATTTTCAGCTTTTCTGCTTTGGTTTCTTCCCATCTTTGTGGTCTTATCTACTTTTGGTCTTTGATGATGGTGACCTACATATGGGGTTTTGGTGTGAATGTCCTTTTTGTTGATGTTATTCCTTTCTGTTTGTTTTCCTTCTGACAGTCAGGAATCTCAGCTGCAGGTCTCTTGGAGTTTGCTGGAGGTCCACTCCAGACCCTGTTTGCCTGAGTATCACCAGCCAAGGCTGCAGAACAGCAAATATTGCAGAACAGCAAATGTTACTGCCTGATCCTTCCTCTGGAAGCTTCGTTTCAGAGGGGCACCCAGCTCTGTGAGGTGTCAGTCAGCCCCTACTGGGAGGTTTCTTCCAGTTAGGCTACTCGGGGGTCAGGGACCCACTTGAGGAGGCAGTCTGTCTGTTCTCAGATCTCAAACTCTGTGCTGGGAGAACCACTGCTCTCTTCAAAGCTCTCAGACAGGAACGTTTAAGTCTGCAGAAGTTTCTGCTGCCTTTTATTCAGCTATGCCCTGCCCGAGAGGTGGAGTCTACAGAGGCAGGCAGGCCTCCTTGAGCTGCAGTGGGCTCCACCCAGTTTGAGCTTCCTAGTGACTTTGTTTACCTAGGCAAGCCTCAGCAATGGTGTATGCCCCTCCCCCAGCCTCACTGCCACCTGGCAGTTCAATCTCGGACTTCTGTGCTAGAAGTGAGCAAGGTTCTGTGGGCGTGGGACCCTCCGAGCCAAGTGTGGGATATAATCTCCTGGTGTGCCATTTGCTACGACGGTTGGAAAAGTGCAGTATTAGGGCGGAAGTGTCCTGATTTTCCAGGTACTGTCTGTCATGGCTTCCCTTGGCTTGGAAAGGGAATTTCCCAACCCCTTGCACCTCCCAGATGAAGTGATGCCCCGCCCTGCTTCAGCTCACTCTCCATGGGCTGCACCCACCAGTCCCAATGAGATGAAACTGGTACCTCAGTTGGAAATGCAGAAATCACCTGTCTTTTATGTCACTCACACTGGGAGCTGAAGACTCTAAATAGATATTTTGTAAGTCTGCAAATGAGGTTTTGGCATAAATAGTACAGACAGAGAAAACACATACATATCCAAAGTGTTGATTCCAGTTAGAAGAAATTGGCCTTCCAGGGTAGGAGTGTTCTAATTTAATCAATCTGTCACATGGTTGATTTCCCAGCCTTCTCCTTTTTAGCTTAATGGATTCATGATTAATCTGCTATAGACATTGCAATATATTTGAACTTTTAACAACAAAGCCCCTTGATTTTTCAGGGGAGTGGGGGATGGGCAGGAGAGGGGTCATCCAGCAACCATGCGACAGGTTGATTAAATTAGAACATTCCCCTTATAAAAGGGCAAAAAATGCTACTAATTGGAGTACACTTCTGATATGTATTTGTCTTCCCTGTCCATACTACTTATTCCCAAACCTCATTTGTAGGCTTACAAAATATCTAACTTACATGACATCATGCTTTTCCATACAGCATTGATTCTGACCAAGGAATTCATTTGGTTTGATTTCATTTGCAGTTCTTTACAAATTAGCAAATAAATTTTCAAATTAATCAGAATTTCTAATCATTTCCATCACTTGTATGAGCATTACTTTTACATTGTAAAAATTATTTTATTACCTATTTTTTTTTGAGAAAGGGTATCTCTGTGTCACCCTGGATGGACTGCAGGGGTGCCACTGCAGTTCACTGCAGCTTATACCTCTAGGTTCAATCAATCCTCCTGCAACAGGCTCCTGAGAAGCTGGGACTACAGGCATGCACAACACCCAGCTAATTTTTGCATTTTTTTCCAGAGACAGGGTCACCCTATGTTGCTCAGGTTGGTCTCAAACTCCTGGGCAAAAACTATCCTCACAACCTTGGCCTCCCATAGTGCTGGGATCACAGGCTTGAGCCACCACACCTGGCCTGGTTAAGTTTTTATTGATTTGTAAGAACTCTATGTATTGAAGATATTAACAATATTTGTTGCAAGTAATTTTCTTTTTATCACACTGAATATTAGCTGTTGGTGATGTTGCCCAAACCTCACTTTTTCTCTTTGATGCAAATGACTGGCAAAATAGAGTAACTACTTACCTTGTTGTTAACCACCTACTTGAATCCTGGTGTAATTTTCACAATTTGCTTGCTAAGTGTGAAATTAAGCAAGTAAATTAACTTCTCTAACCTCACGCTCCTCAATTGCAAAACTAAATGTTTAAAAGATAACTCTGAGATACTTTCCAACCTTTATAAACTATACAGATATTTACTGTATGTTCAGTTTCCTAGGCACTTTGGAACACCTTTTCATAGCCTTTGTGAAATTAATAATGTATATTCTTCTCTGTAGGGAAGCAGCTCTGATATATTCATTGTATTCTAATAACCATAATTATATCATACTACTCTCTATACTTTTCTAAAATGCTGTAAAATATCACAGCTTAAAAAAGCTGTAAGAATCTTAAAGACTATCCTTCAACATCTCAAACCATCTCATCTGACAAATAAGAGAAATCTGGCTCAAAAAAATTAAGCAAATCGCTCAGGGCCACCCAACTGTGATAGATTAGAATCTGAGTCCTGTCATGCTTAATGCAGTGTTGTTTTCACTACACACATTGCCTCTACTTTGGAGCTTCACCATTCTTTTGATTATTATAGTTGCCTTTAATATTTTAATCTTTATGTAGTTATATACAAATTATTATTAAAACATATTTAATGTCTCTTTCTATATGTATTTCCAAAGTACTAGGCAGTGTCAGTTTTATAGACTTGACACAGACCTTTAAGGAACTTAGACTTTGAAAGAAACTGGTCTACTTTTGGCTTATTCATTGACATTTAAGCCTAACTTTCAGAATTCTAATTTCATTCTGTGAGAAAACTCAAGTCAGAATTTATCTTTCTGTTTAGAGAGACTCCTAGACACTTAGGCATGTAATACCTGAATCTAAGAGTGTTAGAATAATTTTGGACAGCTGTAGAAGTGGATATCCATAGTTTGCCAAAGGGATCCTATGCTGCTATATCTGGTCCTATTTAAACTATAGTAACTTATGCAGCTTGCCAGAGTGAATCCAGAGATGGACAAAAAATATGACCCAAAGACAAATGGTGTAAAGGAGCAATTTTGATATGCCTGTCCACTATGTGTCAGGTACTGTGCTGGGAGTTGGGGATACGGAGATGAAATACATATATCCTTTTCCACTAAGACAGGAATTACAAATATTACTAAAGCATTAGAAAGCAGAAGCATGCATACAGTTAGGTGAAGTTAATCTATTCAAGACTTCCCATAGGGGTGACACCAAATGAAGTGAGGCTTTTGAAGAATAGAAAGAATTTGTGGAGAAGACTGAAGGAGAAGAGCAGCATGTTTAAGACAGTATAACTTGGTTGAATGGAGCCCATTTTGGCAAGTAACCACAAAGAAGTGACAGAGATGGGGGCCTAAAAGTATGGAAAATAGAGGGATTATTTTCCTTTTCACTATAATTTTATCTCAGGAAATGAGAGCATCCAATTACATGAATTCAAATTGAACCAGAATGATTAATAGCAGGTTAAAATATTGCCAAGGAACATCTATTTAATTGGTAGACTCTACAGGTAATGGAACTGATCTGTCATCTGTGACTTTCTCTCACTTATTTTAGAATAAAAATTTGCTTTGAGATTTGAGGTTCTCCAAAACCTGTGAAGTGAGGCCAAAATGTACAGTTTGAGCTTCATTAGTTTTTTTTAGGCAAGACAATATTTCCTTTGGGAGATCTCTTTATCATAGAAACAATTAACTTAGCATAATAAACAGGACAATAAAAACTCTTCAAATGATTTGAAATAATAAATACTGCAAGATCACCTTTTTGAAGCCTATCTTATTCAAAACAACTTTTCAAAACTGTTGGGTTCAGTCTTCTTCCCAGAACCATAGTGACAGTGCAGTCTGATTTGCGACCAGAGGAAATTGCAATGGCCAACACGGTAGCTAGGAAATGAAACATTATTTAAACTTCAAGAGTTATGAGAAAACGTGCATTTTTGGCATCCTATTACTGATATATGGCACTCCACTTATAAAAGTATACAATTCATAAAACCCTCAACAAAAACACATAGATCTATGTATAATTCAAGATACATAAAGGTATATAGTGATAAACTGGAAAACACAATATTAGTGCAACAGTTTTTTGTGCATTGTCAATGCAATAAGTTTGTTATCTAGAAATTTTAGGAAACTCTTTCATCCTATACTCATGTTCTTCTTATTCTCTATTGCCCTTTTCAGAACATTATTTTTCCCATCCAAAGGTTTTCTTAAACCTTAAAGTTTATGTTACTTCTGTATATAATCCTCAATGTCTCATTTTTGTTTCATCTGTCAGCTCCTTTTTCTATATAAAGGCTTTACTATTTGACTCAAGATTTTCTTCTCCATCCCCAAGTCTTACCACAATTCCAGTGATTTTAAACTCCCTCTTGATCCGTCCAGTACTCTGGCCTCCAAGTTTATTCACTTTTATATTTCCAGGGACTTTTACCTCTTCATTAGACATCCAGAGAAATTTATGGGCTATGCCCTGGACTTATTCATTAACTAGAGCTTTCCAGTTCTACAATCTTCTTCATTTTTTATTACATTTCTGTGCTTCTTTCATTTCACTTACATAGTTTAGGTTTTGCACAGATATCTGCAGTCATTAGACCCGTCTTTCTCTTCTTGTCTTCATTTTCTGTCTTGATTAGTTTGTACTAGTTGGTTCATCATTATACAAATCTCTTATTAATACTCAAATCTCTTGATCAACTATTCTTCTGTATAGCAAACTCTAAGTAAATCAAAGTATCTGCCTTTTCCAAACCTATGTAGTTAAATACGATGACTACTACTACCACCACTACTACTACTACACACCCAAGTGCACACACACACAGGTGCTATCACAAGTTAATGATAAACAGTCTAAACTGGACATTCAAGTATTCCTTGAAATTTTTTATGTTTAACTTTTCAGCTCTCAATATTCTCATTCTTCACTATTTTCAATTTTTCTCTATCTCAAGCCCTAGATCTGACCATTTTTCCCTCACTCTCAGCCAATACCTTTGTCTCCTACTTTCCAGAGAAAACAGAAGTCTATAGATGGGAACATACCCAGCTTCCAATTACTTTATTTTCTCTTAAAAAAAAGAAAAAAAAAAAACAGGATACATGTGCAGAACATGCAGGTTTGTTACATAGGTACACGTGTGCCATAGTGGTTTGCTGCACCTATTGACCCATCCTCTAAGTTCCCTTCCCCCCCTGCTCACACCCCAACAGGCCCTGGTGTGTGCTGTTCCCCTCTCTATGTCCACGTGTTCTCAATGTTCAACTCCCACTTATGAGTGAGAACATGCATTGTTTGGTTTTCTGTTCCTGCATTAGTTTGCTGAGGATGATGGCTTCCAGCTTCATCCATGTCCCTGCAAAGAACATGATCCCATTCCTTTTTATGGCTGCATAGTATTCCATGGTGTATATATACCACATTTTCTTTATCCAGCCTAACACTGATGGGCATTTGGGTTGGTTCCATATCTTTGCTATTGTAAATAATGCTGCAGTAAACAAATGTGTGCATGTGTCTTTATAGTAGAATGATTTATATTCATCTGGGTATATGCCCAGTAATGGGATTGCTGGGTCAAATGCTATTTCTGGTTCTAGATCCTTGAGGAATCGCCACACTGTCTTCTACAATGGTTGAACTAATTTACATTCCCACCAACAGTGTAAAAGTGTTCCTATCTCTCCACAGCCTCACCAGCATCTATTGTTTCCTGACTTTTTAAAAATCGACATTCTGACTGGTGTGAGATGGTATCTCATTGTGGTTTTGACTTGCATTTCTCTGATGATCAATGATGTTGAGCTTTATTTCATGTGTGTTGGCTGCGTAAATATCTTCTTTTGAGAAGTGTCTGTTCATATCCTTTGACCACTTTTTGATGGGGTTGTTTTTTTCTTGTAAATACGTGTAAGTTCCTTGTAAATTCTGGATATTAGGCCAATTACTTTCAAAGTTAGTTCAATCCATACCCATTCTGTGTTTTATATTAGAATTGCTTGTCTTCCTATCTAAAGTTAATTTTCCCCATCTCTGAATTTTATGCCTCACTGCCTACATACAAATTCAGTTAATTCTACATCTTAAGTGTTTCTCAAATCCATTCATTGCCTCTTTAATGATGAACTCTACCCTAATTAAAGTCATTACCGTGACTCTCCTCTACTGCTCCATCAGACTCATCTCTGTTTCTCATATTTCATTGTCATCTTAGCCCCCTTCAGTTTATTTTCCCCACAGTAGCAAAAGTACATTTTCTAAAATTCAGAACTAATCATATCACTTACCTGCCTAAAATCATAAAATGGCTCCTTCTCACCCCTGGGATAAAATTCCAACTCCTTAATATAGTGCTTAAGATTCTTCATAATATTTGACTACCTATCATCTTTACATGATCATTCAAGTCACTATGCCTTATAATCTACATTGCAGCCAATATTAACCCATTTTTTCTCAGATCCACCAATCTCTCTCTCATCTCCAAGTCCTCATACATGTTATTTTCTCTGCCAGGAAAACTCTCCCTCTTGTCTGACTCCCTGTAAGTATTTCTTTCAGGTATTAACTTAATAACATTCTTTAAGATATCAGTCTAATGACATGTTTATAGAAAATCTTTACTGATTCTCTCAAGTCTGGCTTTTATGCCGCTCCTGTAAGCTTCAGAGTTCCTCACAAGTGCATTTATTATACTTTCTTATCACATTCTATTGTAATAGTTTATCACATGTGCACTTATCACATTCTATTGTAATAGTTTATTTACATATCCAGTTTATCCCACTAGCTCCTTAAAACCGGGAGATTGTGAATCTTCTTCACCACTCTTACAGTACTCCACTGTAGCAGTTCTTCTCTAGTACCTCTATATAGTACTCCACTATAGCACTTCCTCTCTAGTACCTCTATATAGTATAGCACTTCTTCTCTACTATCTCTACATAATACTCCACTATAGCACTTCTTCTCTAGTATCTCTACATAATACTCCACTATAGCACTTCTTCTCTAGTATCTCTACATAATACTCCACTATAGCACTTCTTCTCTAGTATTTCGATATAGTACTCCACTGTAGCACTTCTTCTCTAGTATCTCTATATAGTACTCCACTATAGCACTTCTCTAGTATCTCTATACAGTACTCCACTATAGCACTTCTTCTCTAGTATCTCTATATAGTACTCCACTATAGCACTTCTTTAGTATCTCTATATAGTACTTCACTATAGTACTTTTTCTGTGGTATCTCTATATAGTACTCCACTATAGCACTTCTTCTCTGGTGTCTCTATATACCACTTCATTTCTTCTCTATTATCTCAATATAGTACTCCACTATAGCACTACTTCTCTAGTATCTTTTGCTTTCACCTGTCAGCTACTATTATGCCAGAATACAATTCTGGATGAAAAAGTCTTCTTATTCTGGATGTCAGGCCTGAAAAGAAAAAAAGCATTGTAATTTTCTCTCTCTGACTTCTTTTTAAATAAAGTATACCTGGGCTTCCAGAGAAACATGTGGTCCAGTTATTTTTGATATTGCCAAACTTGCTCTATTGTAAGGCATGAAGAACAGGGCATTTTATGCCATTTTTAAAGGCCTTGCAGAACATTTTTGAAAAAAGATAAAAAAGTAACTTCGGATTCATAAAAGATTAACATAAAAAATTTTTGGAACAGGCAAAAAATAAGTGCTAAATGGTTACACTTAGTTTGCATTTCACAAACCATTGAAATTGGTTTTCCAAACAAATCATTATATGAAAGGATGGATAGCTAGATAGGTTCATTGTTTTTTTTTTATATATATCTCTGAACTGACTGTCCAAAAAGACTTGTTAAGAAGGAACTTACTAATCACTTATTACATATTACCCTAATGCTATGCCTTCAGTATTATAATTATCAGGGTCTGTATTTGGCATATTTTAAAGTCAGATTTACCATTGATTGTTTTCTCCCTTCAAGCTAATATTTGCTAGCATTTAATAAATGCTTACTATTTGCCAGGCACAATGCTACGTGCCATATATATATATACACACACACATACATATGTGTGTATATACACACACATGTGTATGTATATCTCTATATAGTACTCTATACAGTACTCTCTATATAGTACTCTCTATAGTACTCTATAGTACTCTATATAGTATATCTCTATATAGTACTCTATATAGTATATCTCTATATAGTATGTGTGTATATATATATACACACACACATATACACACACATATATGAATACTTCTAAATTCTTATTCTTGGACCTATAATGTTGGTACTATATCCTTTTCTCTAGGGTTTACATAACAATGCACCACAAACCAGGTGGCTTAAACAACAGAGATTTATTATCTCACTGTTCTGCAGGCTAAAAGAAGTTCAAAGTCAAGGTGTCGGCAGGGGCACGTTCTCTCTGAAGGCTGTGGCAGAAGACCTTCCTTGCATGTTCCTAGTTTCTAGTGATGGTGTTGGTCCTTGGTGTTCCTTGGCTTGTAGATGCATTACCTTCATCTCTACCTCCATTGTTACATGACATCTTCCTTGTGCGTCTGCTTTGTCCACTCCTTTCTTCATACCAGGACATTAGTCTGGTTGGATTAAAGGCCCACAAAGACCCTATTTCCAAATAAGGTTACATTAAGTTAATTACCAGGGGTTAGAACTTTGTCTTAGTTCATTTTCTGCTGCTCTAACAGAATACCATAGACTGGGCAATTTGTAAGGAAAAGAAATTTATTTCTGTTTTGAGAAGCTAGAAAGTCCAGGAGCATGATGACACCAGCACAATGTGAGAGTCATCCCATGCAGAAAGCATCACATGGATATGAGAAAAGAGAATACTCCTATCCTATTACTTAATTACTTATTATCCTATTACTTATCCTGTTACTTAATCCATGTAACAACACACTCTCATGATAACTAACCTGTTCCCACTTTAATGACATTAATTCATTCTTTAGGGCTTTTTCCTCATGACCTAATCAATATTATTAGGTTCCACCTCCCAATACTACTTCCTAAGGGATTAAGTTTCCAATGCATAAGCTTTTGGGGGAACATATTTAAACCATAGCATTCCACTCTGGCTTCAAACTTCATGTCCTTCTCACAGTGCAAAATACAATCAATCCATCCCTATGGTCTCAAAAGGCTTAACTCATTTCAGCATTAACTCAAAATTCTAAAGTCCAGAATCTCATTTTAAATCAGACATGGCTGAGACTCTAAGTGCAATTCATCCTGATGCAAATTCCTCCAGCTTTGAGCCTGTAAAATCAAAACAGTGTACTTGATTCTAAAATACAATGATGGGACAGGCATAGTGTAGACATTCCCATTCCATAAGGGAGAAATAGGTTAGAAAAGAGGGGTAACTGATCCCAAGTAAGTCTAAAACACAACAGGTCAAACAACACTAAATCTGAAGGTTCCAGAATAATCTTCCTTGACTCTACATTCATCTTGCTGGACACCCTGGGTTGAGGAGGGAGTTGAGCCCCCAAAGCTTCAGACAGCCCTACACTATGGCTGTGCTGGTCTCATTCCACGCTTCAGTGCTCTTGCATTGGAGTCTCACGGCTGCAGCTTTCCCAGGCTAGAGTTGCATGCTGAGACCCCTACAGTTCTTTGGTCTTCGGAGTGGCCCCACTTCCATGGTCTCACTACGATTTGTCCTCGTAGGGAACCTCTGCCGCAGCTCTGCTCCTGAAACAGTTTTCTAGCTGGGCCCTTAGGCTCTCTGTGACATCCTTTGAAATCTACATGGAGGAACCCATGTCCCTATAGCTGTTGCATTCTGTGCATATGCAGAATTAGCACCACATGGATGCTGTCAAGGTTTCTGGCTTGTATGTTCTGAAGTGGCAGGTTGAGCTGCACATGGGGCCACTTAATCCATGGCTGGGGCAGGTGAAGAGTGCTGTGCCAGAATGCAGGGAGCAGAGACCTGAAGTGGATCTGGGAAGCAAGTCCCCTAAACAATTCTGCTCCTCTAGAGCCTGGGCCTGTGATAGAAGGGAAAACTTTGAAGGTATCTGAAATGCCTGCAATGTCTTTTTACCATTATCTTGATAATCCCTGTATTAGTACTAATCTCCTTAGCAAATCGTTGTGGGGCCATGACTTTGGTTTTCTCTCCTGAAAATTCTTTCATTCTCTAACACAGACTGAGTTTTCCAAATCTTTCTGTTGTATTTTCTTTTAGATTATAAATTCCATCTATAAGTCATTTCTTTCCTCTTACATCTTACTGTAAGTGATGAAAAGTAGACACACAGACTGAATCCTTCATTGCTTAGATATTTCTTTTGCTAGATATGCTAGCTCATTACTCTTAAATTCCACCTTTCATTAAGCCTCCAGGCATGAACACAGTTCAGCCAAGTTCTTTGCTACTTTATAGTAAGGATGGCCTTTACTCCAGTTTCTGATAAGGTATTCCTTATTTCTGTCTGAGACTTCATCAGAATATCCTTTACTGACCATATTTCTATCAACATTCTAATCATGACCACTTGAGTGATCTCTAAGGAATTCTAGACTTTCCTGGCACTTCTTGTCTTCTTCACAGTCCTCACAAGAATTACCCCTAATGCTCCATTAATGGCAATCTAGGATTCTTCTAATCTGCTCTTTCAAATTCTTCCAACCTCTGCTCATTACACAGTTCCAAAGCCACTTCCACATTATCAGTTATTATTATAGCAATATCTCTCCTCCCAGTACGAATTATCTGTCTTAGTCCATTTTCTGCTGCTGTAATGGAATATCACAAACTGAGAAATTTATTTAAAAAGAAATTTTTTTTCACAGAATGGGAGAGGGAAGTCCTGGAGCATGGTGCCAGCACCTGGAAAGGGTCATGCCATGGCGGAAGGCATCATTGGTGAGTGAGGGTGCAAGACAGAGAGAGACACCAAGGGCCAGACTCACTTTATAACAACTCAGTCTCATGATAACTAATCCACTCCCATGATAATGACATTTATCCATTCTTGAGGGCTTCATCCTCATGACCAAATGACCTCTTGTTATGCTCCATGTCTCAATACTATCTCAACGGGGATTAAGTTTCCAACACATAAACTTTTTGGGGACACATTAAAACCATAGCAGCCTTCAACATATTTTTTAGGAGTGGGGCACAATTCAACCCACAACACTAGTCAAACTTCAGTATCTTCACTCAACTTTTCTTCGGCTTTTTGAAAGTCTTTCCTTCTCAGTGCCATTCCACCCTTGGCCCCACTGCTGGCTCCACTACTACCTCTGCACCACAATTCATGTGGTAGCTTCCTCTGAGCTCACGTGGCTATCACCTCTGAGCAGAAGATGGCTGTGCTGCCCACATGTGCTGATCTTGACAAACCTGCCAGGGATGTTTTCACCAAGGGCTATGGATTTGGCCTAATAAAGCTTGATTTGAAAGAAAATTCTGAGAATGGATTGGAATTTACAAGCTCAGCTTCAGTCAACACCGAGACCACCAAAGTGAAGGGCAGTCTGGAAACCAAGTACAGACAGACAGACCATGGCCTGATGTTTACAGAGAAATGGAACACTGACAATACACTAGGCACTGAGATTACCATGAAGAATAACACACATGGACTGAAGCTGACCTTTGATTCATCCTACTCACTGGGGAAGAAAAAGTAAAGCTGACCTTTGACTCTTCCTAACCTGGAGACAAAAATGCTAAAATCAAGACAGAATATTTGTGGTAGCACATCAACCTGAGCTGTGACATGCATTTTGAAATTGCTGAGCCTTCAATCAGAGGCTTTCTGGTGCTGTGTACAAGGGTTGGCTGGCTGGCTACCAGATGAATTTTGAGACTGCAAAGTCCCAAGGGACCCAGAGCAACTTTGTGGTTAGCTAGAAGACTGATGAATTCCAGCTTCACACTAATGTGAATGACGGGATAGTGTTTGGTGGCTCCATTTACCAGAAAATGAAAAGGAAGTTGAGAGCACTGTGAATCTTGGCTGGACAGCAGAAAAATGTAAAACTTGCTTTGAAATAGCAGCCAAGTATCAGATCAACCCTGATGCTTGCTTTTTGGATAAACTGAACAACTTCAGCCTGTTAGGTTTAGGATATATTCAGACCCTAAAGCCAGGTATCAGACTGACACTGTCAGCTTTCCTGTATGGTAAGAACGTTCAGGCTCACAAGCTTGATCTAAGACTGGAATTTCAAGTGTAAGTGCATGCTGTATAGTTGTCTAATTTAAAATTGTTTTGCAGCATAAGTATCTTCATAATTTAATGTATCTTTTAATGTCATATTTCTGGGATGCAGGTATTGCTAAATATCATCTTAGGCCTCTGGATTAAAAATGATTCAGCTTTAAGGTATTACCCTTTCAAAGGTACAGAAGAAACTCAATTCCAAAAGAAGGTCTTTTCGGCTGCAGAATTGGAGGGAACTTGGCTTTTGTAGAAATGCCAGATTTATTTTTTATGTAGAAATGTTTGCAAATGGAAGCTGACAATATAGAGGCACTTTGTAAATTCATAGTGAGTAAATGAATAAAATTATGGTTTCCTAAGAAGCAAACCTTGGTTTCTTAACCCTAATAGATGAGAGGCTCATTGGTTGATGGTGTGTACGAACTCACCTGAAAGGGACTTTTTTAGACAGATATTCATGACCCTTTCCCCATCTCAGTTCATCATCACCTCTTTTACACCAAAAGGTCTGCAGGATGTGGTAACTGTTTATTTTGGCCATTTAGGAGTAGAGAGGATGAATGTGATGAAGCCAGTAATTCAGGACTTAATTCCTTCTCGTGTTGTGGTTTTTTGCCCTTGCACCAGAATATGAAATAGCTTCCAGGAGCTCCAGCTATAAGCTTGGAAGAGTCTGTGTGATTTTAATCACATGGTAACAATACTCAGAATCTAAATTGAATTTCTGTTGTATTGTCACCACTCCATTTATTTTTTAGTAGTTTAATGGGTATATTTTAAAGTCTTCCATTTTTTGTGGAATTAAATCCTCCCCTTCAAATGTTGCAATTGACATTACTTAAAATAAAACTTGAACATAATATTGAAACCTAAAAAAGAAGAGAGAGAAGGTTTTTCCCTCTCTGCCATCTTCCCATTCCTGTTCCTACTTCCCAGCTTTATGCTATGTCCTATTCACACAGAGTAACATACTCTATAATCAAACTCTTTTCTGGGAAATCTAATTAAAAATTCATGCTAAAGAATTACTTTTACCCAAAACAACAATTAAGACAAAGTTTTAGTATTTTATTCAGTGCTTTAATTACAAGGGAGTAGTTAATCAAAATTAACCAAAGATAAATTTATCTGACCCACTATTTTATGTTAATATTCTATAGGAATGACTTTCATAGGTCAAATACAAATAAAGAACTATATATTTATGTCTCACCACAATGAAAAGTTGTTACAATAATCAGAATTTCAAAAAGCCACACAGGCTGGTTTGAGAGCTCTCATATAGTGCATTCTGATTCCTTTTTACACAATCAAATGAAAGATTAGCTCATATAGGTTTATACCAGGCAACTAGATATAATAATGTAGATCTCTTAGAAAATAATCACCTGTTTTTAAAATTTGGGGAATATCCTACACTCCCTGATATTAGAGGGAGAAACTACAGTTTCTTAATCCATTTTCAAAGTTTTAATTCATTTTTGTGGACCAAGTAATAAGCCAGTCCCTCTAACAACATTGGGTTGGTAATATCTCAAGCCAAAACAAAGTAGTCTTACAAAGAATATTAGAAAAATTGCAAACATACATAAGCAGTTTAAGTTGCTAAACTATTACTATAATTCTGCCTTGAAATTGAATCAAGCTAACTTCTGGCCATATTGGAGTAACAGCTAATGGATTTACCTTCTTCTCCATAAACTGGAAAAATTAAATAAATAAGAATTTTAATACACTATATAGCAGGTAGCATTGGATTATAATCTCTAAGGAAAGGGAAACAAAGTAAGCCCTATGATTGACGTAGCTTCCTGCCTAGAGGTGCTTTCCTGGCAGCAGCACTGAGAGTCCAACACTTGGGATTGCCAAATAGAGCTTGGCCATCCTGCTGAGTTTCTGATAGAGGTCAGAATTCAAGGAGCTCAGGTTTAATAGAATGTATGGGCAGGCTATCAGAGAGAAGGAAGCCACAGAGAGGTATAGCTCCAGTGATCTCCACAAGTATTCCTTCAGGTCTTTTGTCTGAGTAGTGATCTGAAAATACTTTAAAAGAAACATTGTGGGAAGAAGCAGAGCAAGATGGTGGAATAGAAGGCTCCACTGAATGTCCCCTTGCAAGGACGCCAATTTAGCAACTATCTACATACAAACACACAAAAATACCTTCACTAAGAACCAAAAAATCAGGTGAGCACACATAGTACTTGGTTTTAACTTTATATCACTGAAAAAGGCATTGAAGAAATAGACAAAACAGTCCTGAATCACCAACACAACCCCTCCCCTGGCCCTGGCAGTACCAGAAGCCTGGTATGGAGAGCATCTCTGGGTGTTGGGAGAAGGGAACACAGCCACTGTGAGGCACTGCACTCAGTGCTGTCCTATTATAGCAAAAAGAAAAACAAGACCAAACTCCACTGACACCTGTCCACAGAGGGAACATTTAAACCAGCCCTAGCCAGAGTGGAATCGCAGATCCCAGCAGTCAGAACTTGAGTTCTTGCAAACCTCACCTCCAAGGGCAACAGTGCCCTGTGTCTCTAAGTAAACTTGAAAGGCAGTCTATGCCACAAGGACTGCAGCTCTTATGAATCCTAGTACTGAACTAGGCCTAGAGACAGTGGGTGGCTTGGTGGGCTGGGGAACACGACCTACTGATATACCAGCTGGAGTGGATAAGGGAGTAGTGGAATCATCCCTCCTCTAACCCCAGGCTGCACAGCTCACAGCTCCAAAAGACACCCCTTCCTTCCATTTGAGGAGAAGAGAAGGAAGAGTGGGGATGACTGTGTCTTGCCTCTTGGATACCAGTTCAGCCACAGCAGGATAGGGCACCATTCAGTGTCATGGGGCCCCCATTCCAGGCCCTAGCTACCAGATGATATTTCTAGACACACTCTGGGCCACAGTGGAACCCGCTGCCTTGAAGGAAAGAACCCCCACCTGGTGGCATTCATCACCTGCTAGATGAGGAGCCCCTGGGCCCTGAATAACCAGCAGTGATACCCAAGTACTACATCAAGGGCCTTGGGTGAGCCTCCGAAGCTTGCTGGCTTCAGGGGAGACTAAGTATATTACCAGCTGTGGCAAGTATGGGACAAAACTCCTTCTGCTTGAGAAAAGTAGAGGGAAAAGTAAAGGGGACTTTGTCTTGCTTCTTGGGTACCAGGGTACCAGCATGGCCACAGGAGGATAGAGCATTAAGTGGGCTCCTGGGGTCCCCAGTTCCAAAACTTGACTCTTAGATGGCATTTCTCATTCTGCCCTGAGCCAGAGGAGGTTCCCTGAAGGGTGAGTCCCAGATCAGGCGGCATTCACCACAGGCTGACTTAAGAGCCCTTAGGACTTAAGGGAACATCAGAAGTAGTCTGGCAGTACTCTTTGTGGCCTGTGGTGGTGGTGGTGGCTATGGGGTGAGCCTTCTTTGCCTTTGTAAAGGGGAGGAAGAAGTGGGAAGGACTGCATTTTGTGGATTAAGTGCCAGCTCAGCTGCAGTGTAATAGAATACCAGGTAGGCTTCTAAGGTTTTAGGCTGCAGTTCCTGACTCCCAGACAATACTTCTGGACCCACCTAGGGCCCAGGGGGACCTCACTGTCCTGAAAGGAAGGACACAGGCCTGACTGGCCTTGCCACCTGCTGATTGTAGTGCCCAGGGCCTTGAGTGAACATAGACAGTAGCCAGGGAGTGGGTGCAGCAGGCCTTGGGCGAGACCCACTGTTATGCTGACTTCAGGTCTCATCCAGCACATAGTGGTGGTGGCCACAGGGGTGCTGTGTCACTCCATCTCCAGCTTTTGATGCCTCAGAACAGAAAGGGAGACTCCATTTGTTTGAGAGAAAGGGAAGAGAACAAGAATCTCTGCCTGGTAAAGAGAATTCTCCCAGAGCTTGTCCAAGACCATACAGGCAGTACCTCTAAGAGTCTGCAAGAACCACGGTGTTACTGGACTTGGGGTGCCTCTTAAAGCAAATACACTTAGATCACAACACTCAAGTCCTTTCAAATATCTGGAAAGTCTTCCCAAGAAGGATGGGTAAAAACAAGCTCAGATAGTGAAGAATACAATAAATACCTAACTCTTCAATGCCTAGGCACCAAAGAACATCTCCTAGCATCAAAACCATCCAGGAAAACATGACCTCACCAAATGAACAAAATAAGGGCACCAGAGACCAGTCCTGGAGAAACAGAGTTGTGTGACTTTTCAGACAGAACAGTTATGTTAAGGAAATTCAAAGAAACTCAAGAAATCACAGAGAAGGAATTCAGAATTCTATCAGACAAATTTCACAAAGAGATTGAAGTAAATAAAAATAATCAAGAAGAAATTCGGGACTGGAAAATGCAATTGGCATATGAAGAATGCATCACAGTCTTTTAACAGCAGGATTGATCAAGCAGAAGAAAGAATTCATGAACTTGAATACAGGCTCTTTGAAAATACACAGTCAGAGGAGACAAAAGAAAAAAATAATAAACAATGAAGAATACCAGCAGGATCTAGAAAATAGCTTCAAAAGGACAAATCTAAGAATTATTGGACTTAAAGAGTAGGTAGAGAAAGAGATGGAGTGGAAAGCTTATTCAAAGGAATAATAACAGAGAACTTCCCAAACCTAGAGAAAGATGTCAATACTCAAATACAAGAAGGTTATACAACACCAAGACTTTAGCCCAAAGAAGACTGACTCAAGGGACTTAATAATCAAACTCCCAAAGGTCAAGGATAAAGAAAAGATCCTGAAGGAAATGAGAGAATATAAATAAATAACATACAATGGAGCAACAGACTTTTCAGTGAAAACCTTAAGGTCAAGAGAGAGTGGTATGACTTACTTAAACTGCTGAAGGAAAAAACAAAAACTTTTACCCTAGAATAGTATATCTAGCAGAAATATCCCTCAAACATAAAGAAGAAATAAAGACTTACCCAGACAAAAGCTGAGGGATTTCATCAATATCAGACCTGTCCTACAAGAAATCCTTAAGTGAGTTGTTCAATCAGAAAGAAAACAAAATTAATGAGCAATAATAAATCACCTCAAGGTACAAAACTCACTGGTAATAGTAAGTACATAGAAAAACACAGAATATTATAACATGATAACTGTTGTGTGTAAACTACTCTTATCCTAAGTATAAAGACTAAATGATGAATCCATCAAAAATAAAAACAACTTTTCAAGACATAGGCAGTACAATAAGATATGAATTAAAAAAACAATTAAAAAGCAGGGACACTAAGTTAGAGTTTGTTTTCCTTTTGCTTGTTTTGTTATGAAAACAGTGTTAAATTATTATCATGTTAAGATAATGAGTTATAAGATAGTATTTGCAAGCCTCATGGTAACCTCAAACCAAAAAACATACAATGGATACACAAAAAATAAAAAGCAAGAAGCTAAATTATATCCTCAGAGAAAAATCACCTTCACTAAGGGAAGATAAGAGGGAAGAGAAGATCACAAAATAAGCAGAAAACAAATAGCAAAATGGCAAGAGTAAGACTTTACTCATGAATAACAACATTAAATGTAAATGAACTAAACTCTCCAATCAAAAGACACACAGTGGCTGAATAGATGACAAAACAAGATCCACTGACCTGTTGCCTACAAGAAACACACTTCACCTATAAAGATACATGTAGATAGATTGAATATAAAAAGATGCTAAAAGATATTCTAAGCCAATGGAAACCAAAAAAGAGCAGGAGTCACTATACTTGTATCAGACAAAATAGACTTCAAGACTAAAACTTTAAGAAGAGATAAAAAAAAGTCCACAATATAATGATGAAGGGATAAATTCAGCAGGAGGATATAACATTTTAAATATATATGCACCCAACACTGAAGCACCCAGATACATAAAGCAAATATCATTAGCGCTAAAGAGAGAGATAGGTCCCAATATGATAAGAGCTGGATACTTCAACAACCCACTTTCAACATTGGACAGATCTTTCCGACAGAAAATCAACAAAAAAAATCAGGCTTAATCTGTGCTATTGGCCACATAAATCTAATAGACATTTAAAGACATTTCAACCAACAGCTGCAGAATACACATTCTTTTCCTCAGCATATGGATCATTCCAAGAATGATCAGTCTCAAGAAGAGACCATGTGTTAGGTCACAAAACAAGTCTTAAGACATTCAATAATATTGAAATAACATCAAGCATTTTCTCTGAACACAATGGAATAAAACTAAAAATTAAAAACAAGGGGAATTTTGGAAACTATGCCAATACATAGAAATTAAACAATATGCTCCTGAATGACCAGTGGATCAATGAAGAAATTAAGAAGAAAGTTGAAAAATTTCTTGAAAAAAATAATAATAGAAACACAACATACCAAAACCTATGGAATACAGCAAAAGCAATACTAAAAGGGAAGTTCATAGCTATTAAGTGCCTACATCAAAATAAAAAAAGAAAAAACATCAAATAAACAATCTAAGGATGCATCTTAAGAAAAAAGCAAGAGCAAACCAAACTCAAAACTAGTAGAAGAAAAGAAACAATAAAGGTCAGAGCAGAAATAGAGTTGAAATTTAAAAAGTACAAAAGATCAACAAAGCAAAACAAAGTTAAACAAGAAAAAGAGTTTAGCCAGACTAAGAAAAAGAGAGAAAATACAAATAAAATCAGAAATGAGAAAGGAAACATTACAAATGATACTGCAGAAATGCAAAGGATCATTAATGGCTACTAGGAACAAGTATATGCCAATGAATTGGAAAATCTAGAGGAAATGCACAAATTACTACATGCATACAATCTGCCTGGATTGAACCATGAAGAAATCCAAAATATGAATAGACCAATAACAAGTAACTAGATTGAAGCCATAATAAAAAGTCTTCCGCTAACAAAAGCCCAGGACCTGACAGCTTTACTACTGAATTTTACCAAACATTTAAAGAGAAATTAATCCAATTCTACTCAAACTATTCCAAAAAATAGAGGAGGACAGAATACTTCTAAACTCATTCTACAAGTATGGTGTAATCCTGAAACCAAAACCAGACAAAGAAACATCAAAAAAAGAAAACTACAGGCCAGTATCTCTGATAAATATTAATGCAAGAATCCTTAACAAAATACTAACAAACTGAATTCAACAATACATTAGAAAGATCATTCATCATGACCAAGTGGGATTTATCCCTGGGATATAAGTATGGTTCAACATATGTGAATCGATCAATGTGATTCATTATATCAACAGAATGAAGTATGAAAACAATGTGAGCATTTCAATTGATGCTGTAAAAGCATTTGATAAAATTCAACGTTTCCTCATTATTTAAAACCCTCAAAAAACTGGGTATAGTAGGAACATAGCTCAACATAATAAAAGCCATATATGACAGACCCCCAGCTAGCATCATACTGAATGGGGAAAACTGGAAAGACTTTTCTCTAAGATATGGAACATGACAATGATGCCCACGTTTATCACTGTTATGCAACATAGTACTGGAAGTCCTAGCTAAAGTAACCAGACAAGAGAAAGATATAAAGTGCATCCAAATTGGGAAAGAAGACAAATTTCTCTTGTTACAGATGATATAGTCTTATATTTGAAAAAAATCTAATGACTCCACAAATAAACAAACAGATAAATTGTTTAGTTGCAGGATACAAAATTAACACAAAAAAATTAATACTATTTATATACACCAAAAGTGAACATTCTGAAAAAGAAATAAAAAATGTAAGCCCATTTACAATAGCCAAGCATAAAATTAAATACCTAGGAATTAACTTAATTAAATAAATAAAACATCTCTATAATGACAATTATAAAACATTGATGAAATAAATTGCAGAGGACATCACAAAATGGAAAAATATTTCATGTTCGTGGATTGGAAGAATTAATATTGTTAAAACGTCCATACTAGGCAAAGCAATCTATAGATTAAATGCAATCCCTATCAAAATGCCAATGGCATTCTTCACAGAAATAGAAAAACAATCCAAAAGTTTATATGGAACCATAAAATACCCAGAATAGCCAAAGCTATCCTAAGAAAAAAGAACAAAGCTGGAGAAGGCACATTATCTGACTTCAAATTATACCACAGAGCTATAATAGCCAAAACAGCATGGTGTTGGCATGAAAACAGACACATAGACCAATAGAACAGAATAGAGAAACCAGAAACAAATCCACACACCTACAGAGAATTCATTTTTGACAAAGGTACCTAGAACATACACTGTGGAAAAGACAGTCTCTTCAATAAATGGTGCTGGGAAAATGAGATATCCATATACAGAAGAATATAACTAGACCCCTAACTCTCATCATATACAAAAATCAAATCAAAATGGATTAAAGATTTAAATATAAGGCCTCAAACTACGAAACTACTACAAGAAGATATTGGGGAAAAATTTCCAGGATATTGTTCTGGGCAAAAATTTCTTGAGAAATACCCCATAAGCACAGGCAACTAAAGCAAAAAAATGGATAAATGAGATTGCATCAAGTTTAAAAGCTTCTGCACAGCAAAGCATACAATCAACAAAGTGAAGAGACAATCCACAGAATGAAAGAAAATACCTGCAAACTACCCATCTGTATTAGCCTGTTTTCATGCTGATGATAAAGACATACTCAAGACTGGGTAATTTATAAAGAAAAAGAGGCTTAATGGACTCACAGTTCCATGTGGCTGGGGAGGCCTCACAATGCTGGTGGATGGTGAAAAGTGTGTCTTACATGGTGGCAGATAAGAGAGAATGAGAACTAAAAGAAAGGGGTTTCCCCTTATAAAACCATCAGATCTCGTGAGACTTATTCACTACCATGAGAACAATACAGGGAAAACTGCCTCCACGATTCAGTTATCTCCCACTGGGTCCCTCCCACAACACGTGGGAATTATGAGAGCTACGATTCAAGATGAGATTTGGGTGGGGACACAACCAAACCTTATTACCATCTGACAAAGGATTAATAATCAGAATATATAAGGAGCTCAAACAATTCTATAGGAAAAAAATTCAATAATCTGATCACAAATGGGCAAAAGATTTGAACAGGTATTTCTCAAAGAAGACATACAAATGGCAAACAGACATATGAAAATGTGCTCAACATCACTGATCATCAGAGAAATGCAAATCAAAACTAAAATTAGGTATCATCTCACCCCAGTTAAAATAACTTATATTCAAAAGATAGGAGTAACAAATGCCAGTGAGGATGTGGAGAAAAGGGAATCCTCATACACTGTTGGTGGGAATGTAAATGAGTACAGTTACTAGGGAGAACACTTTAAATGGTCCCCAGAAAGCAATCCCACTGCTGGGTATATATCCAAAAGAAAGGAAATTAGTGTATCAAAAATATATCTGTACTCCCATGCTTGTAGCAGTACTGTTCATAATAGCTAATATTTTGACCCAACCTAAGTGTCCATCAACAGATAATTGGATAAAGAAAATATACATATACACAATGGAGTACACTCAGCCATAAAAAATGACAAGATCATATCAATTCCAACAACATGGATGGAACTAGAGATTATTATGTTAAGTGAAATAAGCCTAGCACAGAAAGACAAACATTGCATATTCTCATGTATTTATGGGATCTAAAAATCAAAACAATTAAACTCATAGACACAGAGGATAGAAGGATGGTTACCAGAGACTGGGAAGGGTGTGGGATCTAAAAATCAAAACAATTAAACTCATAGACACAAAGATAGAAGGATGCTTACAGAGGCTGGGAAGGGTAGTGAAGGGGAGGTGGGGATGGTTAATAATTCTAAAAAATCAAAAGATGAATAAGACCTATTTGATAGCACAACAGAATGAATATAGTCAATAATAACAACTGTACATTTTAAAATAACTAGAAGAGTGTAACTGGATTGTTTGTAATACAAAGGACAAATGACAGGATAAATATGCCATTCTTCACAATATGATTATTATGCATTGCATGCCTATTTCAAAACATCTCATGTACCACCATAAATATATACACCTACTATGTACCCACAAAAATTAAAAATTAAACAAGTTAAAAAGAAACTTTCTGAAGCCAGGGAAGAGCCAATTAAAAAAACAATAAACAATAAATACAAAAATAGGAATAGTTCCCATGAGGCAGAGAGGAAAAACCTCCTAATACATGGGTCACCGGTACACCCGTCAGAAACCATCTCTTTAGAAGTAGGGATTATATCAGTAATAAATGAGGGTCCAGGCCCATTCATATAAAGCTTTAAACCCTCATCAAACTAGGACTGAAGGTGAACTTTATCAACCTGATACAGGGAATCTATGAAAAACCTACATTTGTCATAATACTTTATGGTGAAAGGCTAAATGCTGTCCTGTTAACATCAGAAACAAAGTAAGGATAGTCTCTGCCACCATTCTATTAATGTTGTACTAGCCAGTGCTATAACAACAAAAAAAAAATAATATACATAAGGATTAGAAAAAAGATTATCTTTATTCATAGATGACATAATTATATATTCAAAATATTATTTAAAATCTACCAAAAAGGATACTAGAACTAATTATGTGAAAGTGTTAAGTTTGCAAGGTAAAGTACAAAATCTACTGTTTCTGTAAGCAATAAACAATTGATAATTACAATAAAATAATATTTAAAATATCATAAATAATGAAATTCTTAGGAATAAATTTAACAAAAAAAAGACCAAGATGCTGAATATTAAACAATATTTTTATGACAAATTAAACTAAAATATATACTATGCTTATTAACTGGAAGATTCATTATTGTTAAAAAGCTCTTCCTAAAGTGATCTATAGATTTAAGTCCTTCTCAATCAAAATCCAAGCATGCATTTTTATAGATATTGACAAAGCTATTTTTTTAATCTTCAAAATTAACCAAATGTCCCAATTTTTATTTCAATTGTAATTTGAAGACTTTAGAAATAATTATTTTTTTTCATAGATACAGTATCATTGAGTAGAAAAACTGGAAGGTGAAGATAAAAAACATTATGTATTGTTGACTAATTATTTGAACTTAGATAATTTAGTTTACCCCCAGGTCTTCAATTTTCTTATCTATTGAATACCTACCCTCTATATCCCACAGCTATTTGCAGTGATCAAATGAGAATAAAATTTGATCACTGAAAATCAAAGATTTTAAACTCTAATTCTTGCAATTGCTAGACAAGTATCATAAATGTTTGAAGTAGGCAGAATACAAACTGCAGAGAGTTGGCACATCATCTGAAGGGGGACAAAATGTGACAGCTACTACCCAGCTGTATTAGTTCATTCTCACACTGCTATAAAGAACTACCTGAGTCTGGATAATTTATAAAGGAAAGAGGTTTAACTGACTCACAGATCTGCAGGCTATACAGGAAGCATCGCTTGGGAGGCCTCGGGAAACTGACAATCATGGTGGAAGGTGAAGGGGAAGAAGGCACATCTTAACCACAGTGACTCAGGTGAGAGACAGCAAAGGGGAAAGTGCTACACACTTTTAAACAACCAGATCTCATAAGAACTCACTATCTCACTATCATGAGAACAGCAAGGAGGAAATCCATCCTCATGACCCAATCACCTCCCACCAGGCTCCTTCTCAACATTGGGAATTACAATTTGACATGAGATTTGAGTGAGGACCCAGAGTCAAATCATATTATTCTACCCCCGGTCCCTCCTGAATCTCATTTTCTTCTCACATTTCAAAATACAATTATGCCTTCCCAACAGTCCCTCAAAATCTTAACTCATTATAGCATTAGCTCAAAAGTCCAAATCCAAAGTCTCATCTGAGACAAGGAAAGTCCCTTCTGCCTATGAGCCTATAAAATCAAAATAACTTAGTTATTTTCAAGATACAATGGGGGTACAGGCATTGGGTAAGTGCTCCCATTCCAAATGGGAGAAATTGGCCAAGACAAAGGGACTACAGGTCCCACTCAATTCTAAAACCTAGTAGGGCAGTCAATAAATCTTAAAGCTCCAAAACAAGCTCCTTTGACTCCATGTCTCACATCCAAGTCACACTGGTGCAAAGAGTGGGTTCTCAATGCTGTGGGCACCCCCACTCCTGTGACTCTGCAGCATACAGCCCCATAGCTCTTTTCACAGGCTAGTATTGAGTGCCTTCAGCTTTTTCAGGTGCATGGTGCAAGCTGTCTGTGGAACTATTATTCTGGGGTCTGGAAGATGGTTGTCTTCTTTTCACAGCTCCACTAGGCAGTGCCCCAGTGGAACTCTGTGTGGTGGCTCCAACCCCACATTTTCCCTTCACACTGCCCAAGCAGAGGTTCTCCATGAGGGCTCCAGCCCTGCAGGAGACTTCTGTTTAGACATCCAGGTGTTTCCATACATCCTCTGAAATCTAGGTGGAGGCTCCCAAACCTCAACTCTTGCTTTCTGCACACCCACAGGCCCAACACCACTTGGAAGCTCCCAGGGCTTGGGGCTTGCACTCTTTCAGCCACATCTGGAACTGGAGTGGCTGGGATGCAGGGCACCATGTCCCAAGGCCACACAAAGCAGTGAACACACAAAATCATTTTTCCCTCCTATATCTCTAGGTCTGTGATGGGAGGGACTGCTGTGACAGTCTCTGAAATGCCCTGGAGGCATTTGCCCCATTGTCTTGGCTATTAACATTCAGTTCTCCTTTACTTATGCAAATTTCTGCAGTCTTGAATTCCTCTCCCCAGAAAATGGGTTTTTCTTTTCTACCACATGGTCAGGCTTCAAATTTTCCAAATTTTTATGCTCTAATTCCCTTTTAAATATAAGTTCTAGTTTCAGGTCATTTCTTTTTTTGGGCAAATGAACATAGGCTTTTAGAAGCAGCAGGCTATTTCTTGAGTGCTTTGCTGCTTAGAAATTTCTTCCATCAGATACCTTAAATCATCTCTCTGAAGTTTAAAATTTCACAGATTTCTAGAGCAGGGGCACAATGCCTCTAAGCTCTTTGCTAAAGTATAGCAAGAGTGACGGACCTCTATTCTGGTTCTCAGTAAGCTTCTTACCTTCATCTGAGACCTCCTCAGCCACTTCACTGTCTGTATCACTATCAACATTTTGGTCACAACCATTCAACAAGTCTCTAGGAAGTTTTCAACTTTCCCTCATCTTCCTGTCTTCTTCTGAGCCCTCCAGACTGTTCAGACGTCTGCCTGTTACCCAGTTCCAAAGTCGCTTCCACGTTTTCAGGTATCTTTAGCAATGTCCCATGGAAATATCCCATTTCTCTGGTACCTATTTTCTGTGTTAAGTCCATTGTCACACTGCTATAAAGAACTACCCAGGACTAGGTAATATATGAAGAAAAGAAGCTTAATTGACTCATAGTTCTACAAGCTATACAGGAAGCATGGCCAGGAGGTCTCAGGATACTTACAATCATGGTGGAAGGTGAAGGGGAAGCAAGCATGTCTTACCATGTAAAGCATGAGAGAACTTCTTTTCTATTATAACTTCTTTTAACTTTCAGACACCTATATACAACCACATCTTATTAATTGTTGTACGTAAGTTTTCTTCAATCGTTTACTGTATTATAATCATTTAGCAAAGGGAGAAGTTACTACATGCTTTTAAGAAACCAGATCTTATGAAATCTCACTCTCAATCATGAGAACAGCAAGAGGGAAATCCACACCCACGATCCAATCACCTCCCACCCAGACCCTCCCTAACACTAGGAATTACAATTTGACATGAGATTTGGGTGGGGACACAGAGCCAAACCATATCACCATCTTTGACCAAATATTGTAGTGAAAAAATTCCCTTAATGACAATGACAACCCTTTGTTGCCAGATTATCCAACTTCTTAAACTTACTAGAAATCTGAATGTTTACATAAATATTATCTTTTCAAAAGGATGGCTATTGATTCAATATGAACAAATGTGATGTGGACCAACAAAACATATCTGCAAGCTGCATTCAGTAAGTGCGACCCAATTGTCTCTGCTGTTTTGAACATTACACAAAGATTGGGTACTGTAAACATTCATAATAATAATAGCTATGCCAAATACACAAATAATCTAAGCAAGCACAGATATATAACTAATGAAACACTATGGGTGTTCAGAGAGAGAGCAATAGTTAATGAGTGATTCATATTTGAGCCTGGATTTGAACAGTAGATAGTATTTTAAAGAGAACTATACTAATTTCTAATTGTCAGGATGTTTCCTGATTAAGCTAAAAATATGTGACTATGACTTTCAATTGGTTAAGTAGGTTATAAAGAAAGCAACTGCCATGGGTTGGAGTGTGTAAGCGGTCTACCCTTGCTTGAACAAATTACTTCACTGAAACCGTCACATATGCACCCCTAATTGTATTTGGCTAACTTATTTTATCAAAGGTTAGAAAAATAACTGCTATTAACCATGTTCAAGTCTTTTCTCTTTCATTCTGTTCAGTCCAGATAGTTCAAAATGCATTGTTTCAATCATTGTGCTCATATAACTTCTTTTCTATTAATTTTCAAATATCTATATACAATGCCACATTATTGATGATTGTATGTAAGTTTTACTGAGTCATCTACAGTACTATAATCACTTAGTGAAATGATTTTCTACTTGCATTTTAGTACTAGAATGTCTTGCATATTATGTTTATAAGCTTATAAAACTTATGTTTAAACTTATTAAACATAAATGTTCAATAAGTAAATGTGATTGACCTAGCATTTATTACGACATTAAGAAAAACTGGTTAAATAAGCAAAATATAGAAATTCATTTATTCAGATAATTAATAGGCACTTACCTTGTGTAAAACAATTGATTATAATCTGTTACTATAGCAACCTCGTCATGAATTAAAAGGAGGAAGAGAGTCAGAGAAAGGGCTGAAGCAGAGGGAGAAAGACAGGAGTCAAGTTTTCTCCAATTTTCCAAAAAGTAAAACTTAAAAGTGTCTCTTTAGTGAGTTGTATTTTATTGTAAGCAAGTGGAATATTTGACATTAGAATAAAATCTAGCATACAATTTCAGAATGGAAGCTATTATCCTTTGCCGTATTTACCAGACTTGTTGCCTTATTGAAATGAAAACAGAATCACTGGAAGAATACCCATGAACACAGTAACAAACAGAAACTTTCTAGTTCTCCCATACACTGCCAGAAAGTAGTCTTGATTAAATCTGAATAGTTCAAGAACTAAATTTCAACTCAAGTTAAGAGCAGTAAGTAATCAGAATGATATCAGCAAGATGACCAACTAGAAGTACATGGCACTTATTCCCCCCTCACAAAAAGGAATAAAAACTAAAAATCAACACCTATATTTTGAGTAGAGAGACTGAGGAAATACATTGGAGAGCACCAGGGAAGTGGTGAAAGCCCTATAGAGCATGGAAGCCTAGCATTGCACCACAGAGAGAGGAGCAACGCACACTGCCTCTGCCACTTTGTCTCCCTGCCAGGATCAATTTGGAGTCGGGGTACTTTATCTTATGGGAAAAAGGTAAACTGAAGATGCCTAGTGGTCTTCATTGTGGCCACACACGCCGGAAGTCCTTGCGGCAGGAGAGTTCTCCAGGCCTCACAGGCCATAAATCTAGTTTGGAGAGTAGTGGGGAGTTTGTGCACCTGCCTTGCCTCAGACTAGGAGCCTAAACTATAAAACTACTAGAAGAAAACATTGGAGGAGAACGTCAGGACATTGGTCAAGTAAGCATTTTTTAAATAAGACTCAAAAGCACTGCCAACAAAAGTAAAAATAGACAAATGGCACACCAATCTAGAAAGCTTTCGCACTGCCATACTTACAGACTGAAGAAACACCGACAGAATGGGAGAATATATTTGTAAACTGTACATCTGACAAGGGGTTAATATCCAGAATATATAAAGAACAGCAAAAAAACAAATAACCCAACACAAAAAATGGCCAAAAGACTCTAATAGGCATGTCACAAAATAAGACATACAAATGGCCAACAGGTACATGAAAAAAGGCTCAGCATCACTGATCACCAGGGAAATGCAAATAAAAGCCACAATGACATACTACCTCACTCCAGTTAGAAAAATTATTATCAAGACAAAGAAAATGTTGGAGTTTACAGAGAAAAGGGAACAATTATAGATTGCTGTGGAATTGTAAATGACTCTTAACTGCAGTTGAGTATGAAGTTCTAAATCTCACACATAAAGAAACAAAGCACTAGCACTACTTACTGTCTTTCTCAGGAGACCGGATTGAGAATCTGAAGAGTTACAGGAAGAGACATCATACTACTTGGAATTACTATGCATGTGGCATTTCCCCAAACTTCCTCTTGGCAAATATTCAGCAGACAACCTTGCTCCTTGCTGTGTTTCCCTCTTGCCTTTGCAAGACTGGGAATTTCTGAAGGCCAAGCTAGGGGAAATACAAATGAGAAGGAGGAAAGCAGAAGAGGGTAAGAAATTTTTCTTTCAAAGTTAAAATTAAAAACTTTTAGATATCAGCATTCTGAGAAGTGAGAGCAAGAGACTGGAAAAAAGCAAAGAGCCCACCAAAGATTCCCTGAACATTTTACTGTCGAATCAATAAAAAGAGAAGATGCAAACCTTTATCGATTATAGTATCCAATTGTGTCCAGAATTGGTGGGTTCTTGGTCTCGCTGACTTCAGGAATGAAGCCGCAGACTCTCCCAGTGAGTTCTTAAAGATGATGTGTCCGGAGTTTCTTTGTTCTGGTGGGTTCGCGGTCTCGCTGGCTTCAGGAGCGAAGCTACAGACTTTCGCGGTGAGTGTTACAGTTCTTAAAGGCGGCGCCACGTCTGGAGAAGTTTGTTCCTCCTGGCGGGAGTTGTTCGTCCCTCCTGGCGGGTTCGCGATCTCGCTGGCTTCAGGACTGAAGCTGCACACCTTCGCGCTGGCTTCAGGAGCAAAGATGCAGACCTTCGTGGTGAGTGTTACAGCTCACAAACGCCGTGCGGACCCAAACACTGAGCAGCAACAAGATTTAGTGTAAAGAGCAAAAGAACAAAGCTTCCACAGTGTGGAAAGGGACCAGAGAGAGTTGCTACTGGCTAGCTCGGGCAGCCTGCTTTTATTCCCTTATCTGACCCCACCCACATCCTGCTGATTGGTCCATTTTACAGCGAGCGATTGGTCCGTTTTACAGAGAGCTGATTGGTCCTTTTTGACAGGGTGCTGATTGGTGCATTTACAAACCTTGAGCTAGACACAGAGTGCTGGTTGGTGCATTTACAATCCTTTAGCTAGACACAAACCGGCGCACTCTCTGCAGCTGCTGGCTCAGGTGCTAAGCTCCTCGCTGCCTGGGGCCGGCAGCTCTGGCCGGCCGCTCCAAGTGCGGGGCCCGCCAAGCCCAAACCCACCTGGAACTCGCGCTGGCCCGCAAGCGCCACGCACAGCCCCAGTCGGGGCCTCTCCCTCCACACCTCCCCGCAGGCTGACGGAGGTGGCTCCGGCCTCAGCCAGCCCGCAGAGGGGCCCACACAGCGCAGTGGCGGGCTGAAGGGCTCCCCGAGCAGGACCAGAGCGGACACCGAGGCCGAGGAGGAGCTGAGAGCGAGCGAGGGCCGCCAGCACGTTGTCACCTCTCATAATGACATGAACAAAGTGTCTTATTTCTCAAATCTTTCCAAATGTTTAGAAAATGTTGCAGACACAGAATAAGGGAATGTTATAGTTGGTCTGGAGACGTTTGCCTTTGGAAAGAATCATTTGAAGTTACCTTATCTAAGCTCACTTTTTTTTTTTTTCCTGAGATGGAGTCTGGCTGTGTCGCCCAGGCTGGAGTGCAGTGGCACGATCTTGGCTCACTGCAACCTCTGCCTTCCTGGTTCAAGTGATTCTCCTGCCTCAGCCTCCTGAGTAGCTAAGACTACATGCATGCACCACCACGCTTAGCTACTTTTTTGTATTTTTAGTAGAGATGGGGGACGGGGTTTCACCATGTTGGCCAGGCTGTTCTCCAACTCCTGGCCTCAGGCAATTCATGCACCTCGGCCTCCCAAAGTGCTGGGATTACAGGCGTGAGCCACCATGCCCAGCCAACTCCTCCTCATTTTTTAGGTGTGAAAATTGAGAATCCTTGAAGTAAAGTAAATTGCCCAAGGTTAACACTGGAAATAAGCAGCTGAGCCAAGGCTTCATCTTCTGATGCCCGGGCTTTACTGTGCTCCAATGTCATTGTAATCACAACAGTTAGTGTTTTGTAGCTGTGTGATGATAATATCAAAACAAATTTTTACAGTCAGATAAAAAAATTAGTCTCAAGAAGAACATTAAGGAATTAAGAAAGCATTCATGGTTTTGCTTCTTTTTTTTTTTTTTTTTTTTTTTTTTTTTTTTTTTTGAGACGGAGTCTTGCTCTGCTGTCGCCCAGGCTGGAGTGCAGTGGCACAATCTCTGCTCACTGCAAGCTCCGCCTCCTGGGTTCATGCCATTCTCCTGCCTCAGCCTCCTGAGTAGCTGGGACTGCAGGCGCCTGCCACCATGCCTGGCTAATTATTTTTGTATTTTTAGTAGAGACGGGGTTTCACCGTGTTAGCCAGGATGGTCTTGATCTCCTGACCTCATGATCGCCCACCTCAGCCACCCAAAGTGCTGGAATTACAGGCGTGAGCCACCGTGCCCGGCCGGTTTTGCTTCTTTAAAGACATTTTATTGAGCTAGACGTGCATGTAGTCCCAGCTACTTGGGAGGCTGAGGCAAGTGGATAACTTGAGCCCAGCAGTTTGAGGCCATAGAGCACAAGGATTATTCCTGTGACTAGCCACTGCACTGCAACCTGGACAATATAGCAAAACCCTGTGTCTTAAAAAAAAAAAAGACCAAAAGACCAAAACTAAAAAAAAAAAAAAGACATTTTAAATTCCAATAGAATCATACAATTAGTAAAACATTTGACCAGTGAACAACGTGAGGATTAGGGACTCCAACCTTCATGCAGTGAAAAATTCTTGTACAACTTTTGATTCCCCCTAAACTTAACTATTAATAGCCTACTGTTGATGAGAAGCAGAAGCCTTACTGATAACATATGCAGTAAATTAACACATATTTTGTGTGCTATAAGTATTATATACCGTATTCTTAAATAAAGAAAACATAAAATGTTATTAAGAAAATCATCAAGAAAATATATTTACTATTCATTAAGTGGAAGTGGATCTTCATAAAGTTCTTCATCCTCATCATCTTCAGTTTGAGTGGGCCAAGGAGGAGGAGGAAGAGGAAGGGTTGGTCTTACTATCTCAGATGTGGCAGAGTTGGGACAGACGGAGAAGGTAGAAGGTGGGATAGGAGAGGCAAGCACATTTGGTGTAACTTTATAGAAATGCATTGTAAGGCCGGGCGCGGTGGATCATGCCTGTAATCGCAGCACTTTGGGAGGCCGAGACGGGCAGATCACTAGGTCAGGAGTGCCAGACCATCCTGGCCAACACGGTGGAACCTTGTCTCTACTAAAAATACAAAAATCAGCTGGGTGTGGTGGCGGGCACCTGTACTCGGGAGGCTGAGGAAGGAGAATCACTTGAACCCAGGAGGCGGAGGTTGCAGTGAGCTGAGATCACACCACTGCACTCCAGCCTGGGTGACACAGCGAGACTCTATCTCAAAAAAAGAAAAGAAAAGAAAAGAGAAAGAAAGAAAGAAGGAAAGAAAGAGAAAGAAGGAAGGAAGGAAGGCAGGAAGGAAAGAAAGAAAAGAAAGAAAGAAAAGAAAGAAAGAAAGAAAGAAAGAAAGAAAAGAAAGAAAGAAAGAAAGAAAGAAAGAAAGAAATTTGTAATTTCTGTCTGACATTTCTCAAAAGGTTTCTGTGCAGTACCAGTTCTTCTTCCACCATTTGCTTTCGTTTTAGTGTCCATATTATAGAAGAGTTCATGTCGTGAAAGAAGTCAAAAGCAATCTTGAATAAGCGGAACCCTTCTGCCAGATGGTCTAACGTCAATTTGCTTTCTGGCACTGCTTCTTCTATGTCTTCATCCTCATTGTCTGGCACTGGTTCAGAAGCACTCATCTCCATCAAGTCATCTCCTATTAGTTCCTCTAGCGTGGTGTCTATTAACTCTTGAATTTTTCTAAGATCCATATCTTGAAACTCTTCTCCCACTACATTTTATGCCATATCCAAATCTCTTTCATGATTTCCTTGATTTGCTCTGTTGTGTATCTTCGGCATTCACGCACACATCTGGACACAGTTTTCTCCAGCAGGAATTTATTGTTTCGGGTTGATGGCTTTCCCAGCTTTTTCTATAGCAATGGTGATATTTTCAGTCCTGCAATCCTTCTAGACTTTCATTGACAATCTTTTCCATAGGGTGCTGTGTGTAATGAGTCTGAGGGGTCCTTATGAACTCCTGATCTAGACGCTGAGTTAAAGATGCTGTGCTTGGAGATAAGCAGATCACTTTGACACCATGGGGTTCTGGGTGGCCAGGGGCATGTCCAATGCAAAAATAATTGTCCAATAGTAAAAGGCAGTCCTTTCCTGGCAAGGTACTTCCTGACTTCGGGGACAAAGCTTCAATGGAAACAACCCAGAAAAGTGGCTGTCATTGTCCAGGTCTTCTTCGTATACAACCAAAAGACTGGCAGCTGATGTTTACCTCTTCCCTTCAAGGCTCAAGGGTTAGTGGCTTTATAGATAAGGCAGTCCTGATCCTAAATCTGATTACATTTGCACAAAACAGTGGAGTTAGCCTATCCCTTCCTGCCTTAAATCCTGTTGCTCGTTTCTCTTCCTTAATAATAAATGTTCTTTCTGGCTTGTGGGTTTTTTTTTTCAGAGCGGCACTTTTGTCTGCATTAAAAATCTGTTCAGGCAGATTCCTTTCTCCTCAATGATTTTCTTAATGGCATCTGGGAAATCATCTACTGCCTCTTGGTTGACAGAAGCTACTTCTCCTATGATCTTGACATTTTTAAAAGCCACACCTTTTTCTAAAATTATCAAACCATCTTTTGCTGGCACTAAATTCTCCAGCTTTAAGTCCTCCACCTTCTCTTCAAGTTGTTGTCATAGAATGACTTTGCTTTTTCTTGAATCATATTAGAGTCTGTAGGTATACCTTTCTTATAGTAATTCTGCACTCACATAAAAGCTGCATTTTCAATACAAGATCTAAAGGTATTTTGCAAAATGTGCAAGATTTTCTTGCCTGTTGGGATAGAGGCAGCAATAGCTTCACAAATTTCCTTTTTATTTATTTATTTTACAATAGTCCTTATGCTCGATTCATTTGTTTTGAAATGACCGGCAACTGTAGCTATAGAACTCAATCTGACATGTCAAGCAATTCAGCTTTTCTTTTAATCTCAGACTTTTCCCTGCTTCTTAGGAGCACTTTCAGCATCACAAGTGGCACTTCATATGAGTTCCAGTTTATTATTCAAGGTTTACAGGTATGGCACTAAACTTGATGGAAAATACATGAGAACCATGAAAGATCACTTTCTACTGCAACATGAAATTTGCTAGAGAGCCAAAATGTTCATCAGGAGATAATTAGCATCACATGAAATTTTGAGCAGTATTTGCAACACTTGAGCTCAAGGCAATAGTAACAGGAGGTGGCTATAAAATTCATACAGTATATGCTACAGTTAATTGTATGCGGTTATGATTTAATACTTCATCTTTACTTTTGTTCACATTTTACTAAACTGCACCATGTAAGGTCTGTGTTTGTGTGCAGAAATTTTTATAACTTTTAACTTTTTATAATAGATTTTTGTATATTTTATAGTAGTAAATGATGAAGTAAACTAGTAGCTACATACATTTTATGCATTACTTACCTTTTTCTTAATTTTATGAATGTTTCTAGGCTACTCAGTTTGTCTGAGTGTTTTAAAATTATTTTTCATGTCTTCGAAAAATTTTCAGTGTTTTTTTTAATTTGCATATAAGTGGACTTGCACACTTTAAATCCATGTTGTTCAAAGAATCAACTGCATATGTGCCATAATTCTGAATTAAGGAAAGGGCCTTCTAACATTTTCGTCTTTGCTTTTCACAGTGCAAATGCTGCCTAGTCCTTGTTTGTATTTCTGGAGATAGAAAAGGAACCTGTTGGCTGAGGTTGCCTCCTTTGTTTTGCCTCTAGCTTTTCTTTATTAACTTTTACTTACACTGATCAATGATCCTTCAGTTACAAACTCTCAGAAGTTTATCTTCTGCAAATGAGTTATTCAAGAAAGTAAGGATTTTGCTGAAATGGTGTCACCCGCAATACTTTATGAGGACTCAGCTCCTACTAGCCTTTATTGAGGGCATAGATGCCAAGCACTGTGTTTGATGCTTTATATACATTAGCACATTTTACTGTCTAAGTCTCTGAATGCATTCCGCACATATATTTTGCTGACCTGTAAAGCCATAACCATGAGTTTTGCCTATTAATAAATGTTCTTAGTTGGTCTTTTTGAGTCTTTTCAATCTCGAGTTCCCAAATTAAGGGAATGTAGCTCTCTTAATTCTTAATTTTGTTTGGCAGGTAGTTTGTTTGAAAAGTCATAAAATGCAGGGAGCTATATTTAAACAAATGGTATAAATAGACAAACACCAATGTTTAAGACTCAGTCCTATATCCTACCAGCTATGTAGCCTTGGGAAAATTGCTTCACTTATTTAGGCCTTACTATTCTCATCTATTTAATTGACCTAACAACTTGTGTTTCGATCTTGTGGGCAGATTGTGAAGCAAATGTGATGGTGGTTATAACCCACTATTCAAAAGCAAAGTGTAATATATTATATGAAGATAAATAAGTGAACTTAATTATCATCAAGAGTTTATAAATATGTTGTGCATTTTTTATAACTGGTATCATGACTTGAACAATTTTTAGGCCTCACAGTTGACATTGGATCTTATTACTAAATTTCAATTCTTTATTATTAACAATCTTGAGAGTTTACTATATTGTGTAAAAGATCTCAAATCACCAAGAAGGCATGCTAACCTGCAAAACATGTCATGGGGCAAAGCTTCACACTGAGAGCTGGGCAACCACTCTTGACTTTGTTCCACAACCTTAAAATAATACTCTCAAGAACCAATAATCACATTCGTCTTGCTGATAGAACATTTCTAGTTGAGTACAAGCTCAGGCATGTTGCATTGGGTGTTTTGAGAATACAATACACCATTCTTATACTTAAATGTACATTCTGAAATTTATGTATATAAAACATTTAACCATCATTTTATCACCATTGACCTGTAATGTAATAGAAGCCTCAAAGGTATCTGATAAAATCTGTGGAAAGACATCAATAGGGAATCAATCAAGTTGAATTATTTTTTTTCTGGTTACAAGGATTTCTTCTCATAGACTTTTAGGACTGGTCATAATTCTTACCTAAACTGGTTTACTTATCTGGAATATTCACTTTCACTCTGTATTAATTAGGGGAGGCCCACAATGGGTGAAGGCTCAGACACAACAGAAGTTTCTTGTTGCAGTTTTAGAAAATTTTGCTTGTATAAAAGTACTGGTGTGGTAAAACACATGGGTGGGGCTGTCCTATTTCACATAGCTATTCAGAGACCCAGGATGACAGAAGCTCTGTCATCGTCAACATATGACTTCCAAGTCCATGCTGGGGTCATCTGCATTCCAGCTAGCTGGAAAGAGGGAATAATATGAATGAGCACATATGTAAGGTTTTTATGGGCTAGATCTTGGAGTTGAACATATCACTTCTACTCACTCACATTTCATTGACTAGAACTCAGCCCTGTGGCCATACATAACTGCAAAGGAGGCTGGGAGATGCAATTTAGCTGGGTGCCCAGGAACAAAAGGACAACAAAGGTTTTAGTAGCAGCTAGCACACTGTGCCACAGTGACATCTCTTGAATATCTACCAGATTTTTTGATAAATAGGCTGATAATACTTTATACTCACCGGTGCCCTACATCAGTAAGTATTTACTAAACATCCACTGAATACCTTTATTATTCAGGCAATGATTTTGTGCTCAGATGTGTACTCCAGGCTCAGTGCAGAAGAATCAGGCCCAACGAGTCAAATTTCCACTTAGAGAATTCAGAGTAACAAAAGCTGATGTTTCTCCCCCAATTTAACTTTTCCTGACCAAAAATATTTCTCAAAACTCCAGACTTTAAAAAATATAAAAAGAGATCCTCACGGAGTTCTTGCTCTATCAAAAGTTATATAATCCCTTATAATAAAATCTTTATATTCTTTCTTTAAAACTTTTTTTTTTTAGATTCAGGGGGTACACATGCAGGTTTATTCCATGGGTCTATTGTGTGATGCTGAGGTTTTGGGTATGAACACTCCTGTCACTCAGGTACTGAGCATAGTACCCAAAAGCTAGTTTTTCAACCCTTTCCTTCCTGTACTAGTTTTTCAGCACTTTCCTTTAGTAGTCCCCAGTGTATATTGTTGCCATCTTTATGGCCATCAGTACACCATGGTTAGCTCCCACTTATAATGAGAACATGCAGTATTTGGTTTTCTGTTCTTATGTTAATTCACTTAGGATAAATGGCCTCCAGCTGCATGCATGTTGCTGCTGCAAAGGACATTACTTCATTCTTTCTTTTTCCATTTTTTTATTATACTTTAAGTTCTAGGGGGAGGGATAGCATTAGGAAAAATACTAATGTAAATGATGACTTCATTCTTTTTTATGGTTGTGTTGTATTGCATGGTGTATGTGTAATACATTTTCTATATCCAATCCACTATTAATGGGCACCTAAGTTGATTCCATATCTATGCTATTGTGAGTAGTGCTGCTATGAACATATGAGTGCATGTGTCTTTTCGGTAGAGCAACTCGTTTTCTTTTGGATATGTACCCAGTAATGGGATTGTCGAGTCAAATGGTAGTTGTAAGTTCTTTGAGAAATCTCCAAACTGCTTTTCACAGTTGCTGAATGAATTTACACTCCCATCAACAGCGTATAATTGTTCCCTTTTCTCCACAGCCTCACCAGCACCTGTTGCTTATTGACCTTTTAATAATAGCCATTCTGACTGGTGTGAGATGGTATTTCACTGCGGTTTTGATCTGCATTTCTCTGACTTATAAAATCTTTTTATTCTTGATCATAGACCCAGTCAGGACATTTTAAAGGAATAAATGATTTTATGTGAGGGAACAGGAATTGAGGATGAGACCATCAAGCTTGGTTGATGCAGGATTCCTTTTTCAGTATGGAATAAAGTGTATATTTCAAATGTACACAGTAACATTATATGTGTATCAATGAAATAAAAGTTTTAAGAAATATTATTTATGAATCACTGATCCTTTCTATTACATTCATGCACTTAAAAAAATACTGGCCACAATTGTTTAACCCGCCAATAGCTTACAACTGGAGATTGAAAAACCCATGGTTTAAGGAACAGAGCAAGAGTTTTGGGTTTGTGTGGACTTATACTCTTGCCCTGAGGCAGGTTAACATCTTTTGAGCTTCATATTTTATTCATAAAATGATCTTGTTCTTTATTGGGTGATAGTATGAGTTGACTGATAGTTAACTTGTAATGTGGCTGGCATGTGAAACACTCAATAAATGTTCCTCTCCTGATAAATATAAGGTTTTTCTTATCCTCCCCTCTTTTTAATTTTTTCATTTGCTTCTGTAGTTTCTTACTGTGCTAGTGACATGGTAAACTAGGACTGGAAACAAATATTATCATCTAGATCTAAAAACATGATATTATAACTGTGCTTGTCATCAGGATGATTGTGACAGTTCTTATCTCAACAGTCTTGGTAAGTTTTTCCCTTGAACTTAAAGTGTTTCTTTTTTTACTGAGCACTGGAAATCCTAAGTGAAATAGAGAATATGTTAAATATCATAGTAGTTGTTGGTACCATTCACTGATATTTCAGGTTGTCATCCATTCATCAAGTAATGGGGATTGCCCTCCCCATGTCCCTCTTGAAGTGAGATATGAGAAGAGGCGACGTGTCACTTCGCAGTGGGAGTCTTTAAAACCAAACAAAAATTGTCCTTTTCTTTCACATTCCCAGGATGGCAGTAGTGTTTCACATGAGAAGGCCCATCAGTTTGTCTCTGAATGAGAACAACTAGGAACAGGGCCTACTGAACTGAAATTTGCATATAACATGAGCTAGAAATAATTTTTTTAAACACTGATAATTGTCAGTTATTACCAAAGTGCAGCCTAGCATATTTTGACTGATAAAAATGCAATTTTCCTTTATTCATATAAACAATTGTATTAGTTTGCTAAGGCTGCCATAGCAAAGTAACACAGACTGGGTGACTGAACAGAAATTTATGTTCTGATAATTCTGAAGGCTATAATTCCAAGATCAAAGTATTGGCAGGGTTGATTTCTTCTGACGTCTTTCTCCTTGGCTCATAAATAACCATCTTCTTCCTGTATCTTCACAGTCTTCCCTCTGTGGCCATCTGTGTCCTAATTTTCTCTTCTTTACCAGTCACGTTGGATTAGGGCTCACCCTAATGGCCTCATTTTAACTTTAAATACCCTATCCCCAAATACAGTCATGTTTTGAGATATTAGGGGTTAGGACTTCAAAATAAGAATTTGAGGGGACACAAGTCAGCCCATAATATTAATAGTAATGTTTGCTCACTTGATCTAGGCTGCATTATTTTACCTAACTTACCGAGCAGAAATATAAGCCTCTATTGTAACCATGATTTTGACCAGAAGCTAGTAATTAGTTTGAGATGATATCGTATAAGTATCTAAACCAACTTAATTCACCTGGCATTTGGGGTCAAAAAAATAGAATCATTTATTATTAGTTTTTGTAGGTCATCAATATCCAACAACTACATCCATGTGGATCCAAAACAACTATAGAAATGTGTATAATTGATCAAATAAATAGGATTTTTATTTCATTTAATAAAATATAACCTCTGCAAAAACAAAAACTGCATTTTTTTATTAAAAAAGACTGTGATAGTCAAATAAATACATTGAACAATTCATGAATGAGAACCAAAAATCCAAAACCTTTCACTGACTGGATTTGCATAGCCTAAGAATATTAAGTATAACTCCTCAGGCCGGGCGCAGTGGCTCACGCCTGTAATCCCAGCACTTTGGGAGGCTGAGGCAGGTGGATCATGAGGTCAGGAGATCGAGACCATCCTGGCTAACACGGTGAAACTCCGTCTCTACTAAAAATACAAAAAATTAACCAGGCATGGTGGCGGGCACCTGTAGTCCCAGCTACTCGGGAGGCTGAGGCAGGAGAATGGCATGAACCCAAGAGGCAGAGCTTGCAGTGAGCCAAGATTGTGCCACTGCACTCCAGCCTGGGTGACAGAGCGAGACTCCATCTCAAAAATATATATATATATATATAAAACTCCTCGAAGATGGCATTCATATGTGGGAGATGTCTCAGAAAGAAGCATACTTCTAGGATATGAATACACACACCTCCACAATTCTTATCTACTTAGCCTCATCATTACTACCCTACTAGTAATGGGTTGGATAACCAATGTCATTGAAAGAATTGCAAATTAAAAAAAAATTCTCAGTGCCCCAGAAAGCCACTAGAATTTGAGGTATAGGGAGGATGCTAAAGATAAGGGAGTAACAACTGTCACTAGTAGAATGATAGTAATCATTTTACTGTGTGGTAATAATAGCAACAATACCTGGAAAAATAACATCCTTGGATCATTCCAGAGATCTATGCGATAGTATTGAATTGCAGGCTTTTCTCTGATACTGAGTAGAGGAAGAGTAGCCCTCCCTACTAATGTTACTGTGGGAATGCAAATCATGAAAAAATATATATGGCCTATAAATACTGTGCTCAGGTCATTCAAAAAAAAAATTAAAACTCTTGTTCTACAAGTTGTAATTCATGGATGACTTGAATATGGAGGAGGAAATATAGTACAATTTAAGGAAAGAACTGAACTGGAACACATAACACATTCCTTCCCATAACACATTCACTGTGTTATGGTTTTCTGATTCATCTTCATGATAAATTAGCCAAAGGGTCTTGGGTGAGTCACTTAACCTCTCTGGACCCCAGTTTCCTCATTTATAAAGCCAGAAGCCCAACAAAAGAGCTACCGAGACTCTTGTCTGATTGAAGTAAGCAGTTGCAGAGGCAGAGCCTGCCTCTTTTGACCTATTTGCCCCCAGACTTTCTTCTGGCAATGCCAGTGTTCCTTGGGACCCCTCCTTGGAACTCAGGCTTCTCAAACCACTGAACATATCTCATCTAGAAATAATCTGTGGTCAATCCCATTACTGGATTTATATCCAAAGGGATATAACTCATTCTACTTTAAAGACACATGCATGCATATGTTCATTGCAGCCGTATTCACAACAGCAAAGACATGAAACCAACCTAAATGCCCATCAGTGGTAGACTGGGAAAAGAAAATGTGGTACATATACACTATGCAACACTATGCAGCCATAAAAGAAGAACAAGATCATGTCCTTGGCAGGAACATGGATGGAGCTTGAGATCATTATCCTCAGCAAACTAACACAGAAACAGAAAACCAAATACTGCATAATTCTCACTTATAAGTGGGAGCTAAATGATGAGAACACATGGACACATAGAGGAGAGCAACGCATACTGGGACATTTTGGAGAGTGGAGGGTGGGAGGAGGGAGAAGATCAGGAAAAATGAATAATGGATACTAGGCTTAACACCTGTGTGATGAAATAATCTGTACAATAAACCTCTATGACACAAGTTTACCTATGTAACAACCTGCACTGTACTCCTGAACTTAAAATAAAAGTTAAATTTAAAAAAGGAAAAATAAAAGCTCTCTGTGGTCCTCTCAGTCACTAAAATTCTGCAACCCATGTGAGATTATCTCATTATTAAGTTCCTAAGTATAAACTGACATTTATAGTTTGTCTGGAGATGCAAATTTGCCTAAATTTTGAGAGGGTCATTCATTAGTCAATGCTTTTCCAAACATTTAGATATCTGCTGTTCCCTCTCCTTGAAATTCTTTCTGTTCTCTTTTATTCTCCCTTCCCATAACACATTCACTATTTCTATTAGAAAAACTCCTGCTCAACATTACAAACCCTATTCAGGGTTTCCTATGTTCTCTATGAAGTGTTCCCTACTACCCCATCTAAACTTCTGCTGGCTTTCAATCCAATTCCTCCATTTTTCTTTCCTTTGACATTATCCAAACTTCTGTGTTTCCATGGACCTCAGTGTCCTGTGATTATTTCTTTATGTAACCACTTGTCTTTTTCTGGCAAAAAAAAAAAAGAACCTGTGTCACTCATCTTTACATCTCTGTTTGCCACACCTAACACTGTGCTTAATTGTTATTAGTATGCACTCAAGAGTTTTATTAGACTGACGAGATATTTTGAATATAAAGCAACTCTGTAATAGTAATGCACAGAAGCCAGTTAAGGGGTGAAACTGAGTTCACAGAAGCCCCCATATGGAGCTGAGTTCGTTAATTTAATAACAACCAGATCTGAATTCTTCCTTAATAGATTCAACACTGAGGAAGTGGGATGGGAACAGAGGTGGGCTAAGGAGTGATCTTTAGCATTGCTATATTACAGTATTGAAAATAATATTTTCCCCTTGTAAAACTTTTGCTTTATTCATTTCTCTTTAGTCATTATTATTTTTTCTGGGAAACTGAAGGCTCTTATTTGAAGATTTTTTTTTTTCTGGAGTACCCACCCTGGACTTGAGCATGATGTCCTAGAACAAAATATTCCCAGGAGAAACTTGAGTGAGGAGACAAAAACAAGGTCATTTTTAAAACAGCTTCAAAAGTTAGCCTGCCTCCAAGTTTTTTCCCAGAAGCAGAACCCAAACGCTAAAAAAGGATAATCTAGGTTAAACCACTGACTCCCGAAATGTAGTTGCACGTCTTACATGCTCATTGTTCATTATTCAAATGTGGAATACATCGACTTTTCTCTGGGAGTGAGAGAGATGGGACTATAAAAGTATGCTATTAGTGCTAATTATACTTTGCCTTTCACCTTGTTAGCAGAGCAAAGCTAAAATTTAACGTGATCGACAGGCAGTTTGACTGGGTATTCTTTATTTTAGTAGCCTATGATTTTTCAGTTTTAACTAGCAGAGAAAATAATCAATTTGATGAGGATAAAACATCAAAATGAAATGAAAATATTACAGTTATTATAAGTTAAAGCACATCAGTAGCTGATTTAGCCATCACCTGAAACACAACAACATCCTGGTAGCAGAATTCAGATTATTTAGTGAGAAAGTCTTGACTTACACTGGAAATCCGTGGTGAGTATGATGTAGTGACTTTGCCTAAACAGGAAATTGCAAAGAGGGGAGAGTAGAGGAGGCCTGCTGGTTACTGTGCAAGTAGAGTCACAAGTAAATTGACAATGTTTTGGTCTTCTTATTTCTTGGCCAGTGCAGACAAAGGTCTAGGCAAGAAGTCAAAGCCAGATGACTAAATAATTATAAATCTTCCTAAATTCGAAATCTCTATAGTTAGTGGGGAAGCAGCTGACCAGGATGAGGTACAACAATACTCAGAACATCAGGATATGTATTTGGCAATTTGGCTTCACTGTGCCAAGTTTTAAACTTTCTTATTTAAGAAAGAGCCTCTTAATCTGAGCAAATGGGCTCAACTATATGTTATGTCTGTGCCTGTATATAGTGGTAAAGAATGCCAACCCTCTACTAAGGAACAAACATGGATTATCTGATTTAATCCTTACAACCCTATGGTGCAGGGACTATTACAAGCCCCATTGTGCAGATAAGGTACAACATTGTTCAATAATGTATGCAAGGTCACAGAGCCAGAAAGTGACTTTAAACTCAGGCAACCTGACTCTAAAGCCAACACTTTACTGCTCCTGCAGTAAAAATAGGAAAGATGCAGGCCTTGTAGGAATTTCTAAGGAACAAGTGAAATTAATATCAGAGCAAATCATTTTATTAGTGCTCTTAAAATCTTCAAAGAGGCAATAGCTTAAATATTGGAACCGCCAAGGAATTTGAAATTTACTTTACCAGTGTCTTTCAAATATGCCGAGGAGGCCCAGCCCCTGAAAATGATGGCATTCTTCTCAGAACATCATGAAATAATGATGTAGCCAAGGACATCATTGGAAGTAGGAAAAAACTTTATTCTCAGAAAATATGCTTGCATTCTGAACCTCTAAATAGGACCAATAATATATATAATATTTGGAGAAATCACATTTGTTTTCAAGTTTTTAGTTTCATATTTTTGCCTATTGGTCATTCCTTTTACCCTCTGTTAACAGGAGACAAATTGTAGCAAGTCTCATTTTTCCGCATTTAGGAAAAATCAAAGATGAAATGAATAATATTCTGCATTAATTCATTTTTCTGCAATTTTGGAAAAGAAGATGATGTCCTATTGCAAGACAATAAGCTTGTTCATCTTTTGGAACACTCCCAGAGAACGGTCAGGAACCACTGGACAGACCAGAAAATGTCCTAAGCTTTGTTACTTTGAGAATACCTTTGCCATAAAAGCTTTTTTAGTTGTATATTTTGAATATAATTGTATAACTAAAGAATATTTATTGAAAATTTTTGGGAAATAAAGATACTCATAATATGACTTTTCCAATATGCTCTTAATACTTTGGAAGAATTTTCATCAATAAACATGAATCCTGTTTATTCTTCGGCCCTTTATAGAAGACCTGCCCTAGAGTATGGTCTTAGGGAATTTGAGTTTATGCTGGAGTCTGCCACAAACTCCTTGTGAACTCAAGAAAATATTGCTCTTCCTGGTCTCAGTAGAGGATGAGGAGGAATCTATGTTGCCAACCAATTTCCAGGGCTTTTCGTGTGAATACATTTTATATGATATTAGAGCCTGAGCTTTCTAAATGCCAGTGTTATAACTACTGCCAGGCAACCCCTAGTGTAGATGAAACAGATTTCTATACAGCATAATTTGTGTAGGTCCAACTACTCAACTTCTTTGTAGGTCCAAAAAAAGAGGGAGAGGAAGAGCTCAGTAGGATGCTGGAAATGTTCCAGAGCTGATGGACCCAGAAGTCAATAAGTTAGTAAACATGTGTTCAGCACCAACAGTATCATTATAACAACCATAAACTTAATTGGCACTATTTATTGGACTGTAAGAAAGGAAAAACAGAGAATCCGAATTACCGCCTGACCCCTTTCCTTATACATTTTCCTATATTTATGCCTAGATTACATAACTTAATGTAAGGAGTTGAGGTTCTCCACCCATCAAAGTCTTGAAACCACACACTTCAGAAAATAAAACCTATATTATATTGGGAGGAGGCTGCTCTTATCAACCCAAATTTAGCAGAGCCTAGGCCTAATAGTATAGGAATGTGGAAGCCCCAGGGCATAATTCTTCAGGTTTACTCATGGCATGGTAAAATAACAATACATGGTTGTTTCTCTAGAAGGTTACCTTTTTTTTTCTTTTTTTTTTTTTATATGGAGTCTTGCTCTGTCACACAGGCTGGAGTGCAGTGGCTCGATCTCGGCTCACTGCAACCTCCACCTCCCAGGTTCAAGCGATTCTCATGCCTCAGATTCCCAAGTAGCTGGGATTACAGGCGTGCATCACCTCACATAGCTAATTTTTGTATTTTTTTTAGTAGAGACGGGGTTTCACCGTGTTGGCCAGGCTGGTCTCGAACTCTTGACCTCAGGTGATCCACCTGCCCCAGCCACCCAAAGTGCTGGGATTAAGGCTTTCATGAGCATCCGTGTGAAGAGACCACCAAACAGGCTTTGTGTGAGCAACATGGCTGTTTATTTCACCTGGGTGCAGGTGGGCTGAGTCTGAAAAGAGTCAGTGACGGGAGATAAGGGTGGGGCAGTCTTATAGGATTTGGGTAGGTAAAGGAAAATTACAGTCAAAGGGGTTTGTTCTCTGGCGGGCAGGAGTGGGGGTCGCAAGGTGCTCAGTGGGGGTGTTTTTGAGCCAGGATGAGCCAGGAAAAGGACTTTCACAAGGTAATGTCATCAGTTAAGGCAAGGACCGGCCATTTACACTCCTTTTGTGGTGGAATGTCATCAGTTAAGGTGGGGCAGGGCATATTCACTTCTTTTGTGATTCTTCAGTTACTTCAGGTCATCTGGGCATATACGTGCAAGTCACAGGGGATGTGATGGCTTGGCTTGGGCTCAGAGGCCTGACATTTCTGCCTTCTTATATTAATAAGAAAAATAAAACAAAATAGTGTTGAAGTGTTGGGGCGGTGTAAATTTTTGGGGGGTGGTATGGAGAGAGAATGGGCGATGTTTCTCAGGGCTGCTTCAAGCGGGATTAGGGGCGGCGTGGGAACCTAGAGTGGGAGAGATTAAGCTGAAGGGAGGTCTTGTGGTAAGGGGTGATATTGTGGGGATGTTAGAAGAAACATTTGTCGTATAGAATGATTGGTGATGGCCTGGATACGGTTTTGTATGAATTGAAAAACTAAATGGAATAACAGAAGGAGAAAAACAGGTATAAAAGGTCTAAGAATTGGGACGACTCAGGATATCTGATTAGAGAGTGCTTAAGGAGATTCGGCATAGTCCTGCCAGCAAAGATTATTTATTTACTTCAAGAGTTAAAAGTGGAAGTTTGGGGATAGCACCAGGAGATATCAGCTGTGATGGCTTGGAAAAACAGTGTAAACTGGCAGTGTAAACAAGAGCAGGGCATGTATGAGTAGTTGAGAATGGTGGAGTATGACTAGACAGAAAATAGTAGGGATGACAAGATTTTTTTTTTGGGCGGTGGGGGCACAGTCTAAGTTGGTCTGGTGTCTGGAATGATACTGGGGCCTAATAAAAAGGAGCGTCTATACAGGAGCTTAAATGGGCTGTACCCTGTAGCATTCCGAGGACAGGCCTGAATTCTGAGAAGGGAAAGTGGTAAAAGTATTGTCCGGTCCTTTTTAAGTTGGTGGCTGAGCTTGGTGAGGTGTGTTTTTAAAAGACCTTTAGTCCATTCTACTTTTCTTGAAGATGGAGGACCGTAAGGGATATAAAGGTTTCACTGAATACTAAGAGCCTGAAAAACTGCTTGGCTGATTTGACTAATAAAGGCTCATCTGTTATCAGACTGTATTGAGGTGGGAAGGCTAAACTGAGGAATTATGCCTGACAGAAGGGAAGAAATGACTGCGGTGGCCTTCTCAGACCCTGTAGGAAAGGCCTTTACTTATTCAGTGAAAGTGTCTATTTAGACTAAGAGGTATTTAGTTTCCTGACTGGGGCATGTTGAGTAAAGCTAATTTGCCAGTCCTGGGTGGGGGCAAATCCTCGAGCTTGATGTGTAGGGAAGGGAGGGGGCCTGAATAATGTGAGGAACAGGAAAGAAGGAAATTTGGGGAAATGGGGTGAATGTCAGGTGGATCAGAGAGATACAGTCATGGGGGTCAGGTGTAGTATCAGGAATAATGTGGGAGGCCGGATTGAAGTCTGGGCCAGGAACAATGGTAATTGTGGGAGACTCCACAAAGAGTGAGTATAGCTGAAGGAGCCGGGAAGCAGAAAGTATGTACGTCAGGTATGAGGAAGAAAATAGATTTTGGAAGTTATGAGAACTGTAGAGAGTGAGTTGAGCATAGTTTGTGATTTTGAGGGCCTCTAAAAGTATTAAAGCAGCGGCAGCCGCTGCACGCAGACATGAGGGCTAGGCTAAAACAGTAAGGTCAAGTTGTCTGGACAGAAAGGCTACAGGGTGCAGTCCTGGCTCTTGTGTAAGAATTCTGACTGCACTAACTATGCCTAGGAAGGAAAGGAGTTGTTTTGTAAGGGATTGAGGTTTGGGAGATTAATCAGACACGATCAGCAGGGAAAGCACGTAGGTTTTTATGAGAATTATGCCGAGATAGGTAACAGATGAGGATGAAATTTGGGCTTGACTGAAGTAATGGGGGCTGTCTATGAAGCTTTGCGGCAGTACAGCCTTGGTAATTTGCTGAGCCTAATGGGTGTCAGGGTCAGTCTAAGTGAAAGCAAAGAGAGGCTGGGACGAGGGGTGCAGGAGAATAGTGAAAAAAGCATCTTTAAGATCAAGCACGGAATAGTGAGTTGTGGAGGAAGTTATTGAGGACAAAAGAGTGTACGGGGTTGGGCACCACAGGGGGGATAGGCAAAACAATTTGGTTGATAAGGTGCAGATCCTGAACTAACTTGTAAGGCTTGTCTGGTTTTAGGACAGGTAAAATGGGGTAATTGTAAGGAGAGTTTATAGGCTTTAAAAGGCCATGCTGTAGCAGGCGAGTGATAACAGGCTTTAATCTTTTTAAAGCGTGCTGCGGGACGGGATATTGGCGTTGAGTGGGGTAAGGGTGATTAGGTTTTAATGAGATGGTAAGGGGTGCATGATTGGTCGCCAAGGAGGGAGTAGAGGTATCTTATACTTGTGGGTTAAGGTCGGGGGATACAAGAGGAGGACGCAAAGGAGGCTTTGGATTGGGAAGAAGGGTGGCAATGAGATATAGCTGTAGTCCAGGAATAGTCAGGGAAGCAGATAATTTAAAGTGTCTTAAGCCTAATAAGGGAACTGGGCAGGTGGGGATAACTAAAAAGGAGTGCTTAAAAGAGTATTGTCTAAGTTGGCACCAGAGTTGGGGAGTTTTAAGAAGTTTAGAAGCCTGGCCATCAATACCCACAACAGTTACGGAGGCAAGGGAAACAGGCCCTTGAAAAGAGGGTAATGTGGAGTGGGTAGCCTCCGTATTGATTAAGAAGGGGACGGGCTTACCTTCCCCTGTGAGAGTTACCAGAAGCTCGGCGTCCCTGATGGTCTAGGGGGCTTCCGAGGCTATCGGGCAGTGTCAGTCTTCAGCCGCTAAGCGGAGAAGATCTGGGAAGGAGTCAGTCAGAGAGCCTTGGGCCAGAGTTCCAGGGGCTCTGGGAGTGGCTGCCAGGTGAGTTGAACAGTCCGATTTTCAGTGCGGTCCCACACAGATGGGACGCGGCTTAGGAGGAATCCCGGGCTGCGGGCATTCCTTGGCCCAGTGGCCAGATTTCCGGCACGTGTAGCAAGCTCCTGTGGGAGGAGGTTCTGGAGGAACGCCTGGCCGCTGCGGTTCAGGCGTTTGGAAGTTCTTGTGTGCTGGAGATTTGGCTGGGGTTTGTCTCACAGTGGAGGCAAGGAATTGCAACTTTTTTCTGTTATTGTACACCTTGAAGGTGAGGTTAATTAAGTCCTGTTGTGGGGTTTGAGGGCCAGATTCCAATTTTTGGAGTTTTATTTAATGTCGGGAGCAGATTGGGTAATAAAATGTATATTGAGAATAAGACGGCCTTTTGACCTTTTAGGGTCTAGGGCTGTAAAACGTCTCAGGGTTGCTGCCAAATGAGCCATGAACTGGGCTGGATTTTTATATTTGATGAAAAAGAGCCTAAACGCTTCTGATTTGGGATAAAGAAAAAGGAGCATTAACCTTGACTATGCCTTTGGCTCCAGCCACCTTTTTAAGAGTAAATTGCTGGGCAGGTGGGGGAGGGCTAGTCACGGAACGAAACTGTAAGCCGGACCAGGTGTGAGGAGGGGAGGTGATAAAAAGATTATAGGGTGGAGGAGCAGAGGCTGAGGAAGAATTGGGACCTAGCTCGGCCTGGCGAGGAGCAGCCTGGGGAGGAAGGAAGAGGTCAGATTTGTCTGTAGAAAAGGAAGATTAGAAAGACTCAGCGACACTTGGGGTTGGTACTGAGGGGACAGGCGGGAGGGAAAGAAGGAAGATTTGGGATGAGTTGCCCTGAGCACAGAGATTAGGAAGGGACTGATGTGTAAAAGAATGCCTCGACGTCAGGCACCTCAGACCGTTTGCCTATTTTACGACAAGAATTATTTAGATTTTGCAGGATGGAAAAATTCAAAGTGCCATTTTCTGGCTATTTGGAACTACTGTCAAGTTTGTATTGGGGTCAAGCGGCATTGCAGAAGAAAATAAGGCATTTAGGTTTTAGGTCAGGTGTGAGTTGAAGAGGTTTTAAGTTTTTGAGAACACAGGCCAAGGGAGTAGAAGGAGGAATGGAGGGTGGAAGGTTGCCCACAGTGAAGGAAGCAAGCCTAGAGAAAAGAGAGAGTAGAGAAATGGAGAGAAGGGGTTTGGGGGTTCTTATCTTCCAGAAAAGTGGGAAAGGGGGTTGGGGCACAGAGATAAGAGGTTGGGGTGTGGAAATAAGGGATTGGGGTGCAGAGATATAAGAGGTTGGGGTGCAGAAATAAGGGATTGGGGCACAGAGGTAAGAGGTCAGGGTGCGGAAATAAGGGATTGGGGCACAGAGATAAGAGGTTGGGGCGTGGAAATAAGGGATTGGGGGTTTTTGCCCCGTAGAAAAGTGGGACTCGCCGCTAAGGGTGAAGGAGAAGGGGTTGAGGGGTAGTTGCCCCTCTCCTAGAAAAGCGGGACTTGCTGCTAAGGGTGAAGGACCAAGGCAGGCATCCCTGGGTGGTCGGACACCCTTGAAACGTGGGTGTATAATCAGAGAGGTGTCCCTGCAATGATTAAACACCAAAGGAAGGCTGCCTTCCCTGTCCGTGACCGGCGCCGGAGTTTTGGGTCCACGGATAAAACGTGTCTCCTCTGTCTCTACCAGAAAATGAAAGGAATTGAAATTAAGGGAGAGATTGAAGTGTGGCGCCAAGATTGAAAGGAGAAACAGGTTGAGGGATAGTGAGGGAGGTTGGAGAAGAGGGTAAAAAGAGGCCGCTTACCGGATTTGAAATTGGTGAGAAGTTTCTTGGGCTGGTCGGTCTGAGGACCTGAGGTCATAGGTGGATCTTTCTCACGGAGCAAAGAACAGGAGGACAGGGGATTGATCTCCCAAGAGAGGTCCCCTGATCTGAGTCACGGCACCAAATTTTATGCGCGTCCGTGTGAAGAGACCACCAAACAGGCTTTGTGTGAGCAACATGGCTGTTTATTTCACCTGGGTGCAGGTGGGCTGAGTCCGAAAAGAGTCAGCGAAGGGGGATAAGGATGGGGCTGTTTTATACGATTGGGGTAGGTAAAGGAAAATTACAGTCAAAGGGGGTTTGTTCTCTGGCGGGCAGGAGTGGGGGTTGCAAGGTGCTCAGTGGGGGTGCTTTTTGAGCCAGGATGAGCCAGGAAAAGGACTTTCACAAGGTAATGTCATCAGTTAAGGCAAGGACCGGCCATTTACACTCCTTTTGTGGTGGAATGTCATCAGTTAAGGTGGGGCAGGGCCTATTCACTTCTTTTGTGATTCTTCAGTTACTTCAGGTCATCTGGGCGTATACGTGCAGGTCACAGGGGATGCGATGGCTTGGCTTGGGCTCAGAGGCCTGACAAAGGCTACTTTTTAAAAGGTGTTTTTAAAAGGGCTAGTAACAAAGACTTGAAGGGCACCCTGTAACCAGCACGTTTTGACAGAAAACTGCTACAATACCACCAGCAGCTCCCTTCCTACTCTCCACATATTACTGGCCACAAAGACTATGCTACACTGTGGCTTCAAACTCTGTATAAGACTCTAAGAGAGCCAACTTCAGCCTGGTGTTTCCTCATGGAGTCCCTCACTAGGTTCCACACATACATTTGGGCAAGTTCCTTAAAGTTGCTATATTACAGTATAAAGGAGAAGCAGTCAACAAACCTCACAATCTTTGCAAGCCTCACTCTTCAACTAGTCACAGCTGATAACTATTCTCCTGAAGTCTTGTTTTAAAGAGACCATTTACCCCAGGCCACTACAAGCCACAGATTCTGAGTATCTCATTTTGTTTCATCATGGAAGTTGTTTCATGTTCAAGCACAATCTGGTTAATAACAAATCCCAGATTTCTAACTTTGAGGTTTTGTTTCCTAGGATCACTGTTGGTAGGTACCACGTGTTTTTATCTAGACTAGTGAGGAAAATAGAACTCACTTTAGATTTCTGAATAAAAGAGATTGAGTGAAGGGTATTGCTTATAAACGTGCTTAAGGGGATGAAAGAGCGAAAGGAAAAAGAGGTTACTTTAAAATGAGGATATTACTATTGCTTCTGAACCCGAATCTGGCATGAATGTCAACGGTACTGATGTTCTGCTGCTGCAGTTAAAACTGCACAACCTCTTCTGAATAGGAATCCAGGAGCCTATACTACGGCTGAGAAGCCACACTCCCAGGGCTACACAGCTGGTGCCTTAGCATCAGCACAAGCAGAAAAAAACAACTGAGGCATTTTCCCTTCTTCCTATCTTCCATTTTTCCATGAATGCCTCCCATTGCAGGACCCAACTAGAAGCCAGCTTACAAAGCAGTCTTGGGAATGCGATTATGCAGTTTGCAGCTTCCACATCATCCCCCACACCTACTTGCAGGGAATGCAGTTGAAAATTGAGCTGCTCAAACAGAGAAACGACAGCTGAAACAAGAATGCTATTAACATATGTCAGCTCACTTATTTCCACCTCACCACATCCATGATGGCCATGCTATGTAGGTGACTATCTTCAACTTTCTGGCAGTCCTGTTGGCCTAGAGCAAGGCAGGATAGAAGTTACAAGAAGAGCAGAGTTTACCAAGTTGTATGAAAGTGTAAGATTTTCTGTTATATTTCAAGTAATGAAATTTCAACTTATATGTGTGTCTACATATAGCTAGCATACTCTATCAAATAGCATCAGTGCAATGCCTTAGACAGGCATCTTCGTTAATGAATATTTTTGGGGTATCCTCTAACATGCTGTTTTGTCAAAGGGAAAAGAAGCAAAATAAGTGCTACAGATTAGCTTCTATAAAGCATACACCTCTGCTTCAAATTCTGGCCATTAAATGTCAGTCTTCCGATATCCTAATTTGTTGGCCACCCACAACATCTAAGAAAATTCATATCACTTTTGTGCACCCAAAGATGAATACTAACTTGAGCAATCACATTACGTACATTTTCCTTTCTTTATAGATATAAAAAATGTGATGCATGTGCTGTGATTCACAGAGTCAATAATTTTGTAATTGACTGGAAGTCGTTGGTGACTGATTCAGGGTTGCCAGAATTTATAATCAGACTCTAGAGATGTAAAAATATGTCTAGTGTACTATATTAAAAACATCTCCTGTTCTGATTAGATGAGATCAAATGGGCAAAAGATCTTTACTCAGACATCGATGGAGTTAAATTTATCGAAAATCTACACAGAATTTGAAAAGCAATTTTTTAAAATAAAAATCCGATATCCAAAGTTTTAAGAGCCTGATTCAAAGACTATTTCTTCCCCTCTCCTATTCTGTGTCAAGCTTTTTATAACATTTCTATTATTTCAACACAAATATTTAAGTGCCTACTATATATCTGGCACAGTTTTAAGTATTTGTACTACCTCATTAAGCAAAGCTAAAGATGCTTCCTGACTTTGTCCTTGTAGAATTTCTATATTAACAGAAAGAGAGAAACAAGTAATGCATAATAAGGAAATTTTATTGTATATTTGAAGGTTACAAAGAAATTAGGAGTATCAAATGTCAAAGTTATGATTTTAACTAGAGAGGGTCAAAGAAAAAGTCTAGAGAAATTTAGAAGGACTTCAACCAAATAAAAATGAAATTACAATTTACCAAAATTTGGGGCATATAGTAAAAGCAGTGCTTAGAGGGAACTTGATAACATTGGATATATACATTAGAAGAAAATATCTAAAAATCAGTCATCTAAGTTTCCACCTTAGGAAACTAGAAAAAGAAGAATAATTTAATCTTAAAGCAGTAGAAGAAAAATTAAAGTAGAAATCTATAAGATTAAAAACAGGAAAACAACAGAGAAAAATCAATAAAACCAAAAGCCGGTTCATTGAAGAAGAAAATCAATAAAAATGATAAATCTCTCAGCAAACTAACCAAGAGAAAAAGAGAGAAGACACAAATTACCAATGTCAGAAATTAAAGAAGATTCATTACTACTGATTCTATGGACACTTAAAAGTAAAAGAATATTTAATAACTTAGATGAAATGGACTAATTCCTTCAAAGATACAAACTACCAAAACTCAAACAAGGAAGACTAGGTCATCTTAATCTGCCTATATTTGTTACAGAAATTGAATCAATTACTATCCTTCCAAAAAAAAAAGAGCATCAGGCCTAGATGTTGTCACAGATAAATTCTACCAAACATTTAAGAAAGAAATGATGCTAACTTCCTACAATCTCTTTGGAAGGCAGTCTTCCAAAAAATAGAAGCAAAGAGATTTCCTCATTCCATGAGGTTAGCATTATCTTAATAACAACCTATATCGTTATTGACTTAATTTGCCACTCCTCTGAAGAGACTTTTAATTTGAAAACAAAGATTTGATATCTACTAGTGTGACTGTCACTTTCTGTGGAACCTGGATGCCTTTGAACCACTTAGTCCTGTGACAGAGGTGATTGAACAAAAGGCTGATCGTTGATCCTACAGTCAGGAAAATATGAAAAATCTTAAGTGATCTAGAAAAAAACTGATGCAATTAGTTTCTTGACTTTTCATTTGTTAAAAAAGGTTTGAAAATCCTTGGTGCTGCATTATTGATAACATTAGAAGAATCTATTGTTCATTTCAACAAAGCCAAAACCTAACATTTGCCTAAATAATCTGGCTTTGCTTTGACCTTCAGCCCCTTTGCAAGCTTCACCTCTCTTCCTCAACCTCAGTATTCCAGGAACTTCCTGTGTGTGGTCTGGCCTGTTCCCTCTCCCCATTCCTCCTTTCCTGGTTTCCTCTCCATTCTTGTAGTCCTGGTTCTTCTTTCTCTCTACCTCTGCTGCCACCCACGGTCTTGGCACAGACAGCAACATTCAGATGTGTTGTCTGCCCCATATCAAACATCCAGATATCTGGATATCATATAATGGACTGAAATTTTAATTTTCCTTCCAAGAGTTTGCCTGTGATTTAGACAGAGTCTTTGTATTGTCTGGTTCAGCTCTGGGAATTGTCAAATTATCTGTAAAGAAGAATAAAACAGACCTAAGGATGAGGGAATCCAGTGAGTTTAAAGAGATCATCCTAAACTTGACCTTTGCTGTCAGTTTTACTGAGATAAGAAACATCTGCAAAATCTATATCTGCGTACTAAAATGCCTTTTGTTTAGAAACTGAACCTTTGAGGGGGTGAGGTCAGAGAACAGTTAGGAAATTGTTTCTTTTTTGTAATATGCTAAGAACTTCCATCCCAGAGAGGGGTAGGAGGATAAACTTCCTCTTTAAAAGCTATTAACCATATCCCTGGAAAAAGCAGAAGCTTAGACTGAATAAAACAATGCAATAGAATTTCATATTCTTTGATTAAGGAAAGTATTACTTCTCAATATATGCAATGGACCATGTAATTTCCATTTTTGACTTTCCCAAAGATATTGCCACCATATTTGAAAATTGAAAATAATATTTAGAAAAATCAAATCTAGAAATTACAAATAAAATATAATTCACAAATTAAAAATAAATACTCCTAATAAATTTATGTAGGCTTTATGATATAGAACTCTTGATCATTGGGTTAATTCACTTCTTTGAACTTCATAATGATAAAATAACTAAAAATTTATATCCTTATTTTCCCTCCAAAAATCAATTAACCTACAAGTCTACAAACAAAACAAAATCCATGAAATACTAAAACAATTCTTAAAATGAAGTTTATAAGGATTTGGCTGTCTGGGATTACAAGATTATAGCCATTAAAAATCTCCAGAAGGGATTTAATTTTCTGCCTTAGGCGCTTGGCCCTTTTACACATAAAATAAGTATCTAGGTGCAAAGATAAATCTGGTCCTCCTGCTGTATCTATGTAATTTAAATTTTCAGACGTGCTTTAGATACAAAAAAAAAAATGACAAGTTTCACAATAGTGAAAACTTCACAATTAATGTTTTTGTAAATAAGTAATTAAAACATTCTGTGTTATATCTGTTCTATTTTGCTGATTAATTTGGAAATACCATCTCATACCTTTTAAATTCCATATAAACAGAACTGCTTAAGTAAAATATGATACCAGTACTCTGAATTAGTTTCCAGAGATTCTTGGGAAGATGTTCTATTTTAACTTGAGGGCCAGTTAATTATTTTTTAAAATTATGAAATAATCAAAAATTGCATTTGTAGGAAGATTTTGCTTTGATGTGATTTTTTATCCCTAACATTACAAAAAAAAAAAAAAAGACTGCAAACTAAGTCCAAACACTTGACATTTGAATCTACAGTGAGAATAGCTGACATGCATCATTTCAAGTATAAATCATCATAAATAATGATTATTATAACCAGAATTTTCAGGCTACTGCCAAGTCTCTGAACTACATAGGCCTCTCTTTTCTTTTTTTCTTTTATTATTTTTTGTAATAAAAAAGAAAACATAGCATAAATGTGCCCTCTTAACAGCTTTAAGTGTACATTATAGTATTATTAACTATATGCGTTTTGTCATATAACATCTCTCTAGTACTTTCATATGCCATGGCTGACATTCTATATTCAGTGAACAACTCTCCATTTCCCCCTCCCTGCAGCCCCTGACAATCACCTACTTTCTGTTTCAATGAGTTTGATTACTTTAGATACTTTATATAAGTAGACATCGGTCTCCTTTGGGTAATTTTCCATTATGTCATAACAGTAAATATTAATATGTGCTCCTTATGCTATAGTTTTATCATCCCAGCTGTGGTGGATATGGTGGACTGATTTGCTCAACTATATTTCTTTCTAGTTGTACCTTCTTTCTAGTTGTAGCTTCCTGAACTGTGGACACTGAAAACCAGAATCAGTATCTCCCACACTCACAACTGAGTTCTGGATGTGATTTTGGTTTTGCCAGTTAGATCCATTCATGTAAGATTTGGAAGCAGAAGTAAGACAGAGGTTGAAATCCTTGTGCTTTTGGAAGTTGCTTCTGGCACACAAAAATATGGAGACATAGGTTCTTCTGCAGTGGCGTATCAATGTTCAGTCACTAGCTTTGTGGGTACTGAAAAGCAGTTGCAGTAGTGTTGGTGGCAACTGGAATCAAATCAGTTTTCTGGCATCCCGGTGCCAACTTTGTTGGTGTCAAGAGGCAGCTGGAGCAGTAAAAGTGGGAGCCTCCTGATCCTGGATTCAACTACAGCAGATTGCTCTTGAACTCATCAATTCTAGCAGCCCTCCTGATCCTCTTTTCTTTTCTTGGGTTTTGTTTGTTTGTTTTAGATGGAGTCTTGCTCTGTCACCCAGGCTGGAGTACAATGGTGCCATCTCAGTTCACTGCAACCTCCACCTCCTGGGTTCAGGCAATTCTCCCGCTTCAGCCTCCCGAGTAGCTGGAATTACAGGCACCAGGGATGATGATCCCCCAACTTTCTAACTGTAATAGAGGGTGGCTGCTTTGTTGGCAGGTCAGCTTAGCCATTTCATTCTACAAGTCTTCCCTAGGGACATAACCTAGTGCCCATTCCTTTCAACCTTTGCAGTGATTTATTTAAGCATCTAATTCTCTGTAGTAAGCCACTTTTCACTTAAAATTGCCAAAGTGATTCTTATTCCTCCAACTGGCCCTTGGCTGATATAGCAGCTGAGAGAATTATAGCCTGTTTTAACTAGATTCCAGCTTCAATGCCCCTCCCTCTGCCCTCAGTTTATTAGATGCCTTTGGCTTTAATTAATGTCAAAAATGACTCATGATCAGTCATTTTAATGCTAGTCTCTTCAATTGCTCAGATTGGATTACTGCCGCAAAAATAACAAACTAGCATTTTGGTATTTATTCACTATAATTTTGAAATACCACACTAATGCCAATATTTCATTTTTAAAAGTACTCAGGATTCATATTTTTAAAAACCAATGAAATTAAAAATATAATAGATTTTAAACAGAAAAAAACTTAAATAAAAATGTAAATTAATGTAGATATAAATCTTAAACACATTTTCTAATTCTGATATAACCATTAGGTGATAAAAATGGAATAAAGTATCATTGAAAAATACAACCTAAACATATAAAAATAATGTAAAAGTTAAGCATTTTAAGATGAAACATTATTTTGCCTATTTTTAAATATGCAACTTTAAAAGACAAATGCAGCAGCAAGTGTGCATTAAGATATTTTGAACAACATATTTTAAGCTTCAGCTACAAATTCTGATTTTTTTTACTTATAAATAGAATGTCTAGAAAATACTGTCATGACAATCCAAACATTATCCTCTAGCTCTTTCATCTTCAAATAATCTTATCTCTTGTCTTATAATTTCAAATAAATATTTTTAGAGACTTTTGTTTAGGGGCAGGGTCAGACACTAAAATCTTTATACTGAGAGTGAAATGTTCTTGTTTTAAGAAAGCATTTCCAGTCTGTCTTCCTCTTCTTTGGTTTCATTGTGTATAGATGGGGAGTCTGATTTAGAATTACTTATATCTATTTTGATTTCATATTTCCTTGATACTTTGAAAAGTCATCTAACTACAATAAAATCTGTTCTTTCAGTAGAAGCTTTGCAGGACTCTAATAATGGCTGCTTATGAAAGTCATACAGACAAGGATGTGGACTGGGATATCATTTTTGTATTTCAGCCATCTAACTTAATCTCAAGATAAAAATCACTTGGATTTCAGGATTTTTTTAAATTACCAGAAGAACAGTTCATAGGCACAAACAAGGGGTTCTCCAAATACCTCAGACACAGACCTCTCCTTCGCCACATACATTTTTCTGTTCTACATCTCACTCTCCCTCCAACCCACATTTTACCCTTCCTGACTCTCAAAGGATTGCACTCTCTTTCCTTATTGTAAAATGAGAAGCCTCCTAAGAAAAGCCCTTTCATCATCATTTCTCATCAGTCCAAGCCCTTTTGTCTTTTCTTTCTTTTTTATTTCCTATCCCAAGGGAAGAGGTTCCCTTGCTTTGTGAAATTTGTCAAGATCAAAATAGAGTCACTTGTGTAAAAATGCACACACACTCACACATAGAACAAAAAACACCCTGGCAGATAGAAACAGGGAAGGCCGTGGAGAGAAGGATTCTCACAAATAAATGCCCCATAACAGAAACTATCACAAAAGACTAAAAACTGTGAACTTGCACAAAGGCCATCACAATTTTACACACAAAAAAATACTTCTGCAGGGACATCTGCCCAGCAACTGCCTGTCCAACCTTGAACTGGTGCCACCCTTGTTATTGATCTTTGAGGCCAAGGATAATTATCTCAAAACAATTATGTCATTTTTCCTTTCAAAACTTTTGTCTTCCCTTACCTCCCTAAAACTAGTGCACATAGGTCACTATGGCACGAATATTACCATTGCAGTGCCCTATTCCCCCCCAAAAATATCATTTTCTTTAGAGAGCCTCTCTGTTTGTTATTTAGGTTGATACTTCTCACTTCTAATGCTTTCCCCTCCTGTCTCCTAGAAACCTCATTCCATTAATTCCCCAACCCCTCCCCAAATTTCAATCATATCTAACTTTATTTCCAAATGTCAGTTCTCTTCATATTTTAAAAATTACCCTTGACCCTATTATTTCTTATCTATCATCTTTCACTCTTACAGAAGCAGTGAGATGTGGAGTTCCTGAGTAGGCACCACGGTGACCATTTTCCTGGATTTGCAGCCCAGCTCCACCATCTGTGAGCTACGTGACCTCCAGTAAGTTACTTATCCCTAGATGTAAAGTGATATTGCTATTATTAGCTTGCCATCTTTTATTTTAAAAATTGACCATATTTTCTCTTTTTTCTTCTAAAACTTCTTTTCTTGGCCAAGCATAGGTTTAAATTTAAAGTCATGTCACAGATAATGTAGAAATGCAACTTCATTTCTCTATATGATTGTAATGTACTCATGAACCCCATTTTTACTCCATAATTGATAATGCTGAAATTAGCCCTCAGAGGAAAAAGAGGAGGGGTTGATTTTGATGGTTGCCTCTGGTGCATTAAAACTCTGTTTAAACTTCCTCCATTTTATGTGTTTCATTACATTTAATAGAACAGAAGGAAGCTCAAGTCAGCCAACACCCTATTGACAGCCTTCTGGTGAAAAAGAGTGCATAGCAGGTTTAGCCTTAGAATCAGAGAGACAAATCTTTATCCTACAGTTCAATTCAATTTCATTGACAAAAGAAGGCAGTGAGATGTAGCTTGTGAGGGGAGTTATTTGACCATAGCATTATAGCTAAGAAAGTAATTTTCCTGTGCAACTGCAGTATGTATCTTTCTGAAGGCTGGATGAAAACAGAAAAAGTACTATGAATAGTATTCCATTTATTCTCAATTTTTTTAGTCGGATGACTACTCTATAATATTTTTCATTACATGTTATTTCAATAAACATCTAAGAAAATGCATATATATTTACTAAAACAAAAAGCTTAGAATTTTTTTTTAAAAAATGTCCTTAGGGCACACTAATGTAAGGAAGTTTGAGTATCAAATGCATTATCCGCAGTAGCTGCTAAATTGATCCACACCAAAACAGCAGCAAAACGGTTTTGGAGATTTTATTCCTGACTACATACACTTTTCTTACAATGGAGTGTGAAAGGAACAAAACTCACATTCCCCTGACCCTGCTTTTCTTTACGCATCGTCTTGTCTCTCTCGCTATATTGGAGCACAATTTCAGGGTGAAGTCAGGTTAAATCAAGAAGGGTATCCTGATTAGATGAGACTTCTAACAAAATCAATCAAGTCTAAATGAGATTGGGGTTCTATGATGAAGAGCTGTGAGGGATAATTAGGCAGACTGTGGATGAAAGATTATTTATTTCTGCTCCAAGAAGAAAATGTGCTTTGGGAGTTTCTTCCCTCTTAAAGTCAACCAAAACTCAGTTTCCCTCCCATTTTACTTCTTCCTGTTACTTTCTTTAGAAAACAGTATTCACAAATGACAATTACATAATTAATTATTTGGATAGCCAACTTAACAGTAGCAGGTGCTTAGCTAGTGAGCGCAGTTTATGCAAGAGTGAAGACATCTGGTCCTCTGGGTCACGGTGACATAGGGCTCAGGTGCAGGGACGGGTGCACATCATGACACCAAGGTAAATTGATGGTCAGACACTAAACTGCAGCCGACAAAAAAAATTATTGTAGAATTGAGTTGTGATTATTGCATTTTCCTTGTAGGCATTTAAAAATAAATGAATTTGAAGTAGTCAACTCAGGAAAGAAGCACAGGAAATAAATGAACAATTCATGTACCGAAAAAACAAATTGCTCCCTTTATTATTGGGGAAAAATATGTGCATTGCACTAAATACGCTTATTTTTCGGATAGTCTGATGAAATAGGTTTAGCAGTATCTTAATATGTGACACAAATTCTAGAACTATACATTAGCCAAGCCCATTTGTTTATCTATAGAAATGCTAAAATATTTTCATTACAAATAAGAAGAGTTCAAGACTATCCCTTCAAGTATGGCTAACACAAAATATCAGAAATTTAGCGTTGTTTATTTTTCTAAGTTTTGCTTTAAGTATAACAGACATACACGATAGTATGTAAATTTTAATTATGTAGCTCAAAGAATTTTTAGAAGAAAACATCCTTATCCCACTGCCACACAGATCAAGGTATGAAGTATTACCAGCATCCTGGGAATCTTTTCTGTGCCGCATCCTAGTAATTACCACCTCAAAGGTAACTGCTTCAACTTCTGTCACCAAAAATTAATTTTGACTGTTTCTGAACTTTAAACTAATGGAATCATTCAAACTGCATTTGCATGGGCACTTAGGTGTCTGCTTTTTTCACTCAATAGGTATCTTTGTGAGATTTACCCATGGTACCACAGCAATTTCCCCCATTGCTTAGCTCCCCTGCAAAATGTATCAAAACTTACTAATGTATTCCATTGATGTGCATTTCAATTGCTTGCTGCTGTTACAAATAGCACCACTGTAAGCATTCCAATACATGTCTTCTGGTGATCATATACTGTGTAAACATTATCTTGGGAATAAGCCCAGGAGTGGATTTGCTGAGTTGAAGATTATGTGTGCTGTCAAACACTTTTCCAAAATGATTTTGCAAATCTGATTTCCTACCAGCAGTATATAAAAGTTTTGGTTGTTCTACATTCTCATCAACTCTTGGCATTGTCAGATTTTTAGTGTTAGCCATTCTGGGAGATGTATAGTATCCTTTCATGTTTTAACTTACGTTTTCCTGTTGATTTAAAAGTTGAGTATCTATTATTTTGAATATTTATAGGCCATTTGGATAAATTCCTTTGGGAAGTTCTGGTCCAAATATTTTGCTATGTATTAATTAGATTATCCTACTTTTTAAAAATTAATTTGTGGGACTTCATTCATCTGTACAATCCTGTATTAGATATATGTTATAAATGTATTCTTCCCATGTTTTGACTTTCATTCTCTTAATAGTAACTTTTAATAAAAAAGAATTTCTAATTTTAATATAATCAAATTCATTCATTAAGCTTTTCTTTTATGGTTATAGCTGTTTGTTTTCTGTTTACTAAATCTTTGTTTAACAAATCTTTGCCTGTGTATTGGCCATAAAGATATTCCCTGTCCCATATTATCTTCTAGAAGTTTTATTGTTTTTATTTTCTTCAATTCTATCTGAATTTTATTTTTTTTAATTGTAAACTTTCATGTCTTTACATTTGTCTTATTTAGATACTTGACATATTTATCATATAAACATACATACTTTCCTTTCAGGGGATTATAGCTTGACTTATCTACTATCCATGCATCCAAGTTCCTTGTATATAGGGTAACGTCACATAACTAGAATGGCTCCAGTTTGACCTCTTCTTTCCCTTCTTTCAGTCTTTTATATATATATACTTTAAGTTCTGGGGTACATGTGCAGAACGTGCAGTTTTGTTACATAGGTATACACATGCCATGGTGGTTTGCTGCACCCATCAACCCATCACCTACGTTAGGTATTTCTCCTAATGCTCTCCCTCCCCTAGCCCCTCATCCCTTGACAGGCCCCAGTGTGTGATATTCCCCTCCCTGTGTCCATGTGTTCTCATTGTTCAACTGCCATTTATGAGTGAGAACATGTGATGTTTGGTGTTCTGTTCTTCTGATAGTTTGCTGAGAATGATGGTTTCCAGCATCATCTATGTCCCTGCAAATAACATGAACTCATCCTTTTTTATGGCTGCATAGTATTCCATGATGTATATGTGTCACATTTTCTTTATCCAGTCTATCATTGATGGACATTTGGGTTGGTTCCAAGTCTTTGTTATTGTGAATAGTGCCGGAATAAACATACATGTTCATGTGTGTTTATAGTAGAATAATTTATAATCCTTTGGGTGTATACCCATTAATGGGATTGCTCGGTCAAATGGTATTTCTAGTTCTAGATCCTTGAGGAATTGCCACACTGTCTTCCACGATGGTTGAACTAATTTACACGCCCACCAACAGTGTAAAAGCGTTCCTATTTCTCCACATCCTCTCCAGCATCTGTTGTTTCCTGACTTTTTTAATGATCACCATTCTAACTGGCATGAGATGGTATCTCACTGTGGTTTTGATTTGCATTTGTCTAATGACCAGTGATGATGAGCATTTTCTCATATGTTTGTTGGCTCCTTAAATGTCATCTTTTGAGAAGTGTCTGTTCATATCCTTTGCCCACTTTTTGATGGGGTTGTTTGCTTTTTTCCTGTAAATTGGTTTAAGTTCTTTGTAGATTCTGGATGTTAGCCCTTTGTCAGATAGATAGATTGCAAAACTTTTCTCCCATTCTGTAGGTTGCCTGTTCACCCTGATGATAGTTTCTTTTGCTGTGCAGAACCTCTTTAGTTTCATTAGATCCCATTTGTCTATTTTGGCTTTTGTTGCCATTCCTTTTGGTGTTTTAGACATGAAGTCTTTGCCCATGCCTATAACCTGAATGGTATTGCCTAGGTTTTCTTCTAGGATATTTATGGTTTTAGGTATTACATTTAAGTCTTTAATCCACCTTGAGTTAATTTTTGTATTAGGTGTAAGGAAGGGGTCCAGTTTCAGTTTTCTGCATATGGCTAGCCAGTTTTCCCAACAACATTTATTAAATAGGGAACATTTCCGATTGCTCATTTATGTCAGGTTTGTCAAAGATCAGATTGTTGTAGATGTGTGGTGTTATTTCCAAGGCCTCGGTTCTGTTGCATTGGTCTATATATCTGTTTTGGTACCAGTACCATGCTGTTTTGGCTACTGTAGCCTTGTAGCGTAGTTTGAAGTCAGGTAGTGTGATGCTTCCAGCTTTGTCCTTTTCGATTAGGATTGTCTTGGCTATGCAGGCTATTTTTTTGGTTCCATATGAAATTTAAAGTCGTTTTTTCTAATTCTGTGAAGAAATTCAGTGGTAGCTTGATGGGAATAGCATTGAATCTATAAATTACATTGGGTATTATGGCCATTTTCACAACATTGATTCTTCCTATCCATGAGCATGGAATGAATGTTCTTCCATTTGTTTGTGTCCTCTCTTATGTCCTCGAGCAGTGGTTTGTTGTTCTCCTTGAAGAGGTCCTTCACATCCCTTGTAAGTTGTATTCCTAGGTATTTTATTCTCTTTGTAGCAATTGTGAATGGAAGTTCACTCATGATTTGGCCCTCTATTTGTCTGTTGTTGGTGTATAAGAATACTTGTGATTTTTGCACATTGATTTTGTATCCTGAGACTTTGTTGAAGTTGCTTATCAGCTTAAGGAGATTTTGAGCTGAGATGATGGGGTTTTCTAGATATATAATCATGTCATCTGCAAACAGGGACACTCGGACTTCCTCTCTTCTTATTTGAATACCTTTTATTTCTTTCTCTTGACTGATTGTCTTGGCCAGGCTTTCAATACAATGTTGAATAGGAGTGGTGAGAGGGGCATCCTTGTCTTGTGCTGGTTTTCAAAGGGAATGCTTCCAGTTTTTGCCCATTCAGTATGATATTGGCTGTGGGTTTGTCATAAATAGCTCTTATTATTTTGAGATACATTCCATCAATACCTAGTTTATTGAGAATTTTTAGCATGAAGGGATGTTGACTTTTGTCAAAAGCCTTTTCTGCATCTATTGAGATAATCATGTGGTTTTTGTCATTGGTTCTCTTTATGTTATGGATTACGTTTATTGATTTATGTATGTTGAAACAGCCTTGCAGCCCAGGTATGAAGCCGACATGGTCGTGGTACATAAGTTTTTGATGTGCTGCTGGATTCAGTTTGCCAGTATTTTAGTGTGAATTTTTGCATCGCTGTTCTTCATGGATATTGGCGTGAAATTTTCTTTTTTTGTTGTGTCTCTGCCAGGTTTTGGTATCAGGATGATGCTGGCCTCATAAAATGAGTTAGGGAGGATTCCCTCTTTTTCTATTGTTTTAAATAGTTTCAGAAGGTATGGTACCTGCTCCTCTTTATACCTCTGGTAGAATTTAGCTGTGAATCTGTCTGGCCCTGAACTTTTTTTGGTTGGTAGGCTATTAATTACTGCCTGAATTTCAGAACTTGTTATTGTTCTATTCAGGGATTCGACTTCTTCCTGGTTTAGACTTGGGAGGGTGTATATGTCCAGGAATTTATCCATTTCTTCTAGATTTTCTAGTTTATTTGCATAGAGGTGTTTATAGTATTATCTGATGGTAGTTTGTATTTCTGTGGAATAAGTGGTGATATTCCTTATATCATTTTTATTGCTTCTATTTGATTCTTCTCTCTTTTCTTCTGTATTAGTCTGGCTAGCCATCTATCTATTTTGTTGATCTTTTCAAAAAACCAGCCCCTGGAATCATTAATTATTTGAAGAGTTTTTCGTGTCTCTATCTCCTTCAGTTCTGCTCTGATCTTAGTTACTTCTTGTCTCCTGCTAGCTTTTGAATTTGTTTGCTGTTGCTTCTCTAGTTCTTTTAATTTTGGTTTTAGGGTGTCAATTTAGATCTTTCCTGCTTTCTCTTGTGGGAATTTAGTGCTACAAATTTCCCTCTACACACTGCTTTAAATGTGTTCCAGAGATTCTGGTACATTGTGTTTTTGTTCTTATTGGTTTCAAAGAACATCTTTATTTCTGCCTTCATTTCGTTATTTACTCAGTAGTCATTCAGGAGCAGGGTGTTCAGTTTCCATGTAGTTGTGCAGTTTTGAGTGAGTTTCTTAATCCTGAGTTCTTATTTGATTGCACTGTGGTCTGAGAGACTGTTTGTTATGATTTCTGTTATTTTGTATTTGCTGAGGAGTGTTTTAGTTCCAATTATGTGGTCAATTTTAGAATAAGTGCGATGTCGTGCTGAGAAGAATGTACATTCTGTTGATTTGGGGTGGAGAGTTCTGTAGATGTCTATTAGGTCTGCTTGTTCCAGAGCTGAGTTCAAGTCTTGAATATCCTTGTTAATTTTCTGTCTTGTTGATCTGTCTAATATTGATAGTGGGGTGTTAAAGTCTCCCATTATTATTGTGTGGGAGTCTAAGTCTCTTTGTAGGTCTCTATGAACTTACTTTATGAATCTGGGTGCTCCTGTATTGGGTGCATATATATTTAGGATAGTTAGCTCTTCTTGTTGAATTGATCACTTTACCATTATGTAATGCCCTTCTTTGTCTCTTTTGATCTTTGTTGGTTTAAAGTCTGTTTTATCAGATATTAGGATTACAACTCCTGCTCTTTTTTGCTTTCCATTTGCTTGGTAAATATTCCTCCATCCCTTTATTTTAGCCTGTGTGTGTCTTTGCATGTGAGATGGGTCTCCTGAATACAGCACACTGATGGGTCTTGACTCTTTATCCAATTTGCCAGTCTGTGTCTTTTAATTGAGGCATTTACTCCATTATATTTAAGGTTAATATTGTTATGTGTGAATTTGATTCTATCATTATGATGTTAGCTGGTTATTTTGCCTGTTAGTTGATGCAGTTTCTTCATAGTGTCAATGGTCTTTACAATTTGGTATGTTTTTGCTGTGGCTGGTACCAGTTGTTCCTTTCCATGTTTAATGCTTCCTTCAGGAGCTCTTGTAAGGCAGGCCTGGAGGTGATGAAATCTCTCAGCATTTGCTTCTCTGTAAAGGATTTTATTTCTCCTTTGCTTATGAAGTTTAGTTTGCCTGGATATGAAATTCTGTGTTAAAAATTCTTTTCTTTAAGAACGTTGAATATTGACTCCCACTCTTTTCTGGCTTATAGGGTTTCTGCAGAGAGATCTGCTGTTAGTCTGATGAGCTTCCCTTTGTGGGTAACGCAAGGTTTCTCTCTGGCTGCCCTTAACATTTTTTCCTACATTTCAACCTTGGTGATTTTGACAATTATGTTTCTTGGGGTTGCTCTTCTCACGGAGTATTTTTGTGGTGTTCTCTGTATTTCCTGAATTTGAATGTTGGCCTGTCTTGCTAGGTTGGGGAAGTTCTCCTGCATAATATACTGAAGAGTGTTTTCCAACTTGGTTTCATTCTCCCCATCACTTTCAGGTATACCAATCAAACATAGATTTGGTCTTTTCACGTAGTCCCATATTTCTTGAGGCTTTATTCATTCCTTTTCATTCTTTTTTCTCTAATCTTGTCTTCTTACTTTATTTAATTAAGTTGTTCTTCAATCTCTGATATCCTTTCTTCCACTTGATCAATTCAGCTATTGAAACTTGTGTATGCTTCACAAAGTTCTTGTGCTGTGGTTTTCAGCTCCATCAGGTCGTTTATTTTCTTCTCTAAAGTGGTTATTCTAATTAGCAATTCCTCTAACCTTTTTTCAAGGTTCTTAGTTTCCTTGCATTGGGTTAGAACATGCTGCTTTCACTCGGATGAATTTGTTATTACCCACCTTCTGAAGCCTACTTCTGTCAATTCATCAAACTCATTCTCCATCCAATTTTCTTCCCTTCCTGGTGAAGAGTTGTGATCCTTTGGAGGAGAAGAGGCATTCTGGTTTTTGGAATTTTCAGCCTTTTCGCACTGGTTTCTCCCCATCTTTGTGGATTTATCTACCTTTGGTCTTTGATGTTGGTGACATTCGGATGGGGTCTTTGAGTGGACATGCTATTCCTTTCTGTTTGTTAGTTTTTCTTCTAACGGTCAGGCCCCTCTACTGCAGGTCTGCTGGAGATTGCTGTAGGTCCACTCCAGACCCTGTTTGCCTGGGTATCACCAGCGGAGGTTGCAGAACAGCAAAGATTGCTGCCTGTTCTTTTCTCTGGAAGCTTTGTCCCAGAGGGGTACCTGCCAGATGCCAGCCAGAGCTCTCCTGTATGAGATGTCTGTTGGCCCCTAATGGGAGGTGTCTCCTAGTCAGGATACACAAGGGTCAGGGACCCACTTGAGGAGGCAGTCTGACCCTTAGCAGAGCTCAAATGCTGTGCTGGGAGGCCCGCTGCTCTCTTCAGAGCTGTTAGGCAGGGACTTTTAAGTCTGCTGAAGCAGCGCCCACAGCCGCACCGTCCCCTGGGAGCTCTGTCCCAGGGAGATGGGGGTTTTATCTATAAGTCCCTGACTGGGGCTGCTGCCTTTTTTTCAGAGATGCCCTGCCCAGAGAGGAGAAATCTGGCAGTCTGGCCACAGTGGCCTTGCTGAGCTGTAGTGGGCTCCATCCATTTCGAACTTCCTGGTGGCTTTGTTTACACTGTGAGGGTAAAACCACCTACTCAAGCCTCAGCAATGGCAGAAGCCCCTCCCACAACCAAGCTCCAGCATCTCAGGTCAATCTCAGACTCCTGCTGTGCTGGCAGCAAGAATTTCAAGCCAGTGGATCTTAGTTTGCCAGGCTCTGTGAGGGTGAGACCTGCTGAGCCAAACCACATGGCTCTCTGGCTTAGGTACCCCTTTCCAGGGGAGTGACTGGTTCTGTCTCACTGGTGTTCCAGGTGCCACTGCGGTATGGAAACAAAACAAAACAAAACAAAAAACTCCTGCAGCTAGTTCAGTGTCTGCCCAAACAGTCACCCAGTTTTGTGCTTGAAACCCAGGGCCCTGGTGGGGTAGGCACCAGAGGAAGTCTCCTGGTCTGTGGGTTGTGAAGACCATGGGAAAAGCACAGTATCTGGGCTGGAGTGCACGATTCCTCAGGCTCAGTCCCTCACAGCTTCCCTTGGGTAGGGGAGTAAATTCCTCGACCCCTTGCACTTCCCGGGTGATATGACACCCCATCCTGCTTCAGCTTGCCCTCCGCGGACTGCACCCACTGTCCAACCAGTCCGAGTGTGATGAACCAGGTACCTCCATTGGAAATGCATAAATCACCTGCCTTCTGCGTCAATCTTAGTGGGAGCTGCAGACCAGAGCTGTTCCTATTCGGCCATCTTCCCTGAATTTCATTTTTATGGCTGATATGAAGTAAAGATCAATGTTCTTCATTTCACAATAGGAATAGCCTGTTGTTCTAGCACTATTATAGACAAGGCCATCTGTTGTGGTAATATTTGGATTATAATTAGGTGACCAAATATGTGTGGATCTGTTGCTGAATTACACATTCTGTTCCATTGACTTATTTGTCTATCCTTATGCCAGTACTATACACTTGATAATTATATATTTAAATGAGACCAGAAATCTAGTAATTTAAGTCTTCTAACTTTGTTCTTCAAAGTTACTTTGCCTATTCTCAATTATTTGCCTTTTGATATAAATTTTAATCAGCTTTATATTTCCTCTAAAACAACGACTGTAATTTTCACTGGGATTGCATTGTATCTATAGATAAATATAGCAACAAATTATATATTGTAATATTTAACAACTTTATTCATGAATGCAATATATTATTTCATGTATTTAGGACTTCTTTAGTTTCTTTCAGTAATGTTTTCAGGTCTTCTGTGTTCTTGTAGATCTTTCATTAAATTACTTTTATGTCTTTGGTAATTATAATTTTCATATTAAAAACTAATTTTTATAATAAAAAATATAAGCTTTGTCTTAAAGAATTGTTTACCAATATATAGAAATACCTCTGATTTTTGGACATTGACTTTATATCACAAATGTTTCTAAATCCATTAATTAAGTCTAACAGTTTATCTATAGATTCCTTGGGGTTGTCTACATAAATAATCATTACAATTGAAAATGACATCTTCATTTCTCTTTGACTTTACCTGATTTTCTTTCTTATTTCTCTCAAGTGGCTGGGACTTGTATTACAGCGTTGAATAGAAGTTGTGTTCAGTCTGTGATTTCACCTGAAAATCTTCCAATATTTTACTATTAAATATAAAGTTAATGTAGATGTTTTGTAGATGCCCTTTATAAGATTAAGGAGAATATTTTCTGTTCTTAATTTTGTGAGATTTTTATTTACAATGAATAAGTACAAACGTGATCAAATATTTTAATATATATATTGAGATGACCATATTATCTATCTTATTTATTCTCTTAATGTTGTTAATAGCATTGATTGATTTTCACATATTAAACTAACCTTCATTTGCAGAATAAACCACCTGGACAAGGATGTATTATCTTTCTAGTACATTGTAGATATTATCATTTTCCCTTTCAATCATCTGTATTAGAATATTTTTTCTCTTCTTTCCTTATTTATTGATACATAATACTTGTACCTATTTATAGAGTACATATGATATTTTGATACATGCATACAATGTGTAGTGACCAATTCAGAGTATTTAGCATCTCCATTACCTCAAAAATTTATTATTTGTGATGGAAAAATTTCAAATTTTCTGTTCTGTTTTGAAACATACAATAAGTTATTGTTAACTATACTCACCTGATTGTACTATCAAACAATAGAACTTATTCCTTCTATACAACTGTATCTTTGTGACCACTGACGAACCTCTCTCTTCATCGCCTCTCTCCCCACAACTACTCAAACCTCTGGTAACTATCATTCTATGCTCTACCTCCATGAGGTCAAGAGTTTTAGCTTCCACATATGAGTGAGAACTTGCAATATTTGTTTCTCTCTACCTGGCTTATTTCACTTAACATAATTACCAGCAGTTTCACCCATGTCCCAGTAAATGACATTCTTTTCTTTCTTTTTTTTTTTTCTGAGACAGAGTCTTGCTCTGTCCTCCAGGCTGGAATACAGTGGTGCAATCATGGCTCACTGTAGCCTTGACATCCTGAGCTCAAGCAATCCTCCTGCCTCGGTCTCTCAAGTAGCTGGGACTACAGGTGCACACCACCACTCCCAGGTAATTTTGGTATTTTTCTGTAGAGATGGGGTTTTGTTATGTTGCCCAGGCTGGTCTCGAATTTCTGAGCTCAAGTGATCCACCACCTCAGCTTCCCAAAGTGTTGGGATTATAGATATGAGCCACTGCACACAGTCTAAGATTTCATGTTTTTTTAGGGCTGAATAGTATTCCATTGTGTATTTATACCTTTTTTATCCATTCATCCATTGATAGACTGGTTGATTTCATATCCTTGTTCTTGTGAATAGTGTATCAATAAATATGAAGGTGCAGGTATTCGTTTTATATACTTATTTCATTTTTTTGATAGATACCCACTAGTGAGTTGCTGGATTGTATAGTTCTATTTCTAGTTTTTTGAGAAACCTCCATACTATTTTCCATAATGGCTATACTAATTTAAATTCCCATCCACATCGTATGAGTTCCCTTTTCACATCATCCTTGCCAGCGTTTGTTACATTTTGTCTCTGTGATAATAGCCATTCTGACTGGAGTGATATGATACCTCATTGTGGTTTTGGTTTGCATTTTCCTGATGATGAGTGATGTTGAGCATTTTTTCATATACCCGTTGGCCATTTGTACGTCTTCTTCTAAGAAATGGCTATTCATATCCTTTACTCACTTTTTAATGGATTTATTTATTTTGTTGTTGACTTGTTTGAATTCCTTGTCTATTCTAAATACAGATGAATAGCTTGCAAATATTTTCTCCCATTCTGCAAGTTGTTCCTACACTCTATTGTTTACTTGACTGTACAGAAGCTTTTCAGTTTAATGTAGTCATGTTTGTCTATTTTTTATTATTGCCTGTGTCTTCAAAATTTTAGCTATAAAAACCTTTGCCTAGACCAATGTCCTTAAGCATTTCCCTATATTTTCTTCTAGTAGTTTTATAGTTTTGGATCTTATATTTAAGTCTTTGGTCCATTTTGAATTTTTTTATATGGTAAGAGTTAGGGGTAGAGTTTCCTTCTTCTGCATGTGGATATTTCCTCAATGTATTTTCTTCACGTCTTTGTCAAAAATGGTTGGTTGTAAGTATATGGATTTATTTCTGGGTTCTTTATTCTTTTCCGTTGGTGTATGTGTCTATTTTTATGACAGTATGATGCTGTTCTTGGTACTATATATTTGTATTAGATTAAAGTCAAGTAGTGTAATGCCTTAAATTTTGGGTTTTTGTTTGTTTATGTTTTGCTCAGGACTGCTTTGGCTATTCTGGCTCTATTTGGTTCCATACAAATTTGGGGATATTTTTATTTCTATGAAAAGTGTTCTTGGTATTTTGATAGGGATTGCACTGAATCTGCAGATTGCCTTGAGTGATATGGTCATTTTAACAATATTAATTATTCTGATCCGTGAGCAAATAGTGTCTTTGCATTTGTTTGTGTCTTCTTCAATTTCTTTTCTCACTGTTTTGTAGTTTTTCATTATAGAAGTCTTCACCTCCTTGGTTAAATGCATTCCTAGGTATTTTATTTTTTATAGTTATTATTAATGGAATTGAATTCTTGATTTCTTTTTTAACCTAGTTTGTTATTGTTTTATGGAAGTACTACAGATTTAGTATTCTAATTTTATATCGTGCACTTACTGAATTCATTTATCTATTCTAGGAGATTTTTGGTGGAGTCTTTAGGTTTTTCTATATATAAGATTGTGTTGTGTGCAAAGAGGGACTTTCTTTTTTCCAGTTTGGATTTCTTTATTTCTTTATCTTGCCTGATTGTTCTGGATAGGACTTCCAGTACTATGTTGAATAAGAGTGATTAAAGTGGGCATTATACCTTTCTTGTTCCAGTTCTTATAGGAAAAGCTTGCAGCTGTTCACTAGTCAGTATGATGTTAGTTGCAGGTTTGTCATATATAGCCTTTATTATGTTGAGACATATTCCTTCAATTCCTAATTTATTGAGAGTTTTTATCATGAAGAAATGTGGAATTTCTATGTCTATTGAGATGATTATATTGTTTTTGTCCTTCAGTCTCTTAAAGTGATGTATCACATATATTATTTTGTGTGTGTTGAATCATCTTTCCATCTCTAAGAAGAATCCAGCTTAATCATGGTATATCATCTTTTTGATGAATTGTTCAATTTGGCTTGCTAGTGCTTTGTTGAGGATTGTTGCATCTATATTCATCAGGGATACTAGCCTGCAGTTTTTTGGGGGGATTTTTTGAGATGGAGTCACTTTGTCACCCAGGCTGGAGAGCAGCAGCATGAGCTCAGCTCACTTCAATCTTCCACCTCCCCATCAGCCTCTCAAGTAGCTGGGATACAGGCACCTGCCACCACACCTGGATTTTTTTTTTTTTTTTTTTTTTTTTTAGTAGAGATGGGGTTGCACCACATTGGCCAGGCTGGTCTTGAACTCCTGACCTCAGGTGATCTGCCTGCCTCTATCTCCCAAAAAGGTAGTTTTCTTTTTTTATGTCTGTCTGGTTTTTATATCAGGGCAATGCTGTCCTTGTAGAATGTGTTAGAAAAAATTTACTTATCTTCAATTTTTTGGAGTAATTTGAGAATTCTTTATAAAATTCAGCAGTAAAGTCCTCTGGTCCTGGGCTTTTCTTCATTAAGAGACATTTTTATTACTGATTCAATCTCATCACCCATTATTGTTCTACTCAGGTTTTCGATTTCTTTATGATTTAATCTTGGTAGGTTGTATGTGTCCAGGAATGTATCCATTTCCTCTAGGTTTTCCAATTTATTAACATTTTGTTGTTCATAATAGTCTCTAATAATCCTTTGTAGTTCTGTGTTATCAGTTGTAATGTCTTCTTTTTCATTTCTGATTTTATTTATTTGAGTCTTCTCTTTTATTGGTAAGTCTACTTAGGAGTTTATCACTTTGTTTATCTTTTTGAGGAATTTACTTTTGTTTCATTGATTTTTTTGTATTATGTTTGTCTTTATTTCATTCAATTTTACTCTGATCTTTATCATTTGTTTCCTTCTATTAATTTTGAGTTGGGCTTATTCTTGCTTTTTTAGTTCCTTGAGATGTATCATTAAGTTGTTTATATCAAATCTTTCTATTTGTTTGAAGTAGGTATTTATTGCTATAGATGTCCTTCTGAGCACTGATTTTTCTGTATCCCATAGGTTTGGTATGTTGTGTTTCCATCTGGTTCCAAAAAATTTTTTAATTTCCTTCTTAATTTCTTTATTGAACCAATGGTTGTTTAATTTCCATGTATTTGTATTTTCTCAAGTTTTTCTTGTTACTAGTTTCTAGTTTATTACATTGTGATCTGAGAAGGTACTTGATAGGATGTTGATTGTTTTTAATTTTTTGAGACTTGGTTTGTTGCATAACATGTGGTCTATTCTGGGAATTTTCCATGTGCTGATGGGAAAAGTGTGTGTTCTATAACTGTTGGATTAAATGTCTGTAAATATCTGTTTGGATTATTTGGTCTATTGTGCAGATTAAATCTGATGTTCATTTGTTGATTTTCTGTCTAAATGATCTGCCCACTGCAGAAAGTGGAGTGTTAAAGTCCCCAATTATAATTGTATTTTGTCTCTCTCTTCACCTCTAATGATATTTGTTTTGTAAATGTGGATGCTCTGGTGTTGGGTGCATACATATTTACAATTGCTATATTCTCTTAATGAACTGATCCCTTTATCATTATATAATAATCTTCTTTGTCTCTTTTTATGTTTTTTGACTTACAGGGGTTTTTTGTATAAGTATAGATACTTCTGCATGTCTTTAGTTTCCATTTGCATGTCTTTAGTTTCCATTTGCCTGTAAGTTTTTCATCCCTTCACTCTTAGTCTATGCATGTCTTTCCAAGTGAAATAAGTTTCTTGTAGACAGCATATAATTGGGTTATAATTTTTTATTCCATTTAACAGTCTATATCTTTTAGTTGAGGAATTTAAATCATTTACATTCAATTTTGTTATTGATAGGTGAGAACTTCTGTCATTTGTTAATTGTTTTCTGATTGTCTTGTATGTCATTTATCTTTTCTTTTTGATTGTTCACCTTTATGATTCAGTGCTTTTTTTTTTGGTAGTATTGACATTTGACTCCTTTCTCTTTCTCATTTGTGTATCTTCTCTACCAATGAAGCTTTGTGCTTCTGTGTATTTTCATGATAGTAGACATTTTCCTTTTACTTACAGATGTAGAACTTACATAAACATTTCTTATAGGGCTAATCTGATGGTGGTGAATTCCCTCAGTTTTGCTTATCCAAGAAGATTTATTTATCTTTCATTTTTGAAGGATTGATTTGCTGGGTATAATATTCTTGGTGTACAGTAATTTTTTTTCTTTTTCTTTTTGCACTTTAAATATGTCATCTCATTCTCTCCTGACCTGTAAGGTTTATGCTTAGAAATCCACTATTGGTCTGATGGGAATTGTCTCATGTATCACCTGATAACTTTCTCTTGCTTTTTTTAGAATTCTTTTTATCTTTGTCTTTTAATAGTTTCATTATAATATGCCCTGGAGAACTTTTGGGGTGAGTCTATTCAGAAACTGTTGAACTTACTGTATCTGGATGTCTATATGTCTTGCAAGACTAGGGAAGTTTTTTGCTATCATTTTGTTAAGTAAGTTGTCTACGCCTTTATTTCCAAATTCAGTGTTTTTTATCTGTATTACAGAGTTTGCCTTGTAATTTTATTTTCTGATAATTTTCTTGTCAGATGTTTGTATAAAAATTGTGCTGGAATCATTTTTTAAGAGCTGAAAAAAGTTTCACCTTTTTCTGTTTATGGAAATATTGGTACAAGATTAGTGTTATTTCAGTCTTAAATATTTGAAATAATTACCACCAAAGCTTTCTGGCCTGAAAATTTTATTTCTGGAGGGCTTTTAATTATAAATTTGCTTTTCATAATAAATTTTAAATTATTCAACCTTTAATATTTTTCTTACATTAACTTTTCTATATTGTGTTTTGCAAGAAATTTGTCCATTTTATTTAAATTGACAAATTTATTGCCATGATGTTGTCCAAAATATTTTCTATTGTTAAAATTTCTCTAGGATTCAGTAATTTACCCTTTTTATTGCTGATATTGGTAATTTATAGATTGTCTCTTTTATTTCTGAACTATTTTTCTAAGGTTTATAATTTCAACTCTTAGAATTGTGTCGAGACTTGTTTTATGGGCACTTGAAAACGATGCGTATTCTATAGTTTTATGAACAATATTTCATATATGTCACTTAAGACAAATTTTAATTTTTGTTTGTTTATATCTCTTACAGTACCTGATATATACATATAAAAATGTTTAAAACATATATATATATATAAAATCACATGCACACACATTGACTGAGAGAGAGACACAGGAGAGAGAGAGAGAGAGAGATACAGAAGCAGGAAATATTGCTTGGATACAAATGAATATTTATTATATCTTCTTGATGAATTAACACTTTATCATTATCAAATGTTTCCATTGTCCTGAGTAATAGTCATTTTTCTTCAATATCTGTTGCATCTGACATTTAGTCTAACCAAGTCAAACCCATTTTTATTATATTTGCATAGTATATTTTCCATTATTTTCTGCTTTCAACATTTTGGTGTCCTTATTTTAAATTGTTTCTTAAAAGGAGTCAAGAGTAAGGTATGCTATATTTGAATTTAAGTATTATATTTCACTATTTGTTTTCTACTTGACTCACGTGTTTTATGTTTTCTGTTATCAAAATTTTCTTGCTTTTTTGGATTAGGGGAATTTATTAGACTTTTCAATTGTCATTAACTTTGCAATTATATATATATATATATATATATATATATATATGTACATGTATTTTAACTTTTATTTTAAGTTCAGGGGTACATGTGCAGGTTTGTTATAAAGGTAAACTTGTGTCATAGGGTTTGTTTTACAGATTATTTCATCACCCAGGTATTAGGCCTAATACTCATCAGTTATTTTTCCTGATTTTCTGCCTCCTCCCACTCTCCACCCTCTGATAGGCCCCAATGTGTGTTATTCCCCTTTATGTGTCCATGTGTTCTCATCATTTGGCTCTCATGTATAAATGAAAGCATGCAATTTGGTTTTCTGTCTTCATTAGTTTGCTAAGGATAACGGCCTTTAGCTCCATCCATGTCCCTGCAAAGGACATGATCTCGTTTTTTATGGCTGCATAGTATTCCATGGTGTATGTGTACCACGTTTTCTTTATCCAGTCTACCATTGATGTGCATTTAGGTTGATTTCATGTCTTTGTTATTGTGAATAGTGCTGCAATGAACATATGTGTGTATGTGTCTTTATAAAATAATAATCTATGTTTCGTTGGTTATGTACCCAGTAATGAGATTGCAGGGTTGAATGGTATTTCTGCTTTTAGGTCTTTGATGAATGACCACACTGTCTTCCACAATGATTGAACTAATTTACACTCCCATCAACAGTGTATAAGCATTTTTCTTCACTACCTCACCAGGATGTTATTGTTTAACTTTTTAATAATAGCCAAAACCTACAGAATATACATTCTTCTCATCACCACATGGCACATACTCTACAACCTGATTTTCTACAAACCTGACAAAAACAAATCTGACTGGTGTGACATGATATCTCGTGGTTTTGATTTGCATTTCTCTAATGATCAGTGTTGAGCTTTTTCTCATATAATCGTTGGCCACATATATGTCTTCTTTTGAAAAGTGTCTGTTCATATCCTTTGCCCACTTTTTACTGGGGTTATTTGTTTTTTCTTGTAAATTTGTTTAAGCTTCTTATAAATGCTGGATATTAGACCTTCGTTGGATGCATAGTTTGCAAATATTTTCTCCCATTCTGTAAGTTGTCTGTTCACTCTGTTTATAGTTTCCTTTGCTGTGCAAAAGCACTTTAGTTTAATTAGATCCCATTTGTCAATTTTTGTTCTTGTTGCAATAGCTTTTGGTGTCTTTGCCATGAAAGCTTTGCCCATTTCTATGTCCAGAATCATATTGCCTAGACTGTCTTCCAGGGTTTTTATGGTTTGGGTTTTACAGCGAGGTCTTTAATCTATCTTGAGTTTATTTTTGTATGTGGTGTAAGAAAGGAGTCCAGTTCCAATCTTCTGCATTTGGCTAGCCAGTTCTCCCAGCACCATTTATTAAGTGGAGAATCCTTTCCTCATTGCTTGTTTTTGTCAAGTTTGTTGAATATCAGATAGTTGCAGAGTATGTGCTGTGTGGCGATGAGAAGAATGTATATTCTGTTGTTTTGGGTTAGAGCTTTCTGTAGATATCTTATCGGGTCCATTTGATCCAGTGCTGAGCTCAGGTCTTAAACAGCTTTGTTCATTCTCTGTCCAAATGATTTGTCTAATACTGTCAGGGGGGTGTTAAAAATCTCCCACTATTATTGTGTGTGAGTCTAAGTCACTTTAAAGACCTGTAGGAACTTGCTTTATGAATCTGGGTGCTGCTGTGTTGGGTGCATATATATTTAGAATAGTTAGACCTTCTTGTTGAATTGAACTCTTTCCATTATATAATGCCCTTCTTTGTCTTTTTTTTATTTTTGTTGGTTTTAAGTCTGTTTTGTCAGAAACTGGAATTGCAACCCCTGTTTTTTTCTGTTTTCCATTTGCTTGGTACATTTTTCTCCATCCCTTTGTTTCCAGCCCATATATGTCATTACATGTGAGATGAATCTCTAGAAGACTGCATAGCAATAAGTCTTATCCTTTATCCAGCTTGCCACTTTGTGTCTTTTGATTGGGGCATTTAGCCAATTTACATTTAAGGTTAGTATGAATATGAGTAGATTTGTTCCTATTATCATTATATTAGCTGGTTATTTTGCAGACTTGTTTATGTGGTTTCTTCGTGATGTCACTGGTCTGTGTACTTCAGTGTGTTTTTGTAGTGCTGGTAATGATCCTTCATTTCCATATTTAATGCTTCCTTCAGGAACTCCTGTAAGGCAGGTCTGGTGGTAACAAATTCCCTCAGCATTTTTTTTTTCTGAAAAGGACCTTATTTCTCCTTCCTTATGAAGCTTAATTTGGCCCAATATGAAACTCTGGGTTCGAATTTCTTTTATTTAAGAATGTTAAATATTGGCCCCCAATCTCTTCTGGCTTATAGGGTTTCTCTACTGAGAGGTCTGCTGTTGTCTGATGGGCTTCCCTTTGTATGTGACCTGATCCTTCACTCTAGTTACCTTTAACAATTTTTTCTTTCATTTTTACCTTGGAGAATCTGATGATTATGTGTCTTGGGAATGATCTTCTTGTGAAGTATCTTACTGGGGTTTTCTGCATTTCCTGAATTTGAACGTTGGCCTCTATAGCTAGGTTGGGGAATTTCTCATGGATGATATCCTGATATGTTTTCCAAGTTGGTTCCATTCCCCCCGTCTCCTTCGGGGACACTAATGAATCATAAATTTGGGCTCTTTACATAATCCCATATTTCTCAGAGGTTTTGTTAATTCCTTTTCATTCTTTTTCCTCTATTCTTGTCTGGCTGTTTTATTTCAAAAAGCCAGTCTTCAGGCTCTAAGATTCTTTCCTCCACTTGTTCTATTCTGCTATTAAATTATTGTGATTGCATTATAAAATTCTTGTAGTGTGTTTTTCAGCTCTATCTGGTCTGTTATGTTCTTTTCTATAGTGACTATTTTGTATGTCAGCTCCTGCATTGTTTTATCATGATTTTTAGCTTCTTTGGATTGAGTTTCAATGTACTCCTGTAGCTCAATTATCTTTATTCCTATGGATATTCCAAATTCTGTTTCTGTCATTTCAACCATCTCAACCCAGTTAACTCCTGCTGGAGAGCTTTGGAAGTTGTCTGGAGGAAAAAAGGCACTCTATCTTCTTGAGTTTTTGGGGAGTGGGAGCAGATCTTGCAATGATTCTTTCTCATTTTTGTGGGTTTATATACTTTCAATCTTTGAGGTTGCTGACCTTTGAATTTTTTTTCCTTTTATCCTATTTGATGACCTTGAGGGTTTGATTGTAGTGTAAGCTGATTTCAGCTGACTGGCTTCAATTCTGGAAGATTTTAGTGGCCAACACTCAGCTCCCAATTCCTGGAGTGGGTGCTCTAACATAAGGGGACTTGTATTGGGCCCCAACTTTGTTCTCTGGCTCCTGGAGGTTAGGAATCTGTTGCAGTGGGGGGTGCCGAGGTGCAGCGGCTGTGGCAGAGTGCTGTCAGGGGTTGGAATGCCGGCTTCTTTGCCAGCATTCACCACAGTAGTGATGGCAGCACAGCTAGGTATGGGTGGGAGGCCTGCTGGTGACTGGTGTGCCAGGTCATGCTGGAGGTAGTGTGTTGACTGGGGGTTGGGGGGGGCTACTGGCAGGCACAGGTCTGGATGCCTTTTCTGTGCCCCACAAACAGTAGTAATTGCTCAGGGCAGGGGAGGATCCACTGTTCTCTGCACAGTGTTAGCACAAGTGTAGGGCACTGGTGGGGGCAGGGTTGTCTGGCTCTGTGCCCACCAAGGCTCCATCTGCAATGATGGTTAGCACAGGGGTGGAGGGGAGACAGACTGCATTCCCACACTCAGGAGGTGCAGGAAAGCAAAACCCATCCATGCAGACATACAGCAGAAAAGTGATATGTGGAGTTGCCATGGGCCCTTGGGAAGCTACAATATGAAGAAGGGGCGAGCAAAATGGTGTGTGGCCATAGGGGTTGCCCCACTGGAGCTCTCTGCTGCTCAAGCATGGTGGTGCACCAGTGCAGAAGCTATGATCTCAGGACACCCAAGACTGCCCTGCCACCAGGAGTGACCAGGGTAGGGCTCTGGGAGAGCCCAGCAGTCCAAGGGGTGCTCAGGTTGGACCAGCTCCATCCGATGGGCAAGACCACCCTACAGAGGTCAGAACCAAAATCTCCTATGGGAGCAAGTTGAGCCTAGGGAAATGGCTATCCCTGGCTGTGCTCCACTACAGATGCTCCTGCACCAAACCCTCTACCACTACAGATGCTCCCGCACCAAACCCTCTAGGCTCCATATCATCTTGCTTACTGCCACTACTACCTCTCTAAGCAGCTGTCCTTGCAAACTTCAGTGTCCTTGGTGATTGATCTCCTCCTGCTGGGATTTCAGAGGCTCATGGTAAGAGCAGGTTGTTTCTTGCCAGTTCAACTCACCCATTCCTCCAGAACCACTGTGGGCCAGGAACAGGTCCTGGTGTGTGGTAGCCCTATGTAGGGTTCCCAGCTTTCTTCCACTTCAGCCCAACTTTAGTGTCTTTCCTCCATCCACTCTCAGTGCCTTCCCTCGGGAGATCTGTTAGGAGCACACCAGCAGTCTTGGTCCCTTGGTGGGAGCTGTTCCACCTGGTTGCATCTAGTCTGCCATCTTGCCCTCCTCTTCTTTATATTATTCTTTAGTGTTTATCTTAGAGATTGCAGCAGGCATCCTTTGCTTTGTAGAGTCTATCTTAAATTCTTACTTTCACTACTTTCTTAGTTTCATATGCCCTATTCTCAAATTTGTGTTATGATTTTTATATATTTAAATTCTACATATATTTGAAATGCCATAGGACCATTTTAATTGTTTTTAAAAGTCAGTATTTGTATAGCTTTACCCATATTTACACTCTTCATTTTTCTTTTTTTTTTCCTTGGATTTTCATGATTTAAACTGGAATTCTTTTCCTTCTAATGAAAAACTTGCTCTATATTTTCTTTAGCCTATGCCAGCGGATGACATATCCTTCCAGGGTTCTTTGTTGTTGCTTATTTCACTTGCATTTTCGAAGAATGTATTTTTGAGTTGGTAGTCATTTTTTAAGACTTTAAAAATTATTTTCTTTGTCTTCAAGTTTTAATTATTTTTGCTGAAACCTCATCTTTAGTCTTAATGTGTTCCTTTAACAATGTATCTTTGTTTTCTTTGTATTGGATACTTTAAGAATTTATTTTTTAAAAAGCAACTGTACTATGATTTGCCTAAGTGTGCTTTTCTTTGATTTTATTCTGTATGGAATCTAGAGACTCTTGAATCTCTCTTGACATTTAGAACCAGGTTTAGAATATTCTTAGCCAGTATATTTTCAAATTTATTTATATCTCATTCTTTACTGTTTTATGGGATTCTGATTACCTTTCTGTTAGATCTTTAGGCCTTTTCCCACATTGCATTTGCCTTAGTTTTTTTCTGGATGCTTTCATATATGTGTGTATATGTGTATGTGTGTGTGTATCCTATGAGCCTATTCTCCAGTTCATCAATCATTTCTTCCGCTCTGTCTAATCTGCTGTTAAGTCCACCTACTAAATTTTTAATTTCAGTTATTAAAATTTTAAGTTCTAAAATTTTTAATTGATCTTTTTAATATTTTCTAGCTTTCTTGCTGTAGTTCTAATATTTCCCCTGTTTTATGAACATATTAATTATCATTTTTAAAGACTGGTAATTTTAATATCTGGATCATCTATGGGTATGTTTCTTCTGTCTTTTTTCTCTTGACTTTCATTCGTTTGGCCCTGTTTTCTTACATGTGTATTAATTTTGGATGCTGACATTTTATGTAAGAAACTTCAGAAGCTATAGATTATGTTACTTTCTCCAGAGAGAATTTAATTTTCTTCCGATAATTGGATAGATTATGAGTAAGTGATTTTGATCCCATCACGGATTGAGATGATTCCAAGCGGTATTTTAGATGTTGTGAATGCTATTCTATTTACTGTTTTCCTTATCCAGAGTGTAGCTCTTCAGACATCTCAACTGAACACATGATGTGTTTACTAGGCTCTGCCTTCTTGAGCATCCTTGAATTTAAGTTGACCCCTCAGCACCATAAAATGTCAATAATAAAAAACAAGCAAACAAAACTCTGGCTTGGATATTTAGTCCCGTGGCGGTACTTTTGCTTGTTTTGTGATCCCTCACCTCTCATACAGAACTTAAGAATTGGTAAATTTCTTGAACGGAGATTTTGTGCAGAATATTCAACTTGATTGATCAAGTTAGTATTCATCTTCGGGTGCACAAAAGTGATATGAATTTTCTTAGATATTGTGGATGGCCAACAAATTAGGATATGGGAAGACTGACATTTAATGGCCAGAATTTAAAGCAGAGGTATATGCTTTATGGAAGCTAATCAGTAGCACTTATTTTGCTTCTTTTTCCTTTGACAAAACAGCATGTTAGAGGATACTCCAAAAACATTCATTAATGAAGATGCCTATCTAAGGCATTGCACTGATGCTATTTGATAGAGTATGCTAGCTATATGTAGACATACATATAAGTTGAAATTTCATTACTTGAAATATAACAGAAAATCTTACACTTTCATACAACTTGGTAAACTCTACTCTTCTTGTAACTTCTATCCTGCCTTGCTCCAGGCCAATAGGACTGCCAGAAAGTTGAAGATGGACACCTACATAGCATGGCCATCCTGGATGGTGAGGGGGAAATAAGTGAGCTGACATATGTTAATAGCATTCTTGTTTCAGCTGTCGTTTCTCTCTGAACAGCTCCATTTTCAACTGCATTCCCTGCAAGTAGGTATGGGGGATGATGTGGAAGCTGCAAACTGCATAATCGCATTCCCAAGACTGCTTTGTAAGCTGGCTTCTAGTTGGGTCCTGCAACGGGAGGCCTTCATGGAAAAATGGAAGATAGGAAAAAGGGAAAATGCCTCAGATGTTTTTTTCTGCTTGTGCTGATGCTAAGGCACCAGCTGTGTAGCCCTGGGAGTGTGGCTTCTCAGCCGTAGTATAGGCTGCTGGATTCCTATTCAGAAGAGGTTGTGCAATTTTAACTGCAGCAGCAGAACATCAGTACCATTGACATTCATGCCAGATTCGAGTTCAGAAGCAATAGTAATATCCTCATTTTAAAGTAACCTCTTTTTCCTTTCGCTCTTTCATCCCCTTAAGCACGTTTATAAGCAATTCCCTTCATTCAATCTCTTTTATTCAAAAATCTAAAGTGAGCTCTATTTTCCTCACTAGTCTAGATAAAAACACGTGGTACCTACCAACAGTGATCCTAGGAAACAAAACCTCAAAGTTAGAAATCTGGGATTTGTTATTAACCAGATTGTGCTTGAACATGAAACAACTTCCATGATGAAACAAAATGAGATACTCAGAATCTGTGGCTTGTAGTGGCCTGGGGTAAATGGTCTCTGAAAAACAAGACTTCAGGAGAATAGTTATCAGCTGTGACTAGTTGAAGAGTGAGGCTTGCAAAGATTGTGAGGTTTGTTGACTGCGTCTCACTTTATACTGTAATATAGCAACTTTAAGGAACTTGCCCAAATGTATGTGTGGAACCTAGTGAGGGACTCCATGAGGAAACACCAGGCTGAAGTTGGCTCTCTTAGAGTCTTATACAGAGTTTGAAGCCACAGTGTAGCATAGTCTTTGTGGCCAGTAATATGTGGAGAGTAGGAAGGGAGCTGCTGGTGGTATTGTAACAGTTTTCTGTCAAAACGTGCTGGTTACAGGGTGCCCTTCAAGTCTTTGTTACTAGCCCTTTTAAAAACACCTTTTAAAAAGTAGCCTTAATCTGAGCACTTTGGGAGGCCAAGGCAGGTGGATCACCTGAGGTCAGGAGTTCAAGACCAGCCTGGCCAACACGGTGAAACCCCCGTCTCTACTTAAAAAAAATACAAAAATTAGCTGGGTGGGGTGATGCACGCCTATAATCCCAGCTACTCAGGAATCTGAGGCACGAGAATCACTTGAACCCTGGAGGTGGAGGTTGCAGTGTGCCAAGATCAAGCCACTGCACTCCAGCCTGTGTGACAGAGCAAGACTCCATATAAAAAAAAAAAAGAAAGAAAAAAAAGGTAACCTTCTAGAGAAACAACCATGTATTGTTATTTTACCATGCCATGAGTAAACCTGAAGAATTATCCCCTGGGGCTTGCCACATTCCTATACTATTAGACCTAGACTCTGCTAAATTTGGGTTGAAAAGAGCAGCCTCCTCCCAATATAATATAGGTTTTATTTTCTGAAGTGTGTGGTTTCAAGACTTTGATGGGTGGAGAACCTCAACTCCTTACATTAAGTTATGTAATCTAGGAATAAATATAGGAAATGTATAATATATAGGAAATATATATATATAGGAAATATATAATATATGTTAGGAATATATTAAGGCACCAGCTGTGTAGCCCTTAGAGTGTGGCTTCTCAGCCGTAGTATAGGCTGCTTGATTCCTATTCAGAATATATTAGGAATTATATTAGGAATATAATATATATCAGGAAATATAAAATATATAATATATATTAGGAAATATATAATATATATTTCCTAAATGTAGGAAAATGTATAAGGAAAGGGTGTCAGACAGTAATTCAGATTCTCTGTTTTTCCTTTTCTTACAGTCCAATAAATAGTGCCAATTAAGTTTATGGTTGTTATAATGATACTGTTGGTGCTGAACACATGTTTACTAACTTATTGACTTCTGGGTCCATCAGCTCTGGAACATTTCCAGTATCCTACTGAGCTCTTCCTCTCTCTCTTTTTTTGGACCTACAAAGAAGTTGGGTAGTTGGACCTACACACATTATGCTGTATAGAAATCTGTTTCATCTACACTAGGGGCTGCCTGGCACTAGTTATAACACTGGCATTTAGAAAGCTCAGGCTCTAATATAAAATGTATTCACACGAAAAGCCCTGGAAATTGGTTGGCAACATAGATTCCTCCTCATCCTCTACTGAGACCAGGAAGAGCAATATTTTCTTGAGTTCACAAGGAGTTTGTGGCAGACTCCAGCACAAACTCAAATTCTCTAAGACCATACTCCAGGCTATCTCCTCTATAAAGGGCCAAAGAATAAACAGGATTTATATTTATTGATGAAAATTCTTCCAAAGTATTAAGAGCATATTGGAAAAGTCATATTATGAGTATCTTTATTTCCCAAAAATTTTCAATAAATATTCCTTAGTTATACAATTATTTTCAAAATATACAACTAAAAAAGCTTTTATGGCAAAGGTATTCTCAAAGTAACAAAGCTTAGGACATTTTCTGGTCTGTCCAGTGGTTCCTGACTGTTCTCTGGGAGTGTTCCAAAAGATGAACAAGCTTATTGTCTTGCCATAGGACATCATGTTCTTTTCCAAAATTATAGAAAGATGAAATAATACAGAATATTATTTATTTCATCTTTGATTTTTTCCTAAATGCAGAAAAATGAGACTTGCTACCATTTGTCTCCTGTTAACAGAGGGTAAAAGGAATGACCAATAGGCAAAAATATGAAAGTAAAAACCTGATAACAGACATGATTTCTCCAAATATTATATATATTAGTGGTCCTATTTAGAGGTTCAGAACGCAAGCATATTTTCTGAGAGTAAAGTTTTTTCCTACTTCCAATGATGTCCTTGGCTACATCGTTATTTCATGATGTTCTGAGAAGAATGCCATCGTTTTCAGGGGCTGGACCTCCTCAACGTATTTGAAAGACACTGGTAAAGTAAATTTCAAATTCCTTGGTGGTTCCAGTCATTTAAGTTATTGCCTCTTTTAGGATTGTAAGAGCACTAATAAAATGTATTTGCTCTGATATTAATTTCACTTGTTCCTTGGAAATTCCTACAAGGCCTGCATCTTCCCCATTTTTACTGTGGAAGCAGTAAAGTGTTGGCTTTAGGGTCAGGTTGCTTCTTTCAGGAGCTCTTGTAAGGCAGGCCTGGTGGTGACAAAATCTCTCAGCATTTGCTTGTCTGTAAAGGACTTTATTTTTCCTTTGCTTATGAAGTTAGTTCGCCTGGATATGAAATTCTGGGTTGAAAATTCTTTGCTTTAAGAATGTTGAATATTGGCCCCCATTCACTTCTGTCTTGTAAGGCTTCTGTAGAGAGATCCACTGTTAGTCTGATGGGCTTCCCTTTGTGGGTAACCCAACCTTTCTCTCTGGCTGCCCTTAACATTTTTTCCTTCATTTCAATCTTGGTGATTCTGACAATTATGTTTCTTGGGGTTGCTCTTCTCAAGGAGTATCTTTATGGTGTTCTCTGTATTTCCTGAATTTGAATGTTGGCCTGTCTTGCTAGGTTGGGTAAGTTCTCTTTTTACAAATTCTGGTTGCCTTGGGAGCCTGGAGCTCCAATGTTTATCTTCCCAGCCTAACCAGGTTGTCGCCACTGCAAGGCTACCATTTTCTGCTCAGGCTTTATATCCCTCAGTGCAAATGGGCAGATACTCTGATGGGAGTTCTGTATTGCTTACTTTTATATGTTTTCCTTATTTCTAAAATCTTGACCCTACAAGTTCTCTCTGTTTACTTGTTCTATAATATATTTAAACAGCTGGAGCTTTGTTTATGATTTTGTTTTCCTCTCTTAAATTATTTCTAGCTCTTATAATTCTTCATGGTAGGACATTTGGTCTGATTCAACGTACTCTCCATAGCCAAAACCTATGATTAATTCAATATGCTCTCTCTTCCAAAGCACCATTAATAATGATATTTGTTGCAAAATAAATTCTATATTTACTTTGAAAAGAATGCATCTTATTAGTATATATGAAAACCCCAATATTGCTCAAATAATCTACGTAGTTGCTTTTTTATTGGATCACACAGCAGAGATGAAATGTCAATAGGTCTGAAATGAGAGGTTTTAATTTTGATACGTATTTAAGTTATCATTTTCTGTGTATTTATGCTGTTAACTGTGTTAAACAGAAACAGATAAAGTCTTAGAATTAAAATACAGTTTGGTTAAGTATTTTCTTGGTGTGGAAATTATAACAGCAAACCAATTGGTAGGTCAAAAAATTCTGCCCTAAATTTTCTATAACTTTCTTCAGGTGATAGTGGGGGCTGTACATAGGAAAAAAATAAATGAAATCTTCTGTTACTTATAATTTTCAGGGTAAAGAAAAAAGCAACATTTTCCCATGAAATAATTAAGCAAATCATAAGAGGAACATATAATGCAGTAGAAATTAACATACTGTAAGAGGAATACAAACATAGCTAAGAAGACTGAGTAATAATTAACATATTTATAGCTTATAAATCACTTTCACCTACACTATATCATTTGATCCTGGAAACACCACTTGCAGTAATGTATTATCTTCAGTGCTATTATTGAAACTTCTATTGGCAGAATCAACAAAAATGGGAACCTGAGCTCAAATGCCAGGCTTCTGAGACATTCACAAAATCTTCTAATAAGTAATGACTACTTACAAATGACGGGCATTATCTGTGATAGGAACAATAATACAAGAATAAAACCAGTGATTACTGTTGTTTTAGAACTTACAAATCATGAAAGAATCAGAAAATCATCAAATAATCACAATATACAGTGATAAAGTCTTTGATGAGGGAAGTGTGGAGTTGTAGAACAAGTGAGCAGGGTCAAAATCAGATTTGGAAGAGAGATAGAGGGTCAGGGAAGTCTTTCTAGAGAAGGAGAACTCTAACACAGATGAAATAAAATCAAGAGATGGAAAAGTACAGTCTGAGGAATCAAAGGGGGTCATCATGGGCAGAATATAGAATGCAGCGGCCCAGCAGCTATGGATGAGATGGAGTAGTTCCAAGTCTGCATTGTCACACTCTATGGTTGAATTAATAAAGAATACTGCAAATTATTATGTGTTCAAGAGCTTTATTGGAATGCTAGTAAGTATATTAGATTATATTAAGGACTGTAGTTCTAATGTACTTCTTAGATTTAGAAAGTATAACAAATAAAATTCTGAAGCTATGATTTCAGATCCTAGGGTTGTTTTAAAGCAGATTTACCGAATTTCTAATTATAAGCTTATTTGATAAAAATTTTAAAAGGACTGTTTTACTCAGATGTTTTGGATGCCTTGCAGAGGTTAGCCGAGATCTAGTGGGTTCTTGATATATATCGGTGGTGTTAAATCTCCAGAGATTTTAAATGAGTGCCAGAAGTAGGAGATGGAACATAGGGCATATCCTGGTAGGACCAGATAACTTCCAGAATTAGAACCATAGGCAAGGCTGCAGTGTGTAGCACATTTCTGGAGCACTGTCCCCACCAGTCAAGAGAAAGTTAACCAAGCAAGAATCAGAACTCAAGTTTCAGGAAGCAAGACTGAAGACTGAAAAATTAAGAACAGACCATTATACTTGGACCACACAGGAAGGCAGATGTTGAAACAAGGAAAACTCTCAGGCTTTCCTCCTCCTTAGAGTGAAGCTGCACAGTCCCCAAAGCACCTGGGGAAGACTCTTTGAGAGATGGTTTAGAGTTCAAGGAGGACTCTGGCATCTTTCAGTGAAGGGCTTGTACTTAGCATGTAGATCCTATTTCTAAGCCACAAAATAGAGAAAGGCTTTTGTAGACATTTTTCAGTCATGTTGCCAGACAGGAGAACTCTTCTGGGAAAAGTGTGTTCCTGGAAGCAGAAAAGTGGTTCCTTCATTGGGCAGCTGTTGAAATGCATAATGTTGGATTAGATGGGCCACTTTAACCAGAGTCTCATCAAGGTCAAAAACTTAGAGTGTGCAAGCAGTGCCTTGTGGAAGAAAGGCAGAGTAAGCAGAATATCTTCCAAGCCTATATTATAAATGCTGTTCACTTACCTTGCCTCGTAATCTGTTATCTCTTTCCATTGCTGAGTAGTGCTCACTGTGATGCTTCAGGTACCTTACGGGAAATCTGTACCAAACCTCTTCTATCATCATCCTGCCAGCTTCCCAGCATGGTTGAAAATGTCACTATCATTATTTATTTCTTTCCATTCTAAAGACTTATTTTATAGGTTACTTTTGGAATTTATTGTGAACTAATGTACTTTTTAGATTTAGAAACTATAACAAATAAAATTCTGGAGCTATAATTTTAGATCCTAAGGGTCTTTTTAATAAGTTTAGATAATAATTGTTTTCCACAATTTTAATTCAGACTTGATAAATCTCTTGTAGTTATGCAATATATGCTTACCTCTTCAAAGAAATCAGGATGGCTCTGAAAAGAATAATAAGGAAATGCTACTGCTAAGATATTGAAGGTTTGGCATCACCTTTTAATTCTCTCTGTATTTGCATTCACATTGGGGAGGTTGTAACTAAGTGATGCTTAAACTACCTTTCAAATCACTTAATATCATGAACCTAAATTGGTAAACACTGGTGAGCTGACCTCTATAACAATCAGTTAATTGACCAATTGTCCAATTTTCAAACCTCATAAAAACTCTTTCAGTGCCTTTGTGGAGGTACTGAGTGGAGGTGCATGGGCAGATTCCTTTGCCCCTGACTTAGGTGGTATAACATGAAGGCCACTGACAGGTAACTTGAGTTAAATTCCCCAAAAGTGCGGACATAATTAGTTCTTTCTGTCTCCCCTATCAGATTATTCTAGTGTGGAAGCTGCGAGGAGTCAATCAGATCAGATCTGAACCCTGGTTCTCACACTTAATAGCTATATGACCTTGGTAAATGACTTCACCTCTATGAATCTCTGTGACTTCATCTATAAAATAATAGTGATGATGATAGCTACTTTATAAAATGCTAGGTGGATTAAATGAGATATTTGTGAATGCCCCAACAAGGAGTTTGGTATGTAAAAGAGAGACAACACCTGATTATTGTTTTTCTGTAATGCCTGGAATCTATATCCTAAGCTTGTTTTTCAGTGTTTTCTCTACCTTCTTTATCTTAAATAAAAACAAACTCTCCCCAAAGCTATCATTCAAATGGTTATTCCTGTTGTGTTTTTCTTTTTCATATGGCCAGGTAAGTTTTTCACCTACTTATCAGCTCTTCTAGATCTTATTCTTCTACCCTCCCTTCAAGACCTTTCTTTCAATAACTGGATTCTCTTCCTCTCTATGATTTTACCTGTGAACATATTTAAGCATTTCTTATCTTAGAAGAAAAACTAAATTAAGCAAACAAAATAAACATTCCCCTTAATTCTATGCCCTTCATTACTTTAACAATCTCCTTCTTAGGCCATTATCTTAAGCGAATTAATGCAGAAACAGAAAACCAAATACCTCATGCTCTCACTTAAAAGTGGGAGCTAAACCTTGGGTACACACAGACACAAAGATGAGAGCAGTAGACAGTGGGGTTCCAGAAATGGGAAGGGAGGAAGGGGGACAAGGATTGAAAAACTACTTATGGGGTACTATGTTCACTACTTAGGTGACAAGATCAATAGAAGTCCAAACCTCAGCATCATGCAAAATACACATGTAACGAACCGGCACATGTACCCCCTGAGTCTAAAATTTAAAATAATAGAACAATCTCCTTTTTGACTTGAAAGACAAGTTTATGTCTTCCTCTAAGCCCTTTGGTAAGAATTGTAAATCAAATGAATAAGTCAGGATTCTTACCCAGAAGTTGGTCATTGGTCATGGTATTTGAAAAGATATACGGGTTGAGTATCCCTTGTTTGAAATGCTTGGGACCAGAAGTGTTCCAGATATCGAATATTTGTTTTTGGATTTTGGAATATTTGCATATACGTAATGAGATATCTTAAATATGAGACCCAAGTTTAAACAAAAAATTCATTTGTTTCATATACACTTTCTATACATAGCCTGAAGGTAATTTTATACAATATTTTAAAATAATTTTGTGCATAAAACAAAGTTTGTGTACAGTGAACCAGCAGAAAGCAAAGATGTTGCTATCTCAGCCACCCATGTGGACAAACTGTGGTTGTTTGGCGTCACCATTATTCCTGACTCTAAATATATTTGCTACCAATAAGCAACCACTTTCTTGTACTTACTCATACATAAATTCTTAACAGTAAATTATATGTCAAATCATTAACACAGTGAAAAAAATATGCATCCAGGGTAACTAAGGAGCACAGTAGCATCCCCAAAATACCTGTATCAACTGTTAAACAGCAACAACAAACAATGGCAGTCTCCACCTATGATGCTGTGTTTTAATTAAAAGTGTACTATACACTGTATTTTATTTTATTTTTTCAGTTGAGAAGAAACATCAGAAGCAGTTGATGAATCAGAAAGTGAGTCTTCTAGGGATAAGGAGACACTCTGCTAAATGGCTTTTTTAAATGTTTCCTCCAGAGTCATCTGCCTCATTAACGACAGTTTTTTCTCAGAAGTCTCTATTTGATTTTATAAACTGACATGATTTCTTGTTTTGTTATGATTGCAGACTGAGCTAGTCCTTCCATAAGCCCATCACACATCTTCATCATGTTGTTTTTAGGCACATTTTCAGCAGGGTTATCAATGTTATCTTCATTGTCATTATTATCACAATCACCTTGATTTAGAGCCATTTTGGCTGTTTCACTGTTGGTAATGAACAACTGGAGCCTCATTATTGATATTCACTTCTTCCAGCTTACTGATGGACTCTGAACGTATAATTTTTGCATATTGAAGGTATAATTTTGCATATTTCAGGAGGTCAGATATCATTTTTTCTCAACTGGTGTGCAGAATCCTCCAAAATCACCACTTGTTCATCATCACTGAACATAATTCTTCATGCTCAACTCCTTTTGAAAACCTTCTACCCCCACGCCTCTGTTCATTGCTGCTAGCATGCTGTTCAAGAAATTGTTTTTATATTTATGCTTCATTGGTCTAAGGATACGCTGGTCACATGGCTGAATTAATAAGGTCACTTGTAGGGGAAAGTGCATAGCATAAATTATTTTTGGTGAGAATTGCAGCTGAAGGATGAGCAGAACAGATGTCAAGGAATAACAAAATCTTGCAGTCATCATCTAGTCCAATTCCCTGCAGTGAGCACAAACCCCTGGTACAAAATGTTTGTGAAACCAATCAGAAAAGATGTCCCCAGTGATCTATGCCTTTTTGTGTGCATAATAATGGACTGGTGAGAATTCATTCCTTGAAAAAAACAAAAACGCAAGCTTTTGCCTATTACAGCAAGTTTACACTTAAGTGTGCCTGTTGCATTAGCACATCCCAGCACAGTTATTCTGTCCTTGGCAGCCTTAATTCCCATAGGTTCTGTCTCATCAACTGTAGTCAGTGTCTTTCTGAGGCAATAACCCCAAAACAGTGATGTCTTATCAGTATTGTAGATTTGTTTTGACATGAGGCTATCGTTAGTAATGACGCTGGCAAATTTGTTAATGAATCTTCCCTTGAGAACACTGAATAAATGTTTTATCCATCTGCATTTTGACTGTGACCAATTACACGGAGTCGGGTGTAGGATTTTTTACTTGTGGCATCATGTTGGTCTTAAAAGTTTTGGATATTGGAGCATTTCAGATTTCAGATTAGAGATGCTCAACCTGTATCATATTCATTATCATATTTAGTACATTGTATTATGATGCTGTTTCCTCACTTGTGAACAGGAGATAATAAATATTTTGTGGCTCTGGTTGGCTTCCATGGATTCCATGGCAGAAATAGATAGAACTTCAGGGTCTTATGGGATATTTTGAAACACATGGTCTCTTACTACTTTACATCACTACACACACATACAGTGGACCAGAACTCAGTCACATGGCTCCAACCTAATGACAAGTACAAAGAAGGCTGAAATACAGACTTTATGTGTACCCAGGAAAAGAAAACTACGGTGAACATGCAACATTATCTCCACTAAATATTATTATTAATGTCCTCTTTTTAATTACTATTTTTTCACTAGCATGTAAACTCCTAAAGTACAGTTTTCAACTTTTTTCATCTGTTTTGTTTCTCTAGTTCTTTACACAATATGAAGCACATGGCAAGCACTCTATAAATGTTTATTAAGTGACGGACTAACTCATTGACTGGATGAATGAGTGACTCACTGACTCACCGAATAAATGGTTGATTGTCTGAAGTGTACTATCAGGTTGATGCAAAAGTAATTGCCATGACTTAAATGGCAAAACCCGCTCTTACTTTTGCGCCAGCCTATAACAATGCTAAGCCTTGAATGTAACGTCGCTGCCAAACAAATACTTCCACTGGGGGACAATTCTTCATGGATTTCTCACATTTCTACACATCTTGCAAGTAAGTCACCAGCTGCCCTTTGTTCTGGACTATTAGTTCAAGTGTACTCACATAGCAAACAGCCTTGGAATATAATGTCTCCCTCCAGGCCTAAGAGACAGTTTGCTTATGGCCTTGTAAGATAAATGTAATATTCTGAAGCAAAGGGCAGGTATAATTACTATTCAGCATAATAAAGGTAATGTCTTACTTGAGAGCAAAATGAAAGTATACTTACTACCCTTTATAAAAAATTCAGGCACCCAAAGCTCAGAATTCCTTCCCTATAATACAATGCTCTGTATGTACTGATATCATTTGGCTCTCTTTGCATCACCCTGTGAGAATGAAGACTCAGAGAATCAGCACAAAGTGCAGATACTCTGGCTACTGCTATTGAGGTGAATAATAAATTGCCCTTCAAATCTGACTCAGGAGTCTCATGTCTTCTGCCAGCATCCATGAAACTTGTTAACTTGTAAATAGAGTAAAATCTGAGACCTTTCACAGCTCTTAACACCTCCTTTCACTAGAAATGTACATCGTTTATATAATGTTCATTTTGCTTTTAGTTTGATTTGATTTGCATGATCTTGTACAAAAAGCTAAAATCCAGCTCCAAAAAAAGTTTTGCACATCTCTGCTTGTTTTAATATTTGTTTTTCAAATAAATGTAAAAACATCTTCCTGTAGTTTATTTACCCCCCAAAACTCATTTTGTTATTGATGTAAAAAACTTATCATGTTGATGACAATTATATATGTTTTAGATCTCATGAAAGCTGTTGATGTCATTTCTTCCCCTCACTAAAATTACAAAGGTTCCTGTTCACAAAAGGCATTAGCAGACATTCCAATTAGAATGATCTAACATACAAGAGGATTTGTTAATACGTGGCATGTTCCAAGCAGTTTGGAATGTTTCAGAATGACTTTGTGCCTCCCTTTTGTTCCGGTGAACAAAATCTTTGCTAGAGTGCAGGTGTGTTCCTGAGATGGTCATCCTTGAAGGAAACAAGCACTGTGCCAGGAGCCAGTGGAAGCATTTTTTTTTTCAATTTCCCATGGGGAAAATCTAATGGAATGGTAAGTCACTTGTAAAGCCAGATCAAAGCAATGCATTAATGCCTGGATTTGTACCATTCCTTGTCCTCTTAGACGCCCACTAGTTTGTCTTTTGCTACAAGCTACCTGCTGGAGCAGAAGAGTCAAAATTTAAAAGTACGTATTTCTGAAGGGTCAAATGAGTTTTCCATTGACTGACACTAAGGAATTCTCAGTCTACAAGGAGTTCTTCAACACTGATTTTTCACAGGATCTTATAGAAGGAAGCCTTTCTCTGTGGTCTTAATAGAGATGGAAATATTCAAGCTGCTGCCTGTGAGAGTAGCTTGAATAGAAGAGGAATGGTGTTGTCTTCCCTGTGCCACTGGCAGGCAAGACTAAAAGCACAGTGATTTTTCTGGTAGTTACTACAGTGACTTTACGGTAGTTTGTAATAGAGAAACAATTTCCCTCCAATTAATGGAAGAATTTTAATGGATTCATCTATTTGTTAATTTTCAGCAATGGCAATGTTGTTTTCCTAAAGGAAATTAAATCAAAGCAACCGTTAAACCCTAGTATTTTGAGCATTCTGAAAAACTTTTTTCTCTTTTCATTCAAATAAGAATCATGCATCTATGATATCCAAAAAGGCTCAGAAAGGAACAGCCAGTTTAATTTTCCACATATTAGGTTTCCTAGCTGGCATAAAAAAACATGTTTTCGTCAACATCTTTTGTTGCTTCAAGGCACCATAAAATGGAAAAAAAAACACAAATAGTAAAGACAAACTATAGTGCCTTATCTCTGAATTTGCTTTTAAAACTAATATACATATAATATACATGCATACATAATATACATGCATTTATATAAATGCATGTGTGTGTGTGTGTGTGTGTGTGTGTATGGTACACATAAGCATATTGATCTTCAACAGCAGGAGCCATTCACAAGCTGAAATACTGTCTCCTTCACTTTCTGTGTGGTTTAAACCCGGCTGCTAGCAAGCATACCTAATTCCTTACCAAGTACTAGAAGACAATGATATTTTGATGTCACTCAAGGATAATGCCTAGTAAACCACTGTAAAATTGTATTAAGAGGTCTAAACAAAATCCCTCATTTAGAATTGAAGTGAGATTACTGAACTGTCTTTTTTTACATGTCTTTCTCCATTTGCACAAATGTGCTCTTTGAAAGCTGATTGGGAGCAATGTGTCTGTGTACCTGGCAAGGGAGGCAAAGGACATGGTGAGGAAAATGAGATCTCAGATCGTCTTCTAAAGCCTACATACCAGACAATTGCTCACAGCTTTATTTTTCTTTATAGCTACCACTCAATACAAGTTATTTTGGGGGGATCTTCATTTATTTACTTATGTAAGTAATATATATTTACTGTAGAAGAGCTAGAATACATAGAAAAGTAAACATACTACCCCCCAAAAAATTTGATTATCTTACCACCAGAGATAGCCATTGCTACGTGGTGGCATAATAAGAGTTATCAAATTTTTAAGTAGTTACAGAGTGGCTGCAGCTGCATACTCTAGAAAATTCGAGGCCTCACCTGCAAACACACCTCCCTATTGATTCACTCCTTGATTTTCCTTTCCCTTTTTTGTTTCCTCAACCCTTCCCCGACTCCTGCTACCTCCTGATATCAGAAAAATGTTGTCCCTCTGAGTATGCAGCAATAGCCATTCTCACTGTAGGCCCATTGGCTCAAAGTTCTGCTCTTCATCATAGATCCAGCCTGGTGATGAGAGAACCAGGACCTTCCTATGGGGCTAAGTGAATGGACATTCTCTTGTCATCTTTACAAATCCATGACTTTCCTCTGTTCAGAGATTTGGTAGAATGGCAACCTACTTTATATGGGTGACTGACATTCAAGAATTTGCTTTCTGCTTCCAATTCCCTCTTAGTAACCCTAGACAGATAGATACACATCAACACATATACCAACCACTGTGTCCCACAGCAACTTTGGCTCAAAGCAGATGGTGGTGCCAGACAGGAGAGATGAGTAGGTCAAACTCAACTCCTCTGGTTTTGGGGTTGTGTTCAAGTGAGGCTTGTCTTCCCATCGTGTAGTCATCCTGTGTCAGGCATATGGGCTGCTTCTAAACTGTCAGTGTTGTGAGCCCCATTGTTGCTACCTTTTCCCTCCAACTTCATGTCTCACCCCCTCCTCCATCAGGGGATATGTCTTCAGTTTGAATAACTGAGCCAGGAGTTTCTCTTTAGCATCCAAAGCTAGGAAATCAATGGTTCAGGACAAGCTGAACTGGAGTCAACACCACCTTATATTGCTATGCTGTGGCTCTGCATTTTCCATTAAGGCACACATAACAACAGATTTGCCTGTTTAACAACAACAAAAAAATGCTTCCTGGCCAGGCAGCCCAACATTCAGCTTCAACTTTTCCCTGGTCAAGGTGACTTGTCTCAATTTATCCTTACATATCATGGCTAGCAAAGGCAATGCCCTGCCCTGCTTAACCCCACTATAAGCTCTGCTTTGGAGCAGTTCCCATTATACTGGCAAAGTTACTATGCCAGGAAAGCAGCAGACAGGAGGAAGCAGGTCAGAGCCCTGGACTGGGCCATCTGTCACTTTGGTGCCAGAGTCACTGCACAGGCAACACGCTGATCTCTCCTAACTAACCTTTGAAAGCAAGGTGATCACACCCTAAGTACCTAGTAACTTAGGTACTATTCTATAAAAAATTAGTTCCAACCTAAAACTCTACCTATAGAACATGATCTTGTCTTTAGAAAATGTACGATCTGTTTTTGTTGATGTTTCTAATGAATGTATCACCAACACTACTACCATAGATCTTAATTAGATACCTTTGTACTTTACCGCTCTAAAGACAATAATTGAAATGGATGAAATATGCAGGGAGTTTATACAGGACTCCAAAGTGTCACTGTTGTCCATGAATATTGAAGCAGATCTGGAAACAGATAAGCCCAGGCACAGATATCAGCTCTGTCACCTAGCAGTTCTTGGACATTGATTAAGGTTCAGATTCAATATCCACATCTGTGTCACCTACTATTTCTTGGATATTGGTCAAGGTTCAAATTCAGTTTCCACATCTATAAAATAAGGATAATAATAACCATAAGCAACAAGCAATGAGTTCTTGCTGTGTCCCAAACACCGTGCTGATTGTTTTATACCCACCTTGTCATTCAATTCTCACAGCAAGCTTACAAATTAGACACTGTTGTAATACTCATTTTTACAAAGGAGGATACTGAGGTTCAGAGAGGTTGTTTCCTCACAAGAATCAATGTGAAGATTAAATGAAATAAAATAGTGAAGTGTTTCACACACTGTTTGGCAACAGTTATTACTGCTGCTGCTGTCATCATCTATATTAATTACCTTCCCCAAATTGGCTTTTAATACTTTAGTCCAGTTGCATACTCATGTCACACTCTCTTCTTTCCTCTCTCCCAGACATCACTTTATAAGTTTTTCCCTTCCCTTTCTCTATCAAACCTCCCTTTAACTCACTGGGAATGAGATGATCAGTATCTGTGAAACAGAAACTGTAACTCGCGTGTTTCAGCTTCACGTTCTTAAGATAAGACACCTTTTCTCTTAATTAAATATGGTAAATACTTAAACTCTTAAGCTGATGTATTTTCTGTTTTTTGTTTGTTTGTTTGTTGGTGTATTGTTTTGTTTTGAAACAGAGTTTCACTCTTTTTGCCAAGGCTGGAGTGCAGTGGCGCAATCTCAGCTCACTGCAACCTCCACCTCCCAGGTGCGAGCAATTCTCCTGCCTCGGCCTCCCGAGTAGCTGGGATTACAGGTGCCCACCACTACGGCAGGCTAATTTTGTATTTTTAGCAGACACAGGGTTTCACCATGTTGGCCAGGCTGGTCTCAAACTCCTAACCTTAAGTGATCCGCCCTCCTCGGCCTTCCAAAGTGCTGGGATTACAGGCGTGATCCACCGCGCCTGGCCGTATTTTGTTTCTTAATTTATGGATCTATCAGACAAGCCTTTACTTAGGCAAAGTTGACAGTCCTCCTGAGTTTTAGTATTTATTTTTCTGATTACTCAATTTATACAAAATTCAAACATGACTGAAGTAATTAACTTTGAAAAGGAAAATTTTCCACCAAAAAATCCATCTTCTAGAGATAACCACTGATAATAGAATGTAACATATCCCTTCATCTTTTTTTATGTATATGCTTATCTATTATTATTGCTATTATTTATTTTTACACAAACATACCTGTATAGCTGGGAGCGGTGGCTCATACCTGTAATCCCAGCACTTTGGGAGGCCGAGATGGGCGGATCACCTGAGGTCAGGAGTTCTAGACCAGCCTCAACATGGAGAAACCCCCTCTCTACTAAAAATACAAAAAATTAGCCAGGCATGGTGGTGCATGCCTGTAATCCCAGCTACTCAGGAGGCTGAAGCAGGAGAATTGCTTGAACCTGGGAGGCTGAGGTTGTGGTGAGTCGAGATCATGCCATTGTACTCCAGCCTGGGCAACAAGAGTGAAACTCCATCTCAAAAAAAAAAAAAAAAATACATGTATAAATGTACCTTATTCTTTGTAATGACTGTATAGAATTCTATTGTGGGACTATACATAATAATACATGTAATTCTTATTTACCTGTTAGGAAATCAAGCATCTCTGAAGCACTAACATACACACAGTATACACACATACACACTCTCTCATAGATGAAATAGCCCCCATGTGCTTGTTATTATTGCCAGGAAACTATTATTATCTTTTCACTATTAAAATACTTTATTTGTGGATGTGTTCTGTTCAAATGCAGGTAGCTTCAGTCAGTAACTCGATAAGTGACTAATACTGAAGCTTGGTATCTGGAAGAATTGAAGAAAGAAGACAGAAAAGGGAAATGGAGGGAACAAAACAGATACCTTGGCCATTATAATTGTCTTCTGAGCAGTTGTTTACATTAGTATTATGTTTTTTATGTTTTCATCTCTAGGGCACCAGGTGGCTCTTTCTACAGTCATCTAAGTGCATCACTCAGTAGTTGATGCCACCCCCCAGGCTACTTTAAGGAAATTTTTCTTAGGCATCACAGTGAGCTGGTAATCCTAGTGAAAATGTGCTATCTTTAGATATAAAGGAGATGCTACCTGTATACCTACAACACAGACTGAATGTCCATACATCAGGGAGCAGTTGTGAAAGGTACTCAAGGAATAAACCCATTGCTTTGATCTCCAGGGCTCTGCTCTCTATGTAAATGAGCTGCTTTGCCTGAGCTCTTTAAGTGAAGTCCCACTCTGGCATCCTATACATTTTATTTTAGCAAGTTGAGAAAATGGTGATGTCTTAAGTACAGAAGATAAATGGACAGTCCAATGCTGGGGTGCTCAAGATTTGCCAGTGCTAAGAATCACCTAGAATGCTTTTCAGATTGGATTTCTACCTTTCCCTTCAAATACTGGACTAGGGCCTAGGAATCTGCATTCAATAGATTCATCAGGAAATAATAATGCAGGTGATTTGTAGACCACACTTTGAAACACACTAAAGGGTCCTGTGCGCAAAGGGGAAGAACAGCAGTATCCTTCATTAAAAAGTTTTGTGTTAATTTCTGATTCCCACCATGATGAATAACTAGAATTAAAATTACCCTTTTCATGTAGACACCTGAAAAATTGGACAAAATCTGTTATACAACATTAATTTGTACAATGGATAGTGCAGGACTAAGTTCCATGATAAGAGAAGACAGCAGGGTGAGCGCTATGATTACTCTAGTGTTCTGCCTGGAGGCAGTTTCTGGATGTAGTGCAAGGAGGGGGATCTCACACGGGAAATTATTATTATTGTTAACTATAATCATTATAACTTAAATGTGTCGTGGCTGTGCTAAGAAATCAACAAGACTTTCATTTCATTCTAATTTGTTAAAATCTCCTAGGAAATAAAAATCATACTTGACGACTATATCTCAGTGTGGAATTCATATTTTGAAGTAAAGCATTTTCTTTCAAGCATTCACGTTATAAACATAGTTGAAATGACCTCTATTCCTACCATTCTTGAAGAGCAGAAAAATAAAATACAAATCAATAGAAAAAGTACCAATATTTCTATCATTTTATTAACATTAAATATACTGATATTATTAGCTAACTGGTCATTCAGTGTAGCGCAAACAGACATTGAGTGTGTAATCTGTGAACTATTCAGGTTTTTATCCTCTTCTTTCCTCGCTCCCTTACTTCCTTCCCTCCTTTCTCTTCTATTTCTCTCTTTCTCTCTCTCTGGATCCCCTCCATTCCCATCCCTCCCTCTTATGTGATCAAATAGATCAGGAGATATAAAACATGTGAAGATAACACGAGACATCCATCAACATGTTGGTAGTCCTTATAAGGACTTACTTGATAGACAAAGGACATAAGATGAGTTTTTTTGTTTGTGTGTTCCCATTATCCAATATGTCTTTCCATTATCAAAGCTGACTTTTTAAATTTGCAATGAATGACACTAGTGTCAAAAGGTAAGAAAAGTATATTGTAGCATAATAAATCAGTTTAAAAATGTAGTGGTTTGTTTAAAAAAATCTTTTCTACATTTTAATTCTGAAATTAATCAAGACAAAAAGATACTGTTAGTGAACAAAGCTAACCTGGGCAACTTTTATAATGTGACAAAAAAATGATACGTATGAGTCAGATTAGCTGGAGTTACTAATGACATTTTTTTAAAAACCATATATTTAAAGTAATTAACTAAGGGACATATAAATATAATTTATTATATTTGTATGTTTAGTATGCAAAATGATTCCTATGTAGTTATACATGACTAGCAATCCTACTCATAGATATTTACAAAAGAAAGATGAAAACTTACATTCATACAAAAACCTGTATGTGAATGTCTATAGTAGTTGTATTCACAGTCAGCAAAAATTGAAAACAACTAAAATGTCTTTCAGCATGGGCAGAAAGATGAATGGATAAACAAACAGAGTTACATTCACACAATGAAATACTGCTCAGCAAATAAAATGAACAAATTGCTAATATGCCCAACAACGTGGTGAATCACAAATGCATGATGCTAAATAAAGCCAGATTCAAAAGGCTACATACCGTACGGCTCCATTTACATGACAAAACTATAGTCACAGAAACAGATCAGGGTTACCTCAGATTAGGAGTTCAGAGAGGTTAATTATAAAGAGGCAAGAAGAAATTTGGTGGGAGCAGGGAAGGTGGTGATAGAAGGATAGAATTGTTCTCTATCTAGGTTGTGGTAGTGATTAAACGACTGTATGCTTTGTCAAACTTATAGAACTGTCACTAAAACTTAGTAAATTTTACTTCACGTAAATTATACTCAATAAACCTGATGAAAAAAAATAAGATGAAAAAGTAAGACCAATTTTATTTCCTATATTAATTATTTATCATTTTCAGAATTAAATTTCAATTATAAAACAAATATTAGAAGAATATTATTTGTTTAATCTCTGGTTTTGACTAATAAATTCCTGGAATTTCTAGATTATTCCAACTGGTATAAAACTTTAGATATGGTTTATTTAACTAAATTCTTGGAATAAAATGAAAAAATATCAATTACAATAAGCATATATTATTGGTTTGAGTCTTCAACCAAAGACAATTGTTGGTTCGTCTCTTTGTGTTTTGGCATAACCATCCCCTCAGTGGGGCAAGAGTTCTATCAGTTCTCTGGACCCACACACAACTGGTAGAAACTCACCCCTATAAGGAGCTCCCCAAAGACAGAATTTAATGAAAAGGAAAAAAGAGGAACATACTTCAGAACTGCAAGTTGCTGGTGCTTTCACCATGGCAAGCATTTTCTGAATTAATAATCCTAGCCACAATTGTATACCTTCAGGAAAAATACTATCACAGTCATTTGATACAATTACTTTGACTTCCAGTTTGATCTTCCAATCTCAATTGCTAAAAAACGTGAAAGTAATTACATTTACTAGTATGACAGGATTCATCTGTTTAAGTCATAGGGGCCCAGTATAAGACCCATTTAAGGCTCGCAATTTCACACTATTGGATGGCTTTGGTGTCTAAACATGGCAGAGCCATGGTATCTTCTCCCTGCTGTTTCTTTAGCATCTTATTACTTTTATTGGATAGTCCTAATTGGTTGCACTGAGAACAGATGAAGAGCTTTGACATGTTGCGGGTTGTAAATTTCTTCTAACACCTCTAGGAAAATAATTTCTAAATAAAGGAATTTGTTTCTTAAGAAAAATACACAAAGCCATGATTTTAAAAATGTTTTCATTCAGTAGATATATGTGCCTTATTACCACATTTAAATTGTGATGCATGACCAAGCATTAGTTGTTTTTCTTCAATAAGACTGTGCTAATGAAGGAAGAAGAATCACTAAAATCAAATGCCTTTTATACATGACACCAAAGTCAACCTCATAAGTGAATTGAACTAAATGTCACTTAAATATTGAACAATACTTACAGACTGATGGGCATATGGCAGCAGGAAAATGCCACCTGGCTCATAGAAGGCACCCAGAGGATAAATGGTTATTATTAATTGATCAGGTAGGAACTAAGGCAATAGCCACTAATATTACTACAGTAGTAAGTGCTAATATTAATAGATATTAATGGCTTCAGCTGAAAATATTCACAGTGCTGCATGAGTACCTAAATGGATGTCTAAAAATATAAAATATTGTCCTTCAACCATGTTCAATAAGATACTTCGTTAAAAATAGTTTATCTGAGATCCTTTTAACTCTCAGGTTTGGAGCCTAGAGTTCATGGCTTTGCATGTTGATTTACCATGAGACCTAGAAAATCAGAGTTTTACTGTCCTAAACTGCTCTTATGAACTGTAAGATATACATCTAGAATCTTAGTACTATATTTTCCCAGCCTCATAATGTGTGAGGTAATAAGTTAGGTCAGTTTTTATTCACTGTTTCAACTTACTGAAGGAGAATTTCTTTATGATGACAATGAAAAAATACAAACAAAAGAAAACTTTTGCATTTCACATACCTCATTTTTTTAAAATGATTCAGAAAAAAATTCTACAGAAAACTCAAGATGCTTGTTGCAATGCCACAAAGTTAAAATGGCAAAAGTTATCACAAATAACCAGTAATTTGACTGAAAAGGCAATCAAGACTTTTTAAAGAAGATGTAGCTAGTTTAGTAATGCATTGGTTAAGAAATTTTGGTAATTCAGAATATACAGACTGGGCCTTTTTCTTATTCAGCTACTTCATAAACATAGCTAATGATGATACATCTAACATTAAACAAAAAGAGAGCTAGCAAAGATAATGGTGGGGTAATCTGGGAGAGCAATAAAGCATTTGATTATTTGATTGGTGATCTGCGTAAGAGCTTGCATGATTTATACTGTTAAAAAATTAAAATGAAACAAGCTTTTCCAAACTCTATTTAAAGTCATGTTTTCAGAGTTAGACTTCTGTCATCCTAGGACTTCCCATCAAGTTCTAGTAGCTTATTCAAAATATAATACAGAAGCCTGAGGAGTAAAATTTGTCCACTATGAAATGATTGGAATACCCACATCTTGTTCAGTAAGGTATATTTTCTTGTGGTCTTGGCAACCTTCAACCACAATCAAAGCAAAGAATGCTCCCTTAGGAGTACATTTGGATGCAACAGCATTCTCCTCTGGATAGCAAGAGGAGATACCACAATGTGGTATCTCCATTTCCCAGTTTCCATTACAGTTACTCAAGGCTACAGGTGACTGAATTATAGCTAAGCAAATGACAGCAGAAGTGATATGAATGTGACTGGCAAAACAAAGATGCTGAAGCATTGTCTCAGAGGGGCAATTAGATGTTTGCCACATGATCTATTTATTTAGGGCAACAGCTGTGCATATATTCAAAAACTTTAAATGGAACAACTCTCCAAGCTCTCCTGAACTCTGTATTTTTAATTCAAGAACAAACTGAGGACATGCTGCTAGTTCCCCTTCCCACCATTAATTACCACAAAGGAGAGAAAATATATTTTTATTATGTACAAATATGTAACATTCCAGAGAAAAAAGGATTTGTACCTTTTTTTATTCATTGAATGCACTTCATCTTCTTTGACACATGGAGTAGATTTAAAGAAGACTACAGTTTTCAAATTCTCATAGATGATGAAGGCTAAAGGAATGGCCAGGTTTAATCACTTTCTGGGTGATTAATTTGGGCACTTCAGTAGAAATAGCCCAGCAGTTTTACTCTTCATCATCATATCCACACACGGGCAAAGGAGCAGGCCACAGAGGTATCTCCCTCAAGTAGGAACCAAGATTGCAGGTAGAGACTTCAGAAAGGCAGAATGGTCTCCTTGGTATCTGGTGGCACTCGCCAAGGTCAGGTCAGAAGATCACAGTGCTGAAACTTTCTCACTGAGGCCACAGCAGTTAAATGCCAATGACACAACTATAATAAAACAGCCTAAACAAATTATTACAAACGAAGTCACCACTGTATTCTTCAGGAAAACTAAAAATGAATTTCATTAACTGATAAAAGGTCTCTACAAAATACCTAAAGTAAACATCACAGTGTTTGATGAAAATTAGAAACAAGCCGGCTGCTATGGCTCACGCCTTTAATTCCAGCACTTTGGGAGTCCAAGGTGGGCAGATCACTTGAGCTCCGGAGTTTGAGACCATGTTTGGGCAACATGGCAAAACCCTGCCTCTACAAAAAATAGAAAAGAAATGTAGCCAGGCATGGTGGCGTCCATCTGTGGTCCCAGATGCTTGGGAAACTGAGGTGGGAGGATGGCTTGACTCCAGGAAATGAAGGTTGCAGGGAGCTGAGATCCCACCACTGCACTCCCGCCTGAGCAACAGAGCAAGACTGTATCTCCAAAAAAAAAAAAAATCAGAAACGGGAAAAAATTTTTTCTTTGTTATCACTTCTTAATTAAAACACTGTAATGGAGTGCTAAGACAATAAATAAAAGTATTTTTAAAACCTTCTGAAGTAGTTATAAATTAGCTAAAAGTATTGAGGCTTTTATAAAAAAAAACATAAAATTATCAATAATAACAGAAGTGACATTCTGAATAACTGGAGAAATTTATTATTATAATTCTCCAAAAACAAGTCCTAAATTTAGTATCATCCAAATCCAAATTCCAACAGGATTTCTGAAGGTGTTTGACAGGCTTATTCAAAAATTCATGTAGGAGGTCTTCACCATAAGAATATAAAAGGCATTTTTAAAAAGAAGAACAAAGACAAGGGATTATCAAAATATATCTAAACATAGTAACAACATAAGAAATCAAAATTGGCTAGTATTAAAACAAGAATAGAATAGGATATCAATAAATCGGAATACAGACTTCAGAAACAGACTAACATAATTCAAACTACTTTTCAAGCTACTGAGGAGATGATATGGTATTCAAAAAATTGGGTTGGGGTAATTGAATGTTAACTTTGATAATAAAAAGTGAAGTCCCTACCTCACAGAAATAATAAAAACAAGTTTTAAATTGAAGATACAAATATAAAGCAATGTTTAAGGTAATTATGAAAAATACATCTACAAACATGGAATAAATGAGGTCATCTTCAACAAGATACAAAAAATAAAATATTAAAAGAATAATTTGCCTACATAAAAATTATAACCTATTTATGTTAAAAGATGCCATTAATAGATTATTAAACCCAACAATAAAAAGGAGAAATATATTTGAAATGTATATAATAAGCAAAAAGTTAGTATACAGTATGTGAAAATAACTCCTACAAATTAATATTTTAAAGACCCACAAAAATGGGACAGAATGTAAACACACAATTCCAAGAGAGAAGACCTAAATAACCAGTAAGCATGAGAAGATATGCAGCCTCATTGGTTAGGAAAAAAATGAAAATTACAATGAGAATGAGATAGCTTTTTTAAACACAATTTGATTAGGAAAATGTAAAAAAGCATTGTAATATCCAATGCTGTTTCGCCTAAGGAAGACAAGAAACTCCCCAAAATTGCTAGTGGCAGATTGGTGTAGCTACTTCAGAGAGACATTTTGTGGCATTTGTTAAATTATTTAAAATATGTATCCTAGGCCTCATCACTTCCAGTCCTATGTGGCATTTGTTAAATTATTTAAAACATGTATCCTAGGCCTCATCACTTCCAGTCCTGGAGATTTTCTCTAAAGGACTACTCAGACAAGTCTGCAAAGAGGCATATGTAATGTATTGCAGCATGAATTAAAAGTGCTTGTTTTAAAAAAATAAGAAAAACATCAACAGAGAAATGGAAATTAATAGTATATTCATTCTATGAACTTCCAATATATCGTGAGAAAAAAGTTGCTTGAACATAAAAATGTACAGCATCTCATTTATACTTTCAAAAATCAATTCTATGTACCATTTTTGAATAGCAATATATATGCAAATATGTAAAAAGTCCTAGTAGCATACAAGTTGCTCATTGATAATAATGGTTACTTGAGGGAAGGGACTGGAAATTAAATGTGGTGGTAATCAAGTAAAACTTGATTTTATCATAATATTTGCATATTTTACAGTGAGAATTCATTCATATATTTATTATTAATTATGTAGTAAAAATAAAACTGAAAAACATCTTGGCATGTTCAGACTCAGCTGGAATGGGATTAAGAAGATATCTATATCCAGCAGTTTAGCTAGTGTGAGAGACAGAATAATGGTCCCTCAAAGATGTCTATGCCCTAATCCTTAGAACATGTAAATATGTTAATTTACGGGGCAAAAGGGACTTTGCAGATGTGTAAAATTCAGAATCTTGAGATGAGGAGAATTATCTGAGTGAGTCAAATGTAATCATAAGGGGTTCATATATGAGGGAAGCGGTAGTGTCAGAAAAGGCAATATGACAACGGAAGCAGAGATAGAGACTGGAAGAGGTTACACTGCTGGCTTTCAAGAGTCAAGGAATACAAGCACCCTCTAGAAGCTGGAAAAGACAAGGAGCCAGATTCTCCCCTAGCACCTCCAGGAAGTATTCAGCCCTGATATCCGTATCCAACTTTTGACCTTCAGCATTGTAATAGAATATATTTGTGTCTGTTTTGAACCTTTAAGTTTGTGCTAGTTTTTGCAACAGTAATAGGAAACCAATACAACCAGTTAAGATAATTTATGAGTCAGTAAATATGCAGTATGCAGACATCAACAAATAAAAGAGAATCTACTTTAACTTTTTAAATAGCTTCTATTCTATCTCATAAACAAAGATATTAATTTCAGGATACATGTAAAATTTTCTAAACAAAGACAGTACATTGAAATATGGATTAAGAGTAAATCCAGATTATTAACATCAGGAACAATTTTCATCAAAGATAGTTGTCTATAACATTTTTCTTCCTGCCAGGTAAGTTTCCAGTGATGTTATCTTGCTTCTGGTCAAGTTGTAGAGACACTTTTTAGTATTAGCTATAAATAAGCCCTCCTTCATTCTAAGATATTCTATCTTACTTGCCAGCCTGTTCATCTTTTTATCAGATATTGCTCTGAATTGAGATTTAGAACAAACATTGTACCATTTTTCCCCCAAAATTCTTCCATGGAAAGGTATTTCAGCCCCCTGGACAGGTTACAGATATACAAGGTTACACAGGACATCTGTTTCTCAGGGGAAAGGAAGTCCTCAGCACACATTGCAGGTCACCCTCAGCAATTTTGTCTTCTTAATTAACAACAGAAAAAAATATATATAGATTTTTAAAATATTAATTAAAGTATCTTTAAATACGTGTTTGATTTTAGCTTCTGTTAAAATCAGATTGAGCAACTAAATTCACTACTTTTTTTTTACTGACAATATTTTTCCATATTAATGTCTCCTATTAGTAATTTATTTTCCATCATGAAAAAGCACTTAAAATACCAATGGCCTACTTCAGAGCAAGTTCATGGATGAAAGCCCCTGATTGGCTACTAATGGATCAGGTTCATAACCTATCTTTTATTTATTGATTTTTAAGCACTGTCTTCAAGTCTGAGTTTCAAAAAGACTATTTTTTTATAGAATACTTAGGAAAGCCTGGAGTGAGGGATGCTATTTTTGTGAGAAAAATGGGATGGGGAAAGGAGAGGTTTAAGGTAAACTTTTCCATCAATAGGATCAGTCTATTATCATGAAATTAAACATAAGACAAATTGCCCTCTTTCCCACTTCTATTAAAGTCATCTTCTCGGTGTACAGTGTCTTCTGGTTTTTGAGGAAACTGCTCTTCTGACAGTGTCTCAGGCAGAAATTGCACAAAGCACAGAGAGAAAGTGAGGAGGTTATGAGAACCATAAAAGACAGAGTAGTGGTCTGTATAGGTCAAGACTTATAAAAGAAGGATGATTTTTAATTAAAACAAGTCATTCTCTTTTATATTTCCAGGTCAATTCTATTTATTTTGTTGAGTTGTTCTTTGAGAGTAGACAGGTTTTGTTCTCTCTCAGTAATAGCATAAACAGAAATGCACAGAGGTCAGGACGACAAAATTTGCAGTCAAGAGCATCAGATTGTAAATTCCAGCTCTGCCAGGTCCCAGACCTTGGCCATGGACAAGTTTCATACCATTCTTTGAGCCTTGGCTCCTCATCTGTTAGATGTGAATGGGAGTTCACATTTGAATTCCTTCATGTGGCTGTCACGAGTATTACGTGAGATATAAGCCTCTTCCCACCATGTCTGGCACATGCTGAGGACTCGTTAGGAAACAACTGTTACTGTGCAGTTTGCAGTTTTTAAATCACTATGATAATCAGGGAAGCTTGCTGTAGTTAATAAAATTCTTTCACTCAGTTTAAGCCCATTTATTCTTGCTTAAATCTCTATAATCCTAGCCTAAATACATACCATGACACCTACCTAAGTAGGCAAAAGGTAGTTTAATCCGTAAGGCCAGTCACATCTGTTTATTGTTGGACTTTACCAAAACAAAAAGATATTTTGAATTAGATGATAAATCTGAAGAAGATATATCTTATATGTCATATGTTCCAATAATGAAACACTCAAACTGAATTTCTATCAAGACTACAGGTTGAGAAGCTAGCACTAAATTCTGTTACTTAAGCTACCCTCTGTCCACTGAGGCATTTATCCTCAAAGCAAGGAATGAACCAAAAGGTCCATAGTATGGTGGCAGGCTCCAGCAAAAGTATGGGTCTGTGAGTAATTAGTCTCTTTTATTATTCATTCATCTAATTAATAGTTATACTCTGGATATTCGCTACTTGCCAGGCATAGTTCTAAGGGTTAGGAATAGAGCAGAAAATGAAATATCCTCTTCCTTAAATACTACAGACATTGTTTTAAACATTTTAAACACTAGAGACAGTAGTACATATTACAATATATTACCTGTCAGGCTATAAACAAATAAGTAATAAATATACAGCATGTCCTCAAATTGTATCACTTCGTTCAATGTCATTTGATTATAAGGTTGATGAGAAAAGAACTGGATTCCCGGAGGAGGACTCTGCCTGTGCAGAGTTTGTACATTCTCTCCACATTTGTGTGGGTTTTCTCCGGGTACTCCGGTTTCCTCCCACATCCCGAAGCTGTGCCCGTTAGGTGAATCAGTGTTCCTGCATGGTCCCAGTGAGAGTGTGTCGGTGTGTGTGAGTGCACCCTACAGTGGAATGGCAGCCTGTCCAAGGCTGGTTCCTGTCTTGCATCTGAGCTACTGGAATGGACTCCAGCCACCTGCAACCCTGAACTGGAGTTAAGTGTGACAGAAAATGAGTACAAATTATTGTCGAAAAATAAATTTTCATGTCTAAGATAAACATACTAATGCATGACAATAAATGAGGCAGGCCCTTAGTGAGCCTGCCTATATGCAATTGTTTGTTTTTGAACTACATGGTGTTAGGAGGTTCTCCTTCCAATTTTCACTTCACAGACATTTATTTCTTGGTTTAACCCACCACCATTATGACCGCCATCAATCACTGATTCACCAAACTTCAGTAAATAATTACCTTGATTGTTTTGATTAAATTTTCTTAAATGTATGAACAGCTCATGTTTATTTCAATATTTAATATTAGAAGTGTTTTGGTCCTTATTAAGAAGTTCAGTGGTGTTTTTGTGACAAGAAATATGCCATAGCAACTTAGCTCTTGTTTATATCAATTAGCTGATGGTAACACTGGTTTTGTTATAGGTGGTTTGGCTTAAAGTCACAGTTTACAAGAACCTGTCAACAACGTTAAGTGAGGAACTACTGTATAGGTCATTTTTTGAATATGAACTATTGTCAAAAACTATGCAAAGTGAGGTTTATAAGGAGTGCCAGCTTGGAAGTTGGGTGAAGTGAGGATAAGGAAAGGCTTTAATGAAAAGATGATAAATGAGCAGAGATCCAAAGGAATGTGCCATGAAGGCAACTAAGGATAGAGTGTTCCAAGCTAGGATCCTTGGGCTGACCACAAAGATTATATTTAGTGATTAATGACAGTGATTCAGCATTCACTAAACATCTTCCAGAAAAAGTAAAATAAGATTCTGAATTTACATAGTTTATGGCTTTAAAAAGTATTTCTAACTTTATAATCAATGACAGCACAAAATCACCAGGAATGAGATCTTTGATATGTACAATTTTCCAGTACTTTATGGTAAAACCAATCTGCACTGGAGAATGTAAAGAATCAGCTATAGGCAATGTCCAATGAGCTGTTTAACTGTGGACAAAAAGAAGTGATTCACAACTGGAAAACAGAAAATACTTTACATGGTATGTGGATAGATTATAAATTGCAATAGTGACAGGGCATTTTGTGGCAGCCTGGAGGAATGGCATTGTTCCAAATCTTGAGGCCAACCAACAAGCAAAAATCTTAAATATCCTCAACAGCTTTAAACAGGAACACAATCAATCATCAAAAAATTGACGTAACATACATTCAATAAGAAAAGCCACAGCTGCACAAACAAGCAAGAGTATCTTCTCAAAAGACAATTACACAACAAAAGATGCAATCAACAGAGTGAAAAGGCAACCTACCTGTATTAGTTCATGCTCACACTGCTATAAAGAAATACCTGAGACTAGGTAATTTATAAAGAAAAGAGGTTTAATTGGCTCAGGGTTCCACAGGAAACTTACAAACATGGCAGATGGCAAAGGAGAAACAAGCTCATCTTACATGGCCAGAGCAGGAGGAAGACAGAGAAGGGGGGAGGTGCCACACATTTTTAAACAACCACATCATGAGAACTCACTATCACAACAACAGCACAAATGAAGATCATGTTAATCATGAGAAACTGCACCCATGATCCAATCACCTCTCACCAGGCCCCACCTCTAGTATTAGGGATTACATTTCAACCTGAGATTTGGGTGGGGACACAGATACAAACCATATCATTCCACTCCTGGCCCCTCCCAAATCTCATGTCCTTCTCACATTTCAAAGTGCAATGAACAGTACCCCAAAGTCTTAACTAATTCAGTATTAATTCAAAAGTCCATAGTCCAAAGTCTCATCTGAAATAAGGCTAGTTTCTTCTGCCTATGAGCCTGTAAAACCAAAAACAAGTTAGTTACTTCCAAGGTACAATGCGAGTTCAAGTATGGGGTAATTTTCCCCTTTCCAAAAGGGAGAAATCAGACAGAGGAAAGGGGCTACAGGCCCCATGCAAGTCTGAAATCCCGCAGGACAGTCATTAAATCTTAAAGCTCCAAAATGATCTCTTTTGACTCCATGTCCCACATCCAGGGCACACTGGTTAAAGAGGTGGACTCCCAAAGCCTTGGGCAGCTCCATCCCTGTGGCTTTGCAGAGTCCATCCCCTGCAGCTACTCTCAGGGGCTGGTATTAAGTGCCTGTGGCTTTTCTAGGTGCATGGTGCAAGCTGTTGGTGGATCTGCTATTCTGGGGTCTGAAGGATGGGAGCCCTCTTCTCACAGTTCCACTAGGCAGTGCCTCAGTGGGGACTCTCTGTGGGGGCTCCAACCCATATTTCCCCTCCACACTGCCCTAGTAGACGTTCATGAGGGCTCTGCCCCTGCATCAGGCTTCTGCCTGAACATTCAGGCTTTTCCATACATCTTCTGAAATCTAGGCAGAGGCTCCCAAGCCTCTCCTTTTGCATTCTGTGCACCCACAGGCTTAACACAATATGAAAGTCACCAAGGCTTATAGCTTGCAGCCCCTGAAGCAGGAGACCAAGCTGCACCTGGGCCCCTATTAGCCACAGCTGATGCTGGAGCAGCTGTGATGCAAGGAGCAGTGTCCCAAGGCTGCTCAGAGCAGCAGGGCCCTGGGCCTGGCCCACAAAACCACTCTTCCCTCCTAGGCCTCTGGGCCTGTGATGGGAGGAACTGCCAGAAGTTCTCTAAAATGCCTTCCAGGCTTTTTCCCCATTGTCTTGGCTATCAGCACTTGCATTTCTTTTAGTTATGTGAATTTATGCAGCCTGTTTGAATTTCTCCACAGAAAGAAAAGGTTTTTCTTTCCTACCACATGCCCAGGCTGCAAATTTTCCACTTTTATGCTGTGCTTCCCCTTTAAATATAAGTTCAAGTTTCAGGTTATTTCTTTGCTCATGTGTATTAGCATGGCTGTTAGAAACAGCCAGGTCACATCTTGAACACTTTGCTGCTGAGAAATTTCTTCCACCAGATACCCTAAATCATCATTCTCAATTTCAAAGTTTTACAAATCCTTAGGGCAGGGGCACAATGCCTCCAGACTCTTTGCTAAAGCACAGCAACAGTAACCTTTACTGCAGTTTCCAATAAATTCTTCTTTTCCATGTGAGACCTCCTCAGCCTGGACTTCATTGTCCATATCACTATCAGAATTTTGGTCACAACAATTTAACAAGTCTCTATGAAGTTCCCAATTTTCCCTCATCCTCTTTTCTTCTTCTGAGTCCCCCATACTTTTCCACCCTCTGCCCATTACCCAGTTCCAAAGTCGCTTCCACATTTTTAGGTGTGTTTATAGCAATGCCCACTCCTTAGTACCAATTTTCTGTATTAGTCCATTCTCACACTGCTATAAAGAAATACCTGAGACTGGGTAATTTATAAAGAAAAGAAGCTTATTTGGCTTACAATGCTACAGGCTATACAGGAAGCATGATACTGGCCATCTGCTCAGCTTCTGGGGAGATCTCAGGAAATTAAATTATGGTGGAAGGGGAAGAGGAAGAAGGCTCATCTTATGTGGCTAAAGCAGAAAGAAGTGAGTGGGGGCATGTGCCACACATTTTTAAACAACCAGATCTCATGAGAGTTCGCTCTCATGATGACAGCACAAATGGGGATGATGTTAACCATGATATACTGTAGGCATGATGCAAATACCTCGCATCCGGCCCACCTCCACCATTGAAGATTAGATTTCAACCTGAGATTTGTATGGGGACACAGATCCAAACCATATCACTACCAAATGGGAGAAAATATTTGCAAACCATATACTGACAAAGGGTTAATACCTAAAATATATTCAAAGTTTCTATAACTTAACAACAACAATAAAATCTGATTTTTACAAATGGGCAAATGACTTGAATATCATTTCTCCAAAAAATACAGACAAATAGTCAAAAGACATATGAAGAGACACTGAACATCACTAGTCACCAGGAAAATTTTAATCAAAACTGCAATGATATAACACCTTACACTCGTTAAGATGGGCACTCTCAATAATTAAAAATAAGTAAGAAACAGAAAATAACAAGTGTTGGTTATAACACTTATGCTATACAAAATAACAAGTGTTGTTTATGACACTTGTTATATCCTTGTGCACTGTTTTTAGGAATGTAAAGTGATGTAGCTGCTATTAAAAACAGCATAGAAGTTCCCCCAGAAACTTAAAAATAGAATTACCATATGATCCAAAAATCCCGCTTCTGGGGACATATCTAAAAGAATTGTAAATAAGATCTCAAAGCAATATTTGCCCACCTATGTTCATTGCAGTATTATTCACAATAGCTAAAAAGTGCAAGCAACCTAGCAACCTAAATGTTCATCAACAATGAATGCATGAATAAACAAAATGTGATATATACCTACAATGAAATATTACTCAGCTTAGAAAGGAAGAAAATTCTATGACATGCTACAGCATGGATGAACCTAAAGGACATTACCTTAAGTGAAATAAGCCAGTCACACACTACCTGATTTAACTTATATGAGATATCTAAAGCAGTCAAATTCTTAGAAAGAGGAAGTAGAATAGTGATTGCCAAGGGCTGGGAAGAAGGAGGACAAAGGAAGTTGCTATTTAATGTGTACAGTTTTAGTTTTGCAAGATGAGAAAGTTCTAGAGATCTGTTACACAAGGTACATATAGTTACTACTGTACTGTCCACTTAAAATTGGTTAAAAGTCAATTTTATGTTCTGTGTTTTTTACCACATAAGATAAAGGACAATAATAATACAAAATGCATTTTCAAAATGCCAAAAAAAAACCCTACAAATGTATTCCATTACATATATCTTCACCATGTACATGATAGGCATTTCAATTCTCAGTACTATAAGACTGTATGACATAACAGTATATGAATATTTTTATTTAAATGAAAGTAACTATTTAGCCCTAATCATCATGCAGTTTTATAATGGTGAGTCTTGCTTTGAATTATCAAAACCTCATCTTCATGTTTTCTACCATAATTTAGTTTGAGAAGACCCCTATGTCAGTTTAGCCTTGGGCTTAGATCTAGTATTTTTTATTGGTTATGTTTTCAAAAGACTGCTGTTGGCTACCAAGCTATCTGACACAGGCTGATCAGGTAAACTACACTTTGAACAACCTGCGAATGCAAAATTTAATAGTATGATTGTGAAACTTGCACATGTTCATACTAGAGAAGTTTTTATTGTGTGTTTCTGTATTTTTTTCCCCAAGAACAACAAAATGTTTCGTTTCCCTCTTAAGAGTTTCTTGCTATTCATTTCCAAAGAATCATGGACTTCTTGGGAAGCGTGCCTGAGCTCATTCAAAACAGACAAGCAATGTCAGGTGTTTTGTGTTGGGTAGATTGTCAGCTACTCAGAATGGTGCCACACTGCATAAGGCAGATGTCAGGAGACAATTTACACATAACAAGACATATATTAAATTCAAAAAGCTGCACCCAATGAGCAAGGCCCAGAGCTAGGTAAAAAACAAAGAGGGGGTAAAGGAAAGTTCCTAAACTTAAATTATGTTGACTTAAACAGTTTAATACATTTTGGCTTGTCAGCAGTATGATAAATGTAAGGCTAGAAAATCATATTACAAAATCTGGGTCATTTTTCAGGTTAGAATAGAACAAGGATTCTTGAAAATTGAAATTGGATCGAACTGAAAGTGAAGGAAAAGATCAACAGAATATGGGACCTAGATCACATAATATGCAAATATGAGATGATTACCAATTTCAGATTACATTCCTCTATTAAATGTCACAGCCATTAAATGATGAAGAAAAATTATCACTATAACAATCTTAACAAATGCAATTTATCTTAATATTGTGTTTGAAAGTACTGAGATCCTACAAATTGTTTTAGTTATTGCAAAGTCCTGGAATTGATAGAGAAATGATAGAAAGGTAGGGTATAGAACAAATGATCAACTATTTCATCACCTTGAAGGACCTGAGACAACCAAATACATTTGTGTTCTTAAAATACTAAGATTTCCATTCAAACTTGGAGAACCTGAGCTTCTGAAACCAAAGGATGGGGCATGTTCGACAACCAATTACAGAAAACCTTAGGTTGTTGAAGTCAAGACATTGCACCTGAGGAATTCATTGACTATACAGACATGTCTGGTCAACCTATTTCAAAATGGGTTTTATTTCACCCTGTTGGGAGCAAGCCCCCAAAAGTCTGGCCATAAACTGGCCCCAAAACTGGCCATAAATAAAGTCTCTGCAGCAATGTAACATGTCCATAATGGCCATAACGCCCAAGCTGGAAGGTTGTGGGTTTACGGGAATGAGGGCAAGGAACACCTGGCCCTCCCAGGGGAGAAAACCGCTTAAAGGCATTCTTAAGCCACAAACAAAAGCCTGAGCCATCTGTGTCTTAAGGGTGTGTTCCTGCTGCAATTAATTCGGCCCATCCCTTCGTTTCCCTTAAGGGATACTTTTAGTTAATTTAATATCTATAGAAACAATGCTAAGGACTGGTTTGCTGTTAATAAATATGTGGGTAAATCTCTGTTCGAGGCTGTCAGCTCTGAAGGCTGTGAGACCACTGATTTCCCAATTCACACCTCTATATTTCTGTGTGTGTGTCTTTAATTCCTCTAGCGCCACTGGGTTAGGGTCTCCCCAACCGAGCTGGTCTTGGCACACCCACTGAGGTTCTCAGTATTATAAAAGTAATTAGATAAAATCCAGTGTGGATAAGTCCTATAGGATAGAATTATAAGTAAATGTGAAACTTGAGGAAACATACTTCTAAATTAGCTCTTATTGGCAAAAAGAGGGAAAGTAAATTTAAAAAAAATAAATACACACACATATCCCACACTGTCCTTTATTTTTATTGATTGAATTCCTTAGCTTGAATCATATTTTTTTATTTCAAATATGCTAGTCTATATTTAAAGGGACTTCATGACCAGACAGCATTAGAGCACTTCATGACCAGATAGCATTAGAGCCATACCAGGTTACTATGCTGCATGTTTTATCTGAAGAGCATCTTATTTAATCCTCACAATAACCATATGAGACATTAACCTACCAATCCGGACAGACAGGTTGTTCAGTGGAAATATGCTTGACTTCAACAGCATGATTACTGATGAGTGTGGCAGGGCATGTTACACTGAGCAGATGGCTTCTTGTATCCAGCAAGGAGCCCCTACGAGATCATGACATAGCTCTTATTTTTACAGTTCACAACTTGGCAAGGGTGGCATGTTCCAACAGTCAGTTATTTTCAAAACATTAAATTTAAAACAAAGATAATCCAGCAGTGTGAACAGAGAATATAAATTCTGTGAAGGCAAGAAGTTACTGATGTCTTCCAAATGTTTAGAACACTACCTGGTTCACACATAGTAAGTGCTCAATAAACATCTGCTTAATGGCAGAATAAATGACAATTTGGATTCAATGATTTTGTCCGACGTTTCATATTGTATATGCATATGTTGGGGCAAGGGTCCATATTTTTCATCGGATTCTCAAAATTATCTGTGAAATGAGTTATGATCCACAACTGGAAGGAATGAAGGATTCCTACATTGCACAGTAAGTGAGATTAGATGGCCTCTAAGCAGTCCTCAGCTCTAACATTTGATCTCAAAATACTTATATCTTTTATAATGTCAGTATGTTTACACCTCACAGTGCATCAGGCCTTAAAGCCTGACTTCTTACCATGAGATTGAAGAGTCTCTTTCCATAAAGAAATTATAAATTGTAATGAAGCATTGGGGAGTCCACTGGAATTCTAGAAACCTATCATAGAGGGGAACTCCTGTTCCACTAATAAAGGATGCCCTACCCTCCTGTCTTTTTATATCAAGCCAAGTGTATTATTGACCAGAGTTCTCCAAAGGGATAGAACCGATAGGATATAAGTATGTATAGGAATAAAAAGGAGTTTATTAGGGAGAATTGGCTCACACAATTACAAGGAAAAATCTCACAGCAGACTGTCTGCAAACTGGAAAAGAGAGAAGCCAATAGTAGCTCAGTCCCTGTCCAAAAGGCTCAAAACCAGGAAAACCAACAGTGTGGCCTTCAGTCTGTGGCTGAAGGCCTGAGAGCCCCCAAGTCCCAGAGTTTAAGGACTGAAATCTGATATCTAAAGGCAGGAGGAACAGAAGCAAGCCTCCAGCACACGAAGAGAAAGAGGACAAGAAAACTCAGCAAACAAACTTATCCCACCTTCTTCTGCCTGGTTTGTCCTAACAGACTGGCAGCAGATTGGATGATGCCCACCCACATTGAGAGTAGGTCTTCCTCTTCCAGTCCACCAACCCATCTGTCAGTGTCCTCTGGCAATACCCTCACAGACACACCTAGAAGCAATACCTTACCAGCCATCTAGGCATTCCTCAATTTAATCCAGTTGACACCTATTAACCATCACACCAAGACACCAGAACAAACTCAGCAGCAATTCATGTGTTGTGAATTTCCATGAGTGGAAGTGGATTTAATGTGCTGGAACCACGCTTTCTAGTCTACTGTCTCACGTGACCAATTACATTGTTATATACGTTTTCTAAATAGCTAATTAATGCCTACAGTCTACAAATATTTTTCTGACTTGTGTTTATATAAAAAGCCTCACACTGAAATAAAAATAAAATCAAATATAGTTGTATATTTAACAAATTCTCTCTATTTAAAAGAAGGATGGCTTTGGGGAGATCAATTCTAAATGCCAAATTTGAGACACAAGACCCAAAAGAACAGTAATCTCAATTTAAAAATTTCTTATGCTAAAGGATTTTCAGAAGTCTAAAAAGGAAACCTCATTAAATTACGCCATTAGAATTTGTTTGTGGGATATGGTTCACAGGTGACAAGGAGAAATTGCAGATTTCTTTTTTACATAGGTTTAAATTTTCTTTGTGCGCCTGATCTGATCCTGATTCCAATCTTCTATAAAGGCTAAAAAAGAGGGAAGAGAAGGAAGTCAGGAAATGGAGATTCCTTTGAAGTTTAGATTGAAAAAAGCCAGAACAAAGAGCAGGACAGGAGGAAGGTCTGGGACTTGGGGGTGGTTTCACTGGATAAGAATTTCTCTGAATCCTCCAGCTCTGTTTGAGTGCCTCCCTCATGACTTGCTCTGGTCTCTGCTGTCCGCTGATTGATTTCCTTCCCTCCTTCTCCTTCTCCACTTCTTCCTTAAGGAATGTGTTCTAGCCTAGTGTAAAGCTCTCTATTCACAGTGAAACCTCAGTGTATGTTGTTCAACTAAACAAAGTTGATACTGTTTTAATCCTAGTATTATGGGGTCCTAGGCTAAAGTTATTACAAAGCTCCTCTTATTCCCGTAGTGTGAGAGCAGGGTTATCCTTGAACTTGGAGCTGTCAAAGGAAATCGCGTGAAACTATTATGTCTCTGCAAGTGCCTCATTATCTCAGCCATGGAAAGGAATGTTTTCTGATTATTCTCTACTGTTCTCCTGCATGAGGTCTGCATTTCATATGTATTGACATTTTATAGTTGACCTTCAAGCTGGTTGACACATTTCAACAGTGATGTTTAACAATGAGAAATAAATCACTCTCCCTACCAACACTGTGCTGTTGATAGTTCCTTCTCCTCACTTTCTTAGCTCTATTATTTATTATCCTCTCCTACTATAAATAAAGAACTAAAAGTGGATTAATATAACATTGGCCTATGAACTATGCTAGAAAAAGGACAGCTTACCCAATATCATCAGAAATATAGAGCAAGCAAGGGGCTAAAGATAAGAAATTGCTTCTCTAATAATTTTTAAATCAAATGCTTGTGATACTATAGTTTAGGTTTACAGATGCTGGCAGATATGGACCAATGTTTATCAATAGAGGTATTTTTTGCGGCAATAGATTTTGACATTTTTAAGAAAGCACAAATATAGAAAATAGGCTAAATCTTACTTTTCTTTTTATAATATCTAGGTTCTTTTGCTATCATGTTCTGCCTGTATACGCCAAATATAAAATGTGTATAAACATGTAAATGTGAATAATTCTAAACTGCCTGTGTATATCTAGTGTTTATATAAATTTTAAGCATATAATTTTAGGATATTTGTTATTTTAAAAGATTTATAAAAATGTGAGTGCTTTTAACAGTTTAAAACTCTATTGAAAATGATCAACATGTTACTTAAATAGCTGAGCTGAAAGAAGCAGGTTGTGAGAGCAGCAAAATGCTGAGACTATTTCAGTTGTACATTATTTTGTGTGCATACTCATGAATTCAAGACCTTCTCTGTGACCAGCATATCCTGTTTATAAATTTACTCATATGAAAGGTAAAATAACCTAAGTTGCATTTATGTACATTTTATAATGGGAAATTATATTACATTAAAATAATGAATTAAAATGCTTGATAAAAACATGGACTGGGACTTCTGTGTATTTTGCCAGAAGGAAGCAGAAAGCTGAGGAAAATGTCTGATTTGAAAAGTCATTCAAAATGATCTAAATGTGAAAAAAGGAGATATGAGAGTGAGAGACTTGAATCTCATGAAATTTAAGAGTAACTAGATCTATTATAGGTTTTAACTATATACTTGGAGTAAAAAATTCAATCAGTTTGTTTTGTCTACCCGATGTCAGTGATGACATATATGAAAGCACTTTGAAAAATCTATGTGAATGTCCAAACAAAACTTTGCTGATTGTAAAAATTTTTAGACCTTAGAACAGCTCAGCAAGATAAAAACAGTGGAATTTCTTTCTCTGTATACTTTTTAAACCAGAATAAAGAGCTGTCTGGACCCCTTCCTGAACAGAGAGTATTATTCTGCACAACTTTTGAGGCTCTTTTTCATTCTGCCTTTGTGTAAGACTGTCTAATAAGACTACAAGATTAATATTGGTTTCTGCAAGTTGTCTTGACTTTGGACTCCTATTTCCATTTTCTTTAGCAAGTCAGAATACAATCTAGGCAGTATATGATGGCTTGAGGACTTTTGTACTTCAAGAATTTTTTCCTTACTTTTTTTACTGCATGTAGTAAGATATGTGGCAATGCCTCACAGAAGGAAGCTCTGAGCTTTACCTTGTATACAAATGAACCTTGCATGCCGTCCTTGGTACTCTGTTGATTATTGCCCACAGCTCAAATGATGCTTCATGAGAGCAAAACCTCGCAGTGGATATATAACCTTTGTAAATTCAGTATGACTATGATGGACAACCATGTAACCCAAATGTTCATGGGTTCCCTGACCAGGATGTGGGAAAGCCTAGCCATTGTGCCCTCCATAGAGACATGATCCGTGGATGTGCTCTTACTAGGTTAATCAACACAAAGCAGTTTTCACACACTTACCATCACTTCAATTTGTGTGAGAAAAATGCAGAGAATAATAAGCTATGTGGCTGTGTATTTGACCAGTCCCCTTAGACCACAATAACTATATAGTCTACTGTCCAAGCTAGGACCCTTTTGAGAACAAAAGGGAGGGACAGGGGAATGTCTTCAGTAATAACCTTGAGACCATGCAGATATAGACCAAGACTATCCCAGAAAAACTGGCTGCCCTATTTTGAGCCCAAGCCCTGCTGCAATAGCAGACAAGAATGGCTGCTGATGGAGCCATGATGTTGGCGATGTTTATCAGTCCTAGTCATTTACTGAAAAGGAAAAAACTAAGTGGGAAGACAGAACAAATGCATCCACCATTTTTCTTATGCCCTCTAACCTCCCTCTATTTAAACATGAAATATAGTATTCTTAAATTTTAATTTCAATAATGCATTTTTTTTTACAATTAGTGCATTTGCTTTTATTTGAAAGGCTTTCATCTGGGTGAGTCTAATTCTGACATCCTGCATAACAAACAACTGCAAACCTAGAAACATAAAACAGCAGCAATCATTTCTCATCTCTTCCAGTTCTAGGAGTTGACTGGGCAGAGCTAAGCAATTCTTACTCCATAGATGTTCCTGAAGTTACAACCAGATGATGTCCAGCACTGTTGTCATTGCAAGACCTTCCTTCCTCACATTACCTCAGTAGTTACCTGTGTCTCAGTTAGGATCTCAGCAGGGCCTATCAGCCAGAGCCATGTATACAAGGCCTCCACATGTAGCCTGGACTTCCTCACAGCATGAGGTTTGGGTTCCAAGAGCAAGTGTCCCAAGAAAAAGAGCCAGAAGGAAGCTATTTCTCCTTTTATTGTCTAGTCTTAGAAGTCACATAGCAACACATCTACACGGGATAATGATAGGCACATGGATTCACTCGGTTTTCAAGAAGAAACGACACAGGCACTACCTCCTGCTAGGAAATGAAAAAGTCACATTGTAAGAAAAGGATATGAGTTGGAAGATATTTTCTGGGTAATTGCTAGAAAGTACACTATGTCCAGAGGATATCCAAAAGGTGCAAGAAGATAACAAATAATTTTGAAAGGCAAACATTTCTGAAATAGACTGAAAGATGACTTGCATATTTTCTTTGAAACAAACTCACATCTTGTAACTTTCTCATTCTTTCTGAGTTATTTGAGACTAACATTAATTTTTAACCTAAGCAATGAAGATCTTAAAAAAGGTGTACAACATTGCATTAGCCCAAATTGCTATCCAAAAACTGTTTCCAGTACCCTTCACTGAATTCTAGCCCTCTTCCTTCTACTCTAAATCCCCACCATTATCTCCTGTTACCTTTACTTTCAGTCTTCTCTCTCTGCAGTTTTTTTTGACAATGGCTGACTTTGCCTATGTATCCCAAAACACAGAAAATTCAAGTCAGAAAATGGTTTACTTTAAATACAAAGATAATGAAAGCTAAATTATTTAGATTACTGTTTAGCCAAAAGATTGAATAGAGGTGAATGTTTTACTTTCCTTTAAGAGATATTAAACCAAAACAAGTTAAACTTGACTCACGAGCTTTTTCAATATGCTTGTAACAACTTTTATCTTCACACCTTAGAGTGTGAAGATCCATTCAAGTTTTCCCATGCATCCAAACCATTAGGTTTAATGACACATCCAAAGCCAGGACCTAAGGAAGATATCTAGACAGATTACATGAATTATCATGTCACTGTGCTTTAAAGAAGAGAGAGATATTCCTGAAGGTGGTATAGTTCACCTTGCTCAGGCAAGATCACAGAAACACCAATAATGTATTAGAATCAGAGCTCATTTTGAATTGCTTTAGGGCAAACTTCGATTCTGACGACTAATTATAAGCCTTGCAAGAATTTATGTAACTATCAATTTAGCTGTACAAAATAGCAACTTAAAATTTATTAGAATTGATCTATTTCTCAGTAATTGGTGTTACTTGAACTGTACTTGAAATCAGCAGAGTTTAATTTTTGAAGAGTAGCCACCTAAAATTGTGATCCTTCAAAAGTATTTTGGGACGACCTCTTATTCCAAATTTAGCATTCAAAGTCAAGTTCAGAACTCAGAGTGACAGGTGGCTGGGTGGAAGTCACAATTGATGGGGTGGTGCGGATGGTGACAAAACTCTGGGGAAATGGCTTAGGACATCACATTGAAACAACTGACTTAATGCCTGGAGTCAGAGAAGACCCTAGAACAGAGACAGCAGGTTAGAAACATGGCTGAGTGAGAAAATGTTGGCTGGAAAAGCCCCGTCTGTAAACCCTTAGTAATTCTCCCCCAATCTTTGAGGATATATGAAAATAATTTGAAATTTTTTGTCTTAAAGCCAATTGTTTTGCTTCCTAAATGCTGTCTAATTTGATGCAAATTGTTAACTCGTGATAAATTTTCCAATGTATCATTCTCACTCAATATCTTGGAAGGAAAATATTTGGAAATTAAGTCATCATGCATTTTTCTCTACTTATTTCATAATAAGGGGAAGATTGTCATCTAAATGTAAATACCTGGTCAACAATCTTTCCAGTTTACCAGCATTAATTTAAATAAATGTCTGTAAAACTTGTTTGCTCTTTCCACTACTGTTTTTAACATAACAGTATGGTATTTTTAATTATGTTTCTGGAAGAAATCATTAACATTTTGGTTATAAGCAGTATAGAACTGAGAAAAAAAATGCATGGCTTAAAATTCTGAACCTACAACTCACTAGATATCTTACATTGGATAAGTTATTTAAGCTTTCTGAGTTTTGATTTTCTCATCTGCAAAATCAGAGTAGTACAGCATGTAGTGGTACTCAAAATTGCTAACTCTTAATATCAGATATTAGTGTGGTATTCCATCACAGAAGTATCAAAAGCAACCATATTGTACCCATAAAATCTGAAGACGTTTATTCTTATAATGATAAGCAGGAGTCACTGAAGTTTTTTTGTTACTATTGTTGTTTTTATTCTATTCCATGAATATATGCACATTCAGATGTTTTGTTTTATTTTGTTTGAGATGGGATCTCAGTATATTCCCCAAGCTGGTCTCAAACTCCTCCTGGGCTCAAGCAATCCTTCCACTTCAGCCTCCTGAGTAGCTGGAAATACAGGCATGTGCCACTGCATCCAGATGTTTTTGAAACCAAACATCTAACTCCTGAACTCCAGTAACTCAAAATGTTATTGGAAAATAACTAGCTCTTTATTGTAAAGATAATCTTCCTTTTAAGGAGTGGAAGAAAAAAGATTTAAATATAAAAAGAAGGGGCTTCATTTGCAAAGGTCTGTTTAATACATGACAATTATAATTCTTGGGCCTTCCAAAAAGAAACAATTAATACATGTTTTGAGTAGCTCTGTGCTATTCAAGAGGTGCTGGAGCATATGAACAAGTTGGCTGATTCTGTTTCAGGGTAAGTGGTTTCTTGTTATTCTTGAGTTATAGAAGCTATGCTCTTTCAGCTTGGAACAATGACTGATGAGAACTTTACATTTAACATTACAGCTGGGAGTCACGAATCAATTCTGAGTAATCTGAGGAAATGACCTTTATAATTAGAGGATTACTTTTTTCAAGTATTTTAGGACTCGGTTTCTGGAATGTATTTAGCCTGTGGCAAAGAATGATCAGATCATGATTTGTTTGGACTAACGCAATTCAAGATCTGAGATAGGATATATAAGGTACCAGAGTGTTCCTTATCCTTCTTCCAAAAAATCCATTTGGAGCAGTAGAAAGTAAGGGAGAATCTAAGAAGAAAGGAGGATAAAAACTGGGAAAAAATGATGACTAGACAATATTTTTAAATGTTGCAAATAAGGAATTTGCAATGGAATATATCTACATTTGACTTTCACTTCTTCAAGGAACATCCCTCCACTACCTTTCCTTAAACTGAGCCTGGATCCTTCAAGGGTATTGCTTTTTGTACAACCCTCTCAATGTGAAGCTCTCACTCTCTTATGTCCCATGAACTGCAGGGTCCAAATGCCTGATAAGCACTCTTCTAGCCACCCCCACCCCCACCCCCATTACTCCTTTCATTTCATTTTATTTTAACCTTCATTTAACACTCTCCTCCCTCCTTAGATGGTCATACCATTTGATATACTAAAAACCAGTTGTATCTGTGCTGGTCATGCTCCACCTGACCATGAGGCCTCGAGGAAAGGCTCACATTGTCCTGGCTCCTAGTTGTGGCTTCTAGGCCTTTGACAACTATCTTCATGCAAGAAGAGCTCCTTCTTTGAACCTCCTGCTTCCAACTGATAGCAACTTAGCTTCATTTTCTACTTTTGTAGGACAGTTTCCTGTATTTATTGAGGATTTCAGCAGCTGGATTGCTGTTTTACTCTCTAGCTTGGCTTTTTCTAAAATCTAAGGAGACTTAACTATGATTCAAGTCTCTAATCTCAAAGCTCCTTCAACCACTCTACTATAATAATGATAGTTATAAATGATAAATCAATTTTACCTAGATTTTAGCCGAATATGAATCCTTGCTAGCATCTTGTAAATAGATATTACCCCATTTATAGATGAGAAAACTGAGATAGAAGGTTTTCTTTTAAATTTTCACTTTGCACAGGTGCTAAGCAAAGGAGCTGAGATATATACCAGTCTGTCTGATTTCAAAAGCTGAATTTTTGACAACTAAGGTATGCTACCTCCTAATAATCTCAATTAGAATTTGTTTCCTCATTTATAGGTCATTATATCATAAACTTCATCATTGTCTAATTTGACTCACTTTTGAAATATTGAACTGTGAAATTTCTAGCTCTAACTACCAACATTTTTCCTTCCATCTGTCAATCTGACTAAACCTCCCTTTCAAGATCACCACACTTTTTAATTTCTTCACAAGTCACTATTTTCTCAATTTGTCTTCAATTCCCTTCTTTCACTCCCTGAATCTCACTAATGAAATAATACAACTACTGATACTGTTTGGCTGTGTTCCCACCCAGATCTCATCTTGAATTCCCACATGTTATGGGAGAGACCTGGTGGGTGGTAATTGAATTATGGGGGCAGGCCTTTCCCATGCTGTTCTCATGGTAGTGAATAAGTCTCATGAGATCTGATGGCTTTAAAAAGAGGAGTTCCTCTGCACAAGCTCTCTCTCATTGCCTGCTGCCATCCATGTAAGACATGACTTGCTCCTCCTTCCTTCCATTATGATTGTGAGGCTTCCCCAGCCACATGGAACTGTAAGTCCAATTAAACCTTTTTCCTTTGTAAATCACTCAGTCTCAGATATGTCTTTATCAACAGCATGAAAATGAACTAATACAGAAAAATTGGAAATGGGTAACAGGCAGAGGTTGGAACAGTTTGGAGGGCTCAGAAGAAGACAGGAAAATATGGGAAAGTGTGGAACTTCCTAGAGACTTGTTGAATGGCTTGGACAAAAATGCTGAAAATGATATGAGCAATAAGATCCAGGCTGAGGTGGTCTCTGATGCAGATGAGGAACATGATGGGAATTGGAGCAAAGGTGACTCTTGTTATGTTTTAGCAAAGAGGCTGGTGGCATTTTGCCCCTGCCCTAGAGATCTGTGGAACTTTGAACTTGAGAGAGATGATTTAGAGTACTGGTGGAAGAAATTTCTAAGTAGCAAAGCATTTGAGAGGTGACTTGGGTGCTGTTAAAGGCATTAGGTTTTAAAAGGGAAACAGAGTATAAAAGTGTGGAAAATTTGCAGCCTGACAATGAGATAGAAAAGAAAATCCTATTTTCTGAGGAGAACTTAAAGCTGGCTGAAGAAATTTGCATAAGTAAGGAGGAGCCAAATGTTAATCCCTAAGACAATGGGGAAAATGTCTCCAGAGTATGTCAGAGGTCTTCATGGCAGCCCTTCCCATCACAGGCCTGGAAGTCTAGGAGGAAAAATGGTTTCATGGGCCAGGCCCAGGTTCCCCATGCTGTGTGCAGTCTAGGGACTTGTTGCCCTGTGTCTCAGCTGCTCCAGCTTGACTAAAAGGGGCTGAGCTGAAGCACAGCTCCAGCTATGGCTTCAGAGGGTGCAAGCCCCAAGCCTTGGCAGTTTCCACATGGTGGTGAGCCTGCAGGTGCACAGAAGGCAAGAACTGAGGTTTGAGAACCTCCACCTACATTTCAGAGGTTGTATGGAAATGCCTGGATGGCCATGCAGAAGTTTGCTGCAAGGGTGGGACTCTCATGGAGAATCTCACTAGGGCAGTGTGGAAGAGAAATGTGGGGTTTGAGCCCCCACACAGAGTCCCTAGTGGAGCTGTGAGAAGAGAGCTACCATTCTCCAGACCCCAGAATGGTAGATCCACTGGCAGCTTGCATTGTGAACCTGGAACAGCCTCAGATACTCAATGCCAGTCTGTGAAAGCAGCCAGGAGAGAGGCTGTACCCTGCAAAGCCACAGGGGCAGAGCTGCCCAAGACCATGGGAACCCACCTCTTGCATCAGTGTGACCTGGATGTGAGACATGAAGTCAAAGGAGATCATTTTGGAACTTTAAGATTTGACTGCCCTGCTGGATTTCGGACTTGCATGGGGCCTGTAGCCCCTTTGTTTTGGCCAATTTCTCCCATTTGGAATGGCTGTATTTATCCAACGCCTATATCCCCATTGTATTAATATCTAGGAAGTAACTAACTTGCTTTTGATTTTACAGGCTCATAGGCAGAAGGGACTTTCCTTGTCTCAGATGAGACATTGGACTAGACTTTTTAGTTAATGCTGAAATGAGTTAAGACTTTGGGGGACTGTTGGGAAGGCATGATTGATTTTGAAATGTGAGGACCTGAGATTTGAGAGGGGCTGGGGTGGAATGATATGGCTTGGCTGTGTCCCCACCCAAATCTCATCTTGAATTCCCATGTGTTGTGGAAGGGACCCGGTGGGAGGTAACTGAATTACGGAGGCAGGCCTTTCCCTTGCTGTTCTTGTGGTAGTGAATAAGTTTCATGAGATCTGATGGTTTTATAAAGAGGAGTTCCCCTGAAAATCTCTCTTTCTTTGCCTGCTGCCATCCATGTAAGATGTGACTTGCTCCTCCTTGTCTTCCACCATGATTATGAGGCTTCCCCAGCCACATGGAACTGCAAGTTCAATTAAACCTCTTTCCTTTGTACATTGCCCAGTCTTGGGTATGTCTCTATCAGCAGCATGAAAACAGGCTAATACAACTACATTTCCAGTTGTTTTACCCCTTGATTTGCTACAACCAGTTTGCTCATTTGTCATTCTCAATTTAACTGTCTTTTATCTCCACTCCAATCCCAGGCAGCAATTTTTGCTGAAAGAGGTATTAATTAAGTTAGTACATTTTAAATTAAATAAATGTTAAACATTTATTTAGTAGCTGCTATGCAGTAGTTAATATGTTAGGATGAGGATATACAACCCCAATCTCAAGAACATGCAGCTGATGAAAAACAAAGTGCATGCAATTAGTTAAGTACACAAAGTGTTATTTAAACAGTTTGCATTCAGTGAAGGTAGATAAAGAGTTGTTTAAGTTCAAGAGGTCAAGAAAATATAAACTATATGAACTATAATATGATCATCTATGTGAACAATAAAATCTCCTACAAGGCTGGCAGAAATTTGGATGGAGGAGGAAAAATCTAAGTCCTTTGTCAGAGTGCTATATTATTCCATTGGTGAATGAAAAGGGGACAGACAGCAAGGAGGTATAAATATGAAATTAACAAGGTCAAAATTACAATTGAAATATTGCCAAGAATAATAAGGAGAACAATCATTTTTCTCTTTCTTTTGGCAACAACACTGATTTTCCTTTGAAAATTCACCTTTCCACCCCCGTGCCCAAAGCTGGAACAAATACAGTGGATAAGAGAACTTTTTGCAAAGAGCTACCTAAAAAGAGGCACTTTCCAAACCCTTGTAGAGTTTGCAGTCTTTCTCATCTCTGGTGTTAGAGGAATCAGCTGGTTTTCACAATGAGAGTATCTTACTTTTTTATAAGCAGGACTGGACTGTTTCCCTGGTTAGCTATGGTGTCACCTTTCAGTCAATTCATGGTGGAGAAGAGAAGGGTTTATGCATGCACCTGTACACGTGTCTGTGTGTGTGTGTGTGTGTGTGTGTGTGTGTGTGTGTGTGTGTGTGTGTAGTATGTGCTGAAGCATTCTTTGCTGAATAATAGACATACTATGTTCATTGCTAATTCCAAATCTCATTTCACGTGTCTAGGTATGAAAGAGGGAGAAAAAATATATCCACCTAGCCTTCCAGTGATGCATAGGCACTATTAAAATTTATAATGTGATTGAAATATTTGAAGGAGGGTTGTGCCTAAAATATTCAAAGATATTCTCTGACTGTATTTGAACATTAGCATGAATCACTCAAGATTTTAAAATTAATGAACTGCATTCACAAACATTCCAACCTATGCATACAAAGAGTTCATGGTGGAAATATTTTCTAATGGTAAAAAACTGAAAGCAATGAAGCTGTTTACCAATGATGGAATGGTGACATTAATTATGGCACAACAAGTATATTTTAGTGTTGTTTAAATATGTTGCAAATATAAATTAATTTCATAAAGTGTTTTTAATTTTGTAAAATTATGTAAATACTGTAACATAGTAAGGTGGCTATGCATGCACTTATATGAAAAGATACTTATGATTTAATATTTTTAAATTTTAAAAAGCTAGAAATCATCTATGTAGTAGAATCCCATTTCTTTGATAAATGTTTAAAATTCTACTATTACATGTTATTTCTGCATCCAAAAAGAGGATTCTACAAGGACACATACCAAAGTATTATCAGTGGTTCCCTCAGGATTGGTTATTGGAGGCTGTAAAAAAAGGACTGTTATGTTTTCATATAAATGTTCTGTATTTCATGGAATTTTAATAATTACATATTTTTCTTTACTATAAAACAAAACAATAAAGTAGAACTAATTAGAAGGATATGTAAATAATTGCCTTATTTTCAAACTGTAATTTAAATCACATGAAGAGTCAATTTTCAAGGTAATGTGACTTGAACTGTCATTAGCTAGTGATTGTTTCTATGAGTAAAAAAGTGAAATGAAACACTGACATAGAGGTTATAAGGTATAAGGTATATGTACGATTCAGAGAAATATGATAGCATAAACCAAATAATGGAGAATCTGAATTTATGCTTATTCTGCAGTCCAAAGTATTTTCTGAATCTTTCTTACAATCTCAACGCCCTTAGAAATGAACTAGAATAATCATATGGCAGCCCACCGCTCTCCTTCCCATTCAATCACTCTTTGTAGAAAACTAATCTACTTTCTTGCTTTGGGCAAATAAATAAGGACAAAAATTTAAAATTCTGTCTATAACCAAAAAGTCAAAGTTTGCATACATGAATTCTCTAATAAGTTATTATTACTTTTAGGCTTAAAAAAACAAAGAAATTTTAAGAGGCCATTTTCTCCTGCTAAAATCCAAATGATTTTTTTGCACTATTTATCAAATCTGGTAGTAGTTATTGGTATTCTTCCAGCAATAATTATGGAATGAATTAATATTGATATAATCTATATATTCATATTAAATCAGTACAGGAAGTCTAAATGATTATGGTAGCACTATAATGAAAAAATTAAATTAATTTCTCTTTCCATTTGCAGCTTTTGCCAAGGATCTATTTGACTGCCAGAATACAGCTTTTTTTTCCAACTCTTATTCTTGAAGGCTTAAAATTGAATATGCATGATATATAAACTAGAAATTTATACGAATATTATAAACAAAATAAAAATGTTGCCAATTATTTTATTTTCCCTTTCTCTAGGGTGAATTTATCAGAAATACTTTCTTTAAGAAGAATTATGAAGTAAGTTTTGTTCTAAGCCACTAACATTTTGTGCGCTTTAAAATTACCTTTTTTGGTAGAAGGATCAGAGAGCTTCATAAATACTTTTAGCCAGAAGGTAAAGCTGAGACAATAAAATGCAGGCAGTGAATGTCACATAGTGAGCCTTTTACAACACAGATTTGTTGATTTATTTATGTTGCATTTACAAGTTCTCTGAATGTGTTTATATATTTGTATATAGGTTGAATAGGCTACAACAATGAAACTTCTTTCTCAGGATTAGGAATGAAAGCTCCATTTATTATTGAGAAATGAAGTTTATGTGAGAAATAAAAGGTGAATCCATTTTAAAAATAAAAGCATATACTCAAAATATCACCTCAAACTAGTAGAAAAAGTAAATGGTAGTAACACATCTTTGGGAGAAAAAACACTGGTTAAAAGGCTGAGGGTTGATTGAATGCCAGAGAGCACTTCTCCCCTTCCACACAGTTGTCATGCTGTGACTATATATAAAAATGTCAGAAGTGTGTGTAGTGAATATTAGTCGTTTTGTTCCTTGATCGATAAAGAACGTATTCTTATGTTTTGAGAACTTTCCATCATATGAATCTTTGTTTTTCCCTGGATATAGAAATTATGAAGATCCTAGGGTTCCCGGGTGTAACAAATAAAAATACAGGGTACCAAGTTAAAGTTGAATTGTACAGAAACAGCAAATGATTTGTTAGTGTACGTCCCAAATAAGTGTGTCTCAAACAAGTATGTCAAATTTTACAAACATCGGGGCTCCTATTTTTTATTCTGCAATACTAGAAGACAAGATATTGGCTTTCCAGCCTCCTGTGAAAAGAGAATGTGACATGTGATGGGCATGTGACCTAGGATGACCGACCAATTAGATGCACTGCTTCGAACTTGGAATTTTTTTTTTTTTTTTTTTTTTTGAGACAAAGTCTCGCTCTGTTGCCCAGGCTGGAGTGCAGTGGCACGATCTCGGCTCACTGCAACCTCCGTCTCCCGGGTTCAAGCAATTCTCGTGCCTCTGCCTCCCGAGTAGCTAGGATTACAGGCACCCGCCACCACACCAGGCTAATTTTTGTATTTTTAGTAGAGACATGGTTTCACCATGTTGGCCAGGCTGGTCTCAAACGCCTGACCTCAGGTGATTGACCTGCCTCGGCCTCCCAAAGTGCTGGGATTACAGCCATGAGCCACCACGGCTGGCCCAAACTTGGAATCTTAAGAAGCAAGAACAGTGGAGACCCCGTGTAGTCAGTAGTAGCAGCAGCAGAGGCAGCAGCAGGTGTCCATGGCAACAATGACGATTCCGTCCCAGTAGTAACAACAATGAAAGCTGTTTAATCCCAGGTCCAGCAGCAGTAGAAGCAGCTGCAGGGACTTCACCACATTATTCTGTAGTATGATTTTGATGCTTGGTCTCTTTTCTTCCTGCCCCATTTCCATGTTCAATCCTTCAAAATTCTTGTTGGTTCTTTCACCTAGCCAACGTCCCTTAAGCAAATTCCTTTTCTGTTTAAATTGCCCAGAATTATGTTTTCATTAACGAATAATATTTGTACATATGTATGGGGTACATGTGGTATTTTATTGCATGCATAGAATGTGTAATGATCAGGCCAGAGTGCCTATCACCTCCAGTGTTTTCATTTCTATCTTTTGGGAAGATGTCAAGTCCTCTCTTTTAGCTACTTTGAAATATACAATACGATGTTGTTAGCTATAGTCACCTTACTCTGTTATCAAATATTAGAACTTACTCCTTCTCTCTAACTGTATGTTTGTGCTCACTAACCAACCTTTCTTCATCCCTCCTGCCTCTAACCACAAACGTTTCTCAGCCCCTGGTATCAATCGTTCTACTCTCTACCTCCATGAGATCAGCTTTTTTTAGCCAGGCATCCTCTTGAGGAGGATAGAATCTTCTCTTGTTTCTAAGAGCAGGAGAGCACAATATTAAGAGTATGGACTTTAGAGACATGTTCCCTGGATTTACAGCCCAGCTATACCGCTTACTACCCAATGACCTTAAACAAATTACGTACTTTTTATGCACATCAATAAAGCTTCTATTTCCATGTCTGTAAAATGAGCAGAGTAACAGTGTCTATCCGATAGGATTGCTTTGCATTTCAAGTTACTAAATATTTAGAGCAGAGACTGACAGATAGTAAGCACTATATATATGTTTTGAAAAACACAAAAACTAAAACTAAAAATCATCATTCACAAACCCAAGTTGTATGCAGAGGAAAAACCAACCATTTTTAATCAGACCATATTGATTATTTCCTTAAGGTGCTAGAAAAGGGTTTCAGAGGAGGCTTAATGTGTAATAAGCCGTTCCATTACTAATACAGGTTAGAGCAAGCAAAACATTCATATTAGTACTCAGACCTCTAGTATTACAATATTTTTCTGCCAGAACCCTGTTAAGGTAGTGAACTTCGTTAACCTTATTTGAAAGTGAAGTAAATGAGATTTGGAAGGGACTACAAAACTTGTATACCACAAAACATCACCCCACCAGCTTGTATGGTCTTACAGATTTAGTTATTATTGGACTGAGCAGGAAAGAGTGGAGGTGGAGTGATCAGATAGCTAAAATATCATTTGCAATTTCATAAAGGGGAGTTTATTTGACTAATTAATTTGTATTACAGGTCCAGGGGTAACATCATACTGGATTTGGAAGTTTTAGTGGGGTCAATGATGAGAAGCAAGGTGATGACAAACCTTGATGAAAAGAGAGCAAAGCATGAAGTGTGAGGTCAAGAGCAGAACACAATAGACTGAGATGTCGGGAGCCTGAATGGGAAGAGGAAAGAGGGTATGATACCTCCAACTGACAAATTATTTTTAATTGACTTATTTATGAAATACTTATTGTCTCCTCTATACCATATATAAATTTATCTAGAACCTGTTCTATGGCAAAAAATAATTCAGATTTATAATACATACCAGTAATGAAATAAATGTAAGCCTTGCCCTAGTGCTGATCCTGCTTATGTTTCCTTTAATCAATGTGCCACAAAAGCAGTAGACTCCAAAAACCCTTTGGCTTACACTAGAGTCAAAAACATTCTTCTCTTAGCAATTCATTTTGGAATTCTTTGAAGAAAGCCCAGTGGTATCTTTAGAAAATATGTTGATAAGCAGCTTTGCATGAGGGTGAGACCCTAAGAGGCATACTGGAGGGAGTGGAAACATAGATATTAAATTCCATGTATGTCTCTATTAAGCTTAGGACAGTGCCCAGGACACAAAAGAAGCAAATTATTCCACTGAGAATTTCGTAAACCGATTTTGCTCAAAGCTCTTTATTCTGTCAGTGGTTGAATTTCAGTAGGGAGTAAAGACGATTTATTTATAGTTTTTCAAGGCATCACCCCGCTAAATCCCCTAGAAGTCCCACTCCTGGAGAAAGGGTCTATAGTTGTATAGATTTATGCCGTGCTGTTATATTTTCTTTGAATAGTTTTGTTTATCTTCAAATTATTTGGCTTAGTTGGTACCCCTACTATGAGACTTCTACCAAAGAGTAAATAAAGCAATTTATTTACTTAAGATTAGTGGTTCAATATACCTCTTTAATGCAGAAGTTGATAAGTAATATGTCATTGAGGAAGGTAGTCATGGACAGACCTCTTATCAGCTTTCACATTTTCAGAGAAAAAAAAAAGATCTCAGTGAGACTAAAAGTTTGAAGATGAATTTGGATTCCAGAAACGAAGGAATTTTTGTGTCAGATCAAACTCGACAAGGATTATTTTGGTACCTATCACGTGCCAAACACAGTTTTAGAGTTTTTCAAGTGAGGTACTTTAATTTTCACAAAAATAGTGTGTGTTGCTTTCATTTCACAAAAGAAGAAGCAGGTTATAAAAATATATTCTTTGGGTGAACAAAAGTTCCATGAAGCTAGAATAGTCTTCTAATTTTAGAGATGTGGGTACCAAAATACAGAGAAGTTTTTACTTAAAATCACTCATCAAATTCAAATACGAAGTTGATTTCCACTCCATTTCTGTTCCTATTTCACCATATGACTTGCATTCCAAGCCAGAACTTGTTTATTGTGATTATATTAGCACACTACATTTCAGAAGGAAATCTCTCTTTAATCTGTAACATCGATTTAATTATGTGACATGTAGAGGTCACAAAATTAAAGGTAGGAACTTTAAGATATGTGTTTCATGAGACAGTGATTTTGTTCTTATCATTGAGTAAACAAAGAAACACATTTCAATGTGGGCCAAAGGTGTAATTGTCAAGGTACATTGTAAAGTCAATATCCTTCCTAACTAATCTAGTCTCAATCTCTCTAGATAGATAGGCCATACACAAAATTCTATACATATATAGGTATATGTGAGCACATATACATACCTATATATGTCTACACACATATATGTATATACACAAATATATACATACCTATATATGAATATCTGTGTACATACACATACCCATATATATACAGACACACACATCTAGTGGGTGTGTGTATGACATACGCAAAATGTATGTCCATGACATTATTGTCATGGTTTTTGTTTTTGGTTGGTTTTGTTATTTTCATATAATAGTTCTCAAAGAACATTCAATAAGCTTCTCCTGTATGAAAAGCACAGGGCTAGGTATTTTACACATAATTTTCTCATTTATAGTCCACAGCAACTCTACATGGTAAAGATTATCTTACAAATTTTGGACTCAGTAAGGTTAAGTGCTTTACTCAAGATCACAGGGTCATAAAATAAAGAGCTGATGTTACAAGTTGGGTGTTTCTCACTCCAAAGCCCGTGTTCTTTTTATCATATGATAAAACACTTCAAATGCGCAATTTTAACTTATTTTGGTATTTTGTGTTTTGTTTGGTATAGGTATTTTAAACATATTTTAAATATTTGGGACTTGGTATTTTATATTTTAACATATTTTGACTTATTGGTAGCTTATTCACCAATAATTTTGTACAAGTAAGCCATACTGCACATTCATACATAGCAAAGGTATTCACCAAAGGTCTATAAGGTACCAGATTCTGTTCTAAGTGCTGCTGATGGAGCAGTGCACAAGAAAGACAAATTTCTGTTTTTGTGCTCCTACATTCTAGTGGAAAGAGACAGAAAATGAACAGGTGGTGAACAGAATAAAGATAATACAACAAGTGGTAATATGTTTCATTAAAAAAATAAAGCAGAGTAAGGGACGGACAGTGACTGAAAAGGGTGCTGTTTATTTAACGTAGTCATACATGCCATTCCGCTAAAATGGTATTTGAGCAGAGACCTGAAGAAATCAAGAGTAAGCCAAGTAGGGGCACGTAGGGAAAGAGTGTTCCAAGCAGAAGAAACAGGAAGTATTAGTTTCCTAGGGCTGCCACAACAAAGTGCCATAAACTCACTGGCTTAAAATAATAGGTATTTATTCTCTCACAGTTTGGGAGGCAAGAAGTTCAAAATTAAGGTGTCAGCAGAGCCATGCCCTCTCTGAAGTCTGTAGGGGAAAATTCTTCCTTGCCTCTTCTGGCTTCTAGTGACTCTTGGAAGCATAGCCCCTATTTCTGCCTCTATCTTCGCATGGTTTTCTTTTTTCTAGTGTCTCTCTGTTTCCTTTCCTTGTCTCATAAGGATACACTCATAGAATTTAGGGCCCACTCAAAATCCAGGATGACTTCTACTCAAGATTGTTAATCAATTACACCTCCAAAGACCCTATTCCCAATGTGATCCTATGCTACAAAGTATAAAATCCCTGAGGTGGAAGCACATTGGAGGGGCAGCAAGGAGGCTTGTGTAGCCAGAGAAGAGTTTGGGGGTGGGTGGAGGAAGTGGTAGTTTACAAGATCAGACAAGTCCTCTGGGTTAGTGGGCAGGTAGATGGTGGAAGCCTGGCATGCTCTGTAAGAGCCTCGAACTTTAATCTAAGTAAGCTGAGTAGTCTGTAGAGAGGGAATTTTAGGACAGAGGAGTAACAGGAGTAATGAAATCCATAAAGGATCCTCACTCTGGCTGATTCTTAGAGAATGGAGTGGTTGGGAGAGGGAAGAAGCAGCAGAACCAAATAAGAGGCTTCTATGTTAAATTCAGTAAAATGTAACCATAATGTGATCAGAGTAGTGGTAGCAGAGCTGGTGACAGTTAGTCACATTCTGGGTCTACTTTGAGAATATGGCTGACAAGACCTGCTCCTGGATTAGATATGGAGTGTAAGATAATGAGAGATTCAAGGATGAAGCCAAGAGCCTTACCTGAAATTCTTCAGAATGGAGCTGGTTTTACTGAGATGGGAAGTTGTAGAGGAGGACCACATTTGGCCTTGGGGCCAAGAGTCTAAAGCATGTTTTGAAATGTTAAATTTGAGATGCTGATTGTGCATTTAAATACAGAAAAAGCATAGGCAGTAAAGGAATATTGAGGGCTAAGTTTCTGGACCAATAATTCTGCTTGGAAAAAAACTTTAAAATATTATAAAAGATGGATACTTTAAAAATCTTAAGAGTATTAAAAAGCTAACAAGATGCTAAACAATTAAAGTTGAAAATATAAATGAAAGCAGAAACCAGAAAGGAATTCAGAGAACTGAAGCTGCTTTTGTTGTCAAAGTTTTTACCAATCCAGAGGAATTTGAGCTTTGGCTGTGACAGCTGGCTTTTGATAGCTTCACAAGAAGTAATGCCCAATTGAGGTAGAAAATTTGATAGGAGATCTACCCCTTTAAAGCTGGTAGCCTAAGGGCTACACTAGGAAGGTGCAGATAAACCTGATCTACACCTCACCTCCAGTGAACTGCAAGGAGAGTTATCCTGGCACTCAACAGAGCAGGGGTTGGGGAGCAGATGGAGAGAAGTTATCACTAGTGAGTTGTAACCACAAATCTACCTTGCCCAGATTGGTGCCCAAATCCACATCATTTAGGTTATTTTTTTAAAGTTCAAGTTATTATTTCAGATTTAAGTGGTTCGGATAGGTAGTCAACTAGCCTCTTACCAGAAGTAAATGCAAATAATCTCTTTAGTAAATATGTCTTTATTAAGGTCTCTAAGAATGCTCATAAACATTTTATCAAATAAATGAGCACCACAAAGTTAAAACTAACCATCCAGGCACGGTGGCTTATGCCTGTAATCTCAACACTTTGGGAGGCCAAGATGGGTGGATCACGAGGTCAGGAAATCAAGACCAGACTGGCCAATATGGTGAAACTCCGTCTCTACCAAAAATAAAAAAATTAGCCGGGGTAGTGGCATGTGCCTGTAATCCCAGCTACTCAGGAGGCTGAGGCAGGAGAATCACTTGAACCCGGGAAGTGGAGGATGCAGTGAGCCGAGATTGCACCACTGCACTCCAGCCTGGCAACAGAGTGAGACTCTGAAAAAAAAAAAAAAAAAAAGTTAAAACTAACCACGCACCACGTGTGTGTGTGTGTGTGTGTGTGTGTGTGTGTAAACTATATCAAAGCATAATGGGTCAGAACTAACAGAAGCATCAGACAACAGAAACAGGCCCAGAAAGACTTCTGAAATTAGAATTATCAAACACAGATTGTAAAACAATTTTTTCTCACTTTATATAAAGAAATTAATAAAAAGCTCGAAAATATGAGCAAAAATGGGAAAATACTTTTAATTAAAACTATGTTAAAGCTTAGATTTGAAGAAACAAACAGAAATTCTAGAAATACAAAAATACCCTAACTGAAATTACAATTTAATAGAAAGAATGGCAACATGAAGAGGTCTGGTGATTCATCCTGAAAAAATTAATATACATTGGACAAAAGCATAAAAACAAATGTAGAAACTTGAACTGAAAGAATGCCTCTGAATCAAGGAAGAACTACAAGTTGATGGTTTTCCTGCTTGGAGACATTTCCCTGAACGCCCAAACCAGCTAACACTGCAGTCTTACATATTTGAGGGGGCAGATGATAGAGTTCAGGGACATTAAGGAGAGGGTATTTTTGCTATTCACAGCAAGGTTATGATGATGTGAATGAATGGTTGAAGTGGCATGGAGTACAAATTCATTGAGGATGAAGAGGTCAAGGAATCAAGATCCTAAAGTATCAGAAAATCATCTACATACACATTGACATCATCAAAAATTGTAACAGAAGTATTACTGGAAAGAAAAACATGGTGCCATTATCTAAAATTTTCAAGAAATGAAGGAAAATTCCAAAATAATTCAATAAATGTATAAAATAAGAATTGGGAATGTTTGGTGTCATCTACTGGCATAAGCTTCAAAAGAGCTGGACATTTTTAAAGAAATAGTAATATTTATTCACCTCCCTGCCTCATGGCATAAGTGGCTAGGGAGACAAGGCAGGTCTTGCCTGGAGCAAATCTCAATGGATCCCTACAAAAATGGTGTCAAGACCAACATGGTGTTGCAAACCATGACAAAGTAGATCATGTCACCATTGCTTAAATGGCTTTCCAGCACAATCATTAGCAGTACCTCTGACTTTGTCACCAATAAAAGGTCACAAATATTTTTTTGTTTCACATTACATTTGTTGTAGAAACTTTGAAATTTCATTTATGCTAATCACAATTTCAAATGTACAGTAGTTATTAGATACATCTCTAGATATTGTTGAAAAATTCCATGTATTACTGTATCACAAATTTGATTTTCTAGTATTTTAATAATTGTGTTTTAATATAATTGGCTTCCTCTAGAATATTATATATGTTATTTTATGGCCTTAAAAACATCACTTTGAGGAGTTTCATCATACTGTCAAACTGAGCCATCGCACAAAAAATGATTAATAACCACTGATTATGCTTGGGACATAATTGTAAACAAGACATTCAAGCTTCCATTTGAAAGGATACAGACAAAGGTGACTTTTAAACATTTAAACAGACAAACAATTACAAAATAAAATACAAAATTACAGAAATAAATACAGGATGAAGATAAAGACTGGGGAGGAGAAATTAAATTACCTATGGTGATCAAAGAAGGTGTATCTGGAAAAATAACTTTTAATCTAACATCTAACTATGGAAATCTAAGATGTAAGGAGCTAGCCAAAGGGATAGTGGGGGAAGAGTGTCTGAAACAGAAGAAGGAGCAAGTGAAAAGGTGTGGAAGAGACCAAGGAGTGCTAAAATCTAATTTATAATGGTTGCAAACAATATCCTTCTCTTTGATTCCCCCCTTCCTATACATTTCTCCCTCTGGAAATTTGCTACATTCAAAACAACCCATAATATAAAATTAGGAGATTGAAGCATTTGGAGCAAAAAGATTAGGATTCATTTAGTTATAGCTTGCAGGCCAAAGCTGATTCACTATCTGTTTTTGTATGGCCCACGTGCCAAGAATTTTTTTTTTTTTTACATTTGTATTTGACTGGAAAAAAATTAGAAAGAAGAATATTTTGTGACATCTGATAATTATAAAACACTCAAATTTCAGTGTTAATAAATAAAGTTTTATTTCAAAGAACAAACCATAATAGTCTCTCTGTGAGGATGACTTTCTACCTCTCCTACTAAATAACTTATTTAAGATTCAGTTAAAATGTTTTATCCTCTCCCAAACCTTCATTTATATTCCTGGGAATTTGATTATTTCTCCACTATGCCCCTATTAGTAGTATATATTTTTTACCTTTGTTTGTTAGCATTTTTATTATTATATTTTTATTTTTTGAATTTTATTTTAATTACTAGTTTACTTGTTGTGATGGTTTATTTTACATGTCAATTTGACGGAGAAACTTAGATAGTTGGTAAAACATTATTTCTGGATGCAACTATGAGAGTGTTTCTGGAAGAGATCACCTTCACCAATGTGATGGGTACCATCAAATCTCTTGACAGTCTGAATAAAACAAAAAGGCAGAGGAAGGGTGAATTTTCCTTCGTTTAAGGAAAATTCCATATCTGTCATTGGACATGGCATTCATGGTTCTTGGACCTTCAGACTCGGGCTATGACTTATGCCATTGATTCCACTGACTCTCAGGCCTTCTGACTCAGACTGAATTATGCCACTGGTTTTCCTGGTTCTCCAGCTTGCAGATGGCAGTTTGTGGAACTTCTCAGCCTCCATAATCACATGAGCCAATTCCTATTTGTGCATAATCGTAAGAGTTTTAGCTTCTAAAAAGTTGAAAACCCTTAGGTGTGGACGAAAAGATATTTGAGACAGAAGTCAAACAAATGGTCTATATAATGGAGTTCAGAATTTGAGCCTGAGATGAGCCCTTAAGATGACTGTATTTTTCTATTCAATCAGACAGTATTTATTGAACACCTATTTTCTGTACAGCTCTATGTCAGGCACTGTAAGGAATATAGAGATAAATGATATAGTCACTATAGGATAAGGCATAAAGGTACAGAACTATATGAAAGGAAAGCAATTGATTACCACAACAATAAAGAACAGATTGCTGCCAAATAAGGTTATAAGACACGGCATCTAAGTTAATGATAAACCAGAAAGATATTATTAAAAATGGACCTTTCAAGCACATGGACAGCATGAGCAAAGGCATGGAAGCAGAAAAGGATGGTGTTCATTCATTAATTCATTCATTTATTCACCAACAAGTTATAAGACAGATACAGTATGAGGTACTGTGGACACAGAGATGAACAAAGCACAGTCTCTGTAAAGGACTTCATCATCAATTGAGAAAATACAAGGAAACAAATAAATGTTACAAATTTTTAAAGACATGATGAAAAGAAGAATAGTAAGGGCAGTAGGTGGGAATATTTGATTAATTCTGAGACACACTTAAAGAGAAGTTTCAAAGAAGACCTTACAGGGAAAGTGTGCTGATCAGTGGGCAGTGGACTGTGGTAAAGAAAAGGAAATTATCCCTTATCACAGGAATAAGAAGAATGCGGTTTATTTTTCCAGAGAACATCTGCTAATTCTTAGTGGTTGAGATTATAAAACCACAAAAGAGTATCTGCTAATTCTTGATGGCTTGAGACTATAAAACCACACAAACATAGGGGTCTGACTTGGTAGAAATTAAAATAAGACTCCCTGTGTAAAGCTGGTGTGCTCAAAGGTATTCCAGACTCAGTGAAAGATTCAGGTAAAATGCATTCCAAAGAAGATGATTTACTGATCTCTAATTTGGCTCCGGGTGCACTGGGAGAAAAGGCAATCTTTCTGTAGCATCATAAGCCATTAGTTGGCGCTTATGTACCAAATTTTATTAGTGTGGACTAAAAAACTGCAAATCAAAAGTCTATTCTGTAGTAGATTCAGTTTGATAATCCTCCCAGGTTATTAGATCATTAAAATTCCAATATATAAAGATAGAACAAACAGATTACAATTTGGAAATTCACTAAACACCTGAGAAACAAGGCACCATGAGCAAGAATCTGCAGAAATTCAAAATGCAGGGTCAGACAAACAAATATCATAGTAGAATTATCAAATATAGAATATAAAGTAAATATATTTGATAAATTAAAGAAAGAAAAAAGATTTTGAATATGATTAAATTTAAAAGGATATTAAAATTAACCAAGCAAATATCAAAAAGAGTACTTCTATAAATAAATAATACTGTAATTGAAAATACTCAAAATTCAATGCATATGTTAAATAGAAGACTAAACAAAGCCAAAGAGAAAATTAATAAACTGGAAAATAAATCTGAAGATATTACCAAAAAATGCAGCATAGGGAGATAAAATAATACATGAAAAAGAGATTGAGGGAAATGAAGCCTAGAGGAAGAAAAGCCAATGTAAATCTAATCAGTGCTCTGAGCAGAAGAAAAGAATAAGGGAAAGGCAATATATGAAGAAGGAATGTCTGTGGTTATTGTCAGAATAAAAGCTTCAGCATTTAGATTTAGGCACCTGGATGAATTCAAGCAGAGTAAATAAAAAGAAACTTTTAAATAAGTTATCTGTATTAAAAATGCAGAAAATCAAAGACAGAGAAAATCTTAAAAGTAGTAGAAAGAAAAGATAAATTCTGAGGCCTGCCATGTACATTTGTGCAAGCTGTACGCTACCAGAGATGGTACTAGTCATTTATGGTCTATGTGAATGGTGTCCTTGGGAATTGAGCAATGCTATTTCTGAGAAGCTTTGTGCAGCATCCCAGTGGCTAAAAAAAAGTGATGAATAGCTTGACAGCTGACAGCTGACTTTCCATTGGCAGCAATGAAAGCCGGATATATATATAAAAAATAGTATATTCAAATGCTAAGATAAAGTAACTTTCAACGTAGAAATTTATATTCATAGAAACTGTGTTCCAATAACATTTCAAATGAAGACATTTTCAAAAAGTAAGTAAATAAAAACTGAGAAAAAGTACTGAAAAAAAAATGCTTCCAAAAGAATCTTCAAGGATAAAAGAGTGAAGGAAAATGATCCTAGAAGTAAGGTCAAACATTCCATGAATAATATGAGTAGAAAAAGAAAAGGAAAAAGAAGTGTTAAACTTATGTAAGCTTAACAAGTTGACTATATAAAACAGTTACCAAAATGTTTAATATGCAAGACAAAAATTATAGACAAGGAGAGTACAAATTTAGAGAAGTACATTTTGGTGTACAAAGATCTAAGGTCTTTTTATTAATTGAAAGGATGGTTAAAATATTAATTAACTTTAGAACTTGTTAACTACATTAGTAGGGTAAATACTACAAGAACAGAAATAGAAAAGTGTAACAACCAAATTAGTAAAACAAATTAAAATAAGGAAAAAAAGAATTTTAACATAGGGGAAGGGACTCTGAGATATAAAAATAACCAAAGTGTTTTTCCTACTATCACTCACCACTCAGCATAGCTGTCCTGACACAAGATATTGGAAGGGGGTTCACAACACACCAAGCAATTCCCTGGCAGACACCAGCTGGGTGCCTTCCAATCAATTCAATTCTGACACTGTCTACCTGGAGGTATCATCAGATCACATAGGGTAAGGCTGAGTTTCACAAGGCTGCTCCCTACTTCCAATCACAAGTCTCAGGTTGTGACTTGTACTTCTGACTGACCAGCTATAAATTGGAGTTCCCATAACTCTCTCCTCAGGTTTGATTAATTTGCTACAGTGGCTCACATAACTGAGGGAAACACTTTACTTTTATTTACCAGTTTATTAACAAAGACTATAACAAAGAATAGAGATGAACAACCAGATGAAGAGATACATAAGGCAAGGTCTGGAAGGGTCCCGAGTACAGGAGCTTGTGTCTTCATGGAGTTAGGACACACCACTCTTCCACCCCATGAATGTGTTTCCCAACCTGAATGCTCCCTAAACTTCAGAGTTTAGGGATTTATTGAAGGCTTCATCACATAGGCATGATTGATACTTAATTTTATTTCCAGGCCTCCCCCGTCTCCAGAGAATGGGGTTTGAGGCAGAAAGCTCCAAGCTTATAATCATGGCTGGATCTTTCCAGTGACCAGCCCGCATCCAGGAGCTCACCAAAGTCACCTCATTAGACCAAAAGATACTCCTATCACATATCACACAGAAAATTCCAGAAATTTAGGAGCTTGCATCAGATGTTCCTATTACTCATGCACACATGTTTATTGCAGCACTATTCACAATAGCAAAGACTTGGAACCAACACTAATGTCCAACAATGATAGACTGGATTAAGAAAATGTGGCACATACATGCCATGGAATACTAGGCAGCCATAAAAAAGGATGAGATCATGTCCTTGCAGGTACATGGATGAAGCTGGAAACCATCATTCTCAGCAAACTATCACAAGAACAGAAAACCAAACACTGCATGTTCTCACTCATAAGTGGGAGTTGTACAGGAGAACACATGGACACAGGGTGGGAAACATCACACACTGGGGCCTGTCAGGGGGTGGGGGGCTAGGAAAGGGATAGCATTAGGAGAAATACCTAATGTAGGTGACAGGTTGATGAGTGCAGCAAACCACCATGGCACGTGTATACCTATATAACAAAACTGCACGTCTGCACATGTACCCTAGAACTTAAAATATATATATAAAAAAAAGACAAGCAAAAAGATTCAACCTGCTCATAATTGGAGTTCCCAAGGAAGAGAAAACCCAAACAATAAAGCAAAAAATAAATTTCAAAAAAGTTCAAATAGTATTTCATAAATACCCCACTTAGAGAAGAGATATAAAAGAGTGGAGGCAGCCAGTAAACATATACATCACCCAAGGACCTCCACTAACAACAACAGCCTAAGCCACTGAGGAACTCACAGAGACCACTGATGCTGACTACAGCTGAATAAATTATACGAAGACTATACTACTGTGCCCACCCAGAAATCAAAGCAAAAATACTCTACCCAACCAACACTGTAGGTAGACCTATAGGAAAAAGTCTTCCTTTAAGGGAGCCAATCCATATAATTAAAAGAAATGATTGCTATACTAGATGTACAGATACCAACATAAGAATCCAAGAAATATGAGAAAGCAAAGAAACATAACACTTCCAAAAGAACACAATAATTCTGCAGCAACAGATACTAAAGAAAAGGAAATCCATAATCTTCCCTAAACAGAATTCAAAATAATGATATTAAAGAAATGCTATGAGACACAGAAGAACACAAATGAATAATACAAAGAAATCAGGAAAACAATTTATGATCTGAATTAGAAATTTAATGAAAAGATAGATATCATTTTTAAAAAATAAACAAAATCTTGGAACTGAATAATTCAATGAATGAAATAGTAAATACAATTGAGAGCTTCAACAGCAGACTAGGTTAAGCAGAAGAAAGAAAATTTGAACTTGAAAAAATATATTTTGAAATATCCCAGTCAGACAAGAAAAAAGAATAAAAAAAGAATGAGGAAAGCCTGTATGACATATGGGACATCAAAAATCAACCAAATATTCAAATTTGGGGACTTCCAGAAAGAGACGATCTGAGAAATGGAATAGAACACCTGTCTGAAAAACAATAGTTGAATGCTTCTCAAATGTCCCAAAAGATATAGCTGTCCAGGTATAGGAAGCTCAAAGATTCCCAAATAGATTAAACTCAAAAAGGTCTCCTCCAAGGAACATTATAGTCAAATAGTCAAAATTCAAAGACAAAGATAATTTTTAAAACAACAATATAAAAGCATCAAGTCACATATAAAAAAATTCTCATCAGACAAAAACTGGTTTCTCAACCGAAACCTTGCAAGCCAGGAGATAAGAAGATGACATATTCAAAGTGTAGAAAGAAGAAAAAAAGTCATAACAGGAATACTATATCCAGCAAAGCTATCCTTCAAAAATGAAAGAGAAATGAAATATTTCCCAGACAAGCAAAAACTGAGAGAATTAATTACCATGAGACTGGACCTACAAGAGTTGCTTAGGGGAGTTCTACACCTGGAAGCAAAAGGATAATATCTGCCATCATAAAAACACACAAAAGCATAAAAGTCACTGGTAGAAAAGATACTGAGAGAAAGAAGTCAAAGTTATCACTACCGAAAAACCCACCAAAGTATAAAGGTGAACAATAAAAGGAGAAAAGAAGCAAAGGATATACAAAGCAATCAGAAAAAAATTAACAAAATGGCAGGAGTAAGTCTTCACTTACAATAATAACCTTGAGTGTAAATGGTTTAAATTCTGCAATTAAAATATATATATACTAGCTGAATAGATTAAAAATACAAGACACAATATATACTGCCTTCAAGAAACTCAATTCCCCTGGAAAGACACATAGACTAAATGTGAAATGATAGAAAAGATATTCCACGCAAACAGAAACCAAAAGCATGCGGGAGTGTGTGTTTATACCAAACAAAACAGACTTTAAGTCAAAAAAATATAAAAGAGAGAAGAAGGTCATTATATAATAATAAATGAAGCAATTCAGCAAGAGGATATAACAACTATAAATACGTACACACCCAGCACTTAAGTACCCAGATATATAAAGCAAATATTACTAGAGTTAATGAAAGAGGTAGACCCCAATAAAAGTAGACCCCAATAAAATAATGGTTGAGAATTTTAACATCCAACTTTCCACATTGGATAGATAATCTATACAGAAAATTAACAAAGGAACATTGCACTTAATCTGTACTATAGACCAAATGGACCTAACAAATATTTACAGAACATTTCATCCAACAGCTATATACTATACATTCTTCTCATCAACACAGAACATTCTCCAGAATAGACCATAAAATAGGCCACAAAACAAGTGTCAACAAATTCTTAAAACTCAAGGTCATATCAAGTATCTTCTCAGGCAACAATGGAATAAAAGTAGAAATCAATAACGAGAGGAACTTTGGAAACTAACTGTACGAATACATAGAAATTAAACAACATGTTCCAGCATGACCATTGGATCAATGAAGAAATTAAGAATAAAATCAAAAAGTTTCTTGAAAAAAATATAAGTGAAAACAATATATCAAAACCTACAGGATACAGCAAAAATATTGCTAAGAGGTAAGTTCATAGCAATAAATATCTACTTTAAAAAGTAGATTAAAAAGATTGCAAATTCAATTTCAAATTTGATGCACCTTAAGGAACTAGAAAAGCAAGAACAAAGCAAACCCAAAAGTAGCAGAAGGAATAAATAATAAAGATTATACCAGAAACAAACAAAATAGAGACTTAAAAAACAATGCAAAAAATCAATAAAACAAATAGTTGGTTTTTAGAAAAGTAAACAGAATTGATAAACTGCTAGCTAGACTAACCAAGAAAAAAAGAGAAGACCCAAATAAATAAAATCAACAATGAAAAAGGAGACATTGCAACTGATACTACAGAAATAAAAGGATTATTAAAGGTTATTATAAACAATTACACACTAACAAATTGAGAAACCTAGAGGAAATGCATAAATTCCTTAACATATACAACCTACCAAGATTGACCCAGAGGGAATATAAAACTTGAACAGACCAGTAATGAGTAATGAGCTTGAATCAATAATAAAATTCTCCTCTAAGAACTGGAACAAGGCAAAGATGACCACTTTCACTACTCTTACACAACGTAAGAGTGGAAGTCCTAGCCAGAGGAATCAGACAAGAGAAAGAAATTTTAAAAACCCAAACTGAAAGAGAGAAAATCAATTTATCCCTCTTTGCAGATGACATGATCTTACATATAGAAAAGCCTAAAGACGCCACCAAAACACTCTTCGAACCGTTAAACAAATTCAGTAACGTTGCAGGATATAAAGTCAACATATAAAAACAATTGGTACATCTATAAACCAATAACAAACTAGCTGAAAAATAAATCAAGAAAACAATTCCATTTATAATAGCTATAAAAATAAATAAATAAAATACCTGGGAATAAATTTAGCTCAGAAGGTGAAAGATCTCTACAACGAAAACTACAAAACACTGATAAAAGAAATTGAAGAAGGCGCAAACAAATGGAAAGCCATCTCATGCTCATGGATCAGAAAAAATATTGTTAAAATGACCACACGACTCAAAGCAACCAATATATTCAAGGAAATTGGTATATAAAAAATCAGTGACATTGTTCGTAGAAAATTTTTAAAGACCTAAAATTATCACAAAAGATGCCAAATAGCCAAAGCAATCCTAAGCAAAAAGAACAAAGCTCATGGCATCAGACTATCTGACTTCAAAATATGCTACAAAGCTATAAAAACCAAAACAATATGGTATTGGTATAAAAATAGACACATAAATTAATGGTACAGAATACAGAAACCAGAAATAAATCCATGTATTTACAACTAATTGGTGTTTGACAAAAGTACCAAGAACATACATTGGGGAAAGGTTACTCTCTTCAACAAATGATAAGAGGAAAACTAAATATACAAAAACCAACTCTCAATGGATTAAAGACTTAAATGTAAGGGCCAAAACTATAAAACTACAAGAATGAAATAGGGGAAATGCTACAGGACATTATCTAGGCAAAGATTTTATGACTACCACTTCATAGGCACAAGAACCAAAAAAAAATTGACAAATGAGACTCTACTTAACTAAATATCTTCTTCAAAGCAAAGGAAACAATCAACAGAGTGAAGAGACAACCTGCAGGACGGGAAAAATATATTTGTAAATGATTCATCTGACAAGGGGCTGATATGCAAAATACACAAGGACATCAAACAACTCAATAGTAATAATAATAATGCCTTTAAAAAGTGGGCAAAGGATGTGAATAGGCAGTTCTCAAAAGAAGACATACAAATGGTCAACTGGTATATAAAAAATTCTCAACATTGCTAATCATCAGGGAAATGTGAATTAAAACTACAGTGAGATATCATAAGTACAAAAAATAGCAAATGATGATGAGGATGCAAAGAAAAGAGAACTCCTTTACACTGTTGTGGAAATGTAATTTAATACAGCCATTACGGAGAATAATATGGAAGTTTCTCAGAAAACTAAAAATAGAATTATCAGATGATCCAGCCATCTCTCTACTGGGTATTTGTCCAAAGGAAAGGAAATTTGTGAATCACAGAAATATTTGAACCCTCCTGTTTATTGCAATACTATTCACAATAGTGAAGATATGGATCCAATCTAAGTGTCCACCAACAAATGAATGGATACAGAAAATGTAGTATGTATGCAATGGAATACTATTCAGCCATAAAAAAGAATAAAATCCTGTAATCTGCAGAAACATGAATGAAATTGGAGAACATTATGTTAAATGAAATAAGCTAGGCACAGGAAGACAAATACTGCATGTTCTCACTCATATGTGGGAGCTAAAAAAGTAGATCTCCTGGAGGTAGATGATAAAGCAATAGGTGCCAGAGGCTGGGAAAACAGGGAGGATGAAGAGAGGTTGGTTAATGGAGATAAACATAGAGATAAATAGAAAGAATAAGTTATAATATGTGATAGCCCAGTTAAGGTGAGCCTAAACAATAATTTATCGTATGTTTCACAATATGTAGAAGAGAAGATTGGAAATGTCCCAACACAAAGAAGTGATAAATGTTGAAGATGATGAATATCCCAATTTTCCTGATTTGATCATTACAAAATATATGCTTTATCAAAATATCGCATGTACAATTGTAATCAAATATTACATGTACATATATAATATTACATGTACATATATAACATTATCATGTTAATGAGATACATGTACAATTATAATGTATCAATAAAAAAATTTAAGGGCCAGGCGCAGTGGCTCATGCCTGTAATCCCAGCACTTTGGGAGGCCGAGGTGGGCGAATCACCTGAGGTCAGGGGTTCGAGACCAGCCTGACCAATATGGTGAAACCCCGTCTACGCTAAAAATACAAAAATTAGCTGGGTATGGTGACACATGCCTGTAATCCCAGCTACTTGGGAGGCTGAGGTAGGAGCATTACTTGAATCCAGGAGGCGGAGGCTGCAGTGAGCCAAGATTGTGCCACTGCACTCCACGAAGAATACTGAAAAGCCCAAGAGAAAAGTCTAGAAAGGATACTGGAAAAAAGTGAACTATTTAACATTTTTAGTAGAAACTTCATGGTTGAGGAGGGGGAAGAAGCCCTGATTTAGGCAGGCCAGAAGATGATGGGTGAAATATATAATTAGGTATTTGGTGTGAAATCTACTCGGTTTCCAACTCGTTTAAGGTTGAAGATATCAATTTGTCAGTCATGTTAATAACTTTTATTTGTGTATATGTAGTTATATGCCAGAAACAGTATATTTTAAGCCGTACATGAGTTTCTTATTTCATTCTCACAAAGGCACTATGGTGGTAGGTATTTATTATTATCCTGATATCACAAATGAATAAAGATTAAGTAATTTTTCCGAGACTTCTTCTTATCCTTAAGAAATGGACTCACAGTTTGAACCTACAGATTCTGACTCCATAGGCTCAGTGTTTAATTGCTAACAAGGTGGTACCTTCCCATTGGAACAGTCCATCATAATGTCCCCTCTAATGGTATCTTACTTTCTTTCCTTACCTTAGGTTATTTTAAATATATAGAAGTAAAAGATTAAAAATGAAACGTAGTAGAAAGGTTCTAGTATATGCTACTTTTATTAAGCAGTATTTTGTCAATAAGTTTAGCAATATGTATTCTTTCATGAGTCTAGCATAAAGATGATAATGAATCTACTTGTCTTTATTTAATTCTCTTATTCTAATGTATTTAGAGCTCTTTAAAGGGATATGTAATTAAATTACCAAGAATTATTGTCTATTTCCACTGGCAAGAATGAACTTTGATGATTTTTTTCCTTCGGTCACAGTAACGTAGTTAGAAATCAGACTTTCACTTGAAAAAGCAAAAACAACCCCATATTCCTAGCACCAAACTCAAACAAATACCATTTCTATAATAGGCATATACAAGAACTTTTCAGATGCCTTGAGTTAATAGCCTTTCACAATAAATTATTTTTTAACGTTTAATTATTATGGCTACATAATAGTTACATGTATTTATGTGGCACATGTAATAATATTTTGATACAAGCATGCAATGTATAATGGTCAAATCAGGGTAACTGGGATATCCATCACCTCAAGCATTTATCATTTCTTTTAGTTAGGAACAGTTTGATTTCATGTTTTTAGTTATTTTGAAATTTGTAATAAATTATTGTTAACTATAGTTACCCTGTAGTTAACACTAGATCTTGCTCCTAGTACAAACACTAGATCTTATTCCTTTCACCTAACTGTATTTTTTTGTTTTGCTTTTTCAAATATTATCTAATTTTGTACATCTTTTGACAGTGGCATTGTGATATTAAAAGCAGGACTCTGTAGACTCACTAGAAAAATAGCTCAATGCTACAAGGTTATGCTTTGTCATTCTAGAGTTCAGCTTCTTTGATGACTGGGATCATATTGTATTCATTTCTATATTCTGAGAACTTGCACAATTATGTACAAAGGAGATATTCAAAAATACCTATAATAAATTAATAAATTGATTAAATATTTAAAAAGAAATCACAATTTTATGAAACTCTTTTTTTGAACTCCAATATTTAAAAATTCATGTATTCAAATACTGCAGAAGTCCAGCAGGAAAATGTTAGCAATGCCTCTGTTTATTCCTCCATCTGCTAGCATGAATCATAATTCACCTCTTCCCCTTTCCTCACTGGTGAAATCTATACGAAGACATACTTATGTAGATTATATAAACCCTTCTTTTCTGCTTAGTCATTGCAAAGTTAGAATCCTACGCACCATATGTGAGAAATCCCCCATCAATTAACAGACCCATGAAAACTACTCTGTACCCACTGTACTTTTGACTTAGGGGTTCTCCACCAGAGGTGATTCTGCTCCCTAAAGTGTTACCTGGCAATGTCTTGAGACTGTTCCATCTTCACAGCTTGGAGTGCTACTGGCATCTAGTGGGTGGAGACCAAGGATGCTGCTGTACCTCCTACAATGCACAGGACAACCCCAACGACAAGAATTATTCAACCCAAAATGTCAATAGTGCGGAAGTTGAGAAACCTCAAAACTGGTTCCCAGATTCTATTATTCACAGGAAGTTGTTTTCTTACCAAGGAATTAAACTCAAATCCAGGGACAGAATAGGAGTCAGATGCTAAGCTAGACTTAGAACTAAAAGCCAGATCAGATGTTGTGGCATAATATCTCGCATATAAATAGATTTGTAAATGTTAATTTTTTGCATTTATAACGTATTTACACCAGAGTGAAGACTCGGGAACCAGATTCCCTCAGATTAAATCCAAGTCCTGCCACTTACTAGCACGGCAATTTTGGCCAACTTAATTTCTATTCATCAGTTTCTGCGTCTGTAAAATGAGAATAACAATATATACCTCTCCTGGTAGTTGTGAGAATGATATTAGTTAATATTTGCAAAGCACTTAAAACAGTATCAAGCGTATGTTAAATACTGGTATGTGTCAGCTGATAGCACTTTTATAACTTATCTTTCTAATGACTGTAAAATGCAAGTCTACAATGCAGGACCACCTTCCTGGCATCAAAGTTTGAAAGAAAAGAAATCAGATTCCTTGGTATGTAGAATAAATTATATAGATATAAGCAAAATTCTATCTGGAATAGCCTGATAAACTGTTGTTGTTGTTGTTTTACTTTCCATAGGTCATCATTTTTAAGGCACATTTTTTCAAATTTGAGAATTCTTAAAATTGGCATATTTCATCATTTTTAAGGCACACTTTTTCAAATTTGAGGATTCCTAAAATTGGTATCTTACCAACATGTGCTTTCTCACACATCACTCTCAGCCAAATTGCAATCGTGATCCAGTTATTATTAACTATCTACCCACAAACATGGTTGTTGGTCCTTGCAATATGACTGAATAACTGCAATCTTGATGCTTCAGCTGATAAATCACTTAAGGGCCATTTGAGGAAGGTGTGTCCTTCCTGATTGACATCTAAAAACCTTCTTTCGGCACTTCCTGGTCAGATCAAGAAAGCTTCATCACCAATACTTTCTGCAGCAGCTTGTAAGAAAATCTTACTGACAGTAGTGAAGTCTTGATGGAGATACTGATCTTAATGATTTTGAGACCAAAAAAAAAACTGTAAAAATAAACTGTAAAGGTGAAGAGGTTTTAGGAATGCCTTAAGCAATTATTTCACTTACATTTTTCTCTGTACAAGAGTAATATGTAATAAAAGTTTATGTTTAAATAAGTTTAAAAAATATCTTTTGTGAGTATAAAAGTGAACACTATTTGAAAAAGCATTTATTTGCAGTTTTTTTTCTTAGTGCAACTTAGCAAACATTAGCACACCTTACAGATGATAGCATCTTAGGGTTGATGAAATTTGGTGGTCAGAGCCACAATCCTTAGCAACTGGAGTATGTGTGCCCACCAAGTTCAATGGCCTCCTCAATGGTCAGTGACAGATGATCTAAGATAAAATTTGTTCCTACTATCTATTAAAATGAGTTACTAAAAATATAACTACCATATTTAATAGAAAGTGACAATATAATTAAGAATATTGCATTTTTCACAAGATTTCAGTTTAGAACTACTCATCTTTACACATGCTTGCAATATTATTCTCTTTTTGCTTAGTTATGAGAACTAAAAATACTATCTTAAGCCCCCCAATTGACTAAATGGACCTCCTCTTGGCCAAGGGGACCTCAGAGAAACCGTAAAAAAGTGAGTTCCAGGCCATGATGGAATGGGAGGTCAGACATGCCTCATTACACTCCCACCCTCTTGCAGTTTAGACACAACTGACCAGCATTAACGTTAAAATAGAGATCATAAGACTGATAGAATGGACTCTTGGGGCAATAATTTACCAAATTATAAACAGGACCAAGGCCATGCCAGACAATGGTTAAGTGATGCATCCCTATACTTAAAGAATAAACTATGGGCCGGGTACAGTGGCTCGCGCCTGTAATCCCAGCACTTTGGGAGGCCGAGGCGGGCAGATCACCAGAGGTCAGGAGTTCGAGACCAACCTGGCCAACATGGTGAAACCCCCCCAGGCGTGGGGGCATGTGCCTGTAATCCCAGCTACTCCAGAGGCTGGGACAGGAGAATTGCTTGAACCCAGGAGGCAGAGGTTGCAGTGAGCTGAGATTATACCACTGCACTCCAGCTGGGGTGACAGAGCAACACTCCGTCTCAAAAAAAAATTAAAAAATAAAGAAAGAATAAACTATGTTCTAGTTGCCGTGAGTTTTTTTTTTTTTTTTTTCCTTCTTCTTCTTCTTCTTCTTCTCTATCACCTAAATAAGCACTGGCCTAGAAATGAGCAATACTGAAGCAAGTGGATTTCACCACTACCAGACACTGACTAACTGACCTCCCTCTTCCACAAGCCATAACTGCAGCTTTGACTGGACAAGACATTAATTTTAATAACTTTATCCTGATAAGAAGACCACTGATTATAGACTGGTTCTGGCCAATTTACAAAGGCTGCCCACTTGAGTGTCTTCATGTTCCTGCTTCACCTTTTGATGTATAGGCCTAATTGTAATACATTTAAATGTTGTCTCCACTTCAAAGTGAACATGGGTTGCATGCAAATGCATGTTTATTTCAGTACACATTCATTAGGACCCACTTCATTTATAGCTCCTCCTATAACCTGTTGAGTATGTATACTTAGCAAACCCATCAGCATAAATCCCTTTTCCACCTTCTCCTCCCACAAAGTGCCTGCTAACTGCTTCTGCCAGAGGCTATGCTTCCTAGCCTCTCAGGATGGGTACCTTGCAGGCCGTAACCCTTTATTTAAAAAAAAAAAAAAAAAATCTCCTTTCCAAATTTATAGACTGTGTGATTTTTAAATTAATAGTTAACTGTTACTTGTCCTTCATATCTCAGCTTTGATGGCAGCTTCTCTTAGCTATCTATTCTGATTCCCTAGACCTGGGTGAGGTGCCCATCAATGGTTCCCAGAGCACCTTGGGAATGAATCCTCTTATTCTTCTATTACCTATTGATTATACTTGCCTGCAGTCCTTGAAGGGACTCAGTCTTGATCTCTGCTGTTGTGCCGGCACCTATTATGGTGTCTAGCATAAACACAAAGTGCTCAAAATTTATTTGTTTAACTGAATACCCCATGGTCTTTTAATGGAGACTTGGGAAAAAAACACACACATTCCACATTATTAGTAAAAGAATAACATTCATTCCATCCACAAATATTTATTATTCTGAGTACCAATATTGCTAAAATGGACAAGGCGAGCAAACTCCCTGCCATCTCAGAACTTTCCGACATCAAACAAATACATGAATATAGAGTACATTATGTGAGATGGTGATGAGTGCTAGCTATGGAGAAAAACCAAGCAGGCTAAGGGAGCAGGCTGGAATGGTGTGGTAGTTCCTTTACATAGGACCGTCACACTCCCTGATGAGTGCCATCTGAACAGAGACCCGAAGGGAGTCAGGGGACTAGCCAAGCAGGTATCTGAATGAGGAGCACTCTAGGCAGAGAGAAAGTCATGTGCAAAGATCTTCATGCAAGAGAGGACTTTGTAGGCTTCCTCATTGTGTGGCTGGAGGAGAACATGCATAGGAACAAAATGGTAGGAAATTAGGTTAAAGAAGTGGCCCGGTCACGTGATGGCTTTAGGCCACTGGGTGTTATTCAGAGTTTGATAGAAATCATTAGAGAAGCATCTCCCTTTGGTGAATCAATTCTACTGAAGTTTTTCTCATCCATCAAATATTTTGTCACCTTAATAAAGCCCTGCTGATTTTGTTGCCAGGCCCTGAGGATCATGTTGTGTGGATGCTTTGGCTCTACCCCAAGCACAGAGCCATTGAAAATTTATTATGCAATTAAAAAGGCTTAGGGAATGAATGAATGATTGGGTGTAGCCCAACATATGAGGCCTGGGTCAATCCTATTCTATTCATGAACAATACTGGCAATTAGAAGCAAGCCTGATGAGCTGTGTTCATTGTGCCATTGTTCCTTCACTCCAGAATGTACTTTCCACATCTGTGTCCCTTTCTCCTACCACTGGAGTCAGAAGTAACTAATTGTACGCAGTGATCCTTCTGTCCTTTGGGTCATGAAAAGAGCACTGCAGTTGAAGTCAGAATACCTGAAATTGTATTTTTCTTTTCTTTTTTGTGACAGAGTTTCACTCTTGTTGCCCAGGCTGGGGTGCAGTAGCACCATCTCAGCTCACTGCAACCTCCACCTCCCAGGTTCAAGCGAGTCTCCTGCCTCAGCCTCCCGTGTAGCTGGGATTACAGGTGCACGCCACCACGCCTGGCTAATTTTTTGTATTTTTAGTAGAGATAGGGTTTCACCATGTTGGCCAGGCTGGTCTCGAACTCCTGACCTCAGGTGATGCAGCCGCCTCAGCCTCCCAAAGTGCAGGGATTACAGGCAGGAGCCACCGTGCCCAGCCTGAAATTGTGTTTTTCAAAGCATGAGTTTTTAAATCAGACAGACCTCAGTTTGTGACAAGTCAGTCAATATTACTTTTCTAAGTTGTAAAATTGCGATGATAATATCTACCTTTAGGAGTTTTGTGAGAATTACGATTGTTAGATTAAGAATTTATCATGATATCCAGCAAACAGTAAATATATAATAGGATTTTTAATTTATAAATTTACATTTATTCTATGTGCTCAAGCATTTGAGGAAATAATTTCAGACTCAACAGATATTTATTATGTTCTGTAAGGAACTTTCCACGGTTGGATGCGCATGATGGTTATTTGTGCCTGTGTCTATTCTTACTCAAGAGTGTGTATTCTTTGAGATTAGAATTACAAGCAGGTAATTTTTCTGATGGTCTGTGTCTGAAAAGGTAGATGCTCAATAAATGTGTAGAGTGTGAGCAACTGGGTCTCACAGATGTCTGTGGGTTTTTTCGGAGCCAGATAAATTCACATGATCCTTCTCCATCCTTCCCTTAACTTGTCAAGGTAAAGAGGGACATGGTGGCCTGCTTCATCCTCTCCATCGCACCAGGGTATCTCTAGGTTAGATTTCCCAAGGAAGTCAGTCTCCAAGATGGTTCACCCTCAAACAAACCTGTGTGTCTTCCTGTCTAGAATGTTTTAGACATTCCCAGTGCCATTGCATATTCTTCCATGTAATTAATTAAGTCTCCAGTGGAACCAGCCTGGCAGCCTGAGAAACATAACAAGACCTGCCCCCAACCCCATCTCCAGAAAGAAAGAAAACTTGAACTACTTCTAAGCAGCCTTTCATTTACAGGGTTTTTTGGGTCACATGCAAATGTAATGGATTCCAGTAATTTGAATATAATATGCCCTCAGTAAGTTTTATTTGTTCTTTGAGTCCATCTCTCCTCAGTTAAGCCTATCATTTTGTTTCTGTTCCTGGTAAGTCATGCGTTTGACAACTCATTATAGCATATGACTGGGGCAGTGCACCTCTGGGAACCAAATCAGCTGGTTAATGCCAGGTTTAAGGGGAATAATAGTCAAGCAGTTTGCTAAAGTCTTCTGGAGTTTGTACTTGTATTACTCAGCAGCTTTGGGCATACATGGGCACGCACACTCTAACACAATCAAAGCGAGAAGCTACAATGTTTTCTGAATTTGGTATCAGAATATCAAGACGATAATTTTCTACTTTTCAATTTTTTGGAACTACTACGTTAATCTTTATGAAAGTTTGTAGTAAATAATTAAAATACTTAGAGATATGTAAGAAAACACAATGAATTCCTCAGGCATAGTGTGATATTCCATTTTATAAAGTTCAATTTAGGGAGAAAATTTGAAATGAAAAATCTTACGTGAGTAAGTAGTGCCACAGTGTGGTTACAATTGATAATTTATTTCAGTTCCTGTGCTTTGAATAACCGATAATCCAAGCTAAGACTTCTGTAATCTAAAAAACTCCCTTCTCTACCAATATCAATGATCCTGACTTCACAGGTCTACACAATCAGTTATATTGCTCACGCATATATTTTCAATAGACCACTTTAATAGCTCACAAAGTACTTCATAGCTATCTTGTCAATTACAAAGGACAGATATTAAAACCTTCATTTTTTAAACAAGAAAAACTGAAACTCAAAATATCTGGCTGTTAATGTTTATAAGGCACTTAAATGACAGAGATGAGACTAAACCTTCAGCTTCTGGGTCCTTGTGAGTACATCTTGATGAATACAAGAACATGTGGGATTAGGGGTCAGAAGTCCAGGGCTGCCAACTAAGCTCTGTCACATGATTAATTGTGTGCTATTAAGCAAGTCACTTAAATCCGTAAGTTCTAGTTCTTTTTCATAAATAGAAAAAGGAAATGGTATTTGCCGTGCCTATCTTTGGAGACTGTTGTATCAATCAAATGAAATATAGTCCATAACAGATCTTTTTACAGACTGTGAAGCACTATAAACATTAGTGTTTTTATTACTTCCTTGCTACCACCACAATATGAAAATGCTTCCACAATAGACTAAGAATTACTAGGAGTAAAGAAAATCCAGTAAACACTGTAACTGTAACCTAAGCTAAAATGCCTGCTTAAATTATTCATTCAAAATTGGGATTTTTATGTCAGCCTGAAAAATACTAATGATCAATTTCTTATTGGTATGCACTCCCTTAAGGATGCAAATTATATTCTTGGTCTAGTGAAGACCCTTCACCATATATAATATATGTATTTTACATGTGTTAAAACAGAATCTGTGGTATAGGAAGTTTTCCCTTATCCTCAACTTTTACTTTAAATGTGGGGCTACATGTGCAGGTTTGTTATATGGGTATATTGCACTCACATAGTGAGCACAGTGCCCAATAGGTGGTTTTTGACCCATGCCCTCCTCCCTCCCCTTCTAGTAGTTTTCAGTGTCTATTGTTCCCACGTTTATGTGCATGGGCGCTCAGTGTTTACCTCCCACTTATAAGTGAGAACATGAGGTATTTGGTGTTCCGTTCCTGCATTAATTTGCTTAGAATTATGGCCTCCGGCTCCATCCATGTTGCTGCAAAGGATATGATGTCATTCTTTTTATGGCTGTTTAGTACTCCATGATGTATACGTACCACATTTTCTTTACCTAATCCACCATTGATGGGCACCTAGCTTGATCCCACGTCTTTGCTATTGTGATGCATGGGGATGAATATACAGATGTACGTGTCTTTATGCTAGAATGATTTATATTCCTTTGAATATATATTCAATAATGGAATTGTGGTTCAAATGGTAGCTCTGTTTCAAGTTCTTTGGGAAATCCCCATACTGCGTTCCACGTGGCTGAACTAATTTACATTCCCAAAAAGGTAGCTTTTAAATACAATTTTATAGTAATTACTGATATTAGATAAATCTTAATAAAAACCTTCAAATGTTGTACACAAAGGAAATCAAGATAGCTCACAGGACTTAGCATTATAACAAGCTTAGATTAGTTAGCTTTTTAAAATTGGCTAGAAGAAAAGAAAACTACCTCTTGTGAAGTAGGTGAAAATTCTAACTTCATAAGATGTTCTTAAAAGCATCATCAAGGTCCTGGCGCAGTGGCTCATGCCTGTAATCCCAGCACTTTGGGAGGCCGAGGTAGGCAGATCACGAGGTCAGGAGATCGAGACCATCCTGGCTAACTCGGTGAAACCCCGTCTCTACTAAAAATACAAAAATTAGCCCGGAGTGGTGGCAGGTGCCTGTAGTCCCAGCTACTCAGGAGGCTGAGGCAGGAGAATTGCTTGAACCTGGGAAATGGAGGTTGCAGTGAGCCAAGATCGCACCATTGCACTCCAGCCTGGGCAACACAGCAAGAGCGAGACTCTGTCTCAAAAAAAAAAAAAAAGGATCATCAAGATGGTATATTTCATGCACTTTTCAGATGCTCTTCAATTTCCATAACTCACCATATTTGGTTTTGCTTACGTCATTAGTTTTTAACCATAAAATAAGTTCTAGAAAGTTCTTAAATAAGATTGTCTACATATTCTATATTACATTATTGTCATAAAATTAACATAATGACTTTAAACTTAAAAACGTTTTCCACATTCACAAAAACAATGTAATTAACTTAGGAAGTTTAAAACTTTGTCTTTAAGCATTGTTTTAACACTTGCATCTGGGTGGGTGCGGACAACATTGGAAAAGTGTGGAGAGGAAGAAGAAGACAGCTTTTTTTGATACATTTTGGACCAGTCAGACAATATCTTAGTCCAATGGGTAGCAGTGTTTATACATATTCAGGTAAGATTAAGGTTCATTCAGCAAACTGCTATTGGTTCCCTGTATGTAACAGGCACCTCTGCCAGGCTAAAGACCCCATTCCCTGTGCTCAGAAGTGCCCAGAGAGATTGGGAGACAGACACATGAATAAACTATTGGACAATGGGCTCGTGCTGTACTGGAGATGTGCACGCAGGGTGCAGAGATGTAGGGAAGAATCACAGAGGAGATGGTCTTCTCTGCCCTTAGGATAAAGGGGAAGTGGAAGACCTGACCAAGAAGGTAACACCTGGGAAACAGGATCTCAAGAAATTCCAAGCCCAAGGATAACAAGTAAAGGTGTGGTTGAAAACAATGTTAGAAACTGGGAGGTGATTCTGTCTAGTGTGTTTGGTAGGCCATTTCTAGGTCTCCATTATGTCTTTTCCATTACTCTGTTTTGTTATCGTGTATCTTTAAAGTGTTTTGCAGCAGAAAATAAAACAAGGAAAAGAATGGTTGAATCACTTTTTAAAAATCATGCATTACATTATTGTGATCCAGGGATATCCTATTATGTGTTTATTCCTAAGTGTAAGACGTGTCTTCAAGCTATTGCATTGGAGAGGTACCGTGTTTGCATTAGAAGACAAACGGCCTAAAAAAGGTGCACAATTTTTGGGAGAATGCTTCCATCTAGTGGTCAAATTGAGAAATTCACTTACATGTATTCGTTATATTTCTTAAAAATATTTGTTAATCTGTTATATACCAAATCAATATGTTTCTGTTCATTAATAGTTAATAATTTCTCATTTACTTTTAACTATTGGAGGATATAACAATTTAATTTTATTTGGCCTGTTGGTTCTCAAGGAGGTAGTGTCTCCAAAGAAAAATAAGATCCTCAAAAGAAGGCCATATTTGTTAAAGCTTTCATACACCTTGTCTCATTCAATATTCAGAGCCACATTGTAAAAAAATAAAAACTTTTACTATTATTCCATTTTATACATAAAGAAATGGAAACATAACAGGGTCAGTAATTTCACCTAACACCACCATGCAAAGAATTAACTTGTCAGGATGACTTCAGTTCTGGTGTTCTTTTCTCTTGATGCATTAAAGATGATTATTTTATCATTAACTCTGTTGATAAAGTTACAAGTTCTTTATGTGATGTGAGTAACATCTGTTTTGTAAGTTTGGAATGTGAAATGCATAAGGTCTTCATAATGTAGATGAATTAGTCAGTACAGGCTACTTAATGATGGAGTAACAAACCCAACTCTTAAATCTCAGTAGTTTAACATGATGGAAGTGTATTTCGCACTTTGGTTCAGCAATAAACTCACATCTTCCATTGTCTAGCTGAAGGGAAATGTAAAATAAAAGGTAGCAAATTGAAGGTTTGGGGAGGATTATGCTCTGCTGCAGAGATGGATTCCATTTTTCTCAAATATTAAGTATATTAAAGTATATAAATATTTTTTCAAATATTAAGTATACAAAGTATAAATATTTTGGATTGTGTGGGTTAGAAAAACATTTATGTGCTTTTGCTTTTTTTTCCCTTTCAAACAGCTTCTCGCTCTGTTGCCCAGGCTGGAGGGCAGTGGCATAATCATAGCTCACTGTAACCTCAAACTCCTAGGCTCAAGCTAGCCTCCCGCCTCAGCCTCCCGAATAGCTGGGACTACTGCTACTACTGCACAATGACACTCAGCTAATTTTTAAATCTTTTTGTAGAGACAGAGGTCTCACTCTGTTGTGCAGGCTGGTCTTGAGCTCCTGGCCTCTGGAGATCCTCCTGCCTTGGCCTCCCAAAGTGCTGGGATTACAGGCATGAGCGCTGCATCTGGCCTGCTTTTGCTTTTATTTGTATTTTTTTTTCTCTGAGGGACCTCAAGATCACAGAATTGTATTAATCTTAATCCTTGGCTCATGGCACACTTATTGATGGTTTCTGCATATCTCTCCTCCATTAATTATGCATGTACGTATGTGTGTATTTTAATAATGTAACAAGCACCTGTGGACCTAACAGCCAATATGGAAGCTGAAACTTTGGCAATCAGTCACATCTAGCTGTGTGGTCCCCATCCCTTCTATCTGCTACCCCTTTCCCAAGGTAACTACCATCCTAAATATGGTGTGCATTTTCCTTCTCTCTCTTTTTAACATGGTCTTATTCGATCTGTCTATCTGTTTTTTAAAGGCATATATTTTTATTTTAGTTATTTATCTCAATATTATGTTAGGATTCCTCTGTGTTGCTGCACATCATCACAGTTCATTCACTGAGTGTCGCATTATAGTATTTTGTGTGACTATAACAGATCATTCATCTACTGTCTTTGAGGATGTGAATTTGGGATTTTCTCCAATTTTTGCTGTTGTAAACAATGTCAGACAAGATCTCCATGTACCTTTGGGGATTCATCTCCTAATAATATTTTCTTTCTGGCCAAGCTTACATCCTCACCTGTCTCTTAAAAATGCCATTGTATTTCCTGATCCTGCACTTTGCTCCTATTTTGTCTGTCCCTCTACACTTCTTTCTGCACATGAATTCTACACATTATCCAAAGCCAGTATGAAATTTCACCCTTTCTATGAAATTTCCGATTACCACTATAATTTGTAGGATTGGTTTTTGCCTCTGAATGCTTGGGATAAAACATGTTTTATCCCAAACGCACTATTTGGTAAATATTATAACAATCATTCATTAACCACCTATAACATGCCAGACATGAATCCAAGAACTAGCCCTAGATCGTTTTATTTCTTTCTCAATACAACAGTATAATGTGGGGATTATCATTATTACTATTTTTCAGTCCAGTAATTACACATTAATCATTCTAAGGGTCTGATTGCTGAAAGGACTCAAGGCTCCGTTTATCATCACCAGGCAAGAGATACCTATGGCAATGGCAGGAGAAGGACATGCATTCAAAATGGTCCCAAAATGTTAGGCACAGGTTTCCTTGTCCTCTTTCCACTGGGTAGGGTCATACCAACTTCACTTAGTCTCTAGGTCTCAAACCACCATCAGCATCTGGAAGTCCAAAGTCCGTTCTTGGTAAGGAATCTCTCACCATAACCTGGTCACTAGGCACATCTCAGCTATGTGACCAGCCTTAACTGTTGAAACATCACCCCCTGCTCCCAACCTCTACTGAAACCAGATGCAAATCATAAATCCGGTTATTTCTAAACAATGATGACACACTGATACATCCTGCTCCAGAACAACTCACAGACCCATACAGAATAGCATTTGTCTTTAGTTAATAAGTACTATAGCATTAGCCAAGGGTCAGTAGCTCCCTGCATAAGAGCATGAACAATCCAGACCAGTTGAGATTAACCCCAACTGTGCACGCAGGTAAGGAAACCAAGGCTTAGAGAAGTGAAGTACTATCTTCCCCGAGGTCATCCCTCAAGAGTGATGGAGTTGTTCAGGGAAACTCCAGGGCCTGTGCCCTTTGGCAAGCTCTGAGCTATTCTGACTCTTAATGCAGTTAGTTGTGGCTTGCCCCATCCACAAGATAGCATGTATTATGAAGAAAAGTTGTTTGTCTGCATCTTTGTATTTCTCCCAGCATCTAGCATAGTCCTACATGTAAGTAATATGCACCAATAAACAGCTGGGCAGAATGACTAGCACACTTTCTCCTAGCTAGTGGGTAAGTTATCTCATGGCTCCCAGATGAGCAAAGCTCTGTTTTATCTCTGTACCTCTGTTCATGCGATTACTCTGACTTAGACTGTCTTCCAACTCTGCTGTCATGCACGAATCCACCCCTAAATTTTCAAGCCCATACTCATCTTCCCCTTTTCTAAACTTATATCATCATTAGCATATAATTCAGAAATTCTGAAAGTATTTTATATTTGTTTTTTAATCCAAAATAACATCATAAATTTCTTAATGACAAAGGGCTTTTATTTTATACATGTTCTTTAAAAGAATATGTGTACTGTTAGCCTTCTACGTATTATCCCCATGCCAAGAATATTGTGGATCAGCTATAGCACTTTCAGAATCAGTGTACCTATTCCTAAAAATGTGTTTTCACAGCCCAAGTGGTCACCAGATGAAATATATAGTATAATTACTTCCTTAATGTAGCCTTTGAACATCTCTAATCATTAAGGAAATGCAACTTAAAACTATAATGAGATACCACCTTGCACTCATTAGGATGGCTATGATAAAAAAAAAACGAAAATAGCAAGTGTTCTGGAGGATGTGGAGAAATTAGAACACTTGTCTACTGTTGGTGGAAGTGGTACAGCTACTGTGGAAAATAGTATGGTGGTTCCTCAAAGATTAAAATTATAATTACCGTAAGATCTAGTAATTTCACTTCTGGGCATATACCCCAAATAGTGGATAGCAGGGTATTAAATAAATATTTGTACACCTAGGTTCATAATACATTATATACAATAGCCAAAAGGTGGAAGCAACCCAAGCGTCCATCAACAGATGCATAGGTAAACAAAATGTGTTATATCACCCAAGGGCATATTACTCAGCCTTAAAAAGGAAACAAATTTTGACGTATGCTACGATAGGAATGACCCTTGAAGATATTATGCTGAGTGAAATAAGCCAGTCAGAAAAGGACACATACTGTATGTTTCCTCTTACAGGAGGTACCCAGAGTAGTCAAATTCAGAGAGACAGGAAATAGAATGATGGTTGCCAGGGGCTGAGAGGAGGGGAAATGGGGAGTTGCTTAATGGATACAGAGTTTCACTTTTGCAAGATGAAAAGAGTTCTGGAGATTGGTTGCACAACAATCTGAATGTACTTAACACACTTAACACTACTGAACTGTACATTTAAAAGTGGTTAAGGTGATATATTTATATTATGTGTATTTTACCATATTAAAAAATTTTTATCGTAACCTATGTTTCTCATTGACTACCGATGTCATGAAGAAAGAAATCCAGGGGGCAGGTTTTAGCTATAGGGCTAGAGGATTTAAGCTCCCTCTTACTGGTATTTCTGGGGCTCCTATTCCGTGAGCACTAGGCAGTTATAAGATCTGGCTGGTGCTTATTTGGATATGTGTATGTAGCAAATGGAGAAATCCTTAACTCCCTCTTTCTCTATCATTCTCCAAGGGACCCACACTGCATTGCATTTCAACTTCTCTGCAAAAAATTACAGCTCTTTCTTACCTAAGAACATAGTAAGAGATGTTTTATCATAGTAATACTAGATTTTCAACCAAGTTTAGATGACTGAACACTCAGAAGATGTCCTTACTCAATTAGGCACACAGGTTACTCTGGTTAAGAACAATACCAAATTCTCTAGGGGCCAGACTGGGAAGGCATTAGTGTGGTACTCATCTTGTTGGCCGAGAATATCTGACTCCCTTCCTGTAGAAGAGAGGCTAGCTGGGCTAGATGGGGTTGGGGGTTGCTTAATGGATGATGCAGGAAAACCTAATAGTCATCTTTAGCAAATGATGCTCAAGGGCAAACATCAAGACTATGTCTAAGTAATAATACTATAATCGAAGTGGAATCATATGTTCAAAGCCATATGCACCTGAGATCCATTTCTGCCTCCTGAAATGCATCTCAGACCCTGAAAACATGAAAGTGATATTAACTAAGGACTAGTGAATTACTAATGTACATCTGCAAGTATTCTGAAATGGGGAGGGAAATTCCACAGGGAAGCTTGTATGAAATCTGATTCAAATGTTTATGTGTGCACAGAAGAGCTATAGAACTGACTTAAGCTAAACAAAATGAAGAAACCTATTTATTCTCAACACTCGTCTATGTTGAGGTAAATTTCCCATTCATTCCAGGTCATCTGTGATTATAAATGATGGGTTATTCATTAATTCATTTGATCATTTATTCAGAAAACATTATATTGAATTCCTCCTATGTGCCAGGCACTGTGCAAGTGTTACTGGTGGAGGGTCTTGACTACCAATCTAACTACAAGTCCAGATTCTTGGTGTTTTGAACAAAGGCACAAACAATGCAACAGAAGGACAAAGTAATGAAAGAATCAACAAACATGTAGACTTATTGAAGTGAAAGTACACTCCACAGAGAGGGAACTGGCTCAAGCAAGTGGCTCAAGAACCTCAGCGGCAAGGTTCCAAGATGGCCAAAGAGGAACAGCTCCAGTCTACAGCTCCCAGCGTGAGCAATGCAGAAGATGGGTGATTTCTGCATTTCAAACTGAAGTACCTGGTTCATATCACTGGGGCTTGTTGGACAGTGAGTGCAGCCCATGGAGTGTGAGTCGAAGCAGAGCAGGGCATTGCCTTTCCTGGGAAGCACAAGGGGTCAGGGAATTCCCTTTCCTAGCCAAGGGAAGCTGTGACAGACAGTTCACACACAGGTTTCCTTGTCCTCTTTCCACTGGGTAGGGTGGAAAATCGGGACACTCCCACCCTAATACTGTGTTTTTCCAATGGTCTTAGCAAATGGTACTCCAGGAGATTATATCCCACAACTGGCTTGGAGAATCCTATACCCATGGAGCCTCGCTCACTGCTAGCACAGCCTTCTGAGGTCAAACGGCAAGGTGGCAGCAAGGCTTGAAGAGGGGCGTCCACCATTGCTGAGGCTTCAGTAGGCAAACAAAGTGGCCGGGAAGCTTGAACTGGGTGGAGCCCACCACAGCTCAAGGAGGCCTGCTTGCCTCTGTAGACTCCACCTCTGGGGACAGGGCATAGCTGAATAAAAGGAAGCAGAAACTTCTACAGACTTCAACGTCCCTGTCTGACAGCTTTGCAGAGAGTAGTGGTTCTCCCAGCATGGAGTTTGAGATCTGAGAATGGACAGACTGCCTCTTCAAGTGGGTCCATGACCCCCGAGTAGCCTAACTGGGAGGCACTTCCCAGTAGGGGCCAACTGACACCTCATACAGCTCGGTACCCCTCTGAGACGAAGCTTCCAGAGGTAGAATTAGGCACCAACATTTACTGTTCTGCAATATTTGCTGTTCTGCAGCCTTGGCTGGTGATACCCAGGCAAACAGGGTCTGGAGTGGACCTCCGGCAAACTCCAACAGACCTGCAGCAGAAGGTCCTGAGTATTAGAAGGAAAACTAACAAACAGAAAGGACATCCACACCAAAACCCCATCTGTAGGTCACCACCATCAAAAACCAAAGATAGATAAAACCACAAAGATGGGGAGAAACCAGAGCAGAAAAGCTGAAAATTCTAAAAATCAGAGTGCCTCTTCTCCTCCAAAGGAATGCAGCTCCTCGCCAGCAACAGAATAAAACTGGACGGAGAATGATTTTGACAAGTTGACTGAAGTAGGCTTCAGACGATCAGTAATGACAAACTTCTCCGAGCCAAAGGAGGATGGTCGAACCCTTCACAAAGGAACTAAAAACCTTGAAAAAAGATTAGATGAATGGCTGACCAGAATAAACAGTGTAGAGAAGACCTTAAATGACCTGATGGAGCTGAAAACCATGGCAAGAGCAATATGTGACACATGCACAAGCTTCAGTAACCAATTCAATCAAGTGGAAGAAAGGGTATCAGTGATTGAATATCAAATGAATGAAATGAAGCAAGAAGAGAAGTTTAGAGAAAAAAGAGTAAAAAGAAATGAACAAAGTCTCCAAGAAATATGGGACTATGTGAAAAGACCAAATCTACATCTGATTGGTGTACCTGAAAGTGACGGGGAGAATGGAACCAAGTTGGAAAACACTCTTCAGGATATTAACCAGGAGAATTTCCCCAACCTAGCAAGGCAGGCCAACATTCAAATTCAGGAAATACAGTGAACGCCACAAAGATACTCCTCGAGAAGAACAACTCCAAGACACATAGTTGTCAGATTCACCAAAGTTGAAATGAAGGGAAAAATGTTAAAGGCAGCCAGAGAGAAACGTCAGGTAAACCACAATGGCAAGCCCATCAGACTAACAGCGGCTCTCTCGACAGAAACTCTACAAGCCAGAAGAGAGTGGGGGCCAATATTCAACATTCTTAAAGAAAGAATTTTCAACCCAGAATTTCACATCCAGCCAAACTAAGCTCATAAGTGAAGGAGAAATAAAAGCCTTTACAGACAAGCAAATGCTGAGAGATTTTGTCGCCACCAGGCCTGCCTTACAAGAGCTCCTGAAGGAAGCACTAAACATGGAAAGGAAAAACGAGTTCCAGCCACTGCAAAACCATGCCAAATTGTAAAGACCATCCAGGCTAGGAAGAAACTGCATCAACTAATGAGCAAAATAACCAGCTCACATCATAATGACAGGATCAAATTCACACATAACAATATCAACCTTAAATGTAAATGGGCTAAATGCTCCAATTAAAAGACACAGACTGGCAAATTGGATAAAGAGTCAAGACCCATCAGTGTGCTGTATTCAGGAGACCCAGCCCACGTGCAGAGACACACACATAGGCTCAAAATAAAGGGATGGAGGAAGATCTACCAAGCAAATGGAAAGCAAAAAAAGCAGAGGTTGCAATCCTAGTCTCTGATAAAACAGACTTTAAACCAACAAAGATCAAAAGAGACAAAGAAGGCCATTACATAATAGTAAAGGGATCAATTCAACAAGAAGAGCTAACTATCCTAAATATATATGCACCCAATACAGGAGCACCCAGATTCATAAAGCAAGTCCTTAGACACCTACAAAGAGACTTAGACTCCCACACAGTAATCATGGGAGACTTTAACACCCCACTGTCAACATTAGACAGATCAATGAGACAGAAAATTAAAAAGGCTATCCAGGAATTGAACTCAGCTCTGTACCAAGTGGACCTAAGGGACATCTACAGAACTCTCCACCCCAAATCAACAGAATATACATTCTTCTCAGCACCACATCGCCCTTATTCCAAAATTGACCACATAGTTGGAAGTAAAGCTCTCCTCAGCAAATGTAAAAGAACAGAAATTATAACAAACTGTCTCTCAGACCACAGTACAATCAAACTAGAACTCAGGATTGAGAAACTCACTCAAAACCGCTGAACTACATGGAAACTGAACAACCTGCTCCAGAATGACTACTGGGTACATAACGAAATGAAGGCAGAAATAAAGATGTTCTTTGAAACCAATGAGAACAAACACACAACATACCAGAATCTCTGGGACACATTTAAAGCAGTGTGTAGAGGGAAAATTATAGCACTAAATGCCCACAAGAGAAAGCAGGAAAGATCTAAAATTGACACCCTAACATCACAATTAAAAGAACTAGAGAAGCAAGAGAAAACACAAAAGCTAGCAGAAAGCAAGGAATAACTAAGATCAGAGCAGAACTGAAGAAGACAGAGACACAAAAAAACCCCTTCAAAAAAATCAATGAATCCTGGAGCTGGTTTTTTTGAAAAGATCTACAAAATTGATAGACCACTAGCAAGACTAATAAAGAAGAAAAGAGAGAACAATCAAATAGATGCAATAAAAAATGATAAAGGGGATATCACCACCAATCCCATAGAAATACAAACTACCATCAGAGAATACTATAAACACCTCTATGCAAATAAACTTGAAAATCTAGAAGAAATGGATAAATTCGTGGACACATACACCCTCCCAAGACTAAACCAGGAAGAAGTTGAATCCCTGAATAGATCAATAACAGGCTCTGAAATTGAGGCAATAATTAATAGACTACCAACCAAAAAAAGTCCAGGACCAGACGGATTCACAGCAGAATTCTACCAGAGGTACAAGGAGGAGCTGGTACCATTCCTTCTGAAAATATTCCAATCAATAGAAAAAGAGGGAATCCTCCCTAACTCATTTTATGAGGCCAGCACCATCCTGATACCAAAGCCTGGCAGAGATACAACAAAAAAAAAGAGAATTTTAGACCAATATCCCTGATGAACATCAATGCAAAAATCCTCAATAAAATACTGCAACCCAAATCCAGCAGCACATCAAAAAGCTTATCCACCGTGATCAAGTGAGCTTCATTCCTAGGATGCAAGGCTGGTTCAACATATGCAAATCAATAAATGTAATCCATCGTATAAACAGAACCAAAGACAAAAACCACATGATTATCTCAATAGATGCAGAAAAGGCCTTCAACAAAGTTCAACAGCCCTTCATGCTAAAAACTCTCAATAAATTAGGTATTGATGGGATGTATCTCAAAATAACAAGAGCTATTTATGACAAACCCACAGCCAATATCATACTGAATGGGCAAAAACTGGGAGCATTCCCTTTGAAAACTGGCAGAAGACAGGGATGCCCTCTCTCACCACTCCTATTCAACATAGTGTTGGAAGTTCTGGCCAGGGCAATCAGTCAGGAGAAATAAATAAAGGATATTCAATTAGGAAAAGAGGAAGTCAAATTGTCCCTGTTTGCAGATGATATGATTGTATATTTAGAAAACCCCATTGTCTCAGCCCAAAATCTCCTTAAGCTGATAAGCACCTTCAGCAAAGTCTCAAGATACAAAATCAATGTACAAAAATCACAAGCATTCCTATACACCAATAACAGACAAACAGAGAGCCAAATCATGAGTGAACTCCCATTCACAATTGCTTCAAAGAGAATAAAATACCTAGGAATCCAACTTACAAGAGATGGGAAGGACCTCTTCAAGGAGAACTACAAACCACTGCCTAACGAAATAAAGGAGGACACAAACAAATGGAAGAACATTCCATGCTGATGGATAGGAAGAATCAATATCATGAAAATGGCAATACTGCCCAAGGTAATTATAGACACAATGCCATCCCCATCAAGCTACCAATGACTTTCTTCACAGAATTGGAAAAACTACTTTAAAGTTTATATGGAACCAAAAAAGAGCCCGTATTGCCAAGACAATCCTAAGCCAAAAGAACAAAGCCGGAGGCATTACTCCCTGACGTCAAACTGTACCTCAAGGCTACAGTAACCAAAACAGCATGGTACTGGTGCCAAAACAGAGATGTAGATCAATGGAACAGAACAGAGCCCTCAGAAATAACACCATACATCTACAACCATCTGATCTTTGGCGAACCTGACAAAAATAAGAAATGGGGAAAGGATTCCCTATTTAATAAATGGTGCTGGGAAAACTGGCTAGCCATATGTAGAAAGCTGAAACTGGATCCCTTCCTTACACCTTATACAAAAATTAATTCAAGATGGATTAAAGACTTAAATGTTAGACCTAAAACAATAAAAACCCTAGAAGAAAACCTAGGCAGTACCATTCAGGACATAGGCACGGGAAAGGACTTCATGACTAAAACACCAAAAGCAATGGCAACAAAAGCCAAAATTGACAAATGGGATCTAATTCAACTCAAGAGCTTCTGCATGGCAGAAGAAACTACCATCAGAGTGAACAGGCAACCTACAGAATGGGAGAAAATTTTTGCAATCCACCCATCTGACAAAGGGCTAATATCCAGAATCTACAAAGAACTTAAACAAATTTACAAGAAAAAAATCAAACAACCCCATCAAAAAGTGGATGAAGGATATGAACAGACACTTCTCAAAAGAAGACATTTATCCAGCCAACAGACACATGAAAAAATGCTCATCATCACTGGCCATCAGAGAAATGCAAATCAAAACCACAATGAGATACCATCTCACACCAGTTAGAATGGCAATCATTAAAAAGTCAGGAAACAACAGGTGCTGGAGAGGATGTGGAGAAATAGGAACACTTTTACACTGTTGGTGGGACTGTAAACTAGTTCAACCATTATGGAAGACAGTGTGTTGATTCCTCAACAATCTAGAACTAGAAATACCATTTGACCCAGCCATCCCATTACTGGGTATATACCCAAAGGATTATAAATCATGCTGCTATAAAGACACATGCAAACGTATGTTTATTGCGGCACTATTCACACTAGCAAAGACTTGGAACCAACCCAAATGTCCATCAATGATAGACTGGATTAAGAAAATATGGCACATATACACCATGGAATACTATGCAGCCATAAAAAATGATGAGTTCATGTCCTTTGTAGGGACATGGATGAAGCTGGAAACCATCATTCTGAGCAAACTATTGCAAGGACAGAAAATCAAACACGTCATGTTCTCATTCTTGGTGGGAATTGAACAATGAGAACACTTGGACACAGGGTGGGAAATATCACACACTGGGGCCTGTCTTGGGGTGGGGGTACGGGGGAGGGATAGCATTAGGAGATATACCTAATGTAAATGATGAGTTAACTAGTGCAGCACACCAGCATGGCACATGTATACATATGCAACAAACCTGCACGCTATGCATATGTACCCTAGAACTTAAAGTATAATTATAAAAAATAAATAACTAAATAATTTTTAAAAAGCACCTAAGAAAAAACTTTTAAAAATGAACACAGCCTCAATGACCTGTAGTACAATATAAATGTTTGAATATACATATAATTACCATCCCAGAAAAGGAAATGGAGGAGGTAGAAAAAATATTTGAAGAAATGATGGCCAAAACCGTTTACCTTTGATAAAAACTACAAACCAACAACTTCAAGAAGCTCAGTTAACTCCAAACAGTATAAACCAATGCAAATCATGCTAAAGTATGTCATAATCACATGCTTAAAATCAATGATAAAGAGGATATCTTAAAGATAGAGAATTAGTGACACATTACATATAAAAATAAAGACAGCAACAAGACTGAAGACAAAGGAGCAGTATCTTAAAGTACTAAAAGAAACATAATATGCCCTAATCCATGAACAATCGTTTTCCATTCCTGTGGCAGAGATAGCTAAATGTTACCAAATACGTGTGATTCCCATCAATGTAGATTCATTGCTGAAAAACAACTGCCCAGCCAGGTTCTTGTGTATTTCTCCTTTTTTCCCTGTCTCTTAATCTTTAAATCAAACCCTGACACCTTGAAATATCTAGCAGAGGCAAATATAAAACTTAATTAATCAGTAAACCCAGACAAAAGTGTATGCTGACAATTTTGAAGACATTTCTATTTTTATTTCACCAATAATTTTAAAGCCAGCTTATTTATTAAAGATTACTGAATTCACACGAACCTTGTGAAAAGCATTTGGACTGAATTTATGAGTACTCATTTACTTATAAGCCAGTTTGGTAGCCATGTTAGACACGACACATAACATAATACATGTACAGGCACAAATATATTTAAACATGTATACACACACAAACAAAAATCCAAGAGGCTTTACCTCAGAACTCTAGCTATGAGACAGCATTACAAACTCACTGTTTTACAAAAGACAGCTGGGTCCAAATTATTTCTGATACAATTGGGACCTGCTCACATGGTTATACTTTGTTTGCACTGTTAGGTAATCCAGTGAAATCTGTAGAGCAAAATTTTGGGTAAAGCAGTTTCTATAGAAATTCTATCTTAAAAAACATCCTTACCCTTCTTTCCCCTTCCGTTTCATTTAGTTTTTAATGTTTACATTTTGGCAAGAACTGGCTGAACTGTATAAAAAACCAAAGTTTCCAAGTGGCCTTAAACTGGCAATACCATAAACTGTGAGTTTTATGTAAATACCATAGCTTAATAATAAGAGATTCAAAGCAGGTACAAAGGAAATAGAGAAATAGATGACAGTTTTAGAAGACTTTACATAACTCTATAGTTACAGGTCAACCATTTGAGCTCTAAGTTTTTCTTGTTATAATTTGTCCATCAATTTTAAAATGTGCACAGGAACGGGCCAAAATATGTAACCATCTGGAGTCACAGAAAACCTGGGATGCTTTTGAACTTCTGCAGGAGTTTCTACCCTTTTTCTTGATCTAATTATTTATCAGTAGCTAGCCTTATTGCAACAACAGTGTGCTTGCTACCCTCATGGTACTTTAATATCTTAACTTCTTCCAAGATGTGCTCAGTCCCTGCCAGGTTTTTCTGAGCATCCCTATAGTCATGTGGCGTTCCGCAAAGGCTGAGCAGTCAGGCAACTCCACCCTACGTGCATGTTGCCAACAACCTTGGGATTCCTCCCACAGATACCTCTTCCTGACTCCTTATTTTGTCTCTTGGATCCTGTTCATCATGCCAATTGTTATAAGAAAAGCTTGGGACTGTAACATCCCCCCACAAACTGGGAAAAAACTGAGACACCAAAGAATCATTTGGGCAAATCCAGCATGATGAATAGATGCGTTTATTAGAACTTAATATATAGGACATTCCTGGTTGGTGGCAGGACAGCCCTAGAGACCTGTGCCACCTCCCTTCTCTAAACTGCTTTTAAGCTAGTTTTCTGGCTCTCTGCCTGTGGTGTTTGAATGATGAGACTGTTTTTCTTGGTAGATTTTCAGATACTCTCCAGGATGTTTGGGTTCTCAGGGACATCTGCTCCTTGGCTGGGCACCATGGCCTTGGCTCAGTGCCCAGACTTCAAGATTTAGGCGGTGGAAATACAACCTTAAGTAACCTGGTGGAGGACCTATCACAGAACAATATTTCTTTAAAGAAAGATATGGTTTGGACCTATGTGAAAGCATAAGAAGGGAGATCATCTTTTTACTCTTTTATCCCATCTGTATACACTGCTGACACAACTAATATGATTAAGTACATAGTAGGTAATTCTAAAACAGAACCTGACATGAAGCCATCATTTCTGAAGTCCATACATTACACATTGGAGAATAACTTAAGTTTATAAAAATCCAACATTCTATTTTTTTTAATACTAAAGCTCCTCCAAATGTTCAATTTATTTATTTTAAAGGTGTTGGCTTAATGTGGTGACACAACTTTACTGTCAGAGGTGATATAATGTCATTGCATTACAGAGTCAAGAGACCATTTCTGTATGCAGATGTGTGTATGCATGCATGCACATGTGTGTGTAATATATATATGAGGAAGATAAGTAGCTCATGTGTTGCTTATTGTGATTAGAGGCTTATTGTGTTTACTCTAAGAAATCAATAAACAGCTTCCAGATTTATAATGAATTGTGCAATTGTGCTACTGACGTGCATTTCAAGCAAAATTTGCTATGTGTTTCTGATTTGCTTAAACTTAATTCATGAAAACATTGTTTCATAAGAGCTATTTCAACTCTCAAGCTACTTTTAAGTTCTGTTTGGGGCTTTTCTCTCAAATATTAAATCATGTTTTTGTAAAAGCAAAGAAAATTCAGAGTATTCAAATTAAAGTATGAAATGTGGTAGCTGTGAAGCTCTTGGCAGTTCTTAATTTCAAACTAATTCGTTTACCTCACCATGAAATATGAGTTTTTTAAGCATTCTATTTCATTGTAAAAGGCCTCTTTTTTCTTACTTAGGAGCTGTGTGCTTGGCTACCACAAGAGTTTGATTAGATATTTGTGTTGCACTATTGATAAGAATACCGAGCACTCCACTATACCAAAAAAGAGAGGTATCAGTTGGATAACCCAATTACTCAGATTTGATCATTAAGTATCCTGGGTTAGCTATGACTTGAAATTGGCCTCTAATTCAAAAGAAAGCCCATTAAAGAAAGAAATTTCTGACTGAGATAAATATTTGCCTCAAGACCAATTTTCCTTGCTTAGAACCTCAAATCCATTTTCTTTCTTCCCTTGCTTTGATTCTTTTGTTTCTGTGGTGCTCTTAGCTTCTGATTCTGAACTTTTGAACACTTATTTTCCTGGCTTTCAGTAACTCTGAATGTCCCTATGTTTCACTACTGTATCACTAGTACTTTGACTTTCAAATTCTGTGAGTCTGTGCACCAGGGACTTGAACAACCTTACCCCTGGAGGTCAGTTGCTCCCTGTCCATTTGCATGAGACAATACTTCCTTCATCTACCGACACATAGGCTGATAGAAAGAAATGGCTTTGGCCATTCCATCCTCATAGGATACTCTAAATAAGTTAGAAGAAGTAAAGAGAATTAAAAAATGAGGTGTTTCACAGTTTTCATACCTCCCACTCTGTCATGGGAAATTCAGCATGCTTGCTTACCTCTGTCAGGGAAGAAAAGAAGCTGACCTCTCAGTGCCTTGAATGAGAAAGGGTACGTTGCCAGTGGAGTAACGACTATCAATTATTTTGCATTTTGCAGATACTGGATTTTTGAAAGGAGAGAAAGAATGGCCAAATGGCCAGAATGTGCCTACAGAGCTTGATCATGAATGAACATCTTTTTGGCCTAAGGTAAGGAGAGATTTGCTTTCTAGTTCTGCCCTGACTACTAACAAGTTAAAAGAAAAACACCTCATCAGTGGAAGCCATAAAAACAATGTGGCTATTATAAGGTTATTCCTAATATTATATTAAATAAAACATAAAGAGACTTTGTTGAGCTTTCTGACTAATGCCCATCTCTTAGAATTCTACATCTTTTATTCATTGTCCTTTAAAAATAACTGATGAATTTGATCACTGTTAGGGAAAAAGATGTCTCATCTTCTCTCTGGCCAGCGAATCCTGTTAAATATTGACAACTTCTGAATTATAAAAGTAAATTTTCTCATTTGTTTCTAACCTAGAGTATTCCCAGATTACCCAAGCTTGTCTACATTGCTAATTATGAACCAACACTGACTTGTCCTCTCCAAATGGTATTTAATGAATACAGAAATCAAGAATAGAAGGATGCCTAAGGAATGTAGAATATAAAATTTGATATTATAATTTAAATAACATTTAAGTTCCATTTCCACATAGGATGTAAAGAACCACAAGATAATGTTGCTCCCACTCTAACAATGAGAAAAAGCTGAGTAATATTTTTCTATAGAGTCCATCATAGAGCTGAGTCCACAAAGCAACTAGGTAAGCTAAAGTTGAAGGCATGAAAAGCCCTATGAAGAGAGAAGGTGACCCATATACAGTTTCACTTATGGTAGAGCAGGAAAGGATAAGGTGGTTGTTCTAAGAGACACCTTAAAGCAAGGAAAAAGAAAGAAATTGAAATGTTTAAAAACTCTTAAAGGCTGAGTGTAGGCAAATGTGATAATTTACAGTTACTAGGAGCTCCAGAAATAACCAGCTCACAAGTTCTTTTGCACAGGCCTCAAATGGATGATTATAATAAATTCTGGGGGCAAAAGAGAAGGTGGAGGAGAGTACTTCTTGTTGATGTCCCGTGGGAAGTTCAGGAAACCCTCCCTTTTCCCCCATAACCCAGAGAAAGGTCTACTGATTCTGAAGGAAGCAAAAGCTTTTGCCCTGCAAGGGAGCAGGAAATCCCTGAGGCTCAGACCTTGCAGTTACAAAGTGAAAATCTATTAATGCTGGCAGGAATAGTGAGAAGAAGGAGGTTGCGAAACTCTGTACTGCTCACAACCTTTCACAGAAACATAGCAGAGTTGGGTACTGTAACAAGGAAGTGGTAGGAATACTGAGAAACCTTCACCCGCAAAGTTCAAGAGTACAGGGCTAGCCTATGACTGAGGCTGAATCAGGGCAACTGATAATTCATTCCCTTCACCATAATCCCACAAAAAACAGCAGCCAATTGCTGGAGGAGGGGCAAGTGCATGGATAAAGGTTATCTCTGTGTACTGGCAGGCAGGGACTGCAAGTCACACTATCTGGAGTTCCTGGCTATGCCACTGTTGCTTGCATCAAGAGCTAGCAAAAGCCCAAGATACAGTGAAATCCTGGAAAAAACTGTACTCAGCAGGCAACCCTCACAAGAGAAATTGCATTAGCTGAGAAGTGCAGAAAAGATGAGCTCTCCAGGAACTCGCCCTTTCCTCCTGCCCTCTATTGACAAAAATCTTAATGTTATAACATTTGGCAAAAATATGTATATTAATGGCCCAGATCTATTTTCATAAATAATGCAATAAAATATAAATTTAGAGTGGAGAGGCAATAGCTGGATAAATGACAGTATAGTATGTCTTTTTTCATTTTAAAATCTTTTTCTTGTCTTCTTATTTTTATTTAAGGCAGGTTTCTTACAGACAGCAAATAGTTGGGTTTTAATTTTTTGTGTATAATCTGACAATCTCTGCCTTTTAATTGGGATATTTAGGCCACTTACAGTTAATATAATATTGATAGGGTTAGATTTAACCCTACTATTTTTCTAGTTGTTTTCCAGCAAATTGTTTCTTATTAACTAGTTATTTTATTTTTTTGTTCCTTTTTTTTTTTTTTACTTTTTTCGGGTCGATTAAACATTTTATATGATTTAGTTGTGTCCATTTAAACATACGAACTGGGTGACTGCTGAAGTATTCTGCACCAATTTAATCAATGAAATGGTTGCAATATTCTCACACTTTACTCTCCTAAGAGTGAAAAGTCATGGAGCTGGAGACATGTTTCTATCTTGCACTAAAAATCACCATTCCAAACAAATGATCAGACAAAGGTTTGGGGAGTTAATTATCTATCAGTTTGACCCATCTAGATATATTTCTTATGAACAAGATTTGGAGCTGACTAATAACCAGTCTTGGGAGAAACCTTGGGACTTTTCTCCAGAGAATGAAGATTGTATTTCTGGTGTTCTACAAGCTCTACCTAAAGATTCTACCTGCGTAACATGGATAAAAAAGGAGACACAGCACTGCTAATGATTTCATTTTCCGGTAATCAATTACAGCTATTTACTCCATTCACCGTTTCCAGACCATACTTACCACCTGGTTATTTTTAGATGGCATGAAAAAATTACTCCAATAAATGGGATATGGGAGATGATGCTGAGCAGCAGAGCGTTTGCACTATATGTGACCATAAATCAAGATGATATGTTACTAAAACAGCTGTCTGGATATGATGGAAAGCAGATTGTGGCCACCTGCCCAAAAGTTGGCTGTGGCTAGAAACCAGTTTGGAAAGACAGCAAATCTCTAATTGAATAGTTAACTGAATAATGACCCTAACGGAGTACCATTCCCTTCAATAATGCTGGTAATGAGTTTCTTATTCCCTCACCCCGGAGAAAAACTATTGGATATTTTAATCACTATAACATCTTCTGTTTTTAAAGGTCAGTGGCCAGGTTTGGTAGAAATCAAGATAAAGAAATTAATTTGTGTGTAAACTATGATAAACACTAGTGATGGCAGCACATTATTGGACAGTGAGACCTTTAGTAATGTTCTCTAATGACCCAAGTGCCAAAGATAGGAAAGGAATTTATCATCTCTTGAGGTGCAAAATGTTGGGGCAGGACAGATAAAAAATCATTGTGACATCTCTATTTTGTCATCTCTATGTTACATAATGATGCCTGGAAGCTCATGTATGTCAAACCTTTACTACAATATCTGAGATATAGTTCTGTTCACAAACCAGATGTAATCCAGAATTCACTGAACCATGGTGGCCTCTCATTACCACCCAGATCACTAGGATGTGTGATACATGAGAAAGGCCATTTGTATTGAGAATGAATGGAGAATTACAGTGCAACTTAGATTGTTTGATGTGTCAATTATTTGTTTAATCTCTGCCACAGCTATATGGTGAACAAAATATTTTTATCTTACTGATAGAATAAAGTGAATATATTACTCATGTAAACAATGATCCCTGTGATGAGAAAATATTAAATAGATTGAAATCTCCCACTTACTAACACTCAGTAAATTTGGAGAAAGTTTCATTTTCTTATCTGTAAAATGGCTCTTCAATGGCTTTTAGAAACCTCAAAAACAGCATCATTATCTATCATATTACAATAAAAAAATTTATATTGAGTCTGAGCAATTTAGTCAACCAAAAAAGAATAATTAGGAGGTAATGAGTTGAGAAATGTTTGAAGTAATAGTCTTCTCTATACCTAATGGTTTTCAAATAATGATTCTGATAAAATAGAATAAAGATTTCATGAAAACTTTGATAGTCAAATTCCATTTAGCATTGATATATTTATTCTTTCAAGTAGGCTAGCACATTGGTAGATATGTTAAGAAAATCTTATTTATTTTATTCACTTTTTCTATTCATCATATGAACTCAGACTGAGACTTAAAGAAAAAATATTTCTGACAGAAAAAAAGCAACCATAGCTTCAAATTACAGTGATATTATTTCCTATCTAAACCATAGACTTAAGAAGTGCTTTCTCAAAATTTCATGTACAACACAACTGTACAGATTTCTTGGTTCACATATATTCTGATAAATTAAGTATAATAAGGAAGTACGTATTTTGTTGTTATTTGTTTTTTTAAGTAGCCCTCACCACAAAAAGCCTTTAGCAAACATATTTTAAAAAGTAACACCTCTGAAATAATGAAATTTGTTAATGTTTTTTCCAAGAATGTGACAGTAAAACTAATGCCCTCTTAAGTGATAAACAGGGAATCTTATCAGTTACAGGAGTAATGTTTCTGTATTTGGTGTTTTTATAGGGAAAAACTAGATCATAGAGGAAAAGGTTACAATTTGAACACTGGAATTATTCAGATTCTTTCCCCTTTTTCTCAAACCTATTGATGATAGGATTTGGGTTTATAGTTTTGTTTTCAAAGCACTTCTATATATTATAATTTACTGACTTTTAATGAAAACTCAGTATATATAAATTAATGGTTTTGAAAGGCTTTTGCTTATTACTAGTATAAGATTTATTAAAGTAATGTATTAAATATATGAATTGACATACTCATTAAAGAGATTTTTCCAAAACAGAAATGTCATTGTAGCCAAAATAGTCTTCATCTTAGTTCTTCCTATGCTTTCTACAACAGTTGGCACTTAATTTTGTGTAAATAGGAACCAAATATTTATAGTTGGTTATGTTCAAGGTTTTAAACACTATGAGCCTCTTTAATCTACTGTGCCTTATTACAATAAACCAACACACATTTTTGATATAATGTAGCACAGAATAAGAAATAAATGAGGAAACAACCTAATTCCAGAGAGTTTTATCTGAACAAAGTGAGAGAATTATATTACTTCTTTTCTATTTATGGTGACAATGTGGAAAATAATTCTGCCTAAGGAATTGATTGAAGGTAAATACAAACTTTTACTTCAAAGCTTCTACCAGTTATTTGTCTAAAGATGGCAATAGCTCTGTTCTTTGGAAAGTTACAATCATGGACCTCATCCATTACTCATTTGCAGCCACTGAGCTAGATCAACAGACTTTTTCTCTAAAAGGCCAAATAGTATTTTATGCTTTCATGAGCCATATGGTCTCTGTAGTAACTACCCACCTTTGCCATTTAGTGCAAAAACTGCCATAAACAAATTGGTGTGGCTATATTCCAATGCAACTTTATGTTCCCATAAAACTTTCCTTATGAAAAAGAGTGGTGCGTCAGCATTTGGCCTTTGGGCCATAGTTTGCTGACTTCTGGTCCAGAAACAAGAATATAAAGAAGGGAGAATTGAAACAGATCTACCTAATAATTTAAAATTCTATCTCCACAGAAAATCTGAGCAGATAATATTTTCATTATTATAAGTATTATCACTGAAAATATTTTGTTTCACCTTAGGAGGTGTGTGTGTGTGTGTATGTGTGTGTGTGTGAGAGAGAGAGAGAGTAGTAATTAACTACAGACAGTTAAATAAAGGCACTGTTCAGAGATGTGTGGGGAGATTTGAGAGGACCATCAAGTGATGGTGAAGTACATAAGATCTGGGAATAACAGGAAACTCTTTTCCCTTTATTAGGGAAGGACATAGTCTGCAGGAGCCTGGTCAGAGCTAGATTTCCAAGAGGGGTCCCTTACATGATATGTGGCCATAAAAGCACACAGGCACTTCCAGAACTATGTAGAAACATGGAATGATAAATGCTCTGACCACTATGCCCCCACCCATGTGTCCTTTATTCTCTTGCTGGTACCTGCCATTGGCTGACACAAATTGGAAACCAGAGAGCAAGGGATTCCAGGTGTTGCAGTCTATAACAGTCTCCCATGGCAAATAGAAAGGAAGAAAAAGGCAGGGAATAAATTGGGGAGTGCAACGGTGACTCAGTATTATTTCCAGGAACGATCACTGATGATTAAAAGAGCATAATAAGATGTATGAAGAAGAGTTATTTTTTAATTTTATTGAAGCATAATTAAAATGCACTTATGCAAAGTAAACAATTTTATAAGCTTTGGCATACATATATATCCATAAACTATCACCACAATCAAGATAATGAACATATCTATCACTGGAAAAGTTTCCTAAAGTCCCTTTGTAACTTCCCTCCCATACTTTCCAACTCTCATCCCCAGAAAACCACTGATCTACCTGTTTTCTATGACTAAAGGCTAGTTTACATTTTTTAGAATTTTATTTAAGTAGAATCAACAGTACAGTATGTTTTCCTTTTTGTCTGCCTTCTTATACTTAGCATAATTATTTTGAGATTCATACAGGTTCTTGTGTGTAGAGATAGTTCATTTTATTTTGTTGCTGAGAAGTATTTCATTATAAGGAATGGAAGTTATTTATTCACTCACCTGATGATAAACAGTTGGGTTTTATCAGGTTTTGGCTATTGCAGATAAAGTTGCTATGAATATTTTTGTGAAAGTTTTTGTAGGAACGTAGGTATAGTGGGGTGAATGAATATTGTTCCCCAAAAAGATATATCGAAGTATTAGCCTCCAAACAAATGTGAATGTGACCTTATTTGGAAATTGGATTTTTGCAGATGTAATTAAGTTAGGGATCTTGAGAAGAGATCATCCTGGATTTAGGGTGGGCCATAAATCCAAAGACTGATATTCTTATAAGAGAGAAGAGAGGAAGATTTGAAAGACACAGTCTGAGTGAGCAGAAGGCCATGTGAAAATAAGAGTCAGAGTTTGGAGTGAGGCATCTATAAGCCAAGAAATGCTGCAGCCACCAAAAGCTAGGAGAGATGCACAGAACAGTGCATCACAGCCCTCAGAAGAAGCTCATCCTGTTGACACCTTTAACTTGATTTTCTAGTCTCTGAACTGTGAAAGAATAAATGTTTGTTGCTTTAAGCCACCAGGTTTGTGGTGATTTGATATGGAAGCTATAGGAGACTAATACAATATGCTTTCATTACTTTGGGGTAAATATCTAGGAGTAAAATGAATGAATAATATGCCAGATATATGTTTGACTATTTAAGAAACAGCCCAACTCTTTTTTTACAAAGTTGTACCATTTTATATTCTCATCAGCACTGTTCTAGTTATTCTACATCCTTGCCAACTCTTGGGATGTCAGACTTTTCAACTTTAGCCAGTAGATTAGGAACGTCGAGAGATAACTGACTCTAGTTTTACTTTGCATTTTTAAGCAATTAACAGTGTTGAGCATCTTTACATGTGCTTACTTTGCCTTCGATATACTTTCTTCATTGAAGTGTCCATTCACATCTTTTGTCCATGTTTAATTTTTTTGTTTTGTTGTTTTATTATTGACTTCAGGGGTTCTTTATACATTCTGAATACAAGTCCGTTTCTGCTATGTGATTTGCAATGTGTTCTTTCGATTGGTAGCTAGCCTTTTCTTTCTCTTAAAAGTTGATTTCAAAATTCAGATGTTTTTAATTTTGATTAAGGCCAATTTATCAACTTCTTTTTTATGGTGTATTAAAAAAAGCTTGGCCTACATGAAGGTCACAAAATTTTCCTGTTATGTTCTCTTCAAAAAATTTTACATTTTTAGATTACATTTAGGTCTATGGTCAATTTTGAATAATTTTTGTTAGTGCAAATAGATTAAAGCTATTTTTGTTATGTATAAATATCAAACTGTTTTAGCATAATTAGTTTTAAAAAATGACCTTTTTTCTACTTAAAACTTGCACCTGGCACCTTGCAACTTGCACCTTTGTAAAAATCTATGGGTCTATTTCTGGACTCTTCTGTCCCATTGGTTGAATGGTCTATCTTCACAAGAATATCACACATTTTTATGTTCACATTTTTAAAAACTAAGTCTTGAAATGAGGTAGTGTTAGTCCCCTACTTTGTTTTATCTTTTTGAAGTATTTTTTTGGCTTTTCTAGAACTTTTGCATATCCACATTAATGTTAGAATCAGCTTATCTATATATATGAAGAAGTGTGCTAGGATTTTTTTTCAGATTGCATTGAATCTACACATCAATTTCAGGAGAATTAATATATTGAGAAGGATTGGTATATCTAGCCATTTATTTAGGTCCCCTATAATTTCTTTTGGCAGTGTTTTATAACTATCAGTACAAGTTTTTTTATTGATACAAAATATTTTACATAGTTATGGGGTACATGTGATATTTTGTTGCATACCTAAAATGTGTAATGATCCATTCAGGGTATTTGGGGTATCCATCACCTTGAGTATGTATCATTTCTATTTTGGGAACATTTCAAGTTCTCTCTTCAAGCTACTTTGAAATATAAAATACATTGTTGATAACTACAGTCACCCTACTTTGCTATTGAACATTAGAGCTTATACCTTCTATCTAACTACGTATTTGTACCCATTGTTCAACCTCTCTTTAACCCTGCTCCCACCCACACACCCTTCACAGCCTTTGGTATTTGGTATTTATTGTTTTGCTCTCTAGCTCCATAAGGTCAATTTTTTAAACTCCCATGTCTGAGTGAGAACATGTAATATTTGTCTTTCTGTGCCTACCTTATTTCATTTAACAAAATGACTTTCAGTGCCATTCATGTTGCTGTAAATGACAAGATTTCATTCTTTTCATGGTTGAATAGCATTCCATTGTGTATATATACCACATTTTCTTTATCTGTTCATTCATTGATGGGTACTTAGGGTGATTCCATACCGTGGCTATTGTGAATAGTGCTGCAATAAACATGAAGGTTCAGGTATTCCTTTGATATACTGATTTATTTTCCTTTGAATAAATTCCCAGTAGTGGGATTACTCGATTGTATGGTAGTTCTACTTTTAGTTTTTTTAGACATCTCTGTACTGTTTTATATAGTGCCTGTATTAATTTATGTACCACTAACAGTGTATAAGAGTTCCCTTTTCTATGCATCCTGGCCAGTATCTTTTTTTTTTTTTTGTCTTTTTAATAATAGTCATTCTAACTTGGATAAGATGATATTTCATTGTGGTTTTGATTTGCATTTCCCTGATGATTAGTGAAATTTAGCATTTTTTCATAAACCTGTTGGACATTTGTATGTCTTCTTTTGAAAACTGTCTATCCATGTCCTTTGCCCACTTTTTAATGGGATTATTTGTTACTTTTACTGTTGAGTTGTTTGAGTTCCTTGTGTATTCTGGATATCCGTCCTTTGGTGGATGAATAGTTTGCAAATATTTTCTCCAACTCAACATGTTGTCTCTTCATTCTGCTGATTGTTTCATTTGCAGAAACTTTTCAGTTTAATATAGTCGTATTTATCAATTTTTTTGTTGTTGCTTTTGAGATTTTAGCCATAATATCTTTGCCAAGGCCAACATCCTGAAGTGTTTTCCCTATGTTTTCTGTTAGTAATTTTATAGTTTCAGGTCTTATGTTTAAGTCTTTAATCCATAATAAGTTTATTTTTATATATGGTGAGAGTTAGGGGTCTAGGTTTATGCAGATATCCAATTTTTCCAGCACCTTTTATTGAAGAGGTTGACTTTTTACCCCCAATGTATATTCTTGGTGCCTTTGTCAAAAATCAGCTGCCTATAAATATATGGGTTTATTTCTGGATTCTCTATTCTGGATTCTCTATTCTCTATCCATTGGTCAATGTGTCTGTTTTTATACCAATACCATGCTTTTTTGGTTTCTATAGCCTTGTAATATATTTTTAAGTCAGGTGGTGTGATGCTTCCAGCTTTGCCCTCCTTTTAATTTTTTTCTTTTTGAGACAGAGTCTTGTTCTGTCACCCAGGCTGGAGTGTAGTGGTGCCATCTCAGCTCACTGCAACCTCTGGCCTCTGGGTTTAAGCAATTCTGCCTCACCCTCCGGAGTAGCTGGGATTACGGGCACATGCCACGATGCCTGGCTAATTTTTGTGTTTTTAGTAGAGACAGGGTTTTACCATGTTAGTCAGGCTGGTCTGAAACTGCTGATCTCATGATCTGCCTGCCTCAGACTCCAAAAGTGCTGGGATTACAAGCGTGAGCCACCACACCTGGCCCTGCCCTCTTTACTTAAGATTACTTAAATAAAGCTATTTCGGTTCTATTTTGGTTTTATACAATATTTAGGATAGTTTTTTTCTATTTTTGTGAAAAATGTCATTGGTATTTTGATAGAGATTGCACTGAATTTGTAGATTGCTTAATGCAGTATGGTGATTTCAATGATATTAATTCTTGTAATCCATGCACGTAGAAAGTATTTCCATTTGTTTGTTCCCTTTTAAATTTCATTCATCAGTGTCTTGTAGTTTTCTTTGCTGAAATCTTTCATCTTCTTGGTTAAATTTATTCCTAGGTACGTTTTTTTGTTTTGTGTTTTTTTGTTGTTTTTTTTTTTGTTTTGTTTTCGGTAGCACTTGTAAATGGGATTGTTCTCTGGATTCCTTTTTCAGCTAGTTTGTTACTAGTATATACAAACACTACTGATATTCTTACATTGATTTTGTATCCTGCAACTATACTGAATTTATTTATTTATTTAATTTTTTGAGACACTGTTTTTACTCTTGTTGCCCAGGCTGGAGTGCAATGGCGTGATCTCAGCTCACTCCAACCCCCACCTTCTGGGTTCAAGCGATTCTCCTGCCTCAGCCTCCTGAGTAGTTGGGATTACAGGAGCCCTCCACCATGCCTGGCTAATTTTTTGTATTTTTAGTAGAAATGGGGTTCACCGTGTTAGCCAGGCTGGTCTTGAACTCCTGACCTTGTGATGTGCCCGCCTCGGGCAGATCCCAAAGTGCTGGGATTACAGGCATGAACCATCATGCCCGGCCTATACTGAATTTATTTATGAGATCGAAGTATTTTGGTTTAGTTTTTAGGTTTTTCTGGATATAATATGGTATCAGCAAAGAGGGACAATCTGACTTTCTCTTTTCCAATTTGGATGCCTTTTATTTCTTTCTCTTGTCTGATTGGTCTGGCTAAGACATCCAGTACAATGTTAAATAAGAGTGATAAAAGTGGACACCCTTGCCTTGTTATATGTCTTACAGGAAAGGCTTTCATCTTTTCCCGATTCAGTATAATATTGGCTGTGGGTTTGTCATATATGGCATTTATTACATTGAGATATATTCCTTCTATGCCTAGTCTGTTGAGGCTTTTTATTATGAATAGATGTTGAATTCTATACAACATCTGATGCTTTTTCAGCATCAGTGGAGATGATCATATGGTTTTTGACCTTCATTCTGTTGATGTGATGTATTATATTTATTGAATTGCATATGTGGAACCACCCTTCTATTCTTGGGATATATTGGATTCAATTTGCTACTATTTTGTTGAGGATTTTCACATCTATGTTCATCAGGGATATTGGTCTGTGGGTTCCTTTTTTTTATCTGGTTTTGGTATCAGAGTAATGCTGGCTTCATAGAATGACTTAGGGAGAAGTCACATTTCTTCAATTTTTGGAATAGAAAAGAACTGGTGTTAGCTCTTCTTTGGATGTTTGATAGAATTTGGCAGTAAAGCCATTCATTCATGGACTTTCATTTTTGGGAGAGTTTTTATTATTGACTCTATTTCATTACTCATTATTGATCTGTTCAGGTTTTCTAATTATTCCTGATTCAATCTTGGTAGGTTGTATGTGTCCAGGAATTTATCCCTTCTCCCTAAATTTTCATGTTTGTTAATGTATACTTGTTCCTAATGATATTCAATAAAATTTTTTATTTTTGTGGGATCAATTTTAATGTCTCCCTTTTCATTTTAATTTTGTTTATTTGGATCTTTTCTCTTTTTTCTTGGTTAATCTATTAAGTAGTTTATCAATTTTATTTCTCTTTTAAAACATCAACTTTTCATTTTGCTGATCCCTTCTATTATTTTTTAGTCTCTTTCATTTAATTCTTCTTTTCTTTATTATTTATTTTCTTCTACTAATATTCGGTTTCATTTGTTCTTGCTTTTCTAGTTCCTTGAGGTGCATTGTTAGATTGTTTATTTGAAATATTTCTAGTTTTTTTATGTAGGTGTTTATTGCTATAGAGTTCCCTCTTAGCACTGCTTTTGCTGTATGCCATACATTTTAGTATGTTGTGTTTCCATTTTCATTTGTCTCATAAAATTTTTGCTTTTATTCTTAACTTCTTCCTTGGCCCAGTGGTTATCCAGGAGTATGTTGTTTAATTTGTATGTATTTGTACAGTTTCCCTAGTTCCTCTTGTTATTGATTTCTAGTTTTATTTTATTGTGGTCTGAGAAGAAACAATATGATTTCAATTTTTTTAATTTGTTGAGACTTGCTTTGTGTCCTAACATATGCTCTCTTCTGGAGAATGTTTCATGTGCTGATGAGAAGAATGTTTGTTCTGTAACTGTCAGATGAAATGTTCTGTAAATATCTGTTAGGTCCATTTGGTCCTATGTGCAGTTTAAATACAGTGTTCCTCTGTTAATATTCTAGATCAACAGTCTAATGCTTAGAGTATTGAATTTCCCACCAATTATTGTATTGGAATCTGTCTCTCCCATTAAATCTAATAATATTTGCTTTATACATCTGGGTGCTCTAGTGTTAGGTGCATATATGTTTAGAATTATTATGTTCTTTTGCAGAATTAATTTCTTTATCATTATATAATGACCTTCTTTGTCTGTTTTTACTGTTTTTGATTTAAAGCCTTTCTTCTATTCTGACATAAGTATAGCTACTCCTGCTCACTTTTGATTTCCATTTTCATGGAATGTCTTTTTTCATCCCTTTTCTTTCAGTCTATGTGTCTTTATAGGTGAGATTAGTTTATTCTATGTTGAGCCTTTTTTCCCTTATCCACTCACAGTCTATATCTTTTAAGCGGTAAGTTTTTATTCAATGTTATTGTTGATATGTGAGGACTTATTCTTATCATTTTATTAATTGATTTCTGGTTGTTTTGCATATCCTTTGCTCCTTTCTTTCTCTCTTACTCCTTATCATTGCAGTTTGGTGGTTTTCTGTAGTGGTAACATTTGAGTCTTTTCCTTATTTAAGTATTTGCTGAATCAGTGGTTTTTATTTTTTTGTGTGTTTTCATGAGAGTAGATATCATTTTTTGGTTCCCAGCATAGGACTCCCTTAAGCATTTCTTGTAAGACTGGTCTAGTGGTGATGAATTCTTTCAGTTTTTGCTTGTGTGGAAAATACTTTTTTTCTTCTTTATTTATGAAACATAACTTTGCTAGATATAATATCCTTGGCTGACTTTCTTTTTCCTTCAGCTCTTTGAATATATTATCCCGTTCTCTCCTGGCCTATGAGGTTTCTGCTGAGAAAATCTCTGTTAGTCTGATTGGTGTTCCTTTATAAATGACTAGATACTTTTCTCTTGTTGGTTTTAGAATTCTTTGTCTTTGACTTTTCACAGTTGGACTATAATACACCATGGAGAAGATCTTTTTTAAATTAAATCTATTTGGAGATCCGAAGTTCCTGTATCTGGATGTCTGAACCTGTTGCTGGACTTGGGAAGTTTTCATTTGTTATTTTGTTAAATAGATTTTCTAACCCTTTGTCTCCTCTTCACCTTCTGGGAGGGACATTGAAAATTCAAAAACGTGGTCACTTTATGGTGTCCCATATGTCATATAGGCTTGCCCATTCTTTTCACTTTATTTTTGTCTCACTGGGTTATTTCAAAAGACCTTCAAGTTCAAAGATTCTTCCTTCAGCTGCATCTAGTCTATTGCTGAATATTTCAAATATATTTTGTATTTCATTCAATAAATTCTTCAGTTCTAGTTCCAGAATTTCCATTTGGTTCTTTTTAATGGTTACTTTCTCATTCATATCCATAATTGTGTTTCTGATTTTTTTGGTATCTCTTTTCAGTATTCTCTTCTATCTCACTGGAGCTTCTTTAATATCAATATTTTGAGTCATTTTACCAGGATTTCAAAAATTTTTTTTGATTGGGATCTGTTGCTGAAGAATTAATGTGTTCCTTTGGAGGTGTCATATTTGCTTTTTTTCATGTTTCATATGTCCTTATGTTAATATCTATGCCTCTGGTGGTAACAGTTGCTTCTTCTATTTCTTATTTATTTATTTATTTATTTATTTTGAGATGGAGTCTCACTCTGTTGCCCAGGCTGGAGTGCTAGGACTATAGGCACCCGCCACCATGCCCAGCTAATTTTTTTGTATTTTCAGTAGAGACAGGGTTTCACTGTGTTAGCCAGGATGGTCTTGATCTCCTGACCTCGTGACCCGCCCGCCCGGGCCTCCCAAAGTGCTGGGATTATAGGCGTGAGCCACCACGCCCGGCCTGAATTTGCTTTTATAGGGGAGAATTTTTTCCTAAAGGTGTACCTATGGTATTGGATGGGTAGGGCACTTTGGCTTTGATATTCTGGGTGTGTGCAGTATTGCAATCTCTGCATGATTTCTTTGGCTATAAATAGTGTCAGTGGTGTCTGTGATTTCCTTGGTGGCTCAGGATGGTGTTGTTAACGGAGGCTATGGCGAAGTTTTGGGATGCCACGATGTCTAGTCTTCAGGCACCAGTGACGGCATCAGTGAGCTGAGTATGCCTGTCCTTCTGTCCCAGGTTGGCATACACTGACACTGGTTTTAGCAGATCTAGGCAGGTCAATTTTTGGGCCTCCAGATAGCCTGTGTGAGTTCCAGAAATGGCAGCAGTGGGGTGGGCAGGTGGGTAGATTCTTGAGCCCTCAGTAGTAGGCATGGTGTGAGTGATGGCAGTTGCAGTAGTGGAACAATGCTCTGGGACCCAAGCTGTCAGTGCTGTTGTTGTCAGTGGCTGCAATAGGCTGGGCGGGTCAATTCCCAGGCCTGCAGGTGACACATGTGGGTGGGTGCAAGCTGTGGTTGTAGTGGTAGTTTGGGTGGGCCTGACCTCAGACCCTGGAAAAATGTTCAGTTGCCAACAGTGTTGGACTGGGCTGAGCAATTCTCAGAGGCCTAAATGGCATGCCCTTGTACTGTGTGTAGGGGAGTGGCAGAGGTGGGCTGAGTGGGCCCATCCTTAGGCCCCCTGGTGAGGTGTGCATGCACTGGCTGTGGTAGGCAGAGGTGGGGTGATTCCCTGGCCTTCAGAAGAATGCTCTGGTGGGAGCAGCAATGGGTGTGCTGCAGCCTTGCTACTGAGGAGAGGTGCATTGTTTTCAGTGGGAGCAGCTATAGGCAGGCAGCTGGCAGGGCATGCTTTGCTCATATTTCGGCCCCTCTGTAGCCTATAGTGGCAGCTGCTGCAGGCAGTGGAGTTTGTCCTCAGGGCACATGAAAATGCATGGCTGCCCTTCGGCTGGGAGTCAGGATAACAACCAGTGGCTCCCACCTAAGCCCTGGTGGCAGCAGTTGCAGGAAGGGAATATCACTGTGGCTCCAGGGTTATGAAGATGCAGGGGTTTGGGGCCCTAGGTTAGAACATAGCTTGATGAGAGCTGGGCTCTCAAAAAGGCACCGTGCTGCAGCTGCTCAGGACTCAGGGATTTGTGGGACTCAGCCTGGGCTCTCTCTTTGAATTGTCATTTGCAGCCTCCAGGAAGCTCCCTATGTTAATCTCAGGGCCTGCAAGGGTAGAGGGACTCTCCAGTGGCAAGGATTGTGGGAGTCCGTGAAAGGAATCTGGACCACTGAGGGCTCTCTCTTACCCTTTCCCCATTTTAGGGAGCTCACCAGGATCCCAGCCAATCCCAGCTAAGCAGGCTACCTGGCTGACCTCTCCTTCCATGCTTTCAGTGCTTCCCAGCACTTCTCTGTAGAATGCCAGTGTTCTCTCTTAAATAATCTATTTGAGTTATGATTATCTATTTGCTATTTTGTTTCTCCTCCATAGAAGAGACAAGTACCAGATGCATCTAGTCAGCCATCTTGAAGCCCCTCTACCAACACAAGGTTTTCCCATCTTTTCTCAAATACAAATACATTCTAGTAGCTTTACTCACCTATACATTCTAGTAGCTTTTTAATAGATTCCTTTAGGTTTTCTACATAAGTGGTTGTGCTTTTCTAAGCAAAGAAAATTTTATTTCTTTCTCTTCATTCTGGGAGCCTTTTGTATGTTTTCCTTGCATTATTATACTGACTAAAACTACCAGTGCAATGTTGAGTAGAAGTGGTGAGGAAAGACAATCGTTGTTTTGTTCCTGACCTTTGGAGGAGAGCAGTTAATCTTTTACCATTAATATGATAACAGCTGGGTTTTCATAGATGTCCTTTATCTAGTTAAGGGTGTTTCCTCATATTCATAGTTTACTGAGGGTTAATATCAGGAAAAGATACTGGATTTTTAATGAAATTTTTGTTTTTTTTTTTGAGACAGGTTTTTGCTCTTTCACCCAGGCTGGAGTACAGTGGCACAGCTCACTGCACCCGCAACTTTATGGACTCAAGCAATCCTCCTGCCTCAGCCTCTTGAGAAGCTGGGACTGAAAGCATGTACCACCATGGCCAGCTAATTTTTTCTACTTTTTGTGGAGGCAGAATTTCACTAAGTTGCCTAGGGTGGTCTTGAACTCCTGGGATCAAGCAATCGTCCTGCCTCAGCTTCCCAAAGTGCTGGGATTAAAGGCATGAGCCACTGTTCCCGGCCCATACTGGATTTTTTTCAAATTCTTTTTATGTGTCATAAACAATGACTTTAATTTTTAATTTCTTAATATGGTGTATTACATTGATTTATTTTTAAATTAAGCCAATCTTGCATTCCTGGGATATACCTCACTTGGTCATGGATATATTATTCTTTTTGCGTGTGTTAGATTCATTTTGCTAATATTTTGCTAAGCATTTATGTGTCTACTTTCATGAATAATATTGGTTTTTAATTTATTTATAATGTCTCTTTATGATCTTCACATCAGAGTAATACTGACCACCGAGGATGACTTAGAAATTCTTCCCTATTTTTAAGTTTTATGGAAGAGTTTTATAGAAGGAATACAATGTTTTCCTTTAAATATTAGTAGACTTCACCAGTGAAGTCTTCTATGCCTGCAGTTTTCTTTTGGGATGGTTTTAAACTACAAATTCTTTTTTAGAAATAGAGCTATTTAGGTTATTTGTTTCTTTTTGAATTTTTGTAGTGTATATCTTTCAAGGAATTTGGCCATTTCATCTAAGTTGTCCAATGTATTGGCATAAAGTTGTTCATAACATTTAATATTTTTCTTTAATATTTGTATAATCAGTAGTGATGTCACCACCCTTATTCCTGAGATTGGTCATTTGTACCCTCTCTCTTTTTTCCTAATCAGGCTGGCTAGAAGTCTATCAATTTAATTGATCTCAAAGAACCAGGTTTTTGGAATTTTTTTCCTGTTTTCTATTTCACTGGTTTCAACTTAGATTTTTGTCATTTTCTTTCTTCTGCTTCCTTTGGGTTTACTTGGCTCTTGTTTTTCTGTTCTCTAAAGGTTTCCCCAGAGGGAATTTATTTTAGAGTTTTCTTCTTTTCGGAGATGAGTTCAATGCTAAATATTTCTTCTAAGTTTTACTTTAGTAGCATCTCATACATTTTTGATACCTATAGATTTTTGTGTTGTTTCAAAACACTTTCAAACACTTTACACTTCCCTATAATCTATACATTATTTGAACTATGTTATGCAATTTCTAAGTATCTGAGGATATTCCAGATATTTTTCTAATATAATTGCATTGTGGTCAGACACCATAATTTATATGTCTTGAATCCTTTTACATTTATTTAGACTTGTCTTATGACTCAAAATAGGATCTATCTTGGAAATTGTTCCATGAGCACGTGAAAAGAATATGCATTCTGTTGTTGGTGGAATGTTCTGTAAACGTCAAAAGTAACATCTAGTATTATTTGCATTGTTTTACTCTTCTATATCTTCACTAATTTTTTATCTATTTGTTCAATTAATTATTGTGAGAGGGATATTGAAACATCTGACTATAATTGTGGATTTGTCTTTTTCTCCTTGCAGTTCTACTAGTTTTTTTCTCTGTATTTTTAAGTTTTCAGTTATCAAAGGGATAAATGTTTAAGATTGTTATGTTTCCTGAAAGATATGATTCCTTTCTCATTTATAAAATGACCTTTTTTATCTCTGATCATATTTTTTGCTTTGACATTTATTTTCTTTGATATTAAGATATCTATTCAGACTTCCTTTGATGTGTGTTAGAATGGCTCATTTTGTTCTATTCTTTTACTTTTAATTCATTTGTGACTTTATATTTAAAGGTTTCCCTTTCTTAATTTTTTAATTTTTATTTTTTATTTTTTTTGAGATGGAGTTTCACTGTTGTCGTCCAGGCTGGAGTGCAATGGCGTAATCTTGGCTTACTGCAACCTCTGCCTCTTGGGTTCAAGTGATTCTCCTGCCTCAGCCTCCCAAGTAGCTGGGATTACAGGCATGCACCACCATGCCCAGCTAATGTTTGTATTATTAGTAGAGACAGGGTTTCGCCATGTTGGCCAGGCTGCTCTTGAACTCCTGACCTCAGGTGATCCATCCACCTCAACATCCCAAAGTGCTGGGATTACAGGTGTGAGCCATTGCGCCTGGCCAGGTTCTCTTTTAGGTAGTTGATATCTTTTGGATATTCGTTCCCTTCAAATCTCATGTTGAAATGTGATTCCCCAATCTTTGAGGTGGGGCCTAGTGGGAGATGTTTGGGTCATAGGGACAGATCCCACATGAATGGCTTGTTGCTGTTTTCTCCATAATGAGTGAATTCACAAGATCTGATTGTTAAAAAGAGCCTGGCACCTCCTTTGCTCTCTGTTGCTCCCTCTCTCACCATGTGCCACATCTGCTTCCCCTTTGTTTTGTGCCATGAATAAAAGCTTCCTGAGGCCTCACCAGAAGCTGAACAGATGCTGGCGCCATACTTGTACAGCCTGCAGAATCATGAGCCAAATAAAACTTTTTTCTTCATAAATTACCCAGTCTCAGGTATTCCTTTATAGCAATGCAAAATGAATGAATACAGCAGTATATACTTAGGTCTGGCCTTTTCATCCAGTCTGCAAAACTTTGCCTTTTAATTGTGTTGACACGATTTAAATTTAGTGTAATTATTGATATGGATGGGTTTACATCTATCATTCTGCTCATTGTTTTCTTTGCTGCTCATGTTCTTTGTTCTGAGTTTCCTCTTTTTTTGCCTTCTTTTGGATTATTTTTATTATTCCATTTTTATTAAACCATTTTGATGGTTTAGAAAACTGAAGACCTCTCTAATAAGGTGATACTTGAACAGAGACCTGCAAGAAGTGAAGCAGCAAGCCCTTTGGTTTTCTCAAGGGAAAGCTTTATAGATAGAAGGAAGAGCAAGTGCAAGGTCCTGAAGCAGAAGTATATTTGACATTATGGAATAATAACAGGTGACTGGTGTGCCCGGAATGGAGTAGAGAGGTAGGAATAAACATAGGGAGGAGACAGTAGAGAGGGATTGGGAGTTTGTGGGTGGGTTAGAAGCTCATTTCTGGGCACGTAGAAGTCTTTGGAAGAATAGAGTTTTCTGAACTTCCATTGCTTCAAGCAAAGGTGCCTGCCGCCATCCCCCTACTCCGACAAAGTAAAATGAAGCTTTTTTCGAATCACCACCACGATCTGCCTAATATAACCTCTGGACTAATCTGTTTATGCCTATTTGCCCATTTTATAATGGTCTGCACAAAAGTCCAGTACCCAGGTCGTCACTCATTCATCATTCTCTTTCCTTCCCCAAAATATGAGCTTTCCAATGTGCCCTTTGAAATTCATGATTCATTATCACAAAAATCCCCTTTATCCTCATACTCTTTTTCTGAATGTTCCGGGTACAGAGTGGAAGCCGGCACTTCCCTGTGGATGCTAATTCTTTACTTCTCTCTCAAATGTTTTCTTTCCAATGAGCTTTATAACATTGTCCTGGAAGATAGATAGCACACTGGCCTTTCACTGTTACTTCCAAATCATTGTCTCTCCCACCTGTCCCAAATCCACACCTTTTGGTGACTGTGTTATCAGACTAGAAATGTATATTCATATGTTTAGGTTTGATAGACGAGATCCAGCAAACCTTCTAGTCTTCTTCCTATTTGCCAACGTCTGCCTTTAAATATTGACAGTTCTGTGGCAGAAAGTTTTCCCTGTTTTTGTTCCCAATCTCAAGCCTGTGGTTTTAAGGGCTCTTTTGCAGAGTATATCATTAGAATCATACCCAAAATAGGCTGGGGGTGGTGGCTCACGCCTGTAATCCTAGCACTTTGGGAGGCCGAGGTGGATGGATCACTTGAGGTCAGGAGTTCAAGACCAGCCTGGCCAATATGGTGAAATCCCATCTCTACTAAAAATACAAAAGTTAGCCAGGCATGGTGGCAGGCACCTGTAATCCCAGCTACTCGGGAGGCTGAGGCAGGAGAATTTCTTGAACCCAGGGGACAGAGGTTGTAGTGAGCCGAGATCATACCACTGCACTCCAGCCTGGGCAACAGAGTGAGACGCTGTCTCAAAATAATAATAATAATAATAATAATATCTAAATATAGAGTGGGTTAGAAGATAACAATAATAGCAGCAACAACGAACACTGGGCAAATTACTGATCCTCCTTGTGGCTCAGTTTCTTTATCTTTACTTGATGCCTAGATATCTTCCTCATTTACTCAAAGACGTTACTCTAATAATTATCTTCTGCCTCTCTTGAATGGTCAGATTTTTGCTACCTACTGATTGCTTTTCATCAACGTGGTTATTTTTTTTTAAAACATCTTTACAAAACATTCTCTTGGCCTTACTTCCCTAGCTTGCTACTGTCTGTTTCTTAGCTCTTCTTTATAGCAAAACCCCACCAATTATGCTTTTTCTCCCACTTCTGCACTAGAACTGCCCTTACTTCCACCACACTATTTTTCTTCATGTCACTAAATCCAAAGTCAATTCTTAGTTCTTATCTTACTTGTCCTGTGATCTCATAGGACCCCATGCTCCCTTGGTTTTCCTCCCATCTGGCTGAAACTCCTTTCTAGTTTCCTTCACTGGAACTCCTCCCCAGTCTCTTAATATTGGATAGTCAAGGGCTCCATTCTGATTTCTATTTTTGTCTCATTCTACACTCACCTCCTTATGATTTTAGGCAGTCTCATGGCTCTAACAGCCATCTATATACTACTCATTCCCAAAGTTTTATTTCAGTAAAAATAAGAGAATTTTTAGCTTAGTTCTCTTTCTGAAACTTCTAGGTCCTTTATACAACAGCTTACTCAACATCTTACTTGGATATCTAATACAACGCTACTTTAAGTGTGGTTACTACTTTTAGTGTACTACTTTTAGTATAACCACACTTCAAGTAAATGCTACTTTAAGTGTGCTACTTAAGTGATAATAAACACTACTTTAAGTGTGGCCACTTAAGTGTGGTTCATGAATTGATGCCCATCCACAAACTGTGAATAGTCTGCAATTAAATAAGCACAAAAATGAGACTAAGAGGTTGGAAACTTTTTTTTTTTTTTCTGAGATGGACTCTTGCCTTGTCACCCAGGCTGGAGTGCAGTGCTGCAATCCCAGCTCACTGCAACCTCCATCTCCCAGGCTCAAGTGATTCTCCTGCCTCAGCCTCCCGAGTACTTGGGATTACAGGAGCGTGCCATCACGCCTGGCTAATTTTTGTGTTTTTAGTAGAGACAAGGTTTCACCATGTGGCTAGGCTGGTCTCGAACTCCTGACCTCAGGTGATCCGCACACTTTGGCATCCCAAGTGCTGGGATTATAGGTGTGAGCCACAGTGCCCGCCCGAGCTATATATATATAAAGGGGAGTTTACCCATCACAGAACTAATGGAATATACATATATATATTCCATATATATAATATATATTTATAAATACATATATTATAAAACATATATATATTCCATTAGTTCTGTCCCTCTAGAGAGTCCTGACTAAATCACCCCATAAATTGGAAATTGAACTAGTTCTTACCTGAGATAGTTTGACAAGGACTGGTCGAGTAGACATCACAAATTCAATATAGTCACTAAAGAAGGTAATATTATTTAAATAATGTTTTATTTACTTTGTATTGCCTAAATATTAAAATAACATAAACTTTAAAAAGCTGTCATGGGGACAACCTTGAATGTATCTACTCTATTTATTTACACATTCATACATACATACAGGTAGTACATGAAAGAAAACTCACTGTAAACAGTTAAACAATATGAAAGACCATAGGGGTAAAAGGTTTTGTCCATTCACCACTGCTACCTTCTCCTCACTGATTCTAATGATCTGTCTAGAGGTTATGTTTCTTCGTAGTTTAATATGTATTTTTATATAGAAATATAAGTGGATATACACATGATTTTAGTTTTTCCATTATTTAAATGAATGAGATTGTACTCATAATGTATTATTCTGTAATCTGATTATTTTCCCCACTAAATCATATACTTGGAGATCATTTCTGGTCAGTTCACATGAATTTGCCCCCAAAATAGTAATAGCTTCCAACATAATTTTAAAAATTATTCCCTTGTTGTTGAATATTCCATGTTTTTGCTATTATAACACTACTACCATGAATATGCACTTACTTCTTTGCATGTACCTTTGCCAATTGAGCAAAATGTGTATAGGATATATTTTTAGAAGAAAAGTGCTGGGTCTAGGGTATTTACATTTAAAATGCTGATATTCTTGAGGTGCCCTCCAGAAACTCTGTACCCATTCATAATTTAATCAGCAATGCATGAGTATGATCATTTCACACTCTCACTGTCCTTGAATTTTATCAAACCTCTCTTAATTTTTGCTAATCTCATGAGTAAAAATACATTTTTTGTTTTATTCATTTATTTATGTATTTATGTATTTATTTTGAGATGGAGTCTCGTTCTGTCGTCCCAGCTGGAGTGCAGTGGTGCGATCTCAGCTCACTGCAACCTCTGCCTCCCAGATTCAAGCGATTCTCCTGCCTCAGCCTCCCCAGTAGCTGGGACTACAGGCGCGCACCACCACGCCTGGCTAATTTTTGTATTTTTAGCAGAGACGGGGTTTCACCATATTGGCCAGGCTGGTCGCGAACCCCTGACCTCGTGATCCACCCACTTCGGCCTCCCGAAGTGCTGAGATTACAGGTGTGAGCCACTACACCCAGCTTTCTGTTGTTTTAATAAGCATTTTAGTGTTTTTATCAATTGGCTGTTGATATTCTTTCCATATTTTTCATTACTTGTTTTCTCAATTTATTTGTAGAATAATATATACATATATGATCAGATATTATATATTTTCAATCATTTGATATATGTTGCAAATATCTTTTCTCATTCTGCTATTTGTTTTTGTTAATGGTGTTCCAATTTATTCTTAAAAATTAAGTCACACCCTAACTTTAAGTTTTATGAGCAAGAAATGCCTCAGATATCTCTATATTGTTCTGGACATATCAAGAAGTCATGACCATTTGTCTTATAAAATACTGAGAACTTTTCCTTCTCTTGAAGAGATGTTCTCCTAATTTTTAAGTACAGTATAATAAAATGAACACGGTTTCATTTATTTCAGGAAAAATAAGAAGCCTTTCACAAATATATATATTTTTAAATTTATAAGGCCTTATTCTAACTCCAACTTGCCTCTTGGATTCAAAGGCTGTTAGCAACTATTCTTTCATATTCTTCCAAGGTTTGGACCTAAGGAAAATTAAATGGCCCTTTTACCACTTAAATCTTCGCTGCAAATTTTAAAGCAAAGTTTCAGATCCTGATAGAACCAGATATTATGTGTTAGGGCAAAGGCAGTTAACATTGTTTAAAGCAAGCTTGTCCAACCTGCAGCCCCATGGGTCGCATGCAGCCCAGGAAAGCTTTGAATGTGGCCCAACACAAATTCATAAACTTTCTTTCTTTCTTTCTTTCTTTTTTTCAGCTCATCAGTTATCGTTAGTGTTAGTGTATTTTATGTGTGGCCAAAGACAATTCATCTTCCAATGTGGCCCAGGAAAGCCAAAAGATTGGACACCCTGGTTTAGATTCCTAGTTGCTGCTGCTTTAATCTGAACTGTTACTCATCTTCCCTGTCTAAAGTGAAGATAATGAGGTACAATGCAGTGGTAAGGATGGTGAACAGTGGCCTTGAATTCAAGCTGCTTGCCTTGAAATTCCTGCCATCCCACTTGCTACCTATGTAATTTTGAGCAAGTTTTTTTGATCATTTTCATTCCCAAATTTCCTTTTTTAAAAATAATTATAACATTAGTTGTGACGAAGAAAGATGACAAAATATCTAAACCACCGGGTATATGATAAACACAAATTAGCTATTATTAAGCTTATCATCAACTGGGAGAAATAATACTTATCTTACATCCATATGTACTATTAACATCTTTCAAGTCGAATCTAGATAGAGCATATCACAACATTAGTATGCTTGCCAGAGGCTATTTTTTATTTTTTTGGTAAAAATTATGACAATGACAATAAAAACTTAACATCAGATACATTATCAGTTTGAATTATTATGATACAACTATGACAAAACAATTCATGTTAAGAATTTAGTACCACAAACTAATGACCTCTGAAACATAACGCACTATCTTTGTTAGTCTTTGTTAGCAGGGCATCAAGTATTATAGTATTCCGATTTAAAAAATATTTTAATAGCCACTAAGGTTTTGGGTTTGAATAGATACCGTTTAAAGCAAAAACAAATAAATAAACAAGCGCATAAAATTGTGTGTTTTCTGCGTGTGTCTAACATTAGTTGAGTGCTTACTATATTCCAGAAATAGGTTGCTGGGCATTACACAGTCTAGGGGTTTTTGTCCTTTGGTTTCCTTCCTGCTTAACAAACAAAAGCAAAAAACAAAACAAAAAAACTGCTTGGGAGATTGGGGATTAAATTGAAGAGGGTAAAGTAAGCAGTTTTCTGGGGTAAACGCTGTAAGGTTTTAAAATCTCCAAATGTTCCCTGCATTTGCACTGTCTACATTTAGGCATCAACTTTTACTACCTCTAGGATTAGTTTTTCCTTTCCCAATCCATGTTGACAAAGTGGGTCATAAAGATCCGTAGATCGTTTGCCCAGATCTGCCCTCAATCTGCGAATCAGCTTCCTCGTTTTAGAAAATCTGAAATGTAAAAGGGAAAGGGGCTGGGATCGCGTGGGGAGGAGGAACGAAATGGAATCCCGCGTGGGCAGGCGGCTGGCCAGGAGCACATTCCCCTAGCCTCCCTACGCGCCAGCCCCGCGGCGTTGGGAAGCTCCTCCCTGACCTTTCCTTCCTCCTCCTCCTCCTCATTCTAGGCGGCAGTGGCGGGCGAAGCGTGAGCGCTGCGGTATTTTGTCCCGAACGGTGACCCCTCCTCCCAGGCAGGCTGCGGCGGCGTCGGTGGCAGCGGAGCACGGAGAAGAGGCCCGGGCGGCCCGGCGGCCTGGAGGCCGCGAAAGGTGGAGGCCGGGCCGCCCTTGTGCACCGCAGGATTGACCCGGGAAGGGGCAGAAGCTAGCGAGCCCCGCCCGGCCGCCGGGAAGGTGGGGGAAGCCCCGTGCACCCCCCGCCCTCCGGCCGCCGCCGCCCCGCTGGCCCTGCAGCCGTCGCCGCTGCCTCGGGCTACAGCCCCGGGCTCGGCGGTCCCGGCTGGGGAAGGAGGGCGGCGAGCGCGTCCGGAGCCGCCGGAGATGGCGGGAGGGCACTGCGGCAGCTTCCCCGCGGCGGCGGCCGGCAGCGGCGAGATCGTCCAACTGAACGTAGGGGGGACCAGGTGAGTCGGCGGGTAGCGGGCTTGCAGCGGGGATGCCTTGGCGGCCTCCTCCTTTGGTGTCGACGGGGACCGAGAGTCGCAGGAACGAGGGCGAGCGTGGGAGGCCAAGCCTGGAGGGGAACGTGGGGGCCTCCAGGCGGCAAGAACGTCGGGCGGATTTTGGAGCTGGTGAAGCATCTGCTCTGGGAAGGGAGAGGCAGAAGGGACGCTTGGAATTACCGAGGACCAGGCCCATGTGGCAGAGTAGCTGCTGTCCTAGAATGCCAACCTTTGCCCCTCCCAACAGGCAAGGAGAACCATTACACAGCCTTCCTTACCTCATCTCAGATTAGAGTGTATTTGAGGACTTTATTTAGTAGAAACCTGGCTTTGTGGTTTGGATGTTGGAGATGAACTTGCTTTCCTTTCTCTTTGGTCAACGAGGTGTCGGTTTTCTTAGGGAAGAGTGCGGTGTTCTTTTCCGCGCCTAATTAGGGGATTTGTAATTTGAAAGATTTCTGTGATGGGAGTGCAGTAGGTTTGCAGTACCTAGTTATTTATTTTCAGAATTTCTTGGTGCATGGGCTTGAAGGATCTGTTCAACTTCTAGGACAGTGTGTCCAGAAACTGCAGTTTGAACATTTGCTTTTAGGAAGCTCTGGATATTGGCACGGTGTGACGCCCTTGGAGTAAACAGACTGAATGCTCTTCTCTGTCTGTTCTCTTTCTGGCCTTCCGCCCCCCCCCCCCCCCGCCCCTTCTGTGCCTGTTATTAAGTTTGTTGGGGGAAAAAATCGTAGTTTTTGTGGATTTCCTATAACTTATGAGTCACTCCTCTCAGAAAAGGGAGTTTGCCAGCTGTTTGAAAGAAGGATTAGTTGAGTTTTAGGCTTGGTAAGGAGATAAACAAGGAAATGCTCTGGAATACAGTTAATTTTTCTGTGCTTGAGAATATGATTTTCAACCAGCATTTTAAAAGTATTTTAATGTCTTAGAACCATAGTGATAAAAAATGTCTACTGTAGTGCTTTAATCCTAAACATTTGATAGCTTTCTAGAATTTAACACAGAAAACCATGGTACTTCGTTCTTAGGGTTTTTCCTCTTCCCCCAAATCAAAACTTAGATAATTTACAACGTTATTGCAGTTGTATAGAAACCAGTCTTATGGAGATTTATGTCTCCTAATGTAAGAAATGGAGTTTTTCCTAAAATCACGTTAAAATATTGGAAGTTTGGTAACTTGTGGAATACCCCTAAAGAGGAGGCCTGCAATGTGTGTTGATTATACTGAAGAGTAGCAGTATAATCATTTACAATCCCTACACTGGTTTCTACTTGCTATTGATAGTTAATGTATTTCTTTTCTTTAATTTTCTTTTTTTTTTTTTTTGAGACGGAGTCTTGCTCTGTCGCCTGGCTGGAGTGCAGTGGCGCGATCTCGGCTCACTGCAGCCTCTGCCTCCCAGTTTCAAGCGATTCTCCTGCCTCAGCATCCCGAGTAGCTGGGTCACAGGCGCGCGCCACCACGCCCGGGTAATTTTTGCATTTTTAGTAGAGACGAGGTTTAACTACGTTGACCAGGATGGTCTTGATCTCCTGACCTCGTGATGCTCCCGCCTCGGCTTCCCAAAGTGCTGGAATTACAGGCGTGAGCCACCGCGCCTGGCCGATAGTTAATATATTTCTATTCAGACATTCACAAGGACATACAGTATTATTGTAAAAATTAAGCAGTATTGTTATTTACTATGTGGATGGCTTAATACTGAGTGAACTCTTATTAGAGACTGCAGAATTCATTTAAAAGTTTTAACTCATAAGGCAGTTATCTTGGCACTGTAACTTTTTTTTTTTTTTTTTTTTGAGACAGAGTCTCGCTCTGTCATCCAGGCTGGAGTGCAGTGGTGCGATCTCGGCTCACTGCAAGCTCCGCCTCCCAGGTTCGCGCCATTCTCCTGTCTCAGCCTGGCACTGTGACATTTTATCTTGTGTTTACATTATTTATGAAACTTGAGCTTATCAGGTTCTAATTTTTTCTAAGTGATATTAGCAAAGATACAAAATAGTACATATATTACTGGTTTGAACAGTTTACAAGACATGAAATTGTTAGTGGGAATGGAAACATTAAAAAACTTCAGAAAATTGTTAAGATAAAATGGCTTATAAAATAAGTAGTAATGGTATGGCCCGTAGAAAACAACATCCGACTCCATATTCTAAGAATATTTTCTAGATTTGCTTTGAATCCTACACTCGTGCAGCATTTTAGAGCTAGATGAGATCTAGAAGTCACCTGTATCTTGTACAAAACACAGTGTAACATAGTCACTTAAGCCACTGTAAGAGAAAAATCCTGATATGATTGCCACTGAAGTTCAGGAACTGCTGTGGCATAGAATTGAAGTTCTGAAGTGATAGAGTAAAACTCAAAAGGAGAGTTTGTTGGGAGCAGAGAAGCATATGCTATCGGTAAGGTCTTTTTTTTTTTTTCCCTCAGGAGAATAGACATGAAAATGGATATACTCAAAGGAATTATAGAAATGACTAATTTTTATGGTTTAATACTTTGTGGGTGATTCAGAAAGTAGAGTAGATGAAGTTTCATTTAGAATTGTTAGTATTCGTTATTTACAAAAAGTAATGAAGTGAATTCACTATGACTGAATTTATGATTAATTCTGTTATGGGCAAGTGTGATTTTGGGCCTCATGCAAGAGGGCTGGGACTAGCCATTGAGGACTCCTGGACAAAGAGCTTTTGAGTCAGGTATATGTTTCCAATTCCCAGGCTTTATCTCTAACTAGCCTAGCAACCTTGGACAAATATTTTGATACTTAGTCTATTAAAATGTAAAGTGACAGACAGTAGTACCAATCTTATCAGATTGTTATAGGAATTTGAAGTAATAAATGTGAAATGCAAGGGTTAGTGGCATTATCAGTACTTACAGTGCAGAATAAATAACTAGTTAGATTGCTACCAAGTTAATTTAGTAGGAGGCAAGTTGCATGAAGTATAACTGTGGGTATGCAAATTTCTTTAGTCCTTTGCTGAAACCAGATTGTACATGACTCTGTTCTTGGGACACTATGGGTATGGGATAAAAAACAAATCAAAACAGAAAAGGCTTTCAAATGATTATGCTCATCATGTGTAATTTTAAGTGTGTTAGTTTTCATGAAGTTATATTCGAGACTGGTTTTGGGGCCAGAAGTTTAAAAAAAAATTGGTGGGGATGAGGGTCTAATTCCTTTGCCCAGAAATTCCAGGTTACTAACCTTTCCCCAAAATGCTGATTAAAATTGAAACTGATAATATGATTTTAAGCAGACCTTTGTGATTTTCTAAGTAGCACATAATTTTAATTATTTGGAATACAATTGGTGAATAAGTGGTGAATATAAAAGATTGCAAGTTATAAGCTGTCCTCATTTGGAATGAATTTGATGGCCTCCAAAACAGTGAATCTGCAATGTATGAATCCTTGGATCCTTCAATTTACCATTGAGTGGATTTGCTTTGATTTTGGACCAAGTCAGTTTTCTGTGACTGGGGTAATCTGTGTATTTTTTATTTTTCTTAAGAGTCTATTAAGAAACGCATTTAGGAGCATTTGCAGTGTTTTCTTAAAGTGACTCATTTGTTAATCAGATAAATGGGCGTAGGAACTGCTTATAAACACCTAGACTGTCCATAACCTGTGAAATTAGTTAGTAGTCAACTTCTATGTGTTCCCTAAAGTACCCCTTACTGTAGTTTACATTTAAATGTCTTTAATAAATGAATTGTTTTACTGTCTTTCCTTCAGTTAGCCAATGAAAGAATACTTTTCCTTACAAATTGTAAAGTTGTATGTGGGAAGAAGTGGAGATAAACTTTTTTTTTTTTTTTTTCCGAGACGGAGTCTCGCTTTGTCGCCCATGCTGGAGTGCAGTGGCGCGATCTCAGCTCACTGCCAGCTCCACCTCCTGAGTTCACGCCATTGTCCTGCCTCAGCCTCCTGAGTAAGCTGGGACTACAGGTGCCCGCCACCACGCCTGGCTAATTTTTCGTAGTTTTAGTAGAGACGGGGTTTCACCGTGTTAGCCAGGATGGTCTCCATCTGCTGACCTCGTGATCTGCCCGCCTCGGCCTCCCAAAGTGCTGGGATTACAGGCGTGAGCCACCGCGCCTAGCCGAGATAAACTTTTAATTGTGATTGGAAAGCATGTTTTGATAATGATAGAAAATTTATTTTGGAGACTAAGGCACTTTTTATGGAACAGTGCATACACGGCTTCTGCTGTTACTGACACTGAGACTGATACTGCTAAATGATTTAAGTGGGCAGTTTAGTGACATCTGTGTGTCAACACCAGTGTATTCTGAAAGTGCTCTGTTGTAACCATAAAATGCCTGCAGATCGTACAGAAGAATCAAGTCTCCGTTTTGTACAGAACATTTAACTGAGTTTTAGAGTGTGATTCTGTTTATCACACATAAGTTTCAATAAACATTTACTGGGTGTGTGCTAGGTGCTAAGAACAATGCTTTTAGGTGGTCCTCTCTGGCTTTAAGAAAAAACAACATCTACTTTTTTAATACAAAATCCATTTCTGAAACTGAGTTTGAAAAGTGAATTTACAGATAATCCATTTATCAAGATATGTAAAATATTATGAGCCATTGTTGCCTCAGGTGCCTGGATGGACTTGCAAAGTTGAGAGATCTGTGAGACTTCTGACACTACTCTGTATAAGCCTTGGTAGTCACAGTCACCCTGGCCTGCAATCCAGTGCTATTTAATAGCCCACTTAGAAGATGGGAATGGGAAGTAGGATGTATTTTGAGGTTTGTTATGCTGCAGTGAGCATAATAAAAAAAAGTAAGCAACTTCCACGTTTTTGATAATTCCAGGCTGCTAATTTAGGTAATGGCAGACAATAGATGGATGATACAGTGTATACATGCACAGCCTGGGAAACATCCCTTAGCCATTTTGGCTGGGGTTTGGCCTGTGTTTCCTGGTGATAGTGCATGGTAACTAGTGCCACTATTCAGTCACCTTGTTTAGTTTAAGTATGAAAGGTAAAAATAAATTTAGGGATTTCATATAATGCCAGAAAATAAATGTGGAGTGAAAGTAGAGGTTTGCTAGGCTGGGTGAGATAACATTGTAGTTCAAGGTGATATCTTAAAATGAAAATACTCAGAGAAGGGCTGGACTGAACAAGTACTATATTGCTTTGTTTGCCATATCAGTTTACATAAATTATTGGTTTGTTGTCCCAGTCTATTATACTGTACTTTGGTAAAGATCCTCCCTTGGTAATATACAAGCTTGATCAAATGACAACCTCAGAACAGTGATGTATTTGGCTGAATGATTTTTGAATGAATGAAGTCAGCAGTTGCAGATAGCCCAAGACTGCCTATAAAGAAGGTGTTAAATGAGTAATTTACAGTGAAATTACTATGAGCTTAAAAAGAGATAATACAGGATTGGATATTTAGAAAAACTATTACAGGGAAGGTAAAACCTGAGTGGTATCAAGAAAGATGGACGGATCTTGAATTATTGGACATGAAGAGAGTGATCTAGCTGAATAAAGATACCAAAATGGTAGTAAGCATGAATTTTTTGGGGATATGAAGAAGTTTTGTCCTATTAGAGGGGAAAACCAGCATTTGTACTGGAGAGATGAGATGGAACCTGAAGGTAATTTTGAATGTTATACTGAGAAGTTGAGACTTGGTGTGATGGGCTAATTGTTGATTCTTCAGCAGAGATTAGCTTATTGGAAAGTAGTGTTTTAAGATGCATTATATGGCGGATAACAAGTTGTTTATTGTTATTGAGAGCTGCTTGTATAATCTTAACTCTGAATTGAAAGTAGCAACGTTTAAAAATATTAACTGTAATAAATATATTGGTACAGCTATAACTATAAAACATCTTGTAAATCATTAGCCAGTGTATTAAAACAAGTTAACTAATACTGAAATTTCAAATCATGTTCTCACTTATAATACCAGATGATTTTTAATTGCAGATTTAGTACCTCAAGACAAACTCTTATGTGGATTCCAGATTCTTTTTTTTCCAGGTATGTCTTATAATTCTTTAGTGTATATTTTAATACATTTATTTACCAAAATATAATAATGTTTGTCAGTTAAATTTTTTTTAATAAAAAAGGTTAACTCTTAAAATTATATATTTTTGAACTTGGAAGATAGATAACTTACTTTTAGTGGTCTTTAACATTTGGTAAAGAATTAGCACATTTGTTTATACTCAGATTTTAAAAACTAACTTTAGATTATTAATGACTTCCAGTTTGCTGAGTGGGAGAATTTCAACACTTCGAGATGAAACTGGTGCTGTGAGTATAATAATAATTGATACATATTCCTAAATTAATGCTTATAGTGCTTGGTCCTAACATATAGTTACTCTAAGAATATAGGAGAACTGATATTTTAATAATCACTGAATGAAAGTGGCATAATTTTATTTCTTGTCATATGTAGTTTTTTATAATCAGAGAAGATCCCTAAGTAGGGAATACTATATATGGCAATTTAAGTATTCATGATTAGAGAGATTGTAGGATATGAGCTTACATTGGCATTAGAAGAAATTTTTTTAGATCAATAATTGAAACTTTAACAGTAAGTGGATAAATGTAAATATTCTAATATTTTTATATTAGAATATAAGAGGTTAAATTAGTAAACTCCTACAGTTTTTTATTTTATTTTGGAGAATAACCTTGCGAATTTGTTTATACAGCATTGGTACAGTGAGGGAAGGAAAGAATTGTAAAGTTTCAGTGCAAAAAAATTGGTTTATCCATTTGGAGGCAACAAAGTGACCAATGGTATTTATTTGCTGTGGTGAGATTTGCAGATGAAATAAGGCAACAAATGCAGATATGTCCATGTGAAATTATAAAAAGTTATCAATAATAAGATCTCCACAAATCTGTGATGTCTCTTCGATTTTTGATGTGCTCTAATGAAAACAAAAGAAAATTTATAAAGCTTAGAAGAATCTCATTGATTGTATATATATAGTTGATCATAGTAGGAAGAGTTTTATTACTGGCTGCCATTTCCCTTTCTAATTGATTTACATAAGCTTTAAAAGATGTTCCGTTTTTATGGCCAGATCTTTTGTAAATGATTCAAAATAGGTGTTGGTATAAATTTCCATAAAAAGTTATCAATTATGGGCTGGGTGGGGTGGCTTATGCCTGTAATTCCAGCACTTTAGGAGGTCGAGGCAAGTGGATTACCTGAGGTCAGAAGTTCAAGACCAGCATGGCCAACATGGTGAAACCCCCTCTCTACTAAAAACAGAAAAATTAACCCGGCATAGTGGCAGGTGCCTCTAATCCCAGCTACTCAGGAGGCTGAGGCAGGAGAATTGCTTGAACTTAGGAGGTGGAGGTTGCAGTGAGCCCAGATCGTGCCACTGCACTCCAGCCTAGATGAGAGAGCAGGATGCTGTCTCAAAACAAACAAACAAACAAAAGTTACCAATTATGTATTTTACATTTTTAAGCAATTTGTTTTCCTCTTATGTATTCTGTGGTGCTTTAGTTTAAAAAAAAAAAATTGTCATTACCTTTCCCCAGCTCTGAAGGAAATTGAGATTAGTAAAAGTATTATGAGAATAGTATTCTTTTCCACTTTTGACAGCAGTGTGCAGTATTTACTTTTCTCAAGTACCCCTGTGTGCATTATTAAAGTACATTGTAGTTTTAATGATTGAACAGTATAAGAAAGTATTATTTATTCATGTTTTCGAAGTATTAATTGAATTCTAGACTGTTTCAGATAAAAATGTTTCCTCAGGTGTCACTTTTACCAAAGGTATCAATACAAGTGATTTTATTAGACAAGATTTTTTCTATGTATTAAAATATCAGTTTAATAATAACTATTCAGAGGAAGAAAAAGACACCATCTCAAGAAAAAGACACCATCTCATGAAATGCACACAGACTACATTCCAATTTTAGAAACATTAAAGTTTAAGAGTGGAAACAAGGAAATGTAGTATTTAAGTAATTAAGACTTCATTCCCTATTAGTGTTACAGATATTAAAGTTAAAAGATTAATTTGTAATTTGAAAATAAAACTGTTCTCTTTTTTACAGATATTTATTGATAGAGATCCAGCAGCATTTGCACCCATTTTAAATTTTCTTCGGACAAAAGAACTAGACTTAAGGTAAGAAATGCACTCTTTTTAAAGTAAATTCTTACTGATAAATATGTGTTTTTAATATGTTTTATGAAATAAAAGGTTTTTTTTGTTTGTTTTTTTTTTTCCTTGAGTTGCAGTCTTGCTCTGTTGCCCAGGCTGGAGTGCAGGAGTGCAGTGGCATGATCTCTGCTCACTGCAACCTCCGCCTTTCAGGTTCAAACAATTCTCCTGCCTCAGCCTCCCGAGTAGCTGGGACTGTAGGCACATGCCACCATGCCCGGCTGATTTTTTGTATTTTAGTAGAGAAGGGGTTTCACTGTGTTGCCCAGGCTGATTGCAAACGCCTGAGCTCAGGCAGTCTCCCCGCCTTAGCCTCCCAAAGTGCAGGGATTACAGGAATGAGCCACTACGCCCAGCCAGAAAAGGTTTTTTTTTTTTTACTAAGACTTTGATTAAAAGTTTCCTCACACTGAAACTGGATGTGGTGGTACACGCCTATAATCCCAGCTACTCTAGAGAAGAAGCTGAGGCAGGAGGATCCCTTGAGGCCGGGAGTTTGAGGCTGCAGTGAGTTATGATCATGCCTCTGGCCAGTACTGCTGTACTGTTAACACAAATAGTTTCGAAATAGAATAAGAAAGTTTGAAGCTTTTTTTTTTTGAGACTGAGTCTTACTCTGTCACCCAGACTCACTGCAATCTCCACCTCCCGGGTTCACGCCATTCTCCTGCCTTAGCCTCCCAAGTAGCTGGGACTACAGGCACCCGCCACCACACCCGGCTAATTTTTTTGTATTTTTAGTAGAGATGGGGTTTCACCGTTTTAGTCATGATGGTCTCCATCTCCTCACCTCGTAATCCACCCGCCTTGGCCTCCCAAAGTGCTGGGATTACAGGTGTGAGCCACCGCCCCCAGACACAAAGTTTTAAGCATTTTTAATGTTAAACTAGTCATAACCAGTTTCACAAATAAAAACAATTTAACATAGTAATTGTATATATTTATCAAGGCTGGGGAATATTTTTAAAATAAGGACAAATTACAACTGAAACCTAAGATGAATTATTAGTATTATAAGTTCTGAATCTTCCATTTTTTAAAAATTTTATTTCATGTTACTTAACTTTACTACTATGAAGTAGCATCATTTCATCTGGATAACATAGCCCTTCCCAAGGCTAGTCTTTTTTTTTTTTCTATTTTATTTGTTCAACAAATATTTATTACATAACTATTTTATACAAGCACTATGCTAGGCACTGTGAGGTATACAAACATAGATCAGAAATAGATCATGCTCGCAGGGAATTTATAGTGTAATTGGGGAGATTAAGATAGATATGTATAGAAATAATTGCGATAAAAAGTTAAAAGCAACTAATGCCATAAAAGAATGGTTTCCATTCTATCGTTTGCCTTCTAGACAATTTATTTGTACTAGCCTGATAGAGCCCTAATCTCTCCTTTAGTGACCCAATTCATATATATGTATATATATGAATGGTTTTTAAGTAGATAACAGAATATTTTTGTTCACATGCAGTTTTTATTTACACTTTTTAATGATTAAGGATAATAGAAATAAAGAGTATTAGGAGGAAAATAATTTTTAAAGCCTTATGACTATATACATGAAGAACCTAGAATTTTTTCCTTTCATGTCAGATGATAATACAGGTTTCCAGTGTTAGAGAATTTACATCATTTGTTTCTTTGTAGGGGAGTGAGTATTAATGTTCTCAGGCATGAAGCAGAATTTTACGGGATCACTCCATTAGGTATGTGCTCTTTTAATATTTGGTGTTTATGATTTGACTCATGTATGAAAGTTGCCCTAAATGAAATGTGTTTATATCAGGTCCTAATTTTTGATGGACTTGTTCAGTGCTTAGTTTTTGTGGATTTTCATAGTAAAAAGATGTTGTCAACTCTGACTTAATTAAAATTTTCCTTTTCTTTCCTTATCCTCTTGAACTAGAGAAAATAAAAATGGAGTACTGTTTTTCTGTTTGCATGTACTCTTGACAAGTTTGCTTTGAAATGTTTTTAGTAAGAAGGCTTCTCTTATGTGAAGAATTGGAGCGTTCCTCTTGTGGCAGTGTCCTTTTTCATGGTTACTTGCCCCCACCAGGTATTTTCACTTTATTAAATCTTTTAAAAAATTCCTTGTATCATTAAGCAAGTACAAGCATATGAATAGGAAAAACTGCTCCTTGATTATTGAGTTTTTTGTCTATAAATCTATTAGAAATGGTAAGAACTTTTGATTTTTATAGAAATTAAGTCACATTATATATTGGAGCAGGGGTTTGGCAAACTTTTTCTGTAAAGAGCCAGATAGATTTTGTGAGCCAGAGGATCTCTGTGACAGCCACTTAACTCCGCTGTGTATACTACATGAAGACTAGGTTTAACTGTAACCACTACAACTTTATTTACATAAATAGCATTGATTGGGCTGGATTTTCCATGGCCCATAGTTTGCTGACCCATATGTTAGAGCACTGGTTGTCAAACTGCTTTTTTGCAAAATTTAAGGAATTCTGCAGAGATAAGTCAGTGTCACCTCAGCCCCACTTTAGTTAGAAGAGCCTGATTTTACCTGTGTTATAATGGACTTCTGAGCAAGATTTCATTTTAAAAAATGTTCCCCTGTCAAATAAAAAATGTTTGAAAGTATGGGGAATTTCAGTTCTAAAGCAGTTAAATTATTACATAGTACCTAACACATAATACCTGTACCATAATTGTAAAGAGTGGCTGGCAGACTGAATTAATTACCCATTAATTCAGTAACCTAAAGCTTATTTATTGTAAACAGTATGACAATACCAGAAATCTGTTGACAGAATTTTGTCTTTGTCTTTGTTTTTTTCATTTTCATTTTATTTTTTAATTGTAATTAAATTATTTGTAATAATTTGCTATATTGGAAGATGTATTTCGGCTTTAATGAAATTCACATTTTTGTTTCTTTGTCACAATGTGATATTTTTAATTTTTGAAAGGTGAACTTAGGAATGTATTTGTTTTCTTCTTCTCTTTATAGGTATTCCTAGTCGTAAAATAAACAACACAGTCAGATCTGCTGATTCTAGGAATGGTCTAAATTCTACAGAAGGTGAAGCCCGGGGAAATGGTACACAGCCTGTTCTCTCTGGAACGGGAGAAGAAACTGTTAGGCTAGGTAAGCAAAGATTACAGAAATAGAAAAAGAAAAATACGTATGTTTTTAGTGCTGGGTGATATTGAGTAATTACTTTTAAAGATTTTTGCCTCATCTCCTTTTTTATCCAGATTTATCATTTATATCTTGGAAAGGTCTCATTTAACACTTAATTTTTATTTAAAATGTTGTGTAATCTTCTATCTTCTCTGAATCTTTAGAACAGGGTTGCCAAAATTTATCTGGTAAGAGCCAGAGATTAAATATTTTAGGCTTTGTGGGCCACGTGTTCTCTGTCAGACCTACTCAACTTTGCCATTGTAGCATGAACACATAATGGACAATATGTAACAAGTAAGCATGGCTGGGTTCTAACAAAACTATTTTTTTTTTTTTTTTTGAGACGGAGTCTCGCTCTGTCGCTCAGGCTGGAGTGCAGTGGTGCCATCTTGGCTCACTGCAAGCTCTGCCTCCTGGGTTTACGCCATTCTCCTGCCTCAGCCTCCGGAGTAGCTGGGACTACAGGCGGCCGCCACCATGCCAGACTAATTTTTTGTATTTTTAATAGAGATGAGGTTTCACCGTGTTAGCCAGTATGGTCTCGATCCCCTGACCTCATGATCCGCCCGCCTCGGCCTCCCAAAGTGCTGGGATTACAGGTGTGAGCCACTGTGCCCGGCTCTTAACAAAACTATTAACCAAAACAGGCAGAAGGCTGAAACTGGCCTGGTGGCTGTAATTTGCCAACCCCCGGTTTAGAATGTAAAATATTTCTTTTTCCAAAATCAACAGGATTTCCTGTGGATCCACGAAAGGTGCTAATAGTAGCTGGCCATCACAACTGGATTGTAGCTGCATATGCCCATTTTGCTGTGTGTTACAGGTAGTGTATAATTAATAATGCTTTGCTTTTACAGGTGGCAGTTTGAAAATTAATTGTGATTTTATATTTTTAGATTGAAAAGCTATTTTTTTTTAGTCATCAAGTTTTTTCCCTGCATATTTTACCCATGTCTGTATCATCTGATTAAGATTTAGTGTACTTTTATTTTCACAGCTAATTTGGTAAATGTTTCTGATAGCCTTTATCTGTTGTAAACATTTAGCAGACAAGTGTGAATTGTCATGTAACTGAGATATCCTGATGTATTATTTATTGCTTATACCTAGCTTCTGAGACTGTAGTATATAATGATGTTAGACAGGATTATTAATGTGAGCTCCCTGATGGTCTATCTCTAATGATTCAGTGTTTTGTATTCTATAGCAAGGGAGAGTACATTGGTCATAAATACCACATTTTGGGAAGTGAGGTAGTAAAGCAGGACAGTTATTGCACAAGTGGTATAGTTTAATATCTAATATGTGAAACTTACAAAGAAGTAGTTTGGTTTTACTAATGCTTACATTCTCAGAGCCTGAGAAGCAATGAAGAATAGTGTAGACCGGTGATTTTTTTTTTTTTAATTGGGAAAGTGATAGGACTCTTAGTTCAAAATCACTGTACTCATTGAGAAATGTTGATGACAGAGAATGGTGTAGAAGCACAAAAGTGGTTGGAATATACTAGCTTAGATTATTATTTCATTTAATTGCAGAAAAATCAAAGATACATAAACTATTTGTTTATCACTGTTGAGTTCGGTTAAGAAAAATAGTCACAATAAGCTGAAAAATATCTAAAATGTCTTCTAAAGTTTACAGATATAGTTTAAAGAATCCCAGATGTATTTTTTTTTTAAAAATCTGAATTTATGAAAGGTTTGGCATGTCTGGTAAGTGCTGTTTATATCAGTAATCTCAGGTTTATATTTTCCTTGTAGTAATGATTAAGTGCAGACTTTTATGTTTTAAGAGTGTTTTGGCTGGGCACGGTGGGTCACGCCTGTAATCCCAGCACTTTGGGAGGCCGAGATGGGTGGAGTTCAAGATCAGCCCGACCAACATGGTGAAACCCCATCTCTACTGAAGATACAAAAATTAGCCAGGTGTGGTGATGCATGCCTGTAATCCCAGCTACTCGGGAGGCTGAGGCAGGAGAATCACTTGAACCCAGGAGGTGGGGGTTGCAGTGAGCTGATAGCTCACCATTGTACTCCAACCTGCGCAACAGAGCAAGACTCTGTCTCAATAAATAAATAAACAAATTTTTAAAAAAAGTGTTTTGTGGATTTGTAATTTTAATTATGAAATAGCATGGAAATTGTTTTTTGCATAATTTCTTTGGGGATGGTTTTGTATGAGGCAAGACTAATTTGGTAAAGTAATTTTTTTTTAGGAAGCATTGTTTTGAATTTATCATCTTATATATTTGAATTGAGGTGACTTGTAGACCCTTGTTTACATATTATGTACATATTTTTGTCAATAAGGAATTCCAGAAGAATTGTGAAATGATAAGTGATCCAAGTGTAACAGCATAACTTCCGTTTTGTTACTGTACACAATACTAAAGATTGCTCTTTTCCAGAACCACCACATTATTACGCAAAATTTAACTCACTGGGTAATAATTGTATGGAGGATGATGCTATTACATTTTCCAGTCTTTGCGTTTGCATTGATCACGATCTTTCTGTGCTTTCACCAAGTGTCTGACATTTCAGAGCAATATACTCATGTAAAGTGACGAAGGAAGACAATTGAGGACATATTTGGATTTCCTCACATATAGTTAAATCATTCAACACAATGGCAATAAAAAGATTTCAAAAGAAAGAAAAATATTTAAACTGTTTAAAAGTGTAATCTTTTTTACAAGTTATTTTTCCTCAAGTTTTTGTATCAGTAAGTTACAAAACCTTTAAAAAAAGAGTAGTACAGTGAAGACCTGTATGATGTTCTCCTAGCTTCACTAATTTTCTACATGGTTAGGTTTTATGTTTATGTCCCTTTTTCTTGCTGAGTTTATGACAGTGTTACTTCTATTAACGAAGAGTAGTTGTGTGAATTGCTGCCCCCTTGGGGCTTATATTCCACTTTAGATCTTTAATCCTTGTGGAGTTTACTTTTTTGTATGTGGTATGAGATTTAAGGATTTATTTTCTTCTCAGTGGGTAGGTAATTATGTTCTGACAATTTATTACGTAAATCATTCTTTGTCAGTGAATCTGATAGCCCATTTTATCTTGCTTTATGTGTGTGTATATACTTGGATCTGTTTTTCAGTTCTCTCATTTCCTTAAGACATATGTCTATTCTCATACAACTTGAGGTGAAGTATGTTCATAATAAGTTTCAAAATCTCACAGGGCATGTCCTCTCTACTGTATTTTATTGAGGTCTTCATGTAGGAAATAACTAGACGTAACTCTATTCTTCGCATAGCTGTCTTAACCAGAGGGTTGGTTCACTAGGCAGCAGTAAGATGATGGAGAGGTGAAATAACAGAGCATATTCTTGTTTTATATTTTGTTTTATTTATTATTATATATTTTTTGTTTTGTTTTGTTTTTGAGATTTTGAGACAGAGTCTTGCACTGTCACCCAGGCTAGAGTGCAGTGGCGTGATCTCGGGTCACTGCAACACCTGCCTCCTGGGTTCAAGCAATTCTCCCACCTCAGCCTCCTGAGTAGCTGGGACTACAGGTGTGCACCACCACACCTGGCCAATTTTTGTATTTTTAGTAGAGACGGGGTTTCACCATGTTGGCCAGACTGTTTTCAAACTCCTGATCTCAAGTGATTCACCCGCCTCAGCCTTCCAAAGTGCTGGGATTCCAGGCGTGAGCCACTGTGCCTGGCCTTGTTCTACATATTTTAAATGTATTACTTGTATGGAAAGTTATAGAGCAAATATGTACCTTCTTTGTAATTTTTTAAAAAACAGGTAAATTCACATATCTTATTAAGAGTTAAATTCTGTAGTTGTTATAGTTATTTTTAAATATGCTGTCCTGATTCTTTTATCCTTTTTTGACATCTCTTTATTGTGTAATACCCTAATTACTATAGAGAAAAACAACTTAGAAGTAATATGTCTGTAAAAGATGAGATTATATAGTTTTTTTTTTTAAGTGAATCCAAGTTTATTAAGAAAGTAAAGGAATAAAAGAATGGCTACTCCATAGCCAGAGCAGCCCTGAGGGCTGCTTGACTGAGTATACTTACAGTTATTTCTTGATTATATACTAAATAAGGGGTGGATTATTCATGAGTGTTTCAGAAAGGAGCAGGCAATTCCCAGAACTGAATGTTCCTCCCCTTTTTAGACCATATAGGGTAACTTCCAGACATTAGATGTCATTTGTAAACTATCATGGGGCTGGTGAGAGTGTCTTTTAGCATGATAATGCATTATAATTAGCGTATAATGAGCAGTGAGGACGACCAGAGGTCACTTTTGTTGCCATCTTGGTTTCAGTTTTGGCTGGCTTCTTTACTCCGTCCTGTTTTGTCAGCGGGATCTTTGTGACCTTTACCTTGTGCTGACCTTCCTTGTTACGCTGTGACTAAGAATGCCTAACCTCCTGGGAATGCAGCCCAGCAGGTCTCAGCCTTATTTTACTCAGTCCCCATTCAACTCTGGTTTGAACACCTCTGACATGTTTTCCCCTTCCCTTTTACAAGGGTACTCTTAATCCTAAGGGTTTCAGAGGGAGGAAGATTCATCTTCTGTAACTTCTGCAGTCTGAATAGGGATGATGGTATTTCTGCCTATTAGGGTCTTCTGCATTCAGAGTAGAGGAGAGCTCAGTTAGAAACTGTCAGTATGGTGAGAACTCTGATTTCTGACAAAAAGTGATGACTGAAAAATTAATAAGTGTTCGATTTAAGAAAGCACTGAGTAAGCTTATCTTGCATTCCTACACAAAGAGAACAACAGCAGTATATTCTACAATAACAAGGCAAAATAAGTAAAATTATCCCAAGTAAACTAAATAAGAAGGCTTTTCATGAACTGGGAAATTGTTGTAACCAAGCTGATATGGAGTTGGAACCAAGCTGATGTGCTAGCCAATTCCAATACATGCCCACAATTAGAATACTGATCCAGATTTCTGTGTTACCCATGCCTCTTGTTTCTTCTGAACAGCAGCCACAGATCACTGCTTGGTCCACAAGGATAAGCAGGATGAGTCCAAATTGCAGAAAGAACTCAAAAACTACTGATGAGACAAATCTAATAAAAAGCATACCATAGTTTTTGAAACAATTTTCCTATTTTCAGTCTTTCATTTTTACTAAAGAAATCATGGTAGGACTGATTTGTTTGCAAAATAAGCTTTAGTCTTATTATACTTGGCCTGATTATTTGTATAAAGTGCAGCAAGAATAATTAGTTCCTATATAGGCTCTTTTTAAATTGACTTTGATAGAACTTTGATCCATAAAGAATCTCAAATGAGACTTCTTAAAGCCTTGAGCCTTGCCATGGGTTTATCATTGCCTGCAAATACCTGTATGAGTTGGGTAAGTTTCTTTCCTTTTGAGGTTTCATGATAACTTGGGGCTTTTGGGCCTGTCAGAAAGTGACTTTCTTTACTTACCCCAGACAGGTCAGAAACCTTGTACAGGGACCGTGTAGACAAGATATGTGGCCAGTTTTTCCCAGGGGCTTTTATCAGCTCTATGAGTCAAATTTGATTCCTTAAACAAGTCCATATCTGAAAGCATGCTATTCCAGTCAAAGTCTTGGTAAAATAACCAGTTTCTCCAATTGTGTCCTGTTACAAAAGAAAACAGATTCTTATTGTAGTTACATATTGCTGTAAGTTAAGAATACTCACAAATAGTTTCCAAATTCTGGAGAAATCAGATAGAGAGAAAGAAATATGCTCCAAATTTTGTTTATAAGAGTATACTTTACTCAGTTGTTAAAAGCTGCAAAATCTCGAAAGAAAAGTGTTCTTGACTCCAAAGTCAGCTAATTGGTGCTGCAGTCTATTTCCTTTGGGTTGGGGGTCTCTCCACTATCTCATTTCATGGTTTCCCAGGAAGATGTTACTGGAAAGGGGTCCTCATCCAGACCCCCAAAAAAGAGTTCTTGGATCTCTCACAAGAAAGAATTCAGGGTGAGTCCTTAGAGTAAAGTGAAAGCAAGTTCATTAAGAAAGTAAAAGAATAAGAGAATGTCAGCAAATTTTAGTGTTTATTAGGTAAGTATTTAAGTATTTTCATTTGTTTATCTTAACAAATGAATCCCATCTGGTGGCTGAAGAGGGTGGTTACAAATTACACAATGCTTAGGAAAAATTGATACATTTTTCTCTATTGCTTTGAAGTTTAGGGAAATCATTAGTTCTTCAAATTAATATGCTCAATTGTATATTCTTATGAATTACAGTTGTATTACTTGGCATACATATTTAAGGGAAAATGAAGTTGATGTATTTTTATTTAGGCCCTTAGGTGACCATCATTTATGAATACCTAAGTTTGCTTTTTGCAGCGAATGTCAGGTAGTGTGCAAAAGAACGCTTCTTTTCCTTCATCTTCTATATTCTCTTTAGGTAAGCCAAAAGAGAAATTTTATAGTTATGTTTGCATTATTTGTTGAGTTTAAAAATAGATACTTCATAGTTCAACTCATTCATTATTATGATTACGTAACTGCTAAAGCTCTAAATGTATGAAGGCTGCTATACATATAATCGCATAGAAAACATTTCTTTAAAACCTAAATTCAGATAGGGCAGAAAGAATTATTAAAAACTGACAGGATATTTATTAGAGAAATTAGGTATTAAAGAATACATTAGCTTTTACATATGGGTAGTCATATGGAACTGTAGTTCCATAGAGTTTTGCATTTAGACCTTTAAAAACTAGTCTTCAGAGGATATCCTGCACCCTATCCTTTTTTATATAATAGTGCTAATGTATTGGAATGCATGTGATACACTCAGTGTTTCTGGATAGACTGTCCATCTGAAGTACAAAAAGCAAGAGATTCAGTATGTGTCATTTCAGTTAATAAACCCTGAAAAGCTGATTAATAACTGAAAGGAATAATAATTCTGAAATTCAGATTTTTGCTGATTGTTCATACTCACAGAAGATGACAGTATCATTTGTGTGTGTGTGCGTGTGTGTAGAGAAACATGAAAGATAAAACTATCTTTTTTTAAAGTTTCTGAAATTTTTTAAAATTTGGAGGACTTTACTAAATTATTCTTTGGGGAAATATAGAACTGTAGTCTCTTTCAAGTCGTTATATGTGCTATGTATGCAAGTATACAATACCCCAAGGATAATATTGTGGCTTCATAGGCAATATAGATCAACAAAATTTTATTTGTAATAGGAAGGTGGATGGGTAACTGTTTAGTTTTTTTTTTGTTTTTTGTTGTTGTTTTTTGTTTTTGGTGCATTGATGTGTATTCCGTTTGCTTCATTGCTGCTGAGTCTACCTTATGTGCCTGTTCTTCCTTAACAGAATCAAAGAATCTTCAGGATGGCAGCAAGTGTTTACGAGCCCATATTTGGATTGGACTATCGAACGAGTAGCTTTAAATGCAAAGGTGGTTGGAGGGCCACATGGAGACAAAGACAAAATGGTTGCTGTTGCCTCAGAGAGTAGCATCATCTTGTGGAGTGTTCAGGATGGGGGAAGTGGAAGTGAAATTGGTAGGAAGAATCTTGTTTATGTTGCAATTTGATGATATTAATATTTTGAAGTTTATAAAAGAGATTGACACTGAATATGAAAATTAACCTGGACTGTCAGTTAGCTAGAGCTGTCACAGTATTTAATGTGGGAGGAATGATCTGATAATGAAGGAAAAATGATGTTTTAGAAAAGACATGGGGAACATCTTTTCACCACTTTAAGTGAAACCTGGCTGCTCTATGAAAATATTGCTTTTCCTGAATCCCACTTAGTGGTGGATGTTTTCACTGTTTTCTCTCCACCCCTCTCAAACTACTGAACCTGAATGTGGGGTAAGTCACTTTCTTGCTCCTCATTGTTGCTTCTAGACCAGACATTCCCAAACTTTTTGGTTTCAGAACCCCTTAATCCTCTTAAAAAGTTACTCAGGACCTGAAAGAATGTAGGTTATTTTCTTTTTTTTCCTTTTTTTTTTTTTTGAGACTGAGTCTCGCTCTGTCGCCCAGGCTGTAGTGCAATGGCATGATCTCAGCTCACTGCAACCTCTGCCTCCTGGGCTCAAGCAATTCTCCTGCCTCAGCCTCCCAAGTAGCTGGGACTACAGGCACATGCCACCACGTCCAGCTAATTTTTTTGTGTTTTTAATAGAGATGGGTTTCACCATGTTAGCCAGGATGGTCTCGATCTCCTGATCTTGTGATCCGCCCACCTCGGCCTCCCAAAGTGCTGGAATTACAGGCGTGAGCCACCATGCCCGGCCTTTCTGTAGGTTATTTTCTATCAGTATTTACTATATTAGAAATTAAAATGGAAATTTTTATAAATGTTAATATAGTTATAATAATCCATTGCATAACTTAAGTAACATTTTTAATGAGAACCTCATTTTCCAAAAATGTGTGAGAAGAATGGCATTGGTTTACAGTTTTGTAAATCTCTTTTTGAACTGTGATATCTATTTCTGCATTCAATCTGCTGTGATACATTGTTTTGATTGAAGTATATGAAGAAAACTTGATCTTACACAGATATGTAGTTGGAAAAAACTTTTTTCAGTCTTTTCAGAAAATTGTGCATAGTCTTCTTTGATTCTTTATCAAAACTCTAAAATCATATCAGTGAACTTTTCATATTCTGTTAAATTAAAATCCATCAGACTATTTTGTACTTTGAGTGGATCTTTTATCATACATGCTTTTATAAGATGTTGGGCATTTGGAAATTGTTGGTTTGCTGAGTTATGTAGATCTACCAAATGTTGATACCTTTCATTGTATAATATGAAAAAAAATTGCATTCATTGGTATCCCTGCTGACTACGTGTGAGGGAGTTGTCACACTCACTGTGGCAGATAAAAGTTTTCCAAACTGCAGATTTTCACTTGAAACGTTGAATTTTTATCATTGGCAACAAATAACATCAGTGGTTTTCCTTTAGATAACAGGCTTACTTTGTTTATTTTTTGAGGATAGTTCTGCCAAACACCCAATTCTGAATAACCATAGTCATCTCAAATTAAAATGGTACTTAATGAACAGAGCAGCTCCTGTAGCTCTTTGCTCCAGCATTTGTGAAGGTGCTTTTCCTTGACATAGCCATAGTACTTAGTCATACAGAATATTAAGATATATAGTTGAAATTAAGTTTTTATCAGTACAAATTTTTACTGCTTCATCAAGGACATTCTTTAGTTACTAAGACCATTACATTCTCTGCCACAGACTTTCGGGAACATAAAAGGCCAAATCTTTAATTTAATCTTTAAATCTTTGATTTGGCCTTTTATGTTCTTGAAAGTCTATGGCAGAGAAGAATGCAATGGTCACTAGTAAAGTTTAGTGCCACTGTCCTGGTTTGTGCTAAGTAAGGTACCTGCTGTTTTTACCAAACGTTGCTTTGCATCATCAGTGTAAATGTCAACACAGATGTTCTAGAATAAGCCATGAAATTCATATAAGTTTTCAACACTTTGACTATTTCAGCACTTCCTGTGTTTGTAGCTATGCATTCACATAAAGGATTTTTAATGATCAGTTGGAGCTAATACCAGATGGGTACAAGTAAAACACCAGGTCTAGCTAATACCAGCTGGATACAAGTAAAATACCAGGTCCAGCCACATCTATATATTCATCTGTTTGCAAGGCAAAAATACAATTCTACAGACAAGAGATTGACTCTCTGCCAAATCTTTAGATTGAAGAGTTACTGTATTATTGAAAAGTTACCATGTTATTTCTTCATGGACTTTTCATCTAGCAGGCATTCAGCATTGTCATCTGTTCAAGGCTTTATTAGTCTCTCAGCAATTGGGTATACTTCTCTAGCCACTGTGATGTCGTAACTTACCTTTGAGATACTTCATTAGATTTTTCATTTCTAGTTTGAAGGTCTATACCAAACAATTTCTGGATTAAATGAGTTTTTTACATCTTTATTTAAAATACTTAATTTCTTTTTCTTCTTTTCTTTCCTTTTTTTTCTGAGACAGGGTCTTGCTCTGTCACACAGGCTGGAGTGCAGTGATGTGATCCTAGCTCACTGCATCCTCAACCTCCTGGGCCCAGGCACTCAAGCAGTCCCCCCACCTCAGCCTCCTTAGTAGCTAGAACTACAGGCAGGCACCACCACGCCTGGCTATTATTTTTTAATCACTGTATAGATAGGGTCTCACTATGTTGCCCAGGTCTTGAATTCCTAAGCTTTAGTGATCCTGCTACCTTGGCTTTCCAAAGTGCTGGGATTACAGGCATGAGTCGCTGTGCCTGGCCAATTTCTTTTTGTTTAAACTCTTGGGTATTCAGTCTCAGTGAACCTACAACCGATAGATACTATGCAAAAATGTTTTGCTACATAAAGCACAATAAGGTTAAGTTATTAAGATCTATAAAGTTGAGGGAAGATTCCAGATTCCCAGAAGGAAAGAAGGTGTCCAACATAAACTGCATTGTTTATGCAGTTAGGCTTTTTGTCACCATAGATTAGGTTTCCTTTATCTAGAATTTCATGAGTAGAATTATATAGTATTTATTCTTTTGTGCCTGGCTTTTTATTAAGCATAATGCTTTTGAAATTCATCCATGTTGTTGCATGTATCAGTTGTCTGTTCCTTTTTATTGCTGAGTAGTATTCCATTGAAATAATACGGCAGAATTTGTTTATCCATTCACCCGTTGATAGACATTTGGCTTATTTCCAATTTGGAGATATTATGAATAAAGCTGCAGTTAACATTCAAGTAGAAGTCTTTCTGTGGACATTTACTTTCTTAAGGTAAATATATAGGAGTGGAATTTCTTAGTCATATGGAAAGTGTATGTTTAAGGTTAAGAAAAACTGCCAAACTGTTTTCCAAAAGTACCTTTTTACATTTTTACTTGCAGTGTGTGAGAGTCCCAGGTTCTCCACATCCTAATCAACACTTTGTATTGTCAGTCTTTTTAATTTGAGCCATTATTGTGGATTTTAATGGTTCAGTGATTTTAATTGTGGCTTTAACTGCATTTTTCTGATGATTAATAATATTAAGCATCGTTTCCTGTACTTAATGACCGTTTGTATATTTTCTTTTGAGAAGTGTCTCTGTAAATCATTTGCCCTTTTTAATGAGGTTGTCATCCTGTTACTTATTTGTAAATGTTTTTTACATATTCTAGATTTGTGTTTCACAACCAAGGAAATCTTATCCACCAAAGGATATTTGAAAATGTCTAGAGACATTTTTGGTTGACACAGTTGAGGGAGGCCTGTACCTGTCTCCCTTCCTCTTTTCTCCATCTCTCCCTTGCTCGCTCCCTCTTCCTCCTTTTGAGCTTTCTAGATCACTTTATATTAACCTGGGGTTGTGGGAGCCCTGATTTTTTATTTCATTTTTTTCTCCATTCTTCAGTTTAGATATCTTTTATTGATCTACCTTTAATGTCTTTTATACTTCTACAGTATTCAATCTGCAGTTAAGTTCATCTAGTGAATTTTCATCTGAAATGTTGGACTTTTTAGCTCTAGTATTACTTTTTGATTCCATTTTCTAGTTTGTTTCTTCTGCTAAGATTTCTTGTCTTTTTGTTCATTATGTTCAGCTGTTTAATTTGTTAAAGTATTTGTCTGCTAATATCAATATCTGGTTACCATGTTTTTATTTTGGGTCACATTTTCCTGTTTCACATGTCTAGAGAGTTTTGATTATGTGCTGTACTTGTGTGTGATACATTTTGTAGGGTTATGAATTATGTTACCTTTCTTTAAAAGTTATGAGCTTTGTTCTGGCAGGCAATTAAATTACTAAAGGATCTTGAACCTGTTAGGCTTGTTTCAGTACTTTGTTAGGAGTAGGTATCCTCTTCTAGCTTTATTTGTAATTTTAGGGCAGGGCTCCTTTTCAAGGCTGTAGTTCTTATTTTTAAGATGTTGCTTTTCTGGAATCTTATTTAACTGAATGCCAGAGGGGCTCAGCAAGAACTCTCTACTTTTATTGAGTTGGAACTACTCCATCTACCCACATATGACCTCTGATATCTGATATCTCCAGTTACCTTAGTCCTAAAGCAGCTATCTCCCGTTACCTCTTAGTCCTAAAGCAGCCTTTCTTTCTTTTCTTTCTCTCTCTCTCCTTCCTTCTTTCCTTCCTTCCTTCCTTCCTTCCTTCCTTCCTTCCTTCCTTCCTTCCTTCCTTCCTTCTCTCTTTCTCTCTTTCTTCTCTTTCTTTCTTAGACAGAATCTCACTCTGTCTCCAGGCTGGAGTGCAGTGGCGTGATCATGGCTGACTGCAACCTCCGCCTCCCAGGTTCAAGGGATTCTCCTGCCTCAGCCTCTCGAGTAGCTGGGACTACAGGCACATGCCACCACGCCCAGCTAATTTCTGTATTTTTAGTAGAGACAGGTTTCACCATCTTGACCAAGATAGTCTCGATCTCTTGACCTCGTAATCCGCCCGCCTCAGCCTCCGAAGTGCTGGGATTACAGGCGTGAGCCACCGCGCCCGGCCAGCAGCCTTTCTTTCCTTGAGGATTCTTGCCCTGCCCAGGTGCAGTTAGGCCTTAGCCAAGGTCTTAGGGAAACGCTTATGCAACTTTTATGCCACCCCTCTGGCACAGTTCCCTTCCTTCTTGTACTGTATCTACTAACTCTAGCCTCAAGTTCTTCGCCTCCTCAGTTCAGGGAAATCATCTGTCTTTATTTGGTATATTAGTCCGTTTTCACACTGCTGATAAAGACATACTCAAAACTGGGAAATTCACAAAAGAAAGAGGTTTAATTGGACTTACAGTTCCACATGGCTGGGGAGGCCTCACAATCATGGCAGAAGGCAAGGAGGAGCAAGTCACATCTTATGTGGATGGCAGCAGGCAAAGAGAGCTTGTGCAGAGAAACTCCTGTTTTTAAAACCAGATCTTGTGAGACAATCCATTCCCTATCACAAGAACGACAAAGGAAAGACCTGTCCCCATGATTCAGTCATTTCCCATGGGGTTCCTCTCACAACACCTGGGAACTACAGGAGCTACAAGATGAGATTTGGGTGGGGCACAGAACCAAACTGTATCACTTAGGTCTCACCTTTCTATGCTGTGATAGAAAGTACTCTTATGCAGCAAGCCAGGGGGAATGTGGGGCTTGTCAGTGTGTTTCTGTCTCTCAGGTCCTCTGCTGCCTGTTGTCCAATACCTAAAAACAGTTGTTTCATATATTTTGTCCATTTTTTTTTTTGTTGTTACTGCTGTTTTAAAGTGGAGAATAATCGGGTGCCATTTATTCTATCGTGATCGACAGCTTAAGTCCTCCCAAACAACTTTAAGAAAAGAAAATTTAACATAAAAAATTTTGAAATTATAATACACTGGTAATTAAACAGAAGGTAAATCAGTTGTGATTTCTTTTTCCTTTTTCAAGTAGCTATTTGTAACATACCAATAAGTGAAAGAAATTTTATTACTTGCTTGGTGTTCAAAGGCTAATGTGATAGGTAGCTATGTTATGAGCTGGTACAATAGTAATTTGTTCATGCCCTGTAAAAGGAGCCATTTGTTGTTAACAAATATTCTTCAGAACATGACAACACTATCCAAAGAAAATTGTTAGGGCTGGTATATCCATGATAAAGCTCTCCCAGAGGCTGAACTCCCTTCATTATAACTTAGATAAGACGAGAGTTACTGGGTTTCTGCTATAAGCAATATTTTACCAAGAGGGCCCCTTAAGACAGGAACTGGTCATTACTTCTGTTGTCTTCCCTGTCACTGGTGCTCAGGATTGTTTAGCCTAAGCAGGAGTGACACTTTAAATTTCGTGAGACCATTCAGAGTGTCTTTGTTGATTTCCTAGAACCTCATCCTCCTCTGGAGTAATCGATGTTAGTTGGTTTTCCTGTTTTCATTTCTGCCTTTCACATAGCCCATAATACTGAATATAGTTGGCTTCACATGTTCTAAAAAGACATGTTCACATTGTTTGTTATCATCATTAAAGTACTATTATGTAGAATCCCTAAAATTGTATACAACGTAAAATAATGACTTTATGCTTTGAAGTGGCAGGTTCATTTCTTAACCAATTCTGGGCAACGGACTTAGCTTTGTGTGTGTGTGTTGTACTTTATTTTGTTCTAGTTTTTTGGGCTGAGATAATGTGTTTCATGCACATGCTTGTATAAATATGGATTTTATACATATAATTAAAAATGTTTATATAGAAGATACTTCTAACAATACTTAGCAGGTTTTTTGTTTTGGTTTCTTTTTGTCATGTATCGTCTTCTTGCTAGATGCCTTGCTTTTACAAGACTGATTAAAAGTTTTCAAGGTGTTGTTTGTCACTGGTCTTGAGTATAGTACAGTTCTGAACAAAAAGAGAATACCTAGCACCAGTATAAGATTCAAAAGAAATCAGTAATCTTTCTGGCTTATGCTTTTAAAGCATGTTATATTTGCATTTAGTTGCTTTGTTTTTCCCATGAGTTCTTCAAGGTTTCATGCATTTTTTTTCTCAGCTAAATGCTGACGAAGTTGTCTGTATTGGCACAGGTACTTTTTAAAAATAAACTGATACTTGAAGCAGCCAAAGATCTACATAAAACAGTATTGTAGAGGTGAGACTTATTTCCCAGCATTATTAGATAAAAATATATTTCCCATAAAGTGTTTTTCAAATGATTAAGATAATGCTATTTAAGTGCTAGAATTGGAATACAACTTTTTTTTTTTTTTTTTTTTTGAGACAGTGTCTTGCTCTGTCACCCAGGCTGGAGTGCAGTGGTATGGTCTCGGCTCACTGTAACCTCTGCCTGTGGGTTTAAGCAATTCTCCTGCCACAGCCTCCCCAGTAGCTGGGATTACAGGCGTGTGCTACCATACCCAGCTAATTTTTGTATTTTTAGTAGAGATGGGGTTTCAGTGTGTTGCCCAGGCTGGTCTTGAACTCCTGACCTCAAGTGATCCACCCGCCCTGGCCTCCCAAAGTGCTGGGATTGCAGGCATGAGCCATCATGCCCGGCCGATTATAACATTTTTAAGCTCAAGTGATCATTGAAACATTTAGCTTAGACCCTATTTCGTAGTTGAGATAAGAACCAAAAAAGTGGCAAACAAAGGTACTCTGAGAGCCAGGATCCCAACCCTGGTTCTCCTGACTCCTAGTGCAGTACTCTGCTAAAGAGAGACAAGTGTATAAGGCCAATATGCCGCACCAAGGTGAGCCTAGAATTCTCTGCTTAGGCATTGCTGGGTCTTTTGCTACTGATGTGTGATAGGTGCTGCTTACAACCTCTCTCACCTACACTTACTCTTCTGTTTGCTCTGATTCCCTGAGCTTGCCCATATTCAGTCTCCCAATTTGATGGACTCCTATTAACCTTTAAAAACTCCAACTCAGATGGCTTCTTTTCTAAGATATATTTTCAACCCCCTTTCCATACCCTTTTTACCCCATAGATACTATTATACCCTGTGCATCCTTCTGTTATTATTGTATCAAATTATAATTGGTTGCAGTTTTTTCTCTACTAAAGTGTAAGTTCTTAGTAATGTCTTGTCTTCTCGTGTTTTTTAATCCTAAAGCCTGATATAGTGTCTTTTGAATTAATTAAATGGAGATTGCAGTGCTGGAACACATGGGGTTTAAAAATAAGCTCTGAGTAAAAGGCCCGAATGTTTGTTTTTAGTATCATGTGACTTCTTGCTGCTTTTTTCTCCTTTTTGCTTATTTCCAGAATTTAGACACATTCTAGATAGTTAAGGCTGCCAAGTCTGTGTGTTCAGATCACTAGTTCTTAAATATCGGGTCCATGAGCAAGCTGCATATAACTCACCTATGGATTTTGTAACAATACAGTGGGTTTTCTGATTTAGTGAGTCTGGCATGGATCCCAGGATCCTTTTTGTTTTGTTTTGTTTATTTTAAATCTATCAATCAGGTTATTTTGATGATCAGCTGAGGTTAGGAACCAAGCTTCAGGATAAGGTGTTATACAGCAGTATGAGATGGCTTGGAGCAGACTCTTCCTTGCTTTAGTAGTTCTGTAAGCTGCTTAAGAGCTTGTGAGTTTCTTATTTCTAGTCCCCAACACGTATAGCACATAGTTTGTAGTAATGAGAATATAAATTAGTCACCTTTAAGATGTTTTTAATCCAGGTTTTGATTAATTCTAAAAATGGTGACTGATTAACCTTTTTATTTTTTATTGTCATTTAAGGAGTGTTCAGCCTGGGTGTTCCTGTAGATGCTCTCTTCTTTATTGGTAACCAGTTGGTGGCCACGAGTCATACAGGGAAAGTGGGAGTGTGGAATGCTGTCACTCAGCACTGGCAGGTTAGTTTAAAGCATATTACAGAAGTGAAAATATTTCTGAAATGTATGCTGATTATGTATTTTTTTTTTCCTTGTAGAATTCGTACTGTTTCTGGTTTTGGTTATACAAATATTGAATAAATGTAGTGGTAAATTTTTTTGCTAGATGCATATTTGAGCATATTTTCAAGAGTTTAAGTTACTTTGGAAAATAAGTGAGTTTTTTAAACTGTGGTTTTGCATTTCTCCATTTATTTTAAATGTTCGAAGTTCTATGCCTTGAGCATGGTAGTCCAGGCAAATTTTATTTCCAGAATAGGAGCACAGATCTGTGTGAAAACCCATAATCTGTTCAGAGATGATAGCATGCTAAATACTCTCAAGTACTTGAGAGGAATAAGAAAGAGATAAGACTTTAAAAAGGTTAATACCTGATTCTTAAAGGAAAGAGGAAAAAATTAAGGACTTTAAGCAGGGAGTGACATAATCAGATCCATGTTTTAGAAAGATAACAGTGGTTGCTAAAATGAAAAGTGGACTGGAGGTCAGGAGGGAATTTACTACAGCAATCCAGCAATCAAGAAGCAGAGCACCTCAACTAATGGCAGTGGTGGTCGAGGTGGCAAAGATGAGTACATTTGAAGAATATTTCATAGACCTTCCTAAAATGACAGGTCTGCTGTCTGATTGATGTGAGAAATTAAAGGAAGAGAAATGTATTTCTAATTTTGGGTTTCTAGTTTGACAATCCAGTAGCTAGTAGTATTTTGAATTGATAGGAAACATAGGAAGAGAAGCAGAGAGGCTGGTGGGTAGGGTGAAGAATTATTAGATTGATTAATATGTTTACTTTGAGATCCCTATGGTTGTTCAAGTGTAGATGTTAAGTATATAGTTGGAAGTACTCCTTTGGAATTTGGGAAAGAAGAAAGGGTGAGAAATATTTGGAGTCCATAATATTTATGTGATAAAAAATTAATAAGATTTTCCATTGAGTGGGTATATAGAAAGAAACAAAAGTCAAAATTAGAACTCTGGGGGAACATTAGCATTTAAGGGGACAGGATAGACAACCAAGAGCCAAAGGGACACATTATATGATGGAGAAATGACATTAATTTTGGCAGTAGATATCATTTGCAAATATATATTAGTTAGGTGTTGGTGGAAGAAAGCTAGGTTGCAGGAAATGAGGAAGTAAAAGATCAGAGAAGAGAGACAGCAAATTCAAATACCTTTCAAGAAGTTTGGTGGTGAAGGAAAGCAGAGAATCCAAGTGATAGCTTAAGGATCAAGGCTGGTTTGAAAAAAAAGATAATTGGTGCTTTATTTTTCCTCTAGGTTAGGACAGGCTTGAGCACACTTGTAGCTAGAGAGGAGAGTTGCCAGAAGGACCTGAAGACTGAAAGAATGGAGATTATTTCCGGTCCCATAAAAGTCAAGAGTGTATATGGGATCTACAGCACAGCTAGAAAGGTTTGACCCAACAGGGAGTAGAGACATTTCTTTCTCTGTGACAGAAGGGTAAGGAAGGAGTAAAGAGAAAGACGTTGAAGAATATTATCAAATACTGCAGAGATTAATCGTACATTTGCAGTAGACCTGGGATCCCATGTAGTTCTTTAGTTACATAATCAAGGTAGATTTTAAGTATTTGAGTCAAATGAACCAGGTTTGTATGTAATCTTAAAAGTTTTTTGCAAAATCATCAGGACAGTTTCAATAAAATATTAATGAAAATGTTATAAAAGCGTTGACTCTGATTTGGGTAAGAAAAGTAAAAAAAAAAAAAAAGAAATGTTTCAGTTTCTTGTTTCCTTTTTTTGTTTAATTCCACCCCCTCGCCCACACACACAGAATTACGTTACAAAAGAATATTAATAAGGAATTAATTGGTATTGTCAAATAGGTAGCCTAGGCTGTTACATAGCCTAATAGCAATTTTTAGGCACTGCTTCCCAAGTTGATATTTTAAATTTAGATTTATATTGGAAACATAGGTTATACATGTTTCATTCTCATATCAACGTAGACAGCTTTGGAAGTTGGCTCTAGAAAGGCATTATGTACTTTACTTCCTAAAGAATCAGATAACTCTGTGTGTATTCTGAGAAATAAGAGATCTTCAGCCATAGTACCATCTGAGTGATAGCCTAGCCTCTAAATACACAGTGGAGGCTGAGTTTGGGGAGGAAATATTGGTTCTGGGAACAAGAATTCAAAGTGAATTTCTGTGGTCTGATGGGCTAGGCTGGACAAGAATTTGGGAGACTTGTTTGATTTAGCTTCTCTCTTTCCTGTTGTGAGGCACCTGTAGCACTGATGTTAGAAGCACACTTTTTCTGTGTGTGTGATAGGTTTACAGACCTCTGCATATTAGGAATAGGAATAAGGCAGGCATCCTAGGAATCCTAGGCCCACATTTTGTTGGGGAGAGAGGGGATTGACTTTTCAGTATTGTCTTGACTGCTGTCTTAACTGTGGTCTGTTTGCTTACTTACAGAATTTATAGTAAGAAATATGAGATACTTACTTAGATTTAGACTTTCTAAATTTATATATAGAAATACTAGATACAAATATTGAAACAATGTATATTGTTTATACTAAGTATTAAGTTAATTGACTAGTTTGTTTATACACACTTTCATACCACATACCAAAGTAAAGGCTCTGGGATCTGGGATTTTAGCAAAAGTAGGAGGCATGATTTCATGGGACAGTAGAAATTGAGCCTCCTACAAAAATCTGAAGTTTTAAGTTTCTCAGTCCCTGAGAAGACTGGGAAAAGTTTGCCCAGTAATCTTGGAACAAGAAAGTTTGATGTGTGTTTGGTGTCTTGGAATGGGAAAAGGAGATGCAAGAGGAAACCATTAGAAATTGAAACCAACATATTCAAATTAGGAGTGAATTGAAGCACAAAGACTTGCCTTTGTTCTATGAGAACTCCAATTTGAGAAACTGATCTAGGACTATTGACATTTCTAGATACAGATATGACACCAGTTAGAACACTTTCTCAGAAGAGAGCACACAAGAATCCTGTAGAAAGAGTAATTTCTGCTAAAATAACCTCCCAAAACTTATAAACTTCACATGGAAACAAATAACGAAAAGTCATTAAACAAGAAAAAATTTGCAATCCCCAAATTGGAAATAATGGAACAATTAGAAAGCTGCTGTATTGAAGGAATAGGACAAATCAGAAAATGGAGGGAAATAAAATACTGAAAATTAAAAGGTCATTGAAAAAAAATTTTTAATTTTATTTAATGGTTAAATAGAAGCGCAGCTAAAAGAAAATTAGTAAATTGACAGACACGTCTGAGAAAATCATTTCCAGTTGAGCCAAGAGTGAGATAGAAAATATGAAAAAGAAGGAAAAAGTGAGAAAGCATTTCAGATAGGAACAGACTAGAGGAGCCATATTGAAAAAGATAACAACTGCTAACATTTTGGAGAAATGAAAATGGGCATGAATTTATTGATTAAAGAAATGTACCAAGTCTTGGCAGCCTGAATGTTTAAATGTGCTATAATAAAAGATAAATTATGATAAAAAGTATTCATAGAATAGTGACAGTTTGCCTGTCATTAGACTTTGATCAGATTTCTCATCACCAGTAGTAGACACCAGAAGACGACAACGGGCATTCTCCAAATGGTAGAGAAAGTAACTTTCAGCCTAGGTTTTCATACACAGCAAAACTATCATTCAAACCTGAATGAGAAGGGTTTTTTTTCAGAGAGAATTTTTGAAAGGACTACTAAAGAAAAATGCCTTTTGAGAAGAACGTTATATTTGAAGGGGAAGAAATGGAATGCATTAAGCAGTGATTAGGAAAGATGTTGGTAAATACGATGGTAAATTTAGATAAGTGATTATTTAAAAAGTAATGGACGAAGGTTAAAACATCCTGTAAAAAATAATGATAAGTTTACAGGTATAGAGATTGTAGTTAAAAGATTCTAGGGGCCTTATATGGGAAGATAGACTGGTATTTTAAAACTGTAAATTTAAATTTACATGTAGAAATTAGTGGTAATCACTGTGTGCTACCTTATAAGAGAAAAATCCACTTCCATTTTATATTTGTGACCACATGACTGAACCATGCATACTAATCAGTATGGTTTCTTGGATTCTTGCCATGAAGTTGTTAGGACGAAGAAGAGGAGGCCACACAGTGGCTGCTTCCTTGCTTGTGCTGGGAGAGAAGAACTCAGCAGTTGTAACTCACTGTAACTCTGCTTATCCTCTGCTTTCTCTGTTTTCCCGTATGGAGGGGTAGACATGGAAAGAAAGGCAGATCATGATTAAAGGTTACAGAAGGAGAAGTAGCAAGGCTTTAATCCTAGAGCCCATCCTCCCAGAGAATAAATGGTAAAAATGTTTGCCTTTGTGCCTTGGGAAGCGCTAGGCTCCTGCTGCTCTTTCATTGAAAAAAAAAAAAAAAAAAGAATGTATCCAAAGGGAGAAGAATCTCATGGCCTTATCTGTCCCCATTTTCCTGCCATGAAGAATCTGGGGCAGGAGTTGAAGCCCTTTCCTTTAGTGCTAGAACTAAAATGATTTAGCTAACTTGAGTAAGAAAATTGGTTAGTGGTGTGTAAAGCAGTCTCCCCTCCATCCTTTAGACATCTTTACTGATATCACTGAAAAGTACTCAATGTTTTCCTGGTATAAAATGTTTTGGCATTGGCTTTAATTAAAAGCCTGACCTCAGGATAGGGCATGATGATTGAGTTCTTTGAGATATTTCTTGTGTAACTCATAACTGCATGACATTGAGAGGGTACAGAAATTAGGATTATATACAGGAAGAGCTTAGAGGAATGATTATTTCCAAGTTTTAGTTATTTCTGTTTTTAATTAGAATGAACCTAGATTCTGTGCTTTTTTTACTTGCTCTTCAGATATTCCCTTTCCCCTTGCCCTACCTAACTCATAGTTGACTTCAGTCTTCAAGCTTCACTTCCTCTGTGAACCTTCCTTGATCTTTGCTCTTCACCCACCAGCACTGAGATGGCAGTTCTTCCCCTCTCTCCTGTGATTGTATTGTAGTCTATTTTAGTGCCTGTCACACTATAATTGTCTGTTATTTTTCTTTCTCACAAGTTACCAGCTCCTAGAGAGCAAGGGGATACCTCACATCCCTTATCTCTAGTTCATTGTTTGTTTTCTTGGATAATATGTGGTACATAAAAAGTACTTAAATGTTAAGCAGATAATGTTTAGATTTTAACTTTTCAAATGAAAGCCAGGTATAGTATATGAAAAGTAAAAGTCCCTTAACATTTTTAACTTTTAAATTATTGGAAATCTTTTAGACTTGTATGCAAAACTTGGTGTCTTAGTAATTCAAATGTCATCTGTGAAGAAGCTTAACAGGCTTGTCTGGCCTGGCTGTAAACAGGGAAGATTCATTTTGATGAATAGTAGAATATCACTCTAGTAAAATAGTATTGCAACTATCCTAGCAAACACATTTTTTTTTTTTTTTGGATACCAAGTCTCACTCTGTTGCCCAGGCTGGAGTGCAGTGGCACAATCCCCGCTCACCGCAACCTCTGCCTCCCAGGTTCGAGCAATTCTCCTGCCTCAGCCTCCCGAGCAGCCGGGATTACTGGCATGCGCCACTACGCCCAGCTAATTTTGTATATTTAGTAGAGACAGGGTTTCACCGTGTTAGCTAGGCTGATTTCGAATTCCTGACCTCTGGTGATCTGCCTGCCTCGGCAGGTTTCTTTTAGCACAAATATGGGAAGGTATTAATTTGTAAACTAGATTGATTTTCCTGGAAAAACTAATTTTTTTATTCCTATACTTTAAAAAAATAAATACAAATGAGACTTTGTTTCCCTTGCCATTTCCTAGAAAAGAAGTAACCTTTAGCAAGGAGAATGAAAAATAGAGAATACCACCTTTTCAGAGAAATAATAAATTATCAAGGGAGCAAGTACTTTCTGGAAATCAGTTGCTTTGTTTACTAGTTCTGATTCTGTCACTTGCTTACTGTGTAACTTTGGACAGGTCATTTAATCTCTTGTATGAGAAAGGGAAAAGAGAGGGACCTGGTCAGACTCGGCCTTCCAGTTCTAGTGGGCTGCAATCTAGTGATCACATGCAAAAAAAGAGGAGACAACCAATCGAAATTGAGAAAGGAAAGTACTGCTGTGGGAAATACAATTTAAAAAAAATATTTTGAAGGAAGTATATTGATGGTTCTCCTCTGTAGCATGTTTGTGTATATGTGTGTGCACGCGTGCACCTAAAGAAAGTTTATTTCCTAAGCCCTACTAAAATTGGATATTGGTTGCCTCTTTACCAGAAGAATCAAAGTTTTGAGGAAATTGACCAGAAAATAGAAATTATAATTACTATCTAACATCTGATAATACTCTCACTACATCAGGTTCAAGATGTTGTTCCTATAACTAGTTATGACACTGCTGGATCATTCCTTCTGCTTGGATGTAACAATGGATCAATATATTACATAGGTAAGTGTTCAGTCACTTAAAATGCTCCTGCTTAATGTAATTTTTTAAATGAGAACAAGAAAACATTACCTTTCAGTTTTAAATAGATATGCTATTTATTTTAATGCTGTTTAAAATTTTTATGTTTTAGATATGCAGAAGTTCCCCTTGCGAATGAAAGATAATGATCTTCTTGTAACTGAACTGTATCATGATCCTTCAAATGATGCTATTACTGCTCTGAGTGTTTACCTCACACCCAAAACAAGTTAGTACATGGCCAATTATATACATTCTTGACTTTTTATCTTTTTATTCATTAGTTTATTATGTGACTAGGTCAAATTAAACTGGTTTATTTCTTTTTGAGAACTGCAGTGCCTAAGGATTTCATCTCTACTAAGTCTAAAATTTGTATTCAGTTTTATACTGAAGTCAAACATGACCAGTAAACAAACATAATTTGAGGTGGAAAATTGGAACTCCCCTTACGCTGAATTGCATTTGTTGAGCCATATTATTATAATGTTAGCTGAAATTTCAAAAAAAAAAAAAATTCTGCACATTTGTCTTCCTATTAAAATAACTAATTTTTCACTTAAAAATTAGGAGCTTTTTAAAAAATAAAAAGTTCTTAGACTACTGCTGGAAACTAAGCTTATTTTCTTGGGAATTTAAAAATTTAAGCTGTAGAAAAAAGGCATTTTATAACTTTCAGTGCATTTTAGAGGCCATTGCAATAAAAGTAACAGACTAGTTCTGTAAAGTAGTAAGAATTTTTGTATTCTGGAGTAAAAGATAAGCACAAATGGGAAATTTAAAATTTATCTGTAATGAAAGGAGTTCTAAGAAACAATTTGTATTCAGTAATACTAATAGGTTTGGATGTGCTACTTATATAAGTCATCATTTCATTTAAGTTATTAAAAGAAACCATAATTTTTAGTATGAAAGAAATATTCAAGAGTATACCTATGAATTTGACTGAAACCATAGTAGGACTTAAATTGTATTGCTCTAGAAATAGGGTTTAGTAAACCACGGATTTCTAGCCAAGCTGGCTCTTTTTGATACCACTGTCTTTGGATGTTTTTATGCCACAATGACAGAATTGAGAGGTTGTGACAGAGACAGTGTGGCATGCAGAGTTTAAAATGTTTACTACTTGGCCCCTTACGGAAAGTGTACCAACCCCTGCTCTAGAATGAGCTGTGGATTTTTTTTTTAAATCTAGTTAAAAGGCAGGCATAAAACTGGGAAAGTTTTACAAATCAAAGCACTTCTTTTGTAGTGGCAGGGGGATTTTAAGGCATGAAAAATGGAGTCATCTTTCTGGTTCTAGGAGGTGTTTTTCATGACATGCTTTTTTTCCTTTGATTCAAGTATTTTCAGATGAATCAGTTAGTAAAACTAGAACAGCCAGTAAAGCTAAGATGTTCTCTATCCATGAAGCTTTTAAGAGTATAGGTCACTGAATTTTTTCCTATCTAAATTTGCAATGGGGTCTGGGCACTTTTTGAAAAAAAGAAAACAAAAGACACAGCTGAACCTTAGATGATTAGAAGAAACAACATATTTTAAGTATGATGTAAGCAATGTAATGGGTATGTTTATTCCCTAGCACAGTGTTTTGAAACTTAAATAGTATATTTAATGCTTGATTATTTGAGAATGATTTAGTATTGTAGTTTAAGTAAAGCAGATGGTAATTCTAGGCTAGACATAATAAGGAATATTGCTTTTGGAATACTATGCTGTTTCAGTAGTGTTCTTGGCATGGCAGATTTATGAATTCTTTAAACTATGTTGAGTACCTGCGGTGTCTCAGGCACTCTGTGAGGTGACAGATAAAAAGATGATTATGATTCAGTCTTTGTCAATAAGGAATAGAAGTAGCTAGACATAGAAATAAGTACAGAATTAGTGTGTTATAATTACTGTGATAGAACCTAATAGTGCAAGGCAGGAGGTGAATAGTTACGTCTTGGAGTGAGGGTTAGGAAAAGATTTATCAAGGAAATAATGATTTTAAGATGACCGGAGAAGTCTTAAGATTTTTTTTTTTACTGAACTGGATTTGGGGCTGATATAAACAGTGAATCCAGCTCTGCCTATTTTATCATAGGGAAGCTTTGCGAGGGTAGCTTTTTTATTATCGTTCCATAATGTATCACCTGTCAACTCTTGACTTTATATAGGTGTCAGTGGTAACTGGATCGAGATCGCCTATGGTACGAGCTCTGGAGCAGTACGAGTGATTGTACAACACCCAGAGACAGTTGGGTCAGGTCCTCAGCTTTTTCAGACTTTCACAGTTCACCGAAGTCCCGTAACAAAAATCATGCTATCAGAGAAGCATCTTGTATCAGGTAAAATGATTTCATTATACTGGTAAGGAACTTGGCTCTGTGTGTTATTTTCATTAAAAGAATGAAAACGCAGTGTTTATGTGAGAAAAATATACTAAAAGAAGTACTAGAAAAGTTTAATGACTGAAGAAATTATGATTGTCTTTTAAAGATTTCTTTGAGCTGGTCGTGGTGGCTCATGCCTATAAATCCTAGCAGTTTAGGAGGCCAAGGCAGGTGGATTGGTTTAGCCCAGGAGTTGAAGACTAGCCTGGGCAACATGGTGAAACCCCACCTCTACCAAAAAAGAGGAAAACAAAAAAAAGATGTTTTTTATTTTACCTGGTTTTAATATACTTAAATTTAGGAGATGTGATTTTTTTTTTTTTTTTTGCTCTCTTGGCATATCTTATTGCAAAATATTTATTATGACCCTGCTAAGAGGAATTTTTATTAAATTTTTCAAGTTTTACTTTTAATATAAATTGGGTTGATTATATTATGGTTTAATGCTAAAACTGTAGATTTAAATGTGTATTTTGATATTTTGTCATCTCAAAAATAATAAAAATTACAATTGTAGAGATTATTTGAAGAAAATAAGCTTTTCTTGGGTTTGTAGTTCTTCATAATATAAAATTTTTAATTAAATATTAATTGGATACATAAAAAATTAAATACTAATTTTCAAGTTTAACGAATAGTACTTTCTGATTACAAAGTAAAATTCTATTGAAGAAATTCATTGTGTATGGAAGATGATTTCTAAAAGGCTTTGTGAAAATTGCATTGTGAGTTGGGTGTGTCAGTAAAGCTTGCTTTCTAGAGGAGTCTTACATTAACTCCTTTTGTAGAGCAGTTCTTGCCCAACTTAAAATTTTTACAAACATGGTTTTCATGTGTCAGATTTGTTTTTGTGAAGGCTGGCTAGAAGATAATGCATCTTTTGTGAAAGATGTAGTGAAAGTTTCTCAATCTAATTAAACACCATGTGGAGCTGAAATTCAGTCCATAGCTGAATGATTATGCTTTTATTGAATGTGTAATTGTTTGTGGTATAAGTATGCCTTGCTAAAACAGTCTCTGTTAGGTTTTCATAAAACATTACTCCCCTGCCCCACTGAGGAGTTTCTAACTCTTGCTGGTTCCTCATCTTTTGCCCAGTTGCTGAGTGTTGGATTGCCCTTGAGCTCTTTCCTGGACTCTGTATTCTTTATCTGCACTTTCCTAGTTATTTGAATAGTAATTATATGTCAGTGGTTCCCAAACTTTCCTCCACCTGTGACCATCCAAAGAGTTCCAAACCCTGTATATCCAGTGTCTGGATCTCTGGTTGTATGTTTAATAGGCATCTCAAATTTAAGTTGGACAAAATAAAACTTAATGATTTCTCCCTCAAAAGCCATCTTAGTATACAGTATCACCATCTACTTATCTACTCAAGCTGAAAATCTAGGAATCACCCTTGATTTCTCCCTTTCTTTCACCTCCCACATAGTACAATTCATCAGTAAGTCCTGTTGGTTTTGCTGCCACATTATGTCACAAATCCAGTCACTTTTCATTGCTGTCAGTCTAGTGTCTCACGTCATCATCCTTTCTCCCCTAGATGACTGTAGTAACTTCTCAACTTTTCCCTCTCTATGGTACATGTTCCACACAGCAGCCAGAAGCATCTTTTAGAAACACAAACGAAGTTTGATTCCTGATGGCTTCTAATTGTATTTAGAATAAATTTAAATTTCTACCATAGCCTGTATGGCTTTTCTTGTTCTAGATTCTACCTACCTTTAAAATTTCTTCCCAATCCCATGTCACTTTTCTCATTGCTGATAACACTCTAACCTGTTGGCTTTTCTATTTCTTAAAAATGCCTTCGAACTTTTGTGTTTGTTCTTTTTATTTGAAATGGTTTGCCCATAGGTATTTGTTTGACTGCATTCTTGTCATTCTGGTGCCGTTTCAAAGCCCTTCTCAATGAGTGCCCCTTGGCCACCTGCTTTAAATTAAATTAGCCAAACCTCTGTCCAACAATAACTTTCTCTAACGGTACCTTGCTTTGTGTTCTTCATAGCTTTATCACTTATTCATTTATTTGCTTGTTTATTATCTCTATCTCTTCTAGAAAATTCTCCAATAGCAGAAACTTTGTTGTGTTCTCAGCACTTAGCATAATTCTGACACGTAAAAGATGCTGAATAAATGTTATGAAATAAGGCAATTCAGTTCTCTGAGAAAATGGGCCGTTTTGAAGGGTTATTGTGATGTTTAGATGATAATGTATAGAGATACTCTGTAATAATTGCTATTATTTTGGTGGTTATAATGTTATTGTGGGATGTGATACCAAGGAACTACTTTGTAAAACTTGCATTTTAACATCAGATATTTCATGTAGGTTTGAAACTTTTGTAAGTTTGTCAAGAGAAATATCCTTTTTAACAAAAAATCTGGAGTATTTTGTGTATACTCAGTTATGTTATTCTGCCACCTGGTGGATATTAACACATATGTAATGACATTGTTTTCCCTATAGTGCATTTTAATCCCTTAAAGAAAAACTTTGGATAATGACTAATATTAGCAAAATTGACGTAATTGTCCAATTGAATCAACTAAAAATATTTAAATTATTTTTCTGAATCCTAGTAAGCTTAGTAGTGAAATCAGGAAATGATTTCCCGTGAAACTAAATAGCCTAGAACAAAATGTCCCCTTTTCACCAGAAAACTGACAGTCTAATAATTGAGAATTTTGTTATATAAGAATAGAAAGTACACAGATGTTACTTATTGCTGTTTGCCAAAATTAAATTTCTTTCTAAAGTTTTGTTTAAAATATGTGTAACTGTAGAATATGTAACACATTTTTACCCAGTAGTAAATATTATGTATGTGTGTATATAAGAAATTTTAGATACTTTCCTAATATTTACTGATGAGTTCATAGTTCATTGCTAATAATAACATATTTTCTAAAATCATAAATGGCAAAATCAGTATATTTTTTATTAAAGCATGCCAAAAAAAGTAGTTTTTGCATTAGTGATACACTTTATGGTGTATATTTTCAAATAGAGTATCTACTCAGACAAAAAAAAGTACAGCTAGACGAGGAGACATTTCAGTATATGCTCAGTTAATATTCTATTCACAAAATAAATAAAACTAATTGGAGTATGTTTTTTAAATACAGACTTTATATAAAAATAATGCTCAGCTTTAGTACAGAATCTTAATTTTCCTTAATGTAACTATGAGTTGGCAATAAATAGCTGATTGCTCAAGATGTTTGACAAATGTCATTTGTGCCAATAATTTTTCGGTAAGTTCTGATCTAGGTTAATAGTTGAGTAGCATAAGCAGAAACAGTTTCTATAGTTAGGAAAAATAAACTAGGAAACTGTTTACTATGTAGTTTGGCCACAGAACAGGATAATATTCAGCATCTTTTTTCTTACACACACATTATTTTTAACCTTTACTACATTTATAACCTACAAGCTATTTTTATGAGGATCTGTAGGTTTACTTAATGTACCTTATATTTTGCAGCAAGGTAAAACATCCAGTTTTCTCACTTTTGTTAAGTAGTCACAAATCAAGTATAGTTTTAAGATAAATATGTCATTTGCCACTTATACTCTGATCTGTGTAATATAGATGATAGTGAAAAAAGTTAAAATGAGTTTTTAAAAGTAATTTTGTATTCTTTTGTGTTCTCTTTCTCTGCTAGTCTGTGCAGATAATAATCATGTCCGGACGTGGACAGTAACACGATTCAGAGGAATGATCTCTACTCAGCCAGGTTCTACTCCTTTAGCGTCATTCAAGATACTATCCCTGGAGGAGACAGAAAGTCATGGTAGCTATTCCTCTGGAAATGACATAGGTGGGTTAGGTTATTTTAGGGCATTTTTAGGTACTATATTAACTGTTCAGAAGAAGCATATCAACTAATAAAACCACAAAAATGAGTTTTAAATACAAATTTTCCATTTTAATTTTGAAATTCTAAACAGAATTTTAGTGTGTTTTTCTGATTAAATTCTATAAATTCACAAAATTATTTTATTGCAGCGTTTTTCCTTAAAATGTTAGAGCAAATTTTTCCTCTTATTAATGTTTCATCATTTAAAGAATGTCATCTTCACATGTTAACTACTTTTATTTATTATTAAAACTATGATAACTGTGTACATTTGACATTTGAAATTTTTTTTGTTAATCTACTGAAAATAAAATTTGAAGCTAGAAAAACGTTGGTCCCTATAAATGAGAGTCATTTTGATGACATCGTAATATTCATTAGGAAACAATGTAGTATGTCTCCTTTGATATTCTCTGATTTCAGCAAAAGGTGTATAAGTTTAGTTTAGGTTTTCTCTCTATACACCATACATACGTGTGCACATGGGCACTCACACATCCACACATGTGTGCATACACATATACAGTCTTCATAGAGATAGATCATTCCACCCCCGGCCCCATTTGAAAGAATCTCACTGTCCTTATAAGCTACTTAAGAGAATTCTACTACCACAGCCTTACTATTTTTAGAAAGAGAAATATGCAGTGTTACCAGTTTTAACAGTTGTTATATAATCCCAGTTCTCTGCATGATTCTAGGCACTGGAAGTTTATATTGTTATTTATTCAACAAATATTTATCGAGTACTTGTGTTCTAGATATTAGAAATTTTAAAAAGTGCGGTGAACATCAACTTACAATGTAGTGAGCAGTGGGAATTAAAATAAAACAGTTGCATTTTGCAACTTTGCTTAAAGGCATAGGTCAAAAAGAACCCGGAGGAGATAGTGCCAGGATCTATGTTAGAGGTTGTAATATATGCTCTCGTTTAATCTTGACAATTTAGGAGGTAGATACCCCACTTAATGTTGACAGAAGCTGACATTCAGACAGAGAACACACAGAGGTTTTAATGTTTGAACTGATACATGAAGGATAGACATTTGTTGGGTGTGGAAGGTTCTAAGGTTGGAACATTCCTGGCAGAGAAAACAGCAAGTTAAAAGGGTAGAGGCCAAGGGAACTTGACAAGTTTAGAAAATGTCAAGAAGGTCATTAATTGTTGGATTATAGGATATGTGGGTAAGAATAGTAAGACATACTGAGTGAATAGGCCAGTGCCGGATCGTGGAAGGCATCTATACATCAAACTAAGAAATTTAGATTTTATCTTGTAAGTAATGGAGACCTTTTGAAGAATTTTGAGAATGATACTAGATTTGTGATATATATAATTCATCTTTCAAGAGCATGCAAGAAGACTTGACAGTGAAGACATGAGAGAGTGAAGCAAGGAAACCAGAAAGGAGGAATTTATTAACCAAAGTGCATGGTGGTCATTGACTAGATGTGGCAGGCATGAGAGAGGAAGGAGTCTAAAGTGACCCTAAGGATTCTTGAGAAATGGAGTAGCTGAGTATTATTTACTAAATAAAGAAATATAGGAAGAAGAACTTATTTTGAAAACAAAGATGAATTCAGACTTGTATATTTTGAGTGATGATGCATATGGATACTATTCTGTGGTATGAAGATATACCTGGTTCTGTGGTATGAAGATATACCTGGTTTCTGGAGAAAGAACTTAACTAGAAGTTATGTTTATGAGTATTCAGCATATAAGAAGCACCTGAAAGCCCCAGGAGTAGATGTATTGTTCAGGGAGAGCATGTGTATTGTGAATAAAAAGATATTTATAAACAGCCCTGTAAATTAATTATAAAACCCAGTAAGATAAAGGGGACAGGGAGGCTTTTCATTCCTCTTTATAGTGGTATTTAAAATATATATATCTTCATAGACAAATGGACATACAGATTAGTGGAACAGAGTAGAGTCCAGATTCAGTAGAGTGGTAAAGGTGAAATCTACATTGTAATGGGTAATGGGGTAATAGATATTGGAGGTGACCATGAAATAAAGAAGTAATGGAGCTAGTTGGAAGGCAGGGAAGTTCAAAGGTCATATTTTTACACATGATCTTAGCCAAAAGGCCAAGAAGCGATCAAAGGTCATTTTTTTTTATTCCTCCAACTTTCTCCCTCATTAAAGTTAAGAAAGACCTAGGAATATTTTGTATTCCAAGGAAAGGAGCCAGTTTGGGAAGGGAAACTATAAATGGGAGGTGGGGGAAGCGAGGGCAAAGAAGGTATGAAGAATAGGTTATGGGTCAGTCTCATGTCAACATGAAGTTCAAAGGGAGAGAAGATACAGTTCTATAGTCTTCTCATTCCTAGTTATTTTATTCTGAGTTATTCATTGTCAATATTTTGACTTTGTTTATGAGTTATTGAATGAGGATTGTCATTTCATTTTAATAAAATTAGAGATCAGAAGGTTCCAGTAATTGAGCAACTGCATAATATACTGAAGAGCCAGACAGGTTTGTTTGAATTCCACTTCCATCATATAGGACCTATGAGAACTTTGGTTAACTAATCTCTTGGTGCCTTATTTTTTTCATCTGTAAAATGGAGATGGTAAATAATAGTACCTCCCTTATGTGGTTATTATGGTGATTAAAATGAGTATATATTTGGAAAGCATTTACGGTGGCACATAGTAAGTACAGTGTAAGTATTAGCTAATAATAAAGATGACATTGGTTCATTTAATAAGTACATGTATGATTCATGTAACATAACGGGATATATTGTCTTTAAAATTTTTATTGTAAATCTTTTTACAATACTTTTTATGAATTGTAAGTTGATATTATTTTAGCTACTAAGTGTAATGGGAAAAGAGAATTATTAAAATTTTATGTTTAAGTTTTAAACAAAAACTTTTTTTCTTTACATTGTTGTTCAGGATCTTTCTAAAATATAATGGGCTATTTATCTGTCTTGCCAAATACAATAAAGTGAAAATAATTGAATCTTTCCTTTTAGATTGAAAAGCTTCAGGGTGCAACTCAGTAGTACATTTTATACTGTACTTTAATCTTCATACTGTGTTTTTCTCTTGGTTTACCAATTACCTTATATAAAATTGTGTGTGTGTTTTTTTAATTTGCATCTTTAAAAAGAAGAAATGTGGTTAACAGAAGCTTCAACTAATTACATTCCATCTGATGAAGTTTCACTTTATATTTTAAGATTTTGTGTGTTGTCTTCTAAAAAGTAAAATCACTACATGAAATGACTTAATGTATACGTCTCTTTTAAGTTATAAGAATCTAAGCACATCCCCAAAGATAGTAAATATCTTAACAGGTCTCCTGCTAGTACTGTTAATGTGGCACCTTAGGAAATTTTTTCTTTTAGCTTTTACAGCCTTAGTTATATATAAAATATAATTTAGAAATAATTGTGTATTTCTTTAAAAATGTTCTAATGCAAATTGAAGTACTTGTATACATTTATTGCATGTCTGATGTTGAGCTGAAATGTGATACCATATTGGTACGTATAAGAAATTCTTTTCTTATATTAATATTAATGTTCCTTTTGTAAAATGAGAAAAAATAAAATTTTAATTAATTTTTTGACATTTTTGTTTTCTGATCAAGGACCTTTTGGAGAGCGAGACGATCAACAGGTGTTTATCCAGAAAGTTGTTCCCATCACCAACAAACTATTTGTAAGACTCTCATCGACTGGAAAAAGGTAACACTTTATTGTAAAAATATTTGTATTCAGAAGCCACCTTTTGTCTTACAAAACATATGGCATAATTTGACATATTGACCAAAGAGTGCTACTAGAAACAAATTGTTGGGACAGAAGTCTGTTATCTCATAATCATAACTCAAAATTAAGACAGTAGACTTTATGCTTACTTTCTGGGATTTAAGAGTTTCACTGATGCTGTGGACAGTTAGGAGGGACTAGTGATAGAATAAGAACACAGTGAACTTTTTTTCATGGCCAAACATAAATACTTATTAATTTTGTTATTATAAACAGTTTCTATCTTTAAAAAACCTGGAACTTAAATATTTTCCATCCCATATAAATCTGTATACATTATTGATGTTTCTCAAATAAAACATTACAGATTTCCTGATTCAGTATCCCCTTTTAAAATAAAAATGATATTAATAACACTAATTTGCATAATCTTGGCACAGCTTACAACATAGCACACATTTTTTTTTTCTATTTTAGACCTATTTCCATCTACTTTAACATGGAGAGAAATTGTCTGTCTCCGTGAGAGTAGGATTCCTGTCTTTATGCAGTCTCCTCAGTATTTGTTTGTGAATGCTGCACTTATGCTTCCATTATATGGCACTGGCAGTATTCCTCTGCTTTTGTCTTCAGAAATGATTTCTATTCAAACTTAAAGAACATAGTGAATTTGCTGGCAGACGGCTGAACTAATTCTGGCACTTCCTGTTACTAGCTATGTAAATACAACTCAAGTTATTTTATTTCCCTTATCCCAGTTTCTTTATAAAATAAGGTTCAACGACTTTGGCAGGATTTCATAGGATAAAATAAATTTCAAAAATGAAATATCTCTCATAGTACCTAACCATAATAGATGTACAGTAGAAGTTAATTTCCTCTTCCTTTTCTATTGACTGAAATTTTACTTCTTTTAAAATTATTATTTATAACCTCAGATTTTGCTTCAACATTCCTCTGCATTAAACAAATTTTTTTGACGATGAGAACACATGGACACATGGAAGGGAACAACACACAACAAGGAGCCTGTTGGGGGTGAGCGGGGCCGGGGAGAGAGAGAGCATCAGGAAGAATAGCTAATGGATGCTGGGTTTAATACCTAGGTGATGGGTTGATCTATGCAGCAAACCACTATGGCACATGTGTAACAGACCTGCACATCCCGCACATGTACCCCAGAACTTAAAAGTTACAGGGAAAAAGTTTTTTGCATGTCAAACAAATGAAAAAAGTAACTTTCCTGTTAATAGTCCATTAGGAAGGTTATTGTTTTCATTTTATTTATTTATGAATGAGACGGAGTCTTGCTCTTTTGCCAGGCTAGAGTGCTGTGGTGTGATCTCAGCTCACTGCAACCTCCAGACATGTGTCTGTTCGTGTCGTTTGCCCACTTTCTAATGGAGTCATGTTTTACTTGTTGATTTGAGTTCCTTATAGATGCTGGATATTAGACCTTTGTCAGATGCTTAGTTTGCAGATATTTTCTCCTATCCTGTAGGTTGTCTGTTTACTCTGTTGATAGTTTCTTTTGTGGTGCAAGTGCTCTTTACTTTAATAAGGTCCCACTTGTCAATTTTTGTTTTTGTTGCAGTTGCTTTTGGAGTCTTTGTCATGAGATCTTTGCCAGGGCTGATGTCCAGGTTGATATTTCCTAGGTTTCCTTCTAGGGTTTTTACAGTTTTAGGTTTTACATTTAAGTCTTTACTGCATCTTCTGTTGATTTTTGTATGTAGTAAGAGGAAGGGGTTGAGTTTGAATCTTCTGCAAATGGCTAGCCAGTAATCCCAGCACCATTTATTGAATAGGGAGTCTTTTCCCCATTGTTTATTATCAGCTTTGTTGAAGATCAGGTGGTTTTAAGTATATGGCTTTGTTTTCTGGGTTCTGCATCCTGTTGCTTTGGTCTATGTGTTTGTTTTTGTACCGGTACCATGCTGTTTTGGTTATTGTAGCCTTGTAGAATAGTTTAAAGTTGGGTAGTGTGACGTCTCTGGCTTTGTTCATTTGCTTAGGATTGCTTTGTCTATTTTATTTGGGCTCTTTTTTGGTTTCATAGGAACTTTAGAATAGTTTTTTTTTTTTTTTTTTTTTTTTTTTTTTAAGAGACAGAGTCTCACTCTGTCACCCAGGCTGGAGTGCAGTGGTGTAATATCAGCTTACTGCAAGCTCTGCCTCCCGGGTTCACACTATTCTCCTGCGTCAGTTCCTGAGTAGCTGGGATTACAAATGCATGCCACCACGCCTGGCTAATTTTTTGCATCTTTAGTAGAGACGGGGTTTCACTGTGTTAGCCAGGATGGTCTCGATCTCCTGACCTCATGATCCGCTCACCTCCGCCTCCCAAAGTGCTGGGATTACAGGCGTGAGCCACTGCATCCGGCCTAGAAATAGTTTTTTCTAATTCTGTGAAAAATGTCATTGGTAGTTTGATAAGAATAGCATTGATGTAATTACTTTGTGTAGCATGGCCATTTTAACAATATTAATTCTTTCTATCCATGGTCATGGAATGTTGTTCCACTTGTTTGTGTTGTCTGCTTTCTTCGAGCAGTGTTTTTGTAATTCTTGTCTTAAAGATCTTTCACCTCTGTGGTTTGCTGTATTTCTAGGTATTTTATTCTTTTTGTGGCTTTTGTGAATGGGATTGCATTCTTGATTTGGCTCTCAGTTTTAATGTTAATTGGTGTATAGAAATGCTACTGATTTTTGTACATTGATTTTGTTTTTTAAAACTTTGCTGAAGTTGTTTATTAGATGTAGGAGCCTTTGGCAGAGACTGTGGGGTTTTCTAGGTATAGAATCATTTTATTTTCATTTTAATGTTACTAATCCTGTTCATTTTAAAATTTTATGGCTGCATTTTCAACATATCTGTTAATATTTTGATGAATAAATTCTTTGAGATGAATTTTTTACATCAAAGTTCATTATCAAATTGCATAAATGACTGTGATGTAGTGTTCTCTGCATAGTGAAGAAACTGCCAAATGTTATTAAAACTGGTATCATAACATTCTCTAACAATGTAGTATATCATATTTACTTATTCAATTCTAATATCCCCTCTTCTGTTATTTCTGATATCCCCCTTTCTGTTATTTCTAACAGTAACACTGTGCAATTTCTGCATAATAAAACAAATTTTATAATTTTTAAGTTTATGATTCCAAAGGAAAAGCTATAGTTACAAAAATAACATGCAGAAATTACTCTGTAGAATTGAATAGAAAATTAGCCCTTTATAAAGCTATAGTGAACCAAAGATTTTGTTTAAGGACAGTTCAGGCTCTTAATAGTGAGAAGTGAAATGAAAGGGTTTTATTTAAAGGAAGCAAGAAAAAACCTTGTAGAAAATTTTAAATAAAGGAGTAGTTTTAAGAAATCTATCCCGGCCGGGCGTGGTGGCTCACGGCTGTAGTCCCAGCACTTTGGGAGGCCGAGGCGGGCAGATCACAAGGTCAGGAGATTGAGACCATCCTGGCTAACACGGTGAAACCCTGTCTCTACTAAAAATACCAAAAATTAGCCAGGCGTGGTGGCGGGTGCCTGTAGTCCCAGCTACTTGGGAGGCTGAGGCAGGAGAATGGCATGAACCCGGGAGATGGAGCTTGCAGTGAGCTGAGATCGCGCCACTGCACTCCAGCCTGGGCGACAGAGCAGGCCTCCGTCTCAAGAAAAAAAAAAAAAAGAAATCTGCATAGGGGGAAAAAAGTTCAAAATTATGTTTGTTTTGTGGAAGCAGAAGGGTCACAGCAGATACCCCTTTAACAAAAGATAGGCTAGCAAGAGAAAACATTACAAATTGATTTTATTATACTTTTATATGACACGAGAGCCTTCAGAATGAAGACCCAAAGACACAAGGAAAAGTGTCCATTTTTATGCTTAGGTTAGAAGAAGCAGGGACAGCCATGTAGAACTGTGACTGGACAAAAAGTTGTAAGTTAACAGAAATAGACTGAGTAGGGAACTCCAGTGGAGACTGTCTCTGTGTGGCATTCCTTTCTCCCAGGGATGGGGCAGAACCCCTCTGTAGTGAGGGCCTTAATTTCTTTATGGCTAGCTGTTCACAGAAAGATAGGGACATGTTAGGGTAATATTTTTATGCTTCATGGCTAGCTTTGGGGAAAGAGCGTTCTGGTTTCTGTGAGCCACCTTGGGGAAAAAGAAGATTGTCTCTATGGCTTGCCTTGCAGGTCAGAGAGAAACTTTGCTTCTGAGGGTATTTTCTGAGACCCAAGTTTTCATATGCATACAAATGTTGATTTGTTTTATTTGAAACATAAACAGGACTCTGAGGAGGGAGTTGTTGAACATTTTAAATCAATTTACAGATATTATTTAAAAATAAATGTAATTCACTAAATTATGATCATCTTGATAAATACAGGAATAAAATCTGATAATTTGTCACCTATTTATGATTTAAAAAAACCCTAGCAACTAAAAAAAGGGAAATTTTAAAATCTGATAATGCCCATGAAAATAATTCTTTCAAACTTTATATTGGCGAAATATTAAAAACTTCCAGGCCGGGTGCGGTGGCTCACACCTGTAATCCCAGCACTTTGGGAGGCTGAGGTGGGCGGATCACCTGAGGTCGGGAGTTCAAGATCAGCCTGACCAACATGGAGAAACCCCATCTCTACTAAAAATACAAAATTAGCCAGGCCTGGTGGCACACGCCTGTAATCCCAGCTACTCAGGAGGCTGAGGCAGGAGAATCGCTTGAACCCAGGAGGCAGAGGTTGCAGTGAGCCGAGATCACGCCATTGCACTCCAGCCTGGGCAACAAGAGCAAAACTCCGTCTAATGAAAAAAAATAATAATTTCCTTTGTGTGATATTGTGAAATACATATTTGGTCTTTGTCTCTGTTTCCTGGTATATTCCTTCAAAAATTCTTAAAGTCTTCCAAATGATAAGTGTCTTTTTGTATGCCAATGAGTTGACTGATGGCAGGTCACCAGAAAGACCAAGATGGGAGTAGAAGGTTGGCACTTTCAGCCCCACCCAGCAACCTTTGAGAAGGGGAGAGGAGCCGAAGGCTAAGTTGATCAATGGCCAATGATTTAATCAATCATGCCTATATAATGGAGCCATTATAAAATAATAATAATAAACTGAGTTCAGAGCGCTTCCAGATAGCTGAAAACCTGGAGGTTCTGAAGGGTGGCGTGCCCAGGGAGGGCATGGAAGCTCTATGCTCCTTCCCACACACCTTACCCTGGGAATCTATTGTTCATCTGTATTCTTTGTAATTAACTCGTAAATGCGAGCTTTCCTTTGAATTCTGTGAGCCACTCTAGCAAATTAGTTGAACCTAAGGAGGAGGCTGTGGGAACCCTGATTTACAGTCAGTCAGTTAGAAGCACAGGCAAAATAACCTGAGGCTTGTGATCAGCCTCTGAAGTGGGGCTCAGCTTTGTGAGACCGAGTCTTCTACCCGTGTGATATGACAGATAGTGTCAGAATTAAATTGAGTTAGAGGACACTTAGCTGGTGTCTGCTGCAGAATCGACTGCTTGCTTGGTGTTTGGTGAACCCCTCCACCCCATTTGGTCACAGAACCCTTTTTTTTGCCAAGGAGTGAAGGACATTCTGCCCCAAAATAGGCCAAATTGGTATATTGATTATTTTGAGGTGAAAACATTAGAGAAATTGTCATTTCAGAAGGGGATAGCTGACCTCTCTCTTCCTACATGCAGCAAGCCAAAAGATTTTCTCGGAGTTTTATCCTCCCTGTACCAGGACAGGAGAGTGGGAACTGGGGGCTGCAGTGGACCTGAGTGAATATGCTTACCTTCCACTAGTTTTACATTGTCCCACTATATATATATATAATGTATATATATAATACATATTTAATATATATTAAATATATATTACATATATTTAGTATATACGTAATATATATTAAATATATATAATATATATGTATATCTTCTAGTGACTCCCTTAGAAATTTACTGCCTCTAGTCAGATTTTCTTTATCCTGTCATTTGTTCTACAGTTTATCATTCTTTGTCTGAATTGTATAAAAGCATCTTGCTGTGGCCACTTCTTTGGACCTCACTCTCTTGTGAAGATTCCCATGTACATGTAAAACTAATAAAATGTATATGCTTCTCTCTTGTCAGTCTGTGTGGTGTCAGTTTGGTTTCTAGATCCAGCCAAGAGCCCACATAACTAAAAGGGCATTTGGAGGTAAACTTTCACTTTCCTTAGAGTTGATTGTTGCATGAGAGTACAGGAAAAATACTTTGGTTTGTTTATTCCTGTATTCACAAACCTTGAGCTCAAGAATGAGACTAGGATAGTCTTTATCACTACATGTGGGCATGTAGGAATTATCTTTTTCCCTCCTTTTTGTCCGGCCTACTAGGAAGCTCATCTAAGCTTCATATTCTATTCCTGTATGCTTCTCAAATTCATGTGGATTGTATTTTTTTTTGTCTATTTTTTTGACCTTGCGTTTGCCTATACTGATTTTTCTTTTTTAATAAACTCCCTCAACTCTTTTGAAGTAGGCTGGGATAACTAATTCAGTCAAGTACAATTCAGTTAGCCCTTACGTGACTTTGGAACAATCATTTGCTGATGTTATCCCATTGTTTCCTGATCCGTCAATGTGGATAAAAATTGTTCTCTCTCAGGTTCTTTTATCTTTTATGAAAATCAACTAAAAAGTCATAAAAATCTTTTTTTGAAGTTGAGTATTATCCTAATGATGGATACAATATGGGCCATCTCCATAGAGCTGTATATTTTTTCTGGTTTCAGATTTTAAAGATTTACACATAAATTTTAAATGATTTTTTAAAAGTCTTTTCTAGTATAACATGTTTGCTTTCTTTCTTTCTGTCTTTTTAGTTTCATAGCTTCTTTTTAAATAATTGCTCATTCCCATCAGGGCTCTTTCTGCTTTTCTTTTGCAGAATATGTGAGATCCAGGCTGTTGACTGTACTACAATATCCTCATTTACAGTGAGGGAATGTGAGGGATCCAGTAGGATGGGCTCAAGACCAAGGCGCTACTTGTTCACAGGCCATACAAATGGCAGTATTCAAATGTGGGATCTGACCACTGCTATGGATATGGTTAACAAAAGTGAAGATAAGGGTAGGTTCTCATACAGAAAGATGTTTGTCACAAGGTTAAGCTTTTCACTTAAGTGATTTTAATGACTATTTGTTCTCCTAAGATGTAGGTGGTCCAACCGAAGAAGAGCTACTCAAATTACTCGATCAATGTGATTTGAGCACATCTCGCTGTGCTACTCCTAACATCAGTCCAGCAACTTCCGTAGTTCAGCATAGCCACTTACGAGAATCAAATTCTAGGTAGGTTAAAGAGTTGGGTATTATAAACAAAATTTATTTCTTTTGGGGAAATTGACTGAAATATTGTAATCACATAGTTGTTCTAGAAAGCCATACTTCTCAAGGTACATTTTAAATTCAGACATTATGTTAACTTTTTAACAGTTTTACCAAATTTCTTGATAGGCATATCTGGTTCTTTTCATAGAAAAACATTTTTACCTTTTAACTTATTTTGTGAATTGCTGCCCAATTGGAAGCCTATTATGTGATCAAGAATTTATTCAAAGGAAATTAGGAAAATTACATGTCACCTTGGTTAGTATGTGAAGCTTTAATTATTGTCCTGTCTCAGGGACAATATTTATCTGTGGTTCTATTATGTTGTCTAGTCTTACATTTAAGCATTATGTAATTTTAATACAAAGTTCCATAATGTCTTTTTAGTTATCATATTGATAAATTCCAAAGTCTGAAGAACCAAGGGCTAAATACTGAATTATGATGGTTTCACATTGGTTTCAAGGATTTTTCCTCCCATCTTTTTTTTAGCTGTTCAAAAATTCAGCATGTCTGTGAATATATGATGGTATTATTTGCATTGGTAATTTTATATACCATCTATATAATAAAGAGTACTTGATAAGTATATTTTTACAAAGAGAAATATGGATATAATACACTTTATGTATTTATATAGTGTGTTTTATTGGTTGTATAATTAATATGTTCCTGAGAAATCACAGAGTGAAATCTGAACTGTCATTTTTAAAAACTGTATTTCAGCCTTCAGCTTCAGCACCATGATACCACCCATGAAGCAGCTACTTACGGTTCCATGAGGCCTTACAGAGAAAGTCCTTTATTAGCAAGGGCAAGAAGGACTGAGAGCTTTCACAGTTATAGGGACTTCCAGACTATTAATTTGAACAGAAATGTAGAAAGAGCTGTCCCTGAAAATGGTAACTTGGGTCCAATACAAGCTGAAGTGAAAGGGGCAACAGGGGAATGTAATATATCTGAGAGAAAGTCTCCTGGAGTAGAAATAAAAAGTTTGAGAGAATTGGATAGTGGATTGGAAGTGCATAAAATAGCTGAAGGTTTTTCAGAATCCAAGAAAAGGTCATCAGAAGATGAAAATGAAAATAAAATAGAGTTTAGGAAGAAAGGAGGATTTGAAGGGGGAGGATTCCTTGGAAGAAAGAAAGTTCCCTATCTGGCGTCATCACCAAGTACTTCCGATGGAGGAACTGACTCACCTGGTACTGCGTCCCCATCTCCTACAAAGACTACTCCATCTCCTCGGCATAAAAAAAGTGATTCTTCAGGTCAGGAGTACAGCTTGTGAAAACTCACCAAAATGAATAGTTGTTTCGTTACATTTAGATGAAAGTTAAACTTTACTGAATTTCAGTACATTAGTTTTTACACTAAAACTTTACAAGATAAAATTGGACTTCATTTAGTATCTTTTTAACAGAATTACTTGGAATAATGAGATACAATAATCATATCTCTTTTGACATTTTGGAAATTTTTTTAATTTTACAAGTACATTTAACAGATCATTTATAAAGCAGGAGTCCATTTTAACACTTACCGACTTTTTTTGGTTTGGAAACATATTACCACGTCTTAATAGGATGGTGCCCATATAGGTGAGCATCCCTTTAGATCATGGGAACCAGCAGACTGCATTCCTAATCTTCATTATGCCTGAGACTTGTCTTACAATGTTACCTTTAAGTGAATCACATAATTGTCTTTGGAACTTGGTCTCCCAACACTTATTGTGATTGCAAAGTGTTTACCAGATATTTGATGAGGTGCTATGTTTGTGAAAAACATATCATGTAATTCAAAAACACTATTGATATTGAATACCAGATACCACTATGTAGTAAGTCTTTTAGGATGATTTTAATTTAGTCGTGCGTCATTTTCTGATTCTCATCATTGGGAGATCTTAAATCTTAGCAAGCATTAGCAATATTAAATGCCAAAATTCCATTGAAACTTTCAAGTTGGAGCAATTGTCTGTGTTTGAAAAGATGAAATAAAAATAATAATCAAGGGCAAAGCTTTGAGTGCCCAGAAGGGAAAGCTGTACCAGTTGCTAACCTGTCTTGTTTCAGGAGCCACCATGTTTTTTTTTCAGTGTTAACAACAATCATGATAATTAAATTAAAACACTAGTTTGTTCACTTGTAGGACTGCAGTTCTGAATTTTGGGTTAAAGGTTTTGGCTGCTGTAAGAATGTGAATTTGAATGTATTTTGAATTGTAAGAGCAAAAGAACGTTTTTGTACAATTTTTTTTCATTTAATTGGAATGATCTTCAGGTTTCTACAAATAGGGTAATTGTAAATTTAAAGCATTAGCATTTATTGGTGAATAATGTATATATCCCCATTCCAAGAAATATAAGTGAGTGAAGTTGAAATAAAATCTTTAAAATTTACTATATTGCCAGTGGTTTCACAACAGTTCTCTTGTATTTATTTATCAATTAAATCAAATAAAAATGATTATGTCAATGCGTTTTCAGTTATTTAAGTAACAGTTCTGTTTAAAGTGTGCTATATATGTTTGTTCATTTCTTTGCTTCTTCCCATAATTTAAAAAAAATGGGGGGAGGGAGAACTTAATATATGTGGAAAATAAGTTATTATCAATGAAAGAAAATATTAGGCAAAGCATAATTTCAAAATTACTAAGATTGTAATTATCTTACACCCTTCTTCCTCTTTATGACAGTTATGTGAAAGTTGGGTGGGCAAGTAAGAAAATGAAAGAAAAAACTAGACTCTAGTGACCAGGAATAAAAGGCCATTAAAAAGAAGATAGTAACTATTATGTAATAGAATCGCATAAAAAGGAAACTGACTATACTAGATTGCATTACAGTACAAGTCAAATCGTTTCTTTCTTTTGCTTACAGGAGATTGAACCTTGATGCAGTGGTTTATGTCTGTCTACTCTGACACTAATTTCTCAGATTGCCCCCATTATGCCTTAATTTTTTCATTATACCTACCTCATTAGGGTCGCTGTGGTGGGAAGAAAAAAAATTGAAATGAGTCTGTGTACTTTGTGTGATTGATGATGAAAAATGAAAACAATTGTAATTATTTTCATGGAAAGAAGTATTTTCATACCAATAGGGTAAGTAAGTAAGTGTTGTTGTTATCCTCATTTCACAGATGGGATCACTGAGACCCACAGGGGTTAAATAACTAACTTAGTGACAAGGCTTATTACCTACTGAGCCAACTTCTGAACCCAAATCTTTCTATTTCAAGAGTCTATGGTCCTGTTCCTGGCTCTTATGCAGGCTTATGTATCAGAAATGGCTGAGGTTAGACACATGGTTGCCCAGGCCTCACTCCCACTCCAGTCCTGCTGAATTTGAATCTCTGCTGGTTGAGACATAATAATAGTATATTTTGGAAAAAAAAATAAAACAGTTTTCATTCTAATAATGTACATTGTTGGTTGAGAAATTATCCAGAACATCCTACTTACTTTCTTAAATAGGTATAGCTTTATCATCATTTATGTGTAACTCAGAGCTGTTAAGAGTATTATTTTTTAATAATAAATAGATGATTAAGCCAGAATTAGGTCACATTCAAATATTTATTAAGCAAACCATCTTTAGATTAGTTTACATGATATTTGTGCATTGGAAACCAACTATTCATTTGTGACATAATTAAAAGTTCCTTATTAATGAATTCTTCCACTTGGACTATGTTTTATTTACCGGTGTGTTCATGGATGCCAGCATGATTTTTACATCAGTATATGGTACCATAACATTAATATTTGGGTTCCATTTAGTGGAAATTACAGTAGATTATAAACACATTTCTTAGAGTGTATAAAAACAACTGTACTCTTACCAAACAGTTGATATTAAGAATAACAAAACATGGTAGTTCGTAAGCTGAGAATGTGGCATGTACAATTGGTAAAATGTGAGTCAGGAGATTTAAATTTAAAGAGGTTCATCAAGAACTGCTCATTGTTTATAAGGGAGAAGGGGTGAGCCAAGGAGCATAGTCCCTGTGCATAGCATATTATTCCTGTACATGATTTCTTCCAGATTGTGGAACATCAGTGGGTCTCAACATTAGAACACCTGGAAGCTTTAAAAAGTACTGATGCCTCAGCCACACACCCCAGATCAACCGAATCAGAATCTCTAGAGGCGAGTCTGCATGGTTTGTATAATAGAGGCTTGGCACGCAATACCACTTAAAGTAGCAAAGCAACATCTTAGAGTTCTTCTCTGAAATAAATACAAGTAAACTTAGACATGTAGCAGGGGACAGAGTTCTGGGCAGAAGCCATACAGGCTTCTGTCTGCCCTAAGCTATGGAGTCAAAATGTAAATGATTCAGCTAACTGAGTTCATGTCTAATTAGATGATTAAATGGATAATGATCCAAGATAAAATCCCCTGCAGTTCTGTATTTTTTTGTGCGTTGTTAAAATTTTATACTGTGCTTGGAAAAATACACAGTGATAAAGATACCTGGTTAATTTTTCAAAAATCAGGATAAACTCAATCTTCTGAACCTAGCAAAGCATATTTGTAGACTATTCTTTGTGACTAGCAAACTGTATTCTTAGAAGAGTCCACCAAGGATTAGGATGCAAGTTTGTGACCACTCCTTTCCTATATACCTTAAGTAGCTCACAGAAGGTGGACACAGCCTTGGTTAATGCTTATTTGTGCCAGCTTTAAACAACTTTATTGTCCCAGAATCGGCATATGGGAATAAAAACCAGTAAACTAGTCAATCCTATGTTTTCATTTCAGAAAGTATAAAAACTTGGCGAGAAATATATATTTCGTATTTTCTACAGTCACTGCCAGATGTGCACAATTATTTCAGATGCTTTTGTTTATAGCAGTTCTAATAAGGTGGTAGAACTTCTGCTTAATACTGGCCTGTGCTTTTGACACTTATGGTTGGCAAACTTTGTCTAGGAGTTGGTCAGTCTGAGGAGCTGCTCTCTCACAGAGCTAGATGAAATCTCAATACCCAAAAAGTCCACAATCTTTTACTGTTGGGCCCTGGGGTAATACATTGTTTTCAGGCAGAATAAGTAAGACTATCCCTTACTTTACAAGTTTTTGCCTGTCTCTGGTTGTAGATTCACAAAAAGTATTGTGACTATTGTGTGTTAGACAGAGTCAATATTTTCCTGGGGTCACAAAGACCTTTAAGGATGAAGGAAGACAAGAGGTTTTCTTACTCTGTTTTCCATGAAGAACAAATTTAAATATCTGATTTTATGTGGATGATTTGCAAGAAAATTTTTCTTGCCATAGGACTTTCACCAATGACTTTGTAATCCAACTAGAGCAGGTGACAGACATTTTTGAACCGTAATTGGTACTGTTGCATATCATCTGTTCTTACTGATTCTGTGGCTAAAATAATGGCTAGTTCTCCAAAAAGAAGGGATATAGTGCAGAGTAATATATACATGATATACATATATATACACATAGGTATAGTCTTGTCTCTACATGTATATATGTTAATGCTAGAAGGAACAGATACATTTTTCCTTTTAAAATTTCACGCAGCCTAATATTGCAAATAGAACAGTAGTTTCCATTTGAAATGTGCTAGGTTGAAGATGTCAGTATTCTCTGATATTCAGTGAATTGACAGAATTTTATGAGAAACTAGTTTCAAAACTATAAAATATATGAAATAAAAACATTGGTTCAAGTAGAGGTGTTCCTAGTGAAACACTTTGTTTTCTCCTCAAAATGTATAAATAAGCTGTTTACTCCTTAGATTTTTGGAAAATTCATAAATGCAAGAACAGAGACATTTATGTGTAAGTTATGTGTTGCCTTGTCAAAAAGTTTGGTGAGTAACCCTATGTATTGTAAATAAATAGAACCTTCAGCCTTGTCAAAAAGTTTGGTAAGTAACCCTATGTATGGTAAATAAATAGAACCTTCAGAAAAGTTTGTCGACCTGGTGCAAAGTTTGGGATTCATTTAGCAGCTGTGATCATTAGAATAACTATTCTTGCAGGATTGTGTCAACCCTGACAGAAATGGCAGATAGAAATGAACAGCAGTGACATCCTTTCAACAGAATCATTTTTGAGCCAGTAACTAACTTACTACTTCTAACAACTGTGAGCCATCTTGAAATTGCCACTGATTATTCAGTTAACCAGGAGCATCACTGCCAAACAGAACCAAGTGACAATTACATACTTCTTTGTCTTCTACAAAATAAGAGCAAATCAAGTATTTTCATATGAATATTCTCTCTCATTTAAGATGAGAAAAATATCATTTCTTAGACCTCTATTAGGAAGGAACACTTTCAAAAACAGTCATCATTTCTTTAAAGAATTATAGGATAATAAACAATGGCTTTTCAGCATTTATGATGTGTGAGTGATAACCCAGGAGGAAATGGGTGCAGACCTTGCATTCCAGGGTTACGTCTTCTGGGTTTCCATCCTTTACAGGTGGGTGTCTGTGAATGTGGTGCGTTCCTTAGTCACTGAGCTGAAATCCTTGATGGCGTTCATCAGGTCCTCTTCATCCACATACTGAAAAATAAGCCAATCATCATTGGCTACATACTTGCTATCAATAGTATTTGCTATCAATTTATAGTTATATCAATTAAGTGTAAAAAGTAATAAGTATTAAAGGCTTTTTTATTCTCAACACCATGGTGGGGTCTAAAACAGACCTTGCCTTAAATTTCTCTTATTGAAAGGATCACATCACATGCACACATGAACTATAGACTAATTCAAAATGTATATGTGATTTGAGGGTTATATTGTGTCATATTTTAACCTAAGCCTCAGAAGCCTCAGTCTACTCATCTGTAGAGTGGGATGTGTGTGTGTGTACATATATACTTGATAAAAATAAATTAGCTGGGGGTATATATATATATTTTTAGTATATATATACACACTATATAGACACTACATATATATACTATATATTTTAGTGTATATATACACTATATATATATATGTATGTATGTATGTATGTATATAGTATTTTTAGTAGAGATGGGGTTTCACCATGTTGGCCAGTCTGGTCTTGAACTCCTGACCTCTGGTGATCTGTATATATACATATATATACACACATATATATGGATTTAGTTCAAACGGTAAATGGAAGAGGCAGAATGCTAGCTATTTGTGCTCCATTTCTTCCCACTCTTGTGCTGTATTTTGTATTTATCAAATAGGGTTAGTAATGTTGGTTATAATGTTATAATAAACAGATAACTTGCCAAGTACTGGCACCTTCAAAAGCTTGTTATTGAGTCCCTTTGCACATTGCCCATTATTAGTACCGTAAAAAGCAAGCAAAAATGACAATACAGTATAATAGTTACAAATAGGAGCTCTGTAGTCAGATGATGTTTTTAAGAACCCAAACCCATAAAAATAATTGCTAGCTGTGTAATCTCTCATTAAATCACTCATCTCTCTAAACCTCAGTTCTTTTTGTAAAAAATGAGGATGATAATAGAACCTACTTCCTACAGTTTGTGAAGATTAGATGTAATAATTCATCTGAACTTTCAATGTATTATGTTGAATGTATAGCAATTGCTGTTTTGCATGTCAAAAATGATCAGTTAGCAATTCATTGTTTCAACCAAATATAATTATCCCTGCCTTTTAAAAACTTTAGATCTGAAATGGACTCATGTAGTTGAGGTTACAACAACATCAAACAGCCTGTGATTTTAAAATGCATATTATATATATGTATATATTATACAATCATTCTGAACAGGCCAGAAGGATGGTACATTTTTTTATATAGTGTTAGGGAACCTGGGTCCAGCGAACTCCCTTTATTATTTGCTATTAGTCAAGAAAGGCTTCATGGAAGTCATCAACTTTTCAGTGAAGGAAAAGTGAGAACTTGGAGGAGAAAGATGAGAGCAAATCCAAAAACAGAAGCAGATGATTGAAAGAAGTGGAGGTGAATAATTTTACCCCAGAGGAGTAAACACAGGAGCTAACTTCCTAGCTGGTTATGTTTCTTTTCTTTTCTTTCTCTCCCTCCCTCCCTCCCTTCCTTCTTTCCTTCCTTCCTTCCTTCCTTCCTTCCTTCCTTCCTTCCTTCCTTCCTTCCTTCCTTCCTTCCTTCCTTCCTTCCTTCCTTCCTTCCTTCCTTCCTTCTTTCCTTCCTTCCTTCCTTCTTTCCTTCCTTCCTTCCTTCCTTTTTTCCTTTTTTTCTTTTTTCAGAGTCTTGCTCTGTCACCCAGGCTGGAGTGCAGTGGGGCCATCTCAGCTCACTGCAACTTCCACCTCCCAGGTTCAAGCAATTCTCCTGCCTCAGCCTCCTGAGTAGCTGGGATTACAGGTGCGCACCACCGCGCCCAGCTAATTTTTGTATTTTTGGTAGAGACGAGGTTTCACCATGTTGGTCAGGCTGGTCTCTATCTAACTCTGGACCTCGTGATCCGCCCACCTCGGCCTCCCAAAATGCTGGGATTACAGGCGTAAGCCACTGTGCCTGGCCTATCTGTTTATTTTCTAACAGGCCCAGTGGAATGGTAGGTACTGCAGCGGGCATCTAGGAAGTTAGCACAATGAAATTTGATAGTTGGCAAAAATTCTAGGATTTTTGTTATTGTAGCCGCTCAGAGACTGATAATAAATGTTATATCACGAAGAGGTTACCTTTCAAAGAGCCAATGATTTGTACCCACTGGACTGAAATTATGAAAGATGAAGCTTATAAATAGTAACACCCTCATTTGTCATCATTTCCTAAGGTTTTGGAAAGCAACCATGTTCACCTGTTGATACAAAATATTCTTTTTGCGTCTACCCATACACCAATAGGAAAAGGCAAAACAAAAAAAGTACCTTTTTGTTTTAGTAAAACAAGTGCTTGTATTTTATGCCTTGTTTTAGGCCCATTCCAATGTTTCCTGTCATCTGCTCCAAGTATATGAAGTATAACCTGTTTGCTGCTTATTTATTTATTTATTTTGAGATGGAGTCTCTGTCACCCAGGCTGGAGTGCAGTGGCGCGGTCTCGGCTCACTGCAACCTCCACCTCCTGGGTTCAAGCAATTCTCCTGCCTCAGCCCCCCTAGTAGCTGGGATTACAGGTGCCCACCACCACACCTGGCTAATTTTTGTATTTTTAGTACAGACAGGGTTTCACCATGTTGGCCAGGCTGGTCTCAAACTCCTGTCCTCAGGTGATCCGCCCACCTCGGCCTCCCCAAGTGCTGGGATTACAGGCATGAGCCACCACGGCTAGCCAATAAGCATTTATTTTTAAGCATCTATTGCATACCAGAAGAACAAGACAAAGTTTCTACCCTGCTTATCAAACAACTGAAGTAACATTAGTAAACCGGTTGTTACTACCTCACTGGCTAAGTGCTCAGAGGCGAGTGCCATGGGGCAGCATTCGGTGAAGTACAGGCAGCTCTGTACCAATATTTTTTCTGGGATATTTAGCAAAGGCCCTGTATGAGGAAACCAACTCACCAGTCCACTGTTGTGGCCCATGATGGCTTCCCACAGTGAGTTGTCCATCAAGACTTTCTTGTCTTGAATGTCCATGAGCTGGCTGACGCTGCGGTGAAGAGAACCCTGGGAGTAGGTTAGGCTGGTTTGGTTTTGACTCGGGATGCGCAGGACACATGCACTCCGGTTGCTGCGGATACTCACAGGTGTCCCAGACCGGGGAATTTTGGTATCGGCTAACCCCTGAGAAGGAAGTTGCTGTGAGTATTTCACATATAAAGAATATGGGCTTGAAATATGACAGAGAATTGTGTCTCACACATTGTCAGTGAAGGGAATGACTGTCTCCTGACAATTGTCACATTGTCAATGAAGGGAACAACTGTCACCTACAGAATTTAGCAGCTATGAGCACCCACAACACGGTGACCCTGGGTTTCTTGGTAAGAAGGATGAGATGATGAGCTAATACTCAAGTTAGGTGGCCAGTGTTTTCGGCACCTAGAGAGCTCATGCACTGGTGCTCTGGCTGTTGTTCCCTGTGGGGCAAGGGCTTGCTGCATTGCAAAGTGGTGGGGCAAGGCAGACGGATGATGGGTGAACAAGGTATCTTCTTCATACATGTCAGCACAGAGCCTCCCTCTTGAGAACACTCCTCCCCCAGAACAGCCAAAGATAACAATATTATTTCATGGTGGTCCACTATGTGAGCTCCGTTTGTCTTTCACTTTAAAAGTCCTGGATTTGTGTAGGGAAATTGACTCCTCCCTCCCTCATTTCTCATTCCATATTCCTCCATTTCTTATAGGATTCCAGCCTCCAAATTACATCAGGTCTGATATTAACATCAGAGAGAAAAAGTCACTACATAATTTAGACCTAGAACGCGCCGTAAGATAAACTATAGTTGCTCTAAATATCTGAGGGCTCTGATTTAGCTGGTCCAATCAATGAAATGTTTCTGCTTTTTCTTTTCTTTTCTTTTTTTTTTTTTTTTTTTTGAGACAGAGTTTTGCTCTTTCGCCCAGGCTGGAGTGCAGTGGTGCAATCTCGGCTCACTGCAAGCTCCGCCTCCCGGGTTCACGCCATTCTCCTGCCTCAGCCTCCCGAGTAGCTGGGACTACAGGCGCCCGCCACCATGCCCGGCTAATTTTTGGTATTTTTAGTAGAGACGGGGTTTCACCGTGTTAGCCAGGATGGTCTCGATCTCCTGACCTTGTGATCCGCCCGCCTCGGCCTCCCATTTCTTTTCTTTTTTCAGTAGAGTTTTCACTCATGTTGTTCAGCTTTCCAAGGAATGGATATATGGAAGTCATCAATGATCTGTTCCTGCTTTTCACTGTGCAGTCAACACACCATGCAAAAGATCATGCATTCATGCAGCACACAGAGGTACCTCAAAGTGCATGGTGTAACTTTTTAGGGTGACATTGCTTGACACATCAGATATATCAGCCACAGAGTCAAACTGAGAACAAATGGCAGCATCAGTCCATGTTTGGAACAGTTTTAAACACATTCCTTGCATTTCTCCAATGACAGCATTATCATACCCATATTTAATACTGCTCTGATGTACATATATATCCTAGGATACATACCTGCATATGTATATATGTGTGTGTATATATATGTGTGTGTGTATATATACATATATATGTGAATATATATGTATGTGTATGTGTGTGTGTATATATATATATATATATATATATATATATATATATATATATATGAGAGAGAGAAAGTTGGGTTTTGCAACTAAAACTTCATAGTGAGGCCGGGTGCGGTGGCTCATGCCTGTAATCCCAGCAATTTGGGAGGCCAAGACGGGTGGATCATTTGAGGTCAGGAGTTCGAGACCAACCTGGCCAACATGGTGAAACCCCGTCTCTACTAAAAATACAAAAATTAGCCAGGCATGGTGGCGGGCGCCTGTAGTCCCAGTTACTCAGGAGGCTGAGGCAGGAGAATCGCTTGAACCCAGGAGCTGGAGGTTGCAGTGAGTCGAGATCATGCCACTGCACTCCAGTCTGGATGACAGAAGACTCTGTCTCAAAAACAAACAAATTAAAAAAAAAAAAACCTTGGTGAGTGGAAATTAATTGATTAGTGTCTAAGGTAAGTACCACTGCCAGTATTTGTTTAGTATTGCAGGGAATGAAAGGATCTTCAAACCAGTAATTAAATAACAAGCAAAACTTAAACTTAGCTATACTGTATACTGTATGGTCTTGAAAAATGTTGATGAAATACAAAAGACACTCTCATTCCTTGGCACCTCTGCCTATTTCTCTCCATTCAGAGTATAGCCTAAAATCCTTTTGCCAGTTTGGGTCTGATGTTCAAAGGGTATCTTACCTGTTCACAAGACGGGTGCTTGGAAGAGGGTCACAGCAGCACTGAAACCAGAGCTTGTCACATGAGGGGGAGAAGTGTGTGTGTGTGTGTGTGTGGGTGGGTGTTGCAGGGGCATAGCTCATTGACCTACTCAAGTGAAAAGACAGTCAATCTGGAAAACTGAGCAGGTGAATCTGGCTTGTTCCTATTCAGATTCTTCCCCTTGACTGGATTCTTTCCCACCTGAGTAGATGAGGAGCCCACAGTCACCAACAGGGACTTCATTTTGCTCTACTAATACAAATTGTACTCTCTTTAGTTTGGCTAATTTTTGACAATGTCTCTCATGGTCTCCAACTTTGTGAGAGCAGTTTGGTTTAAAAATATTTGTAAAAAGCAACAGAAGAAGACTTGCAAATACACTGTCAACTGGATAGGATTAAATTATGATTCAACAGGCTCAGGGGAATTCCACCCGGTGCCCTGGTGTATCCCAGATTTCACTTCTGCTGAGACCTGCCTGCAATGAATGGCTTCCCTGCTGAGGATGAGCCAGTTCCCTGGGCCCAGAGCCCCTGGCAGCCAGCCAGTCCCTCTATGCCTTCCCATCCTCACACCTGACTCAGTCTTGGCCACTCAGTGAAAGAATCAGTTGGGTGCCACTGTGCATTTCCCCGATGGTAAAGGGTGTGCAGGAACAGGGTGTTTACATTCTTTTGTCCGCTTTTCTCAGCTGAAGCCTAAGTCTGTCCCCAGAGGCGGCTTAGCCTGTGTGGTGTCAGGACAGCAAGGTCTAACCAGCACCCTCCCACCACCTGTTTCTACTGGTTATCAAACAGTACACTGCATACAGGTTTTGTATTATATTATTATTTCATTTTCAGCTGTTCTCAAATCTTGCTGTGCATCAGACTTCTTTTTTTGTTTTGTTTTGTTTTGTTTTGTTTTGTGACGGAGTCTCGCTCTGTTGTCCAGGCTGGAGTACAGTGGCGTGATCTCGGTTCACTGCAAGCTCTGCCTCCTGGGTTCACACCATTCTCCTGCCTCAACCTCCCAAAGTGCTGGGATTACAGGTGTGAGCCACCGAGCCTGGCCCAGACTTCTTGAGGTTCTGGTTAAAATGGCAGATTATTGAGTTTCTCCCTCAGAACTTCAGGTCCTGCTCCTCCTATGTGATGCTGATGCAGATAGTTCATGGTCCTCACTTTGACAAAACGAAGCTTAACAAGACTCATTAAAACCCTGAGCAATGGGGTTATATCCAGAGTAACATAACATCTCCACAAGAATGATGGGAGTGTCTTCTGGTCACTAAGTTAACCAAGTAAGGAAGACAGTGTTCTTCCTCATGGAGGATTCTGACACAGAGGTGCCTGCCTATAGGGACTGGGTCAAAGGACAGGAGAAAGTATCACTGAAATGACTTCTGGACATTGCTGGTATGTGGGTACACTTTCCTGTAACCGCACCTCACATTATACAGTAGATGTGCCTAGCAGTGCTTGGGAACCTCCCTTTCACCACTCCATGCACTCCATAGACCCTAGTTTCAGTTTAGCTCATCTCCCAGGCTAAACAGATCTCTCCTGCCTTCTTTTCTCTCTTCCACTGCCTTCCTCCAGCAGCAGTGCACCTTCTAGGAACATGGGCTCCTTAAAGAAAGTTATTCTTTAACAAGGAAAAATTTTGAAATATCTGCTCTTCAGTGAGAATCTCCTAATGACTATTCACTGAACAGGAGCAAACAGCCCATGGTTCGAAGTGATCACTCGACATTCATTCATTCAACAAACATTCGTGGAGTGCCTATGATATGCCAGGCACCGTTCTGGGTCCCGGGGCACATACAACAGGAAGAGGCCCACAAGATCATTGATCCTGGGAGCTTACCTTCTATTTCAGGAGTCAGACAAACATATCTGACTTAGTGTTATGTGGTAAATGCTATAGAAAAGAAAAGAAGTGGGTTAAGGGGCTAGGAAATTTTACATAGAATGGGAGGTGACATTTGTGCAGAGATGTGAATGAAGCAAGAGTGTGAGCCACCCAAGGAGCAGCAGCAGTAATGGCCCTGTGGTTAGAGCTTGTCTGATGGGCTCAGGGAGGAAGGAGGCTCCGAGGAGGATGAGTGAGTAGAGGAGTGGGACAGATGTGAGTAGAGAGCCAAGGCCCTGATGGTGTTGGGCAGTGCCTTCTTTGCTTCTCCACCACCACGTCATTGTCCCATTGCTACTTCCCACAAAAACCACAAACCGTGGACCTCGGAGGGCCCACTGCCCTTTTGTGCTCCCAACACTCCTGCTACTTAGGTCTGATCCAGCTATGTTGGGGCTTAACCAGTGGTCATTCATTGCTGAGTGCTGGAAAAGTGAAGAGATCTGGAAGGCAGATGGTGCTGCTGTGTTCACTCACTGCTGTTTTTTTAAATGTTGAAGTGTAAGCAGCTTGACCAGGCTTCTGTGCTTAATTTTAGTACTGCCTAGGGTAGCCACTAGCTAATATAGAACCTTAGTGCAAACTGGAAAAAAGGCACCTCCTCAGGGAGACGTAGCCCTGTGGGCGCCCAGCTTTGGTGAACAGATGGGTACCTGATGAGGATTAGAAAACGCAGCCTTTCCTCCTCCAGGTAGACATAGCCCCACACCAGACTGCACCATGGAATTAAATCACCTTTTACCCTTCAATGAGTGCTCTGGGCAATGACTGTCCTGTAATACCAAGTGATGGGGCCCTCTCCCACTAGACCTTTACTGGACCTCCTATTTTGGGAGTGAGTGGTCTATAGCTAAGAGGAGCCATCCATCCTCTGTGGCACAGGGTGTCAGGACCAGAGGACAGACCGAGCACCACTAGCACTGTAGCCCCTTCCTCCCCATCTCCGCCTTTTAATGTTCATTCCCCGCCACCAAATTACACAGTAATACAACCTATAATTTCCCCAGGTAATCTCAACATACAACTCTTCTCCACCAGGCCCTGGCTTACAATTACAGGGCAGAGATACTCATCCCTAGTTACACATTAAAATCAGTTTTGGAGTGAAGAAAAGAATACCAATCTTCAGGCCCTACTCAAGACCAAGGATATGAGAATTTCTCGGATGAAGTCCAGGCAGTGATATTTTTTAAAGCTTTCCAGGTGATTCTAATGTGCAGCCAAAGTTGAGAAAGCTGTTCTAGGGTTAGCCTCTCTTGGTCCCCACACTTAGTGAAACATAACTTACATCTAATTCCTTGTTACCATGGCTATGACACATTTTTCTCAGAAGGAAAACAAGTATTCTAGTCCAGTGATAGGGAAATGGGGCCACACCTCTACAAACATACCATATGGTTTTCCCCCGGTGGGTAAACATTCAATGGAGACATCCTCTTCTGAAGAGGTACCAAGGGAGGTCTTTCTCTGATATATGGCTCTTTGTGGATTTTTCTTTGTAGTATCAGGGACAGAAAAATGGCCAACAAGATCAAGCCCAGCATCGCCATTAACACTATGAACCACAGCTCGCTGTAGAACTCTGTGCTTTTGCTCCGCGATCCCTTCTTTTTCCCAGGAGTTGTTAGGACCAAGCCTGCAAAACCCAGAGAAAGAAAGGGGAAATGTTATTTCAGAAAGCATTTTTGTCATCTCTGGCCCTGCTATTTGATAGTAAATTAGAGAGGAGTTGAAAGCAGAAAGCAGTTTGTCTCTTACTGCTTGTTTGCACTTGTGTGCAGCCTGGGGTAATGGTTCAGCAGGTTGCTGGGTTATAACGAGATGCTTACAGCCCTTGAGAGGCCTTGCTGACACTTCTGGCGCTGCTGCTCAGGTTGGAAATCACCACTGTCTTGACAAATCCCTGGGAAAGATGGGAGTGTGGGGAGCAATTTTTAAAAGAGGTTACCAAAGTAACCTTGAGGGTCACCTGTTTCATAGCTGTGTGTCTTGGGAGCAAAGTCCTTGCTTGGATTCTCATGAGGGACTGGGACCCTTACTATTATTGCTGCAGAGTCACAAACAAAATCACTCCTTGGAGATCTGAGGTGTACTTGCTTCATGCAACAGTCCAATTCCTGATACTTCGTGCAAACTGGATTTTGAAGCATCAGATTCCATTTTCCATTATGATATTAACAGCCTGTGTTTGCTACCATGTTGTCTTTACATGGCCTCTCTGTTAAAGAGCAAAGCTCAGCAAACCATCACCCAAATGCACTGGGAAAGCTTCCTATGGAAAGAAATCTTTTAGCACTGGAGCCACTTACCTTTGCTTGGCGTTCACACATTGAGAGTTCAGTTGGTGTGAGTCTCTGCACATGAAGTTAGTATTAATAAAAGTAGCTCACATTTAACAAGAATGTACCTGGTGCCAGGTCCTATGCTTAGAGCTTTACAGGGATGAAGGGTGGGTAGGATTATTTTTATTTATTTATTTATTTATTTATTTATTTATTTATTTTTTGAGATGGAGTCTTGCTCTGTCACCCAGGTTGGAGTGCAGTGGTGTGATCTCCGCTCACTGCAACCTCTGCCTCTTGGGTTCAAGTGATTCTCCTGCCTCAGCCTCCCAAGTAGCTGGGATTACAGGTGTGCGCCACTATGCCTGGCTAATTTTTGTATTTTTAGTAGAGATGGGGTTTCACCATGTTGGCCAGGATGGTCTCAATCTCACGACCTCATGATCCGCCTGCCTCGGCCTTCCAACATGCTGGGATTACAGGCATGAGCCGCCGCACCCAGCCAGGCAGGTTTATTAAGTCTTGTGGGGAAGATAGGAGAGAGGCTGACAAGAATCATGCAGGATAGGCGAAGGCAGTGAAATTATGTTGTCAGCTTGGCAAGCTAAGCAGGGGTGCGGCAGGGGTGGGGGTGGGGTGGCCAGAGATCTGCTCCCATCCAGCCACTGCTGGGGCCAGCACAGAAACCTGTGGATCTGATGCAGCGGCCACACAGGCTGGTGTGGAGATGTGAGCCAGAGAGCTGCTCATCTAAATCTAATACCCACAGCCAGGTCAGAAGAACAAGCAGACACAACTGCAAAGCCCACTCACTCACTGGACAAATCTCCCCCTTTTCAACACCTCTAGAACTCCATGGGCCTGCGTGGTACTTCACACTCACACTAGCAGGGAAAGACTTAAAGGAAAAAAGTTCAGAACTGGGGTGAAACTATTAAAGGCAGGAACAGATGGTGACTAAAACTAAACTTTGAACTCCGTAAGAGGAGGGATATTACTTTGCCAACCCTAACTCTGCTGCCGATCAGCTCTGTGATTAAATGTTGGACTCTGACCTTTGCTTCTCATCTCTAAAATAAAGGGTTGAGTCAACACTCCAATCAAGCTCCAGCAGGTCGAAATTCCCCTAATTAGGAACCAATGTGTGTTGTTTGATTAAAAACAAACCAGCCTAGGTTGCACACTAAAAGAGTTGTTTCCTCTGTGTGTGGCACAGAGAGAAAACAACTTGTTGGCTGTAACTCCAGAAACTGATCTGATGGGCCCAGTGGGCCCCTTGCTCCACAGCACGCAGGGGAAGGGAGGGCAGCCTGCCCGAGGGAAGCCTCAAAAGGGAAATAGCCCTTAGAACAGTCAGAGGAAAATGAGGTCTCTGCCACTCTCCTGCTTGGAGGCTGCCTTCAGGCAAGGGAACAGGAATGTTTTTAAAAAAGTTACATCATGAAAATTAGAACTGACGATGGATATTAGTTGGGCAGCACATCTTGGAATCTGCCAGAGCATTGCACAATCCTCAGAGTTCTTCCCCTCTGCTCTACCCAAAGCCCGGCCTCCAGACACAGTGGAAACCTCAATTCGTATTCATGAGCCAACGGGGGATTTCTCCTTTTTATGAAGACCTCGAGATCAGGATGGTGTCCCTTTATCCCTTCCCTTCTGTCTTTTTGAAGTACCCCTTCACCTTAAGGGACTCTACCTGTGCATCACATGGGAGGTTCACTGTCAGGGTTTGAAACTCTGGTGGCTGGGCCTCAGATCCAAAGAAAACCGAAACCACAGCCAGTGTCAGAGTAAATCCGTCTCTGTTGATGGCCTGCCTCCAGGAACAACACACTTCCCATTCACCAAGGAAACTAGACTGGCAGGGCTTAGAAGGCGAGCAACCTTGGTTTTCCGGCATCACTCAACACGTGGTTCTGAGCCCTGTGTCAGAATCACTGGACAGGACTTATTTAAAGAGCAGATTCTGAGCCTCCTTGAGTCTGAATCTCTGCCAGAGGCCCGGGAAACTACAATAAACAAGCACATGAGGTGATTCCTATGCGTACTTAACTTGGCAAACCATTGCAAAGAAAAAGTCCCAGGCCAGAAGTCAATAGAAAATCTGTGTTGGTGTTCTCATCCCAGTAACAAGCTAGCAGAGCATTCCTGGATAAATTCCTGTGTCCCTTATACCTCCACTTGTCCACTTGGGGAAATATTGGAGTTGCTAACAGAATACTAAATGAGATCTGTTCTATCCTACCACTGCTATTAAATGAAATAAGCCGTATGAGAAGAATTAAGTGTTGTAGGAAATTTTATATGACATCCAGACATGTAAAGTTTGGAAACATAGAATAATACGTTATTTTTACAAATTGAAACTATCCTTGACAATAATATACATGTTTCATCATGTATGAGACTCTGTCTCAAAAAAATTAAAAAAAATTTTTTTTTTAAATTGTGTTTCAGAAATTTTGGACATGTTTATTTTTCAAAAAAAAACTCTATACATGCAAATTTGATATATCATTAATTACTGGAATTTAAAATAGGATATCAATCCCGAATCTGTTTTAGTGGAAAAGATTTGGCATTTCTCTAATTTGCTTTTATAAAGTATCACAAATTTAGATTCAGAGACTATGAGTAAAACTCAGTTTAAAAGATGCTCCTTAAAAATTAAAATTGTACCCGTTGAGCTAAATTACCCGATATCAACAGTCAATCATAATCTTTTATGGAGAATAAAAGACACTTTCCAAATTTATCATTCTAGGCTTTGAATCTAGAATATTAACATTATGATCAACATGAATTGGCTGAATATTTTCTTTCTTCTTCTGATCTCTCCTCTAACTTCCTCTGTAAATCACCTTTATGCACGCGAAGTCATACAATTCTTTATTGACAGGGTTTGTGGTTAGGAGAAAAATTTAGTTTGAGCTCTCTGGTCTTTTCCATATTTACAATTCAATATTTGGCATTTTAAGAGTACATTCTGGCCAGGTGCAGTGGCTCACGCCTGTAATTCCAACACTTTGGGAGGCCAAGGTGGGTGGATCACCTGTGGTCAGGAGTTCGAGACCTCCCTGGCCAACAAAGTGAAACCCCATCTCTACTGTAAATACAAGAATCAGCCAGGCGTGGTGACATACACTTGTAGTCCCAGCTACTCAGGAGGCTGAGGCAGGAGAATCGCTTGAACCTGGAGCTAGAGGCTGCAGTGAGCTGAGATTGCACCACTGCACTCCAGCCTGGGCAACAGAGTAAGACTCTGTCTCAAAAAAAAAAAAAAAAAAAGAGTGTATTGTAACTCCTTGCCTGATATAAGTTCCATGAGGACTTTTTAAAAAATTTCTGGCTGGGCACAGTGGCTCATGCCTGTAATCCTAGCACTTTGGGAGGCCAAGGCAGGCAGATCACGAGGTCAGGAGATCCAGACCAGCCTGGCTAACAAGGTGAAACCATGTCTCTACTAAAAATACAAAAAGTTAGCCAGGTGTGGTGGCCCGTGCCTGTAATCCCAGCTACTCGGGAGGCTGAGGCAGGAGAATCGCTTGAACCCAGGAGGTGGAGGTTTCAGTGAGCCAAGATTGCACCACTGCACTCCAGCCTGAGTGACAGAGCAAGACTCCGTCTCAAAAAAAAACAACAACAAAAAAAAAACAAAAAAAAAAACTCTGACAACACTTGGCACAATTTCTTCTGTATAGTCTATGCTAATATATTAGGACTCCAAGTATGTATAAACAAACATATGTGTGTTTCTTGAGGAAGATGAATAGGTGCTACGCCAAGTATAATATGAGTTGTTTACCAAGTCCAGTAGAGGTATCATATTGGATCAACGGCGTCTTAACACTTCCTTCGTCAGTCGTGCAGATGACCTGGAAAAAGAAGGCTAGACAAAAGGAAGAACTGGTAAATGACTTGTTCATTCAACACCTACAAATAGGGCACATGCTTTTAAAAGAGCAATGCATCATAGCATGAAAAATAGGATTCCAAAGCAAGTTATGACGTTTTATATAATATTCAAAATTACTTCTAATTTTAAAATGTTTAAGAAAAAAAGCTATCATTAGTGTAATAATAGCCTATCCATAAGTAATAGAGCTAAGGAAAATTAGAGCTTATACAGCAAAGGAAAAGAACATCAGACGAGTAAAGGGTAATACACAAAGCGCATCTTGTTCTGCACACGGTTTAAATCCTTCCTTTAAAATTTACAGGTGTACTTTCCACTAAATGACCTAGAGTTTCTTACTGAACAGGAGAGCTCAAAAGGGATCCTAGAAATCACATGGTCTAAATTGCTCTTCCAATGGCCAGGAACCTGAGGGAAGTGACCCTTGCAAGGTCACACAGATGGTTATAGGCCTGGCCAGGTAGAACCTGTGTCTCCCAACCATCAGGCCACCTTCCTTTCCCAAAGAGCTGCCCAGGTGACCATGAACTGTAACAATGAACATGTGTAGCTGAATCTTTGTAAAAATGTTATTAAGTTTCTATTACTATACATGCAATGCTGGAGCTCACTGTTTACCTCTACCTTACAGCCAAAATAAAATACTCATTAATCAATTCATTATATAGTGAACATTGGTCCTGTGAGCATGCTGATCACTATAAAATACTTAGCACCTTGTAAAGCATTTTCTCATTTCAATTTAAAAACAAGGCAAGGAGAAAAGGGACATGTAAGTAAACAGGAAGAAGGAACTCCATTTTAGAGGGTCAAGATTGTTCTTTCAGGGGCTGATATCAAGGAAGGTTAAGGAAACCCCTTATTCAGGTCCTCATGAGTTGGAGATAGTTATTTCCTGATAGGGCTCTGTTTGGAGACTGGAGATACAGCAAGAAAATCTATGAAGTTGCTAGAAGTGTATTATTTTAGGGTAGTCATTGACTATGTATGGGTGCTATTTCTTTTGTGAACCCAACTGGCCCTTGGGTCTTATCCCTTCCTGGGGACCCTCCAGTCCTGTGGAGGCAGCGCTGTCCCCTTGAACTGCATTATAACTGCAGTGCTGTCAAGCTGCAAATGGGAAGGAAAGAAAACCTTATTTATCCTGAGCAGTAACTTTTTCACAAGAAGGGGGCACTTAAACCAAGACATTTTAATGGTGAGCATCTGCTGGTCAGCTTTCAGATTTAGCATCCCGTAAAGCTGGGGAACAGAGCGCCTTCCACACTGAGAAACAGGAGTCAGAAACTAACTTTTGTCCGCCGTTCTCGGTATGTAGAGGGTGGTGTCCAAGCCGCTGTACACGCGTCGCCCTCCGTCGGTTAACACGTACTCCTTCAGTTGGCCGTTCAGGAGGAAGGTGTCACTCCAGTTCACACACACCACAGACAAATTGCTGTCCACCGAAAATGGGGCTCGGTACTGAGGCACTGTGGGGAGAAAGTTGTATGTTCTAAAAAGGGTAACCTCTTTGAAGGAGTGCAGGTGTGCACTTTAAAAAAAAAAAATATGAGCAAAATCAAACCGAACCAATCCAAACAAAAAAAAAAAAAAAAAAGAAAACCAACATTGCTAGAATCCTTCACTTTTTCCTCAGTATTACGAAACAACCAGTATCAGGGGTGAAAAGAAAACCAATGGGAACATGTGTGAAATGCTTTCTCAGCAACTTTATGCCTGCTTTAAAAAAAATCGATAGAGAGTGGTGTTTTATAAATAAAACTATTAACATACAATGGATCTGCTCACCAGCATAACCCTGGAGCTCATATTTTGTTGCATTTTCCCTCTTTTTAACAGGTAAAGTATCCTTAATACTATTAAGTACAGTAGATAGCTATTTTTCATATCAAATCAATATTTATTGCCACAAAGCCCCAAGGACTAGATGAAGTTAATATATTTTTTTCTCCAAACCAAACTGCTTAGATGGTGAATTACGTCCTTTTGGCACCCATTTATTGTTAAAGCTTTTTCTCAAACTGTTAGTTTGTTTTCTAAGATAGTTAAAAAGCCTTGCAAACAGTAATTCAAGTATAATAATTCATGGCCCTGACTAATCAATCAATAGCATAGTACATTAGTATATAATCAAGCTCAGGTGTCCTAAGTATTATATCACATATAGAAGCAACTTTGTGTGCATTTCACAGGCACATTCTCTTGATTTTTCAGTTCCTTACTAAAACAAAAAGAAAATCCTTAACTGGGGCTCACCTTTTAAATGAATAATTTTTGTGGAAACAAATGAAGGGATACCATGTCATCTTGTCAAGTCAGAAGAGATTTATTTCATGAGATCTTATTTTCTACAAAATAATCAATATATTTGTAAAAACATTAAGATTCACCTATATACCAAATTGGCTTTTAAGAAAAGAAAGGAGTGAGTAGTGAGACTAAATTGAATCTGATTCTTTTTCTTTAAAAATCAATCCATCTATTTCTGATGTTAGGAAATATAACAAAATAAGGAATAATTATGCTTTTGTAATTGTAATATTCAACCGTAAAGACACAGTTGATTGTTATCTTTCAAAATAAGATATTTTCATAAAGCCATAAGAAAAATTTTCTGCAAACACCAAAACAAGAGTTATCAAGCCCTCTTTAAATCTCAATGCTTTTCCAACATTGATTCTGCCTGATATCACAAGGAATACTCTATTGTTATTTGTCTATGACTTCTCTCCATCACCTTAGTTCAGTAGATTTTCACTTTTTCCCTATATCATAACAGCACAGATAAAGAAACAGCTTGTAACTAGCAAGAAAATAGAAAGATAGGAGTCTTATTTGTCCTGTAGGGTTTGGAGACCTTCCTGAGGAAAAAGAGTAAGCAATTAAAATAATCGAGAATAATGAGTTTACAAATCCTCCCCAAGGAAGACTGAAAAAGCTGTAAGTACCACTACGCTCCTAGCTTTTGACATACTTTATCTCATTTAATCCTCAAAATAATCCTGTAAAGATTGATTCCTAATTTTTGGGGTGAGAAAACTCAGGTTCAGAGAGGTCAAATATCTTGCTCTATGTCAGTGGCTGGTAGGAGACCAAGGAGCTGAACCTAGGCTTGCTTAAATAAGGCCCATGCTACTTTGTTATCATCGGTACACATTTGTTGAAAAGAACAGAATTTACCAATTCACCCTATGGGTGCTCTCCAGTGGTGTGCTGAAGTTGGCTCACCCCAACTGTTAAATATTCAGGAATTTTGTGAGTCATTGTTAAATCCGGCCACTACTAAAAATTAAATTATATAAACTTAAATAAATTATATTAAAACAAAGCTTATAAATACTCCAAATTCATAACTTTTTATTTGTTTCACTACATTTTACTACCGTCTGTGTGCTCGAGGTCATTTACATCCACTCTATCTGGCTGGTGGAAATATTATATAATGATACGCTACAACCCATCCCTTCCTAACTCTGTTCAGTGCTGTCATGTTGGTCACTTGAGAGCAGTAATGGGGGTATTCACACCATGGAAACTGATAAGCACTTCAAATCAGGCCATTTTTCCCTCAAGCAGGCCAGCTGTTAAACATTTACACCTCACCTCTCTCTCCACTGAAGGGGGATTCAAGCAGAGGGAACTAAATGTGTTGTTAGGCTTCTTCTCCAGACCCGTTGCTGAGTGTACATGTGATCACATCTATATAAAACTGCATATTCTATTTTTAAATTATTATGGTTACTATTTTGAGTTGGACTCTTGCTCTGTTGCCCAGGCTAGAGTGCAGTGGCGCTATCTCGGCTCACTGCAACCTCCGCCTCCCAGGTTCAAGTGATTCTCACTACTCGGCCTCCCAAGTAGCTGAGATTACAGGTGTGTGCCACCACACTCAGCTAATTTTTTTGGATTTTTAGTAGAGATGGGGTTTCACCATGCTGGCCAGGCTCGTCTCAAACTCCTGACGTCAAGTGATCTGCCCACCTCTGCCTCCCAAAGTGCTGAGATTACAGGCGTGAGACACCACACCAGGCCCCAAATTATTTTCTGGTTTGTATTCTCTGGTGCATGTTTTCGTGCTCCCAGTATTTATAATGAGTTAAAAGTAGCATAAGTGGTATTTTAGAACCTGTATCATAGTCATTTCTTGTATTTTTCCGTAACTATTGACCCAGTAGTGGATTAAGGGAACCTCTTCTCCTATGGTGCTAGTCCAGGTTTAAGCTGCTTCTCCAATATAAAAAAACACAAATAGATAAAATCCTTTTTTTTTTTTTCTTAAAGACCAAGTCTTGCTCTGTTGCCAAGGTTGGAGTGCAGTGACATGATCACAGCTCACTGCAGCCTTGACTTCCAGGACTCAAGCAATCCTCCTGCCTCAGTCTTCTGAGTAGCTGGGACTACAGGCGCATGTCACCATACCTGGCTATTTAAAAAAAAAATTTTTGTAGAGATAGGTGTCTTGATATGTTGCCCAGGCTGGTCGTGAACTCTTAGCCTCAAGCAATCCTCCCCCATTGGCTTCCCAAAGCGCTGGGATTACAAGTGTGAGCCAGTGTGCCTGGCCACAGGAAGAAAATCTTAAATCAGTTCACTTTGTTCTTCCAAGCATAAGAAAAAAAAAATTCTGGCAAAAGCTAAGCTTCATGACTCAAAAGGGAATTGGTTATAAATTACAAAGCTCACCTAGCTGTTCTCTGGCTTTCTGGCCACATCAACCAAAAAACTGCAACATTTAGCAAAATTGGCTTCTGGATGTAGTGCAAAGGAGATTACAAAATCAGACAGCACACATTAAGAATCATTACAGTTTGCTTTGAATATAGTATGGGTGACAAAAAATGCTGATTGAGCAGTGTCAACAATAAACATGCAGTGTTAGGTGCACTCGCTTATTCATTAAACAACATTGATTGGAATCTAAGATACTGTGCCCAGTGCTGGAGATGAAAATGGAGAAAGTGAGGACTAAAGGAAGCATAGCTTGAAGGGGAAAGTTGCAAGCTCTGTCTGGGGCCTGTCCAATGTAAGCTGGTTATGAGAAATTCAGAGGGAGATGTCTGTGAGGAATCTGGGTGGAGGGGTATACACTTCAAAACAGAGCACTTGACTAGGAGGTGACCACTGGAGTTTGGCTTTTGGAACCAAAGCCTTGGAGCAGATGAACTCACCTGATGAGGGAGGAGGAAAGGAGGGAGTAGAGAAACGGCAAGGGGACAAAGTTAAAATGTTTAGGATTAAGATTTGGGCAGCGGAAGAAGATCAACCAACAAAGTTGACTAAAAATGAAAATCCAAAGAAGTAGAGGAGAAACCAGGAGAGGGTGGTAATGAAAATGAGGGTAAACCACTTTTTAAAAAAGGATTGAACATTGAAAGTTCAGTTGCGTTGAATGCTACTGGAAAGTCAGTGAAGGTGACTCCTGGAGAAACATGCCTTCTGGATATATCAGTATGGAGGCCAAAGGCAAACTTAGAAAGGGATTTTCATCCAGTGCTGAGGAAGTTAAAGAGTAAGTGGAAGAGAGGATATGGGCAAAGCATCTGCAGACCGTTCCTCAGGAAAGTTTTGCTGTCAGAGAGAGTAGAGTCCACATCACTGCAGGGGAAGAGGAGCTTGTTTGCTTTAACATTAGAAGGGTAGAAGGAACTTTGAATCAAAGTGAGATACACAGAAAGATTAAGGAGAGAGAAGGGATGGTGAGTAATGAAGTGGATGAAGTTCACTGCATGGAAGGCAGGTTTATTTCAGACGGAAGAAGGACCACCCTTTCCTTGTCACTGACAGCAATGGGGTATATGCAGGTAGCTTTGTCTGCAGTGGGAAGTGGAGCAAATTACTGACTGAAGACATCTCTTTTCCTGGAAAATTACAAGACAAGGAGTTCTGCAGAGAATAAAGGGAGAAATGGGTGAGCTGGGTTGTGGGCATGAAGGGAGAAAGGGTGAGCGGCAGAGGGAGGTTTGGCGAAGGTGGAGATGGTTTGAAGTCTTGATTACAGAGAGTAGGAAATGAATTGATCAGGGAAAGAGTAGTACTGAGACAGCAGCTGAGCTCAGTGACCATGAGTTCAGAGTAATTACTGCACTTACTAGATGTGGAAACTGGCCAGGTTACTTAAGCTCTGGCCTTAGTTTAGGGCCACGTCACTGTCTAACTCCAAGAGCCTCAGTTCAGATCATAGTCTATATGAATGGCATCCTGGAATCGCAGTACACAGTTTATAGTTCTGCCTCAGTTTTTTCATCTGTAAATTTGGATAATAATAGGTCTGTTGTAAGAATTATTTGTAAAATGCTAAAATACTGCCAGGAACAAACAAGTCCTCTGTAAATGTGATCTGTTACTAACATCCTACCATGTTGTTGCTCAGACACATTAAGCTCCTTGTGTGAGACATTGGTCTTTATGAATGCGTAATTCTTGCTTTTAAAATTGGCATCATATTCAATGCCAGATAGAGTATTTTAGGTAAGATTTATAATCTGACATAATCTTTCTTGAAAGCAAACATGAAACTAGTATCCAAAGCCTTAAAATATTAAAATACTTGATGTATTAATAGCAAATTCTATTTGTCAAAATTTAATTTAAGAAGATAACCAGACATTCAAAGATCTGTTCACAAAGATTTTTTCATCATATTTATTAATGGGAAATTAAAAAAAAAACAAAATGTCCCAATTAATTTATATATGGAATATTGTATAGCCATTAAAATTGGTGGCTAAAGAGTTTTTTTAATGCCACGGGAAATGCAAATACAATAACGTCAAGTATAAAAAGCTGACTATGAAATTTTAGTTATAGTATTTCAGCCATATAGTAAAAATTACCCATAGAAAGGAGATTAAAAGAATTGATTATGCCAAAATATTAGTAGTGGTTGCCTCTGGGTTGGGGTATAATAAGCTGGACCAGCTTCCTTGGCATGTGACCTGTGCTGTTGCAAGGGCCTGTGACATAGAAGAGTCTTGGACTTAGCCTGATGCTGTACTGTTACTGTCTTGGAATTCTTAAAGATTTTTCAGCAAAGGATTCCATATTTTCATTTTCCACTGGACTCCATAAATTATGCAGTTGGTTCTGATAAGCACTTATTATTCTTAATACTTTTTGTGTTTGCCATTATTAAACAATGAAAGCATATACCTTATAAAATCTAAGTTATAGTCATATATCTCATAATGACATTTTGAGCAAGACTGCAGAAATGATGGTGGTTCCATAAGATTATAATGGAGCTGCCCTGTACCATCTCTTACATTTTTTGTTTTTTTTTGAGAAGGAGTCTTGCTCTGTTGCCCAGGCTGGAGTACAGTGGCGTGATCTCGGCTCACTACAACCTCTGCCTCCTGGGTTAAAGTGATTCTCCTGCTTAAGCCTCCTGAGTAGCTGGGATTACAGGTATGTGTCACCATGCCTGGCTAATTTTTGTATTTTTAGTAGAGATGGGGTTTCACCATGTTGGTCAGGCTGGTCTCGAACTCCTGACCTGAGGTGATTCACCCGCCTTGGCCTCCCAAAGTGCTGGGATTACAGGCGTGAGCCACTGTGCCTGGCCCTCTTATCTTTTATATCAGATTTTTTCTGTGCCTTTTCTATGTTTAGATACACAAATAACCATTGTGTTACAATTGCCTGCAGTATTCAGCACAGTCACATGCCTATGGGGCAGAGTAGGTTATAACATGTAGGTCTGTGCAAGTACATTCTATGATATTTTCACGACACTCGCCTAACGATGCATTTCTCAGAACATATTTCCATCGTTAAGCGATGCGTGACTGTATTATATAAAAATGTAAGGAAGCCCCCAATTAATTAGTTGATTGCTCTTTCCTTCACTCACTTGCCCTTTTGCTTTTCCTAATAGTGCTATGTCTCAATGCTCTCTGGACATACTAGAGATTATGCCATGTAATTTACAAAGAAAAGGAGTAGCAAAACTTCTTATAAAAATGGTCTACCAGTGTTTGTTCATTTTCTTTCTTCCCATTGATCGTTTAACTTCCCCTAAATTTATTTTTACCCTATCCCCACAAGAAAATCCTTCTTAAATTTTCCCTTGACTTCCATATTATTAAATCCAGTAGGCATTTTTCCTCAGTAGTCATCCTCATCAATGCTTCAGTAACATTCAGTGTTATTGAGCCCACTCAATCTGTTTTTAAAAGTGGCTTCTCCGAGTTTCAGGGCAAGCTTCTCCTGACCACATTCCAATCTCTCTGGCTTATGGTAGCAGCCACTTATACTCACATTCTTTTTGGGTGGTGAAACTGATCCACTCGGAAGCCGTACTGCCCACCTCGTTGTGTGCCACCACTCTCAGCTTGTATGTGGTGTAGGGCTGGAGACCCCCAAGGCTGGCTTTCTGCCCCAGCCCCGTGTACTTTGTTTCTATTTGGCTGGGAGTACAGGGGAGGGCTGAGTCAGGAGGGCAAGCCACGTGGAATTGGAGTTCATAGCTAAAATGAGAATGGATACGTAGAGTCAAGACGGGTAATGGAATTAGTTTAACTCTCTCTTTTAAAACCAGTTCTATTTTGTGAGGAGACATTTTGTTTTCACAGAGCTACAGGCTCTTTAAAATTTCCATTTGCAGGAAACTGCTCTCAGAAACACCTTATGTAATGCTATTGGAAACGAGCAGCAGATGTAACCAGAGAAATGATAAGAGAAGTCACCATCTACACACACATTGCTGTTTACCCAGCAACTAGTGATCCTTTTTGGTAGAGATAAGACATTTCCCTCTTTTAAGAGGAGAGACATAAATGGTTCTTCTCTTTTTAGAGTAAATAATTTTTTTTCTAAATGATTTTGAGTCAAGTGTCTTCTTTTTCCTTTCAAACAGTGGTTTATGACAATATTTTAAATTAGATCAGGGCAATTCTGATTTAACTGTGGAGGTATCTTATGTTCCAGTGAAGGCTGGTAGAAGGAATGCTTCCAGATAACCATTAGGAAGAGCATATTGAATACGAACACATTGCATTGTCTTTTTAATGTAAAACATTTCGTTGTTCTCCTTTCTATCATTAGTTGCTTTTATGATTTAAATACATCGCAGGTAACATTACCACTCAAATCAATTTGTTTGTCTACTTTGCTATAGATATCTGTTCAATAAGCAAGTCCTCCCTGGGGAGTGCCAGGTAGCTATACAGGTTTGTAGCCTAGGTGCAGAGTAGGCTATACCATGAGTTCATATGTCTGTACACATGCCTTGTTAGTTTCTTCATCCTTCTGCCTGACCCATTACCTGTGAATGACACCATTGGGGAACATGGGGGGACTCCACCGGAAGGAGGCCGTCCTTGAGGCCAGCGTCCCGATTTGTGGAGAGGACAGTCCTGAGGGTGGGGCAGGATGGGTTCTCAGTTCAGCTGTCGGTCCTTTGCTGCAACAGTTGAAGCAGGTGCAGGCCTCTACTCCAATAGAGTAGTTAGTGAAGGCTTGAAGGCCATGGAGAGTCTGCTGGGTGGCCATGCCTTCGGATAGCTGTGGAAGGAAGGAAGGCTAGATAAAGGCAGTGTCAAACATTAAAGGTGTTTGATGAATGTTATCCAAGATCCCACCTCCTACAAATGGAGTACCATGCCAGGCACTCTGGGAGACACAACATGGCATTTAGCATGACATTTATCCTCAAAAAATTACCAACTCAGTTAGAGAGGTATGACAAATAGGTGAAAAATCTGATAATGTAACCGTTAAATAGACGTTTGAGGTAGCAGGATGGAAATCACAAGGCATAATATTATCGATTATCTATTACCTTAGAAAGGTATTAGAAAATGGCACGGAACACACAAAGTGTTGATCAAAGTCTATGACCCTCAGAGTGATGTCTTTTCAAAAAACAAAATCTGCCTTCCAATTATATGTCTAGTCAGCATTCACCAAGGTCCATATTCTGCCATGGTTACTTGCATGCAATTTCTCAGTCAAAAAATCTTTTCAGATCTACATTAAAATCAGGTATAAGTATTGGAGGGCTTGAAAGTCTATCTCTTCCTCTGAGGGTGTTGGTTTTTACAAAATATCATAGTCTTCTCTCAATCATCTTTGTAGGATTATAAAGTTTTGGTTTATTTTGAGCAAATTTTTAACCTCATTGTGGTTTTAATAAGTACTCTTCGGAACAAGAGTTCAGAAACTGAAATTAATGTTCATGTTGACATAAAGAACATATGATTAAGAAGAGCTGTTAAAAAATGCATACAATGCCCTCCAAATATAAATTATTTTAGTTTATTATCATTTTATAAGCATGGATAATCAAGGGTTGATTGTATTTACATCATCTATATTTATTGAGTACGAAGCCCTATAGAAAATATGCTAATATTCCTTTAACATTCAATCCAAGCCTCCCTGTATGTAAGTTATCTGTTGAAATTGTGTTTCAATACCTGACACTCTGGTCTCAGAGGAATTCTCCACACTTGCCCAAATTGTTCCCTAAATTGGCCTAAATAATGCATAGTGTAATACCAGGATCTGCACAATCTCTATACAATGTTTGTGTGAACAAAGTATTATAATCTCCACTTATTCATGAGAAACTTGAGAGTGACACAAGCTATACCACAGAGACAAGAGTCTTCATCGTGCTGGCTGCTGGTATCTTCATTTAAATAATGCAGGAACTGGTCTAGTTGATTCTTAGCATCGCTTCCGGGAAGTGGCTTGGCTAACGCACAATGTGAAAGATGATTTCCCTGAGCAATCTCTCCTGTCTCCCAGTGTGCCTCAAACGTGTTAACGAACAAACAGTGGAGCTAGGGCTATGCTGATGGAGCTGCTCTGCTCTCTCTTCTAAAGGGTTAGAACTTTCTTGAAATCACCAGAGGAATGAGAGTTTTCCATGTATTATTAGAGATTTGTGCATGTCAAAATAGAGATTCCAAGGATATTCTTTGCTCTATTTTGTTTTCATACTAACATTTACACCACCAATAATTACCATTTGCCAACTTCTTACTATGTGCCACCACTCTAAGTGGTTGATCTGTTTTCTAATTAAATTAAATTAAATTAAATTAGTGTGATTGCCTTTAAAGTCTTAGTTTCTTACGTTTGTGGAGTCTTTAATACCACCTTTAGCATCCCTCTCCCTAAGAGTTTACATACTTTCTGTATGTTTCCTCAGGGTTCACTTTTTCTTCTCTGAGGGATATTTGTGCTACTAAGTTCACCGTAGAGCAACTGAGAACAGAAGGATAAGAAAGATGGAGGGAAAAACAAAAACATAAAAACAAAGGTTTCATAGTAATGATTTTTAAAAGTCAACCAGTCCTGGATTTTTAGCTCTGCTGCTCACCACTGTCTCAGCCCCATGGGCGCTGCTGGAGAACAGCCTGTAGAGACTGACGATCCCGTTGGGCTTCCCAGGGGCACTGATGTTGACCACTGCTTGGGTAGAAGAGATCACATGGAACGTGGGGGCTCTGAGACCTTCTGGTGGGGCTGGCCCGGTTCTGCACCATGTCCAGCTACTGGGGGCTTTTCCTGCAGAATTCACTGCCCAGACCTCCAAAGAGAAATCAACAAGACTGTCAAAAGCAAGATACCCTAAGGCTGGGAAAAAAAAAAAAAAAAGAAAGGAAAAAAAACGAAATTGGCAACCAAAAGCAACTAAACACAACAGGAAGAGATAAACTTTGATCTTGCAACCTTGTAATCACACAGGAGAGCAAGGAGAGCAGGCTGTTCCTTTTTTATTTTTATTTTTTGCCTTTTGCCTTTGACCATGTGAACACAAAGGGGGCCGTTTAGGATTTCAGAATGCAGCACGTTGATTTAAGCCTAATGAAAAAACTGCTCATCTCTGTGTGGGAAGTGGAGTGATTTTGTCAGCTTCTGCAGACTGGATGGATCTGCAGACTACAAAAAACTCAGCAATTCTTAAACATTGTCCCCACCAAATCTGCATGAAAATTAAATTTCCTTTCATCAAGGAGGGAATAAACATATGGAACGATGTATAATCTTATTTATCAAGAACCATTTGTATAATTAAACACGAATATCCTAAAAGGTTGCCTTAGGTCGTCATTTGCATGAGTAAGTAATTTGTAGAATGTCAGGTACAATAGACAGAGTAGATGGATGTGTGAGTGTATAGGGTTAAATTAGGCCCAATAATAGCCAACTACACAGTGATCAATCAGAATGATAGATCTAAATGGCAATACAAGAAGACTGTCTGCGTGTTTAGGAGTAGTAGTATTCCTTAGTAAGCTTTCATGTGAAAGCCTAACTTCAGGAAATTTTTTTCTCATTGTGTTTCTTCTACATTATATATTTTCTAAAAATTTGCCCCCGAGCTTTTAAAGACAAATCTGAAAAACTTGTTTGATTCTACAGTACACACATTCCAGGCATGCAGTATTGAAAAAAAAAAAAAGCATGCAGAATGTTCAAAATAGGAGATATTTGTGGGGGAAAAAAAGAAAAAACCTATGAGAATATTTTGCAGTGAGAGTTTAGTTTCATTTTTGTTTACTTTGCTTTTGCATCAATAATATCTTCAAGAGAAGAAACATTAGACAGATTTTTAGTAGTTAGGTCAACTCCTATCAGTGGTTTTCATACTTTTCTTTTTTTCCGGATTCCTTTGTGAAAGTAAATTTTCTGATGTTGAATTGTTTTCAGGTTGCTGTCAAATGCAAATCTCCAGCCCCTTGCTGATAGGATTGCCAGGAGCCTCATTTTTTAAAAGAGACAACTAACCTACTTACATAGATACACCTGCTCTTTTTAGAGCTCGGATACATCCTCTCATCATTTGCATAATAATCACTCACATTTGTATAAACTCTACATTTCACAAAGCACTTTAACTTATGTCAGCTTATTTAGTCCTTCCAATGGAAACCTTGTAAGGTGAGCCGAGAATGTATTACTAGTCCCCTTTTAAAGGTGAGGAAATTGAGCCTCAGAAAATTTCACTATCTTGTTCAAGGTGACAAAAGTTACAAGTGCTGAAACAAGAATTCTGCTCTCCAGTGCCTGTTTCAATGAGCAGGGTTTTTGATTCTGTATGCCATCCATATGCATAAATAAAATAGTCAGAATCATGAAAATTAAACGACTTGTCCATAGACGAATACCTGCAATTCTAGATTAGGTTAAGGTGTCTTAGCTTGCAAGGATGGATAGACATGTACAAGTTGTCTTAGGTGAGGGAGGTTTGTTTTGGTAAGCACAGGGAAGTAAGGAGCTAGCAATGGGAGAGCCAGATTTCATGGAAGTTAGAGTCCATCCATCAGAATACAACTGCAGCTGCTCTCAGAGTCCCCTCAGAAATAGGTGAGGTCAGACTTACACTAGGGAGGGGAGGTGGAGGTTATTCATGAAGAAGTCAGACTTCAGGGCTGATGAGGAGGGTTCCTGTCTCCTCACTGTGCCCCAGAACAACCTCTTTTACTGCAAATATCTTTCTGGGAAGTGGTGGGGGGGACACCTATTATTACACAATGAATGACAAGATTTAAAACAATATTCTTGACAAAGGAATGCAAAGTAAGGTGCAAATATTGATATGACGTTTTTTGCCAAGAGCAGAACTTTGGTTGGTGATTTGAGCGCAGGCAGAATTTAAATTCAGGCTACAATGGATGGGGAGGAAAATGAGGAAGAAAGTGCAACTAGGTATAATAAAAGAAAAATTCAACAACTTGCCAATTAATTACTGTGCACCAATAGGAGATGGAAGTAGTGCAGGCATAGGGTGTTGAAAGAAAATGAGATGAAATAAGCATAATTCATAGCAAGTGCTCAGCACAGTTCTGGCTCTGGCTTATGAACATTAACTTTTCTTTCATTTTCAATGTAGATATAGAATCATAAATACTATTAAGGCTTTTTAATGGTAGTGTCGTAGATTGTACTAAATCTCAGCCTTCCTGTGTTACGTGAACTTCTACTAGGTGGAGTTCTAGTTCCAAAATGTGATTTAATCCCTGGATTTTAAAAACACTTGGGCCTCAGTATTATAGTGTTTTGCTATATTTCCTTGGAAATATTCTCTTTGAAAACCAGGCAATTCAAAATTCCCCATCACTAATAGGGAATGTATGCAGGCTATTTTGTCTTTGGCAGGAGTCCTTCATAATACATTACTCTTTTTCCTAGACTTTCTTTTTAGTATTCAATCAATTTGAGATCAAAATAGCATTCATATAAATCAACATGCTTATGCAAAGCAGGATCAACCTATTTACATGAGCTACTGTGAAAATGAAAACAGAATGAAGAGAAAGCTGACTGAGATAATGAAGCATTATGAATTTCACAAAACTTGTATGATGAGGCAGTGTCTCTGTTATATCAAACCACTAGGAGAAAAGGAAAAAAGAACCTGTGAATAATATTTTTTCTGTCTCCTTCTGTCTCTCTGTCTTTGTCTCTGTCTCTGCTGAGGTAAAAACGTTCTTTGTCTAAAATATCACTGTGGATTTTTGTCTATGCCCGGCTAAGCAAGAGATAAAAGTATTGAAGTGTAGTTCAGGGTTCAGGGTAAAAATACTAACAGGTTATGCTTATGATTCCCACTGAGAAACAATGCCCCAAGATTCGATTCTGTCTTTATAGGGTAGAGAAAGAAGCAGCAGAGATCCCACATAGAAAACTTTTTAGCAATATGTCCCGATCTTTTAGTTGCAATGAACCCATATAAAAATCAATAAATAAAATATCTTGTGAACAAACAGTTGTGTATTTTCTCTTTCTTTAGTGTGTGGGCTTCTCCTAGAAAAATGGAAGAGTTATTATTGGGGAAGAAAAGCAAGTAAGGCTTATAAATTCTATGGCCAAGAGAAAAAAAAGCCAAGATGTTCTTCATCTTTGATTTATTCAGGATATTTTTGTTCCTACAGTGTTTAGACTGAACATATATATATTTTTTTATTATTGTACTTTAAGTTCTAGTGTACACGTGAACAACGTGCAGGTTTGTTACATAGGTATACATGTGCCATGTTGGTTTGCTGCACCCATGAACTCATCATTTACATTAGGTATGTCTCCTAATGCTATCCCTCCCCCAGCCTCCACCCTCTTACAGGCCCTGGTGTGTGATGTTCCCCTCCCTGTGTCTGATGTTCCCCTCCCTGTGTCCATGTGTTCTCATAGACTGAACATATTTATTCTTTTATAATAAAAGATTAAAGATGATTAAAGTTGCTGCTGAAATACATTATTATTTGGGTTTGGTGAACACTTTCACATGTGAATGAGTGGGTGCACACACAGTTATGATTGTAGAGTCAGAAACTTCCCTAGTCGTTAATAATGAAAAGTTAGGACTGACTGACTTGTTGATTTATTTCTCTAAGGTTTCTGTTGTAACCATGAAGAAAGTTACAATGTAAAATGTCATAGAAAACATAGATTAACTACTTTTAATAAGCATAAAAACTAAAATTGTTTAGCCACAAATTCTGTAATTAACTAGCAAAATGATAGATTAATATGTCAGTTTTCAATGGAATTTCTGTTTTCAATGTAATATATTTTTAAATCTAACTAGAGACTATTACCATATTTATGCTTGTTGTTCATTAAAAAAATGAAATTGTTCTTTTATTTACTCTTTCCTACCCCAAAGGACTAATTATTGTATTTTGCCTTAAAAATTTTTAATTACATGGAGTGTCAACATCTGCCACTAAGCTGCCATAATCACATTGCTGTGAAAACAATGAATTTAATCATTTGTTCTCTCTTGAAAATTGCCTCTTAGAAATCTTCTTTTAAGAGAAGTCTTTGTCACAATATATTCCTTAGCCATGGTCATCAAAATGATTTTGGGTACCTGTATCAGAATTTCTGGTGAGAAGACCTTGGACTCTGCCCTTTCAACATATTTCCAAGCGCTTTTTACACCCAATATTATTTGAAAAATACAAAGGCCTATTCTTTATAGAGCCAGGTACAGAATATAGGCACTGTACATTTTCAATTTCTATTTGTTATGTCTCTTTAGAGTTATACTTCACATTAACTTTAGTCATTCAAATAAACACAATAAATGTATCTTGGAATATGTCACAATTCAATAATCATCATAGAGTTAATTACTGTGTTTTTTCACAGTTCCAAACAGAACTAGAGTTTACTGACTTTGTAGAACCACTTCTTGCCTCCTAATTTTCACTTAAGGAGTAATTTCTTGAAACCTTGATATTTCTAGAAATTGCTGAGTCTATTTTTCTCTCAGTGCAGAGTAACATTATTCTAAATGCTCCCAATTTCTCTCAACCCAACATTTCTCCTCCTAATTTTATTCTAGGAGAAAAGCAAACATTTGTGAACAGAAGCATTGTAATAATTTTTGTGAATGGGAAAGAGAAGGGACCATCAGTCTGCACAGGATGGGAGAAGGGGAAATGTATCAGAAATCTCCAAGAATGGTGACCCTTTGGATGCTTCTGTTACTGTGCTAGTTATTCTTTTTTTTTTTTTTTTTTTTTTTTCTTTGAGACAGAGTCTCGCTCTTTCACCAACGCTGGAATGGAGTGGCGCGATCTCGACTCACTGCGATCTCCACCTCCTGGGTTCAAGTGATTCCCCTGCCTTAGCCTCCTGAGTAGCTGGGACTACAGGTGCCTGCCACCACACCTGGCTAATTTTTTGTAGTTTAGTAGAGATGGGGTTTCACCATGTTGTCCAGGCTGGTCTCAAACTCCTGACCTAGTGATCTGCCCACCTCCGCCTCACAAAGTGCTGGGATTATAGGCGTAAGCCACCGCGCCCGGCCTGTGCTAGTTATTTTTTAGCACAATTTCCACACTTAACTTGTTAAGATTGTTATCACATTCCCATAAGGGGGACAAATAGATATTAAAAAGGTCTTTCTAATGCCTGTATTGGCTAAACAAAGTAGTTTTCACCTTAATGCTTTGCCTCGCTCAATGTCTCATATCTTTCTGAAATAACCTTCCTTAGGACTGATGTTTTCCAAGTATTGTCTTACAGCAAAGCTAAGTTATTAATGTACATTTCAAGGGGGTTCCTGATGCATTTTTCCTTTATGGTATCATAAGAAAAACCCCTAAATTGTGAAAATATTTTATGATTCTTTTGGCCAAGGCAATGCTACAAGTCTTGTTCAAATCAAGGGAACATACTTCATAATATATGGTTTATGGATGGTTTGTATATGGGTCAGCACCAAGCTGATGTCTATTTGGTCTTACATTTGCTATTATTCTCCTCATAAAATTGTAATACAGGAGTAACCAAATTCAGCCGATTAATCTTTTACAAAAGATCTCTAATCTGTTAACTCCTAATGTAAGTGATGATGACTGTCTTTACGCTTGGAGCAATTTGAGATTTTTGTTCTTTATCCAGGCTGCTTATTACAAGAGTTGTATTAGTAAAAGTGTTAACTGTCAGAGATTAAGAGAGGGAAGAATATCTGAGCTCTCTGCAACTTCTGTGAAACTCTGTAACATACTTCCTTGTGGGATAATGACAATATTTGATTAAAAAAAGCATTTCAACAATTCTGAGGACAAATTTATATCAAGAAGCTCTAAGGAGACATAATTGTTTATAAAAACTAAGGAATGTGAACATAATTTTGTAACAATTCACATCAGAAATAAACAAAAAATCTAGCATGAACAGCTATGCCAGTAATTAATAAGTAAACAGGTTGTATGTTAACGGGCAAACAATTAAATTATTTGTTTCCTAGGGGCATGTAATGAGATTGTTATCACATTCCCATGAGGGGGACAAATAGATATTAAAAAGGTCTTTCCAATACCTGTATTGGCTAAGGCCAACAGCTAATTCAATAGATTCGATCAAAATCACTACTTCTTTCACTGCTGCTGATTTATGACTTTGGTTGTTGTTAGTCATCACTCATTGCAGTTTGCTTTCCAGTGCTCAGAAATTATGCCTCATAAATAAAAAGATACAATCAAGGAGATCATATCAATTCATCTACAACCTTGGAGTACATTTTCCCATGGCACTCACGCTAATGCCTTCTTAAAGGGTAGCTTGTCATAGGTTTTGAATATGTTTGAATAGCAATATGCTGAAATCTTCTTTGCTGGAATCGCGGTTAAAGAATGTTGGCAAAAAAGACAATGCAATGAATTTGAAATTACATGATTACAAGATTGTTTTATTTCATGAGTAGCCCTGCAGGCTCCAGTTATGAAGGAATAATGTGCTGAAAAGCTCTAGGAGCTATTTATTTAACTGTCTATCTATCTGATTTTCTTTCACCATCAAATGGATGTTTTCCAGCATCTCTATCTGCATAGAACCTTGCTGGATACAATACAGTCACACTTTTACAGATATAGTCCCGTTTTCCAGGTTCCCTTCATCTAAAACACTTTGGATTAGGCAAGATAGAACGTGATTTTAATTGAATTCTGGGACCCAGGGGAAGAGGGTACAGCAGGACATTGTCTTGCTTTCCATGAGCACTTTTGAAGTTCAGAGACGTGAAGCTACTGGAAAAATAACAAGACATTTCCCATGCTAGAATTGGGTGTCTTGTCGCTACTGCTTCTCATACCGCCTTGCTCTTTGGAGCCATTTAATACTTGTGAATATGGTTCTCCTCTAATACCTGAAGAAGGAAAAACTGACCTAACACTGTGAAATACTGAAATTTGCCCTGATTTTTTTTTTTTTTTTTTTTGAGACAGAGTCTCTCTCTCTCTGTTGCCCAGGCTGGAGTGCAGTGGCGTGATCTCGGCTGACTGCAAGCTCCGCCTCCCAGGTTCACACTATTCTCCTGCCTCAGCCTCCCGAGTAGCCTGGGACTACAGGCGCACGCCACCCCGCCCGGCTAATTTTTTTGTATTTTTAGTAGAGACGGTGTTTCACCATCTTAGCCAGGATGGTCTCGATCTCCTGACCTCGTGATCCGCCCGCCTTGGCCTCCCAACCCTGATTCACTTTTAACAATAAAACTAAATAATCAAAATTTGGAGTTATCACATACTTTTTTTTTTTTCTTATATCTGCTCTCCCTAAGAGGAAACAGGAACCCACCCCCATCCGACTCTCATGGAGGATATGTAAAAGTAGTTTTGGGGTTTATTGAGCACTTACACTTTTGTAAGTGTATTCTATGTACTAATTTTGCATTTTTCCTCTCGACAATCCTATATGGTTGGTATTATTATCCCCACTTTACACATGAGAAAACTGAGGAACACAGAAATTTATGCAACTTGGTAAGTGGTAAGGCTGGCTTTCCAATACAGATATGTGACATAAAAGCCCAAACTCTTTACATCTTCCTACATAAGGCCATTAAAAGAAGGCCTGTACACACCTTCCACATGGGTGGGTTGCTGTCCTGGGCTTTTCATAGAGCCCTGCGTGGACTGGCTTTTTCTGTGGAGGGTAGCCTAAAAGTGAGACAGGGGAAACTATCACAAACAACGTGACATCCATCTCTCGTGCCACTTATCATGCTTTCAGCAATATTGCATATTACACAGAAGCAAGTACTACTCATATATTTCATCCTGTTCAAACATGTGTAAATGCATTGAAATTCCATTATGTTCTCTGCAATAATAACTATACCCTAATGGATATAGCATTAAAATATATACTTTATCCACAATAAGTTGCTAGAAGAAGCTAAGATCACAATCACCAATTGTGATTAACATCTCCGTGAAGGATAGTAAATTAGGTAAGACCATTTATCATCCATGAATTCAACACATATTGACTGAGCCATTTCTATATGCCAGATGCTGTTCTATGAGCTGGGGATACAACAGTGAACAAGGCTGGCATTAACATCCTGGTGAGGAGAGGCAATCAATAAAAACACAAATAAAATAAACAGGTTAGGATATATGCTAGAAAGGAAATGATGAGATTGTAGGGTGATATACATAAGGTGATAGAGCAGAAAATGGTTGGCTTATCCAGGAGGTTCTCTCAACAGATGACCATCAAGCTGGGAAACAATTGGCAGAAAGTACCAGATGAAGATCTGAGGGAAGAGCATTCTATGGAAAAGAAAAGCATGTGCAAAGGCCTTAAGGCTAGATCCTCAAGAAGGCCAGTGTGGCTGACCTTAGTGAGTAAGGGCCGGAAAGCAATGGGATGAGGACAGAATTGGACAAAAATGAGACCACGAAAGTCCTCATGGAACTAGAGAGGAGTTTGCATCTTATGGAATGGGGGAAGTAGGGTTTGCAGTAGGAGAGTGACTTTATTTGATTTTCATTTTGCAGGAATGCTGGATACTGAACACCTTCTATGTATTTATATATTAAATTTTACTTTTTTTTGTAAGTGACAATACCCTAGCCTTAAAGTCAACTTATTTAAAGTTCACAGCAACTTTCCTGGGGTAAGTTTTTTTTGTTGTTGTTTGTTTTTTTAATCTCAATTTTACAGATAAGAAAACTGAGGTTTAGTGAGTTTAAATTAATAGCTGAGGATCCAGAATTGGTAATTCATGTAGCCTAGACTGCAACCCTAATCGGTCTGTCTTCACAGGGTCAGGAATTTGTGCTCCTGATAGAGGTGACTTGAAGAAGCTGCAGTTCAGCAGAGCCACCTTGAACTTGGGGTCAGAAAGTCAGGACTTGAGTTCTGACTCTGTTGCTTTTTGACTAGGTAACTTGCTAAATCATTCAGGTTCTTGACTATGCTAAGAAATAACAACATCTATCCCACAGGACTATTTTAAGATTTACATGCAATATTGTTTCTAGAAATTTCTGAGGAATGGGGTAGGGGATGAATACATTTATAAATATTTCATTGATTTTTGAAAGTCCCAAAGCTGCATACAAATGCAATTTGGAGGTAACTGTTGGGGTAGAATTTAAGAAACCAGTCTTTGAAACTGAATCTTAAGGTTCGAATTTGAGTCCTTCAACTTATCAACTCTATATCCTTGGGCATGGTATCTAATTTTTCAATGCTTCATGTTTCTCACCTGTAAAATAGTGTCAGTAATAACACCTATTTCAAATGGTTGTTTGAGATTAAATTAGTTAATATACATGCAGTTCTTAACACAGCCCTTAGCACACAGCAAACCCTAAATAAATAATAGTGATTACTATCACATTATTTGTGTGAAAAGACAGGAGAGAATGACTTAACAGTTTGGGGGATCTAGTGGGGCTAGATAGCAATTGTGCAACTCACTCCTGGATTCCAGTTAGTTGTTACACATTAATAAGATTGGAAAACTCCCCACAGCATTTGGAATTTAGCCCACACCTCCCTGTGTATCTTTCTTCCAGGTACTTCTGTACTGTAGAGCTTTGAGGGTTAGAGTAAATAAAAGCCTGGCTTTTCAAAAATATTGCTCTACAATGAAATTTGTTAATTGGATGGCTTCTCTACTTTGTTTTATAATTAGTTAAAATTTCTCAAAAAGTCCTCAAACATGAACAAAAGAAAAAATTAGAGCAATTCAATGGATTCTTTAGAGAAAAGAATTTTATTACTGGTTTCCATTAGAAATATGCCTATAGGAATCAAAGAGAGAACCGTACAGTTTTCTAGATGCTTATAGGCATATTAGTAATGATCAGCTCCATCAACAGATAAATCAATTAACAAGAAGAAGTCTCAACTATGTTCTTACAAATTACCATTTAAGGCATCTGACTTATTTGAATGTGTTAACATTTTTGTTTCCACCTGCAGATTAGATTGCTTCATATATCCTGAGATGTTTATTTACAATTTAAAGGTAATAAGCTGTTGGTTCAAGTACTTAAGTACAATCCTCCTTAAGTCTTCAGATTTACTTAGTGGTTTATCAATAATCATAGATTGACAAGCCAAAGCTGGCCAGGTGATCCTCTAGCCCAGAAAGGATTCTACTGGTGAAGGCATTATTATATACTGGTTGAGAAGCAGCATCAATCTGAGTGTGGGGGACGAGCTGGTTTTTCCCCAGATCCATCCTCTGCCCTTCTCTGGCTTGGTCTGTACTCTGGAATGCTGACTTCATCAGACTGCCTCACCTGGAATCTTTTCTCCTCTGGCTCCTTTCCATTAGGTTTTGATCAAAGGGAAGAGAGAGTTCAGGTTCTTTGTTTCTCCTGCTCCTCTCTTTGGCACTGCATGTTGACAAGGCTGAATTTCCTCTCAATGACCCACTTTCTTCCATTGTCCCTGCAGGCCTAGAAGGTAACAGCTTCTGGCTCTTCCTACTCCCTGGGTACTTCAACATCCCTTATTGATTCTCTTAATTCTACCCACACCTCCATAAATAGCCTCTTCATTAAATTTTCTTCAAATACCCTTTGAATGTGCCATATGTTTCCTGCTGAGATCCCGATTGATACAGTGGAGAATATTTTGAACCATTACATGGGTACCAATAACAGTAGGTGGGCTAAGAGAGGCTTCTAAACATAAGGATGGAGATTTAGAAAGGGATTTCTTTTTGTAAGACTGAAGGAACAGAGAAATGGTGCCCCTTCATGTCTCTGTGGAATGATTTTAGTCAAGTACCTCTTTAATATCAAGGTGCCACCTGTCCTGCACAAAACCATCTGGCCAGAGAGTAGAATAAGAGTGGCCTTTAGAGTTTGGTGTGGAAATCGTGCTGTCCCTGAAGATAAAGAAGCTGCTTCTTCCTCCCTGGGTCTGTTTTGCCATCACTCAGATCCTGCAAACATCAACGTTCCTAGCCATATTTTTATGGATACATTATTCATGGGCATCTTTATTTGACTTATCAACTATAATTTAAGTCCCTGAAGGGGAGAGTGCATGGATTTTAGCCTCCTGCCTCAATCCTAGTAACTAGGTATACACTTTGAACATTGTAGGTGCTTAATAAGGACAGTTTATTAAATACTCAATTTACAGGATGGAGGAAAATAAGTAAAACACATCTTACCCTTTCCTAGATGTTTTTACAGGACCTAAGTTTTAGGTGACTTTGGGAGCCTTTGTTTTCATGGCCATCTGAAGAGCCATGAGGGCAGGCTGGAATGGCATATTATCTACATTCAGTTGAAGAGCATCTGTTGTGTTTAACATTTTATTTTCAGCAAACAAACTTCCAACACAGAGACAGGAAGATCAACATCACCTTAAGTGAAATATAAATCTGAGTTGCATCTGCAAGAGGGTGAGAACCAACCCATCTTCACATGGATAACTTGTCCCAAAGGCGCCATGAAGATTGCCAACAACAGAAGCTTCAGAATAAAGTCCTAAGGGTTGCCATGAGAGATGGAACAAGAACAAAAAGAATTAGAGCATGCTCCTGAATGTGCTCACACTGACAGGTGGAAATGATCTCCCGTGGGAACAAAAGGCTCGATGCAAAAAATGATCAGGCCCTGGGCCTAGTGGCGAACTTTAGTTTTCTATACATGGAAATGTCCCAGTGGCCTTCAGTCTAACCTGTGCACTCAGGCCCTAAAGTTTTAGAATAAATACACTGCCTGAGTCAGACAATATCAATAAATCATTTAAAACCTTGAGCTGTGGGAGTTGGGGTGGGTGTGGGGAGCTTAGTTCTTGTGGGAGAAATTAACCAGACAAAAACCTCCATGCTGGTCGGAAATACATTAGTGAGATTAATACCTAATTAAATGCAAGTCCAAAACTAAACAGAAAATGTGTTCAATATGTTTTCTCTAAATGTGATATAGAAAAGAGATGGGGTAAGGGTGACAGCAATAGAAAACAGGCAATACAAAGCAAGTAGCTAATTGCATAAAAGTAGAGTCAGACTATCAGAGTTTGGAATTTTAGTCATGGGTATGTGGGTAAATTACTCTTTTTCTGAGAAGAGAAATGGCAAGGATGAGGAGGGTTGAACTTCCTAGCGGAAGGAGTATCACACCTTTAGAGGCAACTGTACTCCTGATTGAGATTTTTACACTCTAACATTTTATCAATGACTTGTTGATATAGACAAAAGAAATGTCTTAACCTGGCTTTTTTACAGTCTTGAATGAAAGTTTCTCCTTCTTTTAACTAGTGAGATCCTGGGGGGATCGGATGGGGGCATGGACCTACTAAGTAGCAGGCATCCTACTAGACACACAGATTTCTTAGTTCTCATAACACACCCATTTTTTTAAATGAGAAAGGTGAAGTTATCAGAAATTAAGTATCTTTCTTGCACAAGCTATGTGATCTTAACTCAGCTTCTTCATTTGGAAAACAGGAAGGGTGTGAGCATCCAATGTGAAAGAGCACAAGGATTGTCAATATCTCACAGGTGTGGAGTACTTGTTCCCGTGGTTGGTGTGTGTAGCGTGCTAGGGCAGTTCTTGCTTCTGGCTGGAAGCATTTCCCGCATACCTCATGCAGCCCTGCCTGTAGGAGGTGGGCCCTGCGACCACACCTGCTCAATCATAGTCCTCTGTTCTCTTGGTTCACAGGAAGGCAGGTAGTGCAAAAGGATCAGTCAGAGTCCTGTATTGGTTGACTTATAGTCCTCTTTCCACTCTAAGGTGGATGGGTAATAATAATAATCATTATTGTTATATGGGCGAAGTGGTTTCTATGTATGAGGTGCTGTTCCAAGCACATTCACATATTAACTCATTTAACCTCAGAGCAAGCCTATGAGTCCAATGCTATATCTATTCACATTTTAAAGACAAGAAAACTGATGCACAGAAAGGGCTTGAATCTGGGAGTGATTTCCTCAGATGCCTGGTGAAAGTGTGCAGAATGAAGCCAAACAGAGACAAGCTGAGATGGGGCAAGGAGGGACAGAATGAATGAATCCTACATCATCCGAGTCCTGCATCCCAGGTTTCCAGGACCTGGTGTTCATATCTTTTCTTTGGTTTCAAGGGATTCCTTCAATGCCCTTCCCAGATGCGAGAGCAGAAACAATTCCCTTCTGTTTAACTTAGTTTACATTGGCTTTCTGTTACTTGTAGTGAAATAGTCATGACAACTTTTTGATAGTGTGGGTTTTCTCAGGAACATAAATGAGACTTATTTGTAGCTAACTAAATAAGTTTATTATTTATTTACATTCATATGTTATAATATAGCTATACTTTAAAAAATATATTAGTGAATAAATATGTTAGGTTTCAATGAGAGACACAACTAATTATATTTCCATGTGTCCATCTTGGTGATGAATAACCATATATCCATTTATTATCTGAAGCTGATTTCATACATTCACTTGCATCAACACAACTTAAAGCTAAATACCATTAGAAAATTCTGTTGCTTTGGGTGAGAATTTATTTTGTAGGGTTTTACAAACTGTAGATTACAAAAACCAATCAAGAGAAGATAAAGTTTGATTAGACTTTCTAAAAATTATATACCTGTAGCTTACCACTACTCTGCCCATAGAATACAGAGCTGGAGGGTGCTTCCTTTTATAGATGAGTGCTATGAACTGACTGTTTTTGTCCCCTTCAAATACATATGTTGAAGGCTAATCTTGAATATGATGGTATGGAGGCCTTTGGGAGGTTATTAGGTTGCATAGGGTGGAGCCCTCATGAAGGGGACTAGTGTTCTTCTACCTGGTATATGTGGATATAAGGAGAAGACCATTATCTGTAAGCCAGAAGGTGGCCCTCACCAGACACTGAATCTGCAGGTGCCTTGACCTTGTACTTTCCCGCCTCTAGAATTGTGGGAAATAAATATTTGTTATTTAAAGCCACCCAGTCTATGATATTCCATCATAGCAGGCCTAATTTATATTATGAGGAAAGGCCCAAAGAGGTTAATGTGCTCAAATATCCAGAAGTAGTGAGAGAAGGAGTAGAAGATGTTGGCCTTTCTCCCTCCCACTTCTAACTCATCGCCAACGATTTGGTAGCCTATGGTGGGGGCTGGTGCAGGGAAGGCCTCCACAGTACCTCTGGCAGTCTTCAGGCAGCTGCCACTGGCAGCAACAGTGAGGATCCCCTTCTGTGTCTCCTCCACAGCCCTTCTTTCCATCCTCTTGTTTGGGGGCAGTGTTGGTCTGTTAGAAAGCAGCAGACTGCCATTCTGCATGGGCTCCTGCAGCACTAGCCCTAAGTTCAGACCCCATGCCATGAGTCACAGAGTTTCCTCTAAGACTGACCTACTGCTTCTCAGTCACCCAGTCATGAGGCACCAGAATGCTTCAGAGACCCTGAGTGTGCGTGGGTGCTTACCGCAAAAATCTGTCAAAGTGAGATAGTTTCAGGAAAACTAATTAAGTCACTGACAGCATGAATCAGTGAAAGGGGGGGTGGTGGCGGGCCCTATCAAATCCGTGGTGAGTCTTTGCCTTAAGCAAGAGTATGAATATGAATGCACAATTACTGAGAGCTATTCATTAGCCTCAGCTCACTCCCCAAAGGTAAAAACCAAAATGTCTTAACAGAGTAGACTCACACCCAGGTCCCTCTCAAAGCCTGTGGGAAAAATATTGTCTTAATTTGCTGCTAAACAGTTAAGAACTGCTCCACATAGAATTTGGAGGTTCACACTGCATGTATTAGAATAGCCCAATTTTGAAAGGGTTGAAGATAGAAATGATTATTGTCTTTAAAAAAATCTTCTTGGATTTGTAAATATTCTGTAGCACAAGCAAGACTGTGATCTCTGTTTAAGGAAGAGGTCTGTGCAATGGAAGAATTTTATTTAGTACAGATGCATCGCATTTATGCATGGAACATACATTCACAGGGTTGTTTGAGAATTAGATTTTGGTAAACTAAGTTGCATTTGAAATTCACAGAGAATGTTTGCTTTCTAATGGGACCCTGCAGTGCACTCTGTAAAGCCACCAACCCATTCTTGTGGAAAACAAGAAAAAGTAATATTCCTAATTTTTTGATTCATATTTTAGATCTCACTGGCTTTATTAAAGCTAATCCTCCAGAGTGTTATCCTTCAGAATCCCAGAATTCTGGAAGCTATGCTGAAATGACTCAAACTAGAAAAATCCCCTGTTTTAAATGATGGTGAACTTTACTCTTACCACCAAAGACCGGACCTCCCAAGTAAGAAACAAAAGAAAATAAAACAACAATAACAAAATCCAAATAAAATCCATGAGGAAGATTAAAATAAATTATATGAGTAGCTGAGACATGGACTTTGTAGATAATATATTCTGTTCTCCTTTCTAGTTTCACATCAAAACAATAGGACCCTTCTTTAGGAAAGCCAGGATAGACCAACGTCAATAGGCTATTATCAATGATCATCATGTAAATTAGGCATTTGTGGGGAGCTGGCTTCACTTATTTGGGCTGTTTATGACAGTTTAGGCTAGTGATTCTCAACTCTGGCTGCACATGAGAATCACCTGGGAACCTTTTGAATCGCAGGGATTCCAGAACCCATCCCAGAATCAGAACTACAGGGGAATGGGGACTGGGTATCAGCACCCAGAATGTTGTGAAATTTCCCCAGGTGATTCTAATGCACAAAGCTGAGAACCACTGATTCAGAAAATCACCGCTTGAAAATAAGGCTTAAGTAGCATAGCAGCAATGTCTCACCCTCTGAGGCAGTATTTCCAAAAAAAAGTGGGTTGTGGACTATCCAGGCTGCTTGTTAAAAGTACAGGTTGCTAGGCCAGGCGCGGTGGCTCACGCCTGTAATCCCAGCACTTTGGGAGGCTGAGGCGGGTGGATCATGAGGTCAGGAGATTGAGACCATCCTGGCCAACATGGTGAAACCCCATCTCTACTAAAAATACAAAAAACTAGCTGGGCGTGGTGGTGTGTGCCTGTAATCCCAGCTACTTGGGAGGGTGAGGCAGGAGAATTGACTGAACCGGGGAGTTGGAGGTTGCAGTGAGCCAAGATTGCGCCATTGCACTCCAGCATGGCCACAGAGTGACATGCCATCTCAAAAAAAGAAAAAAAATACTGGTTGCTGGGGTCCCTTCCCATTCCACCCAGGAGTCTGCCCTTTGAACAAGCTCTTAGGTCCTCCACTTGTACTGTAAACAGTGGGGATGCTACCTTTAGGGCATTCCATATTGAAGTATTAGTGAACACTTAGAAGGTGCTTGTGATATCACATGGATTTTGCTCACCTTCAAAGGAGCTAGTTATCAAGCTGGTTATATGAATTGTGGTGAGGTGAGTGACATTTGCTGCTCATTTAATTTCCCTCTTTGGTTTTCTGCAGTGAGTAGCTCCTCCCTCTCTATAAGTATCCATTTCTCCAGATATTTCCTGACCCTCCTGCCCGTTAGAACTCATCCATCACTTTAGGAGGCCGAGGTGGGTGGATCACGAAGTTAGGAGTTCAAGACTAGCCTGGCCAAGATGATGAAACCCCGTCTCTACTAAAAATACAAAAAAAATTCGCCACGCATGGTGGCGGGCGCCTGTAATCCCAGCTACCAGGAGGCTGAGGCAGAGAATTGCTTAAACCCGGGAGGCGGAGGTTACAGTGAGCCAAGATCGTGCCATTGCACTCCAGCCTGGGTGACAGAGCGAGACTGTGTCTCAGAAAAAGAAGAAGAAGGAAAAAAACAAAGAAGAAGGAAAAAAAAAAGAAGAAAGAAAAACAAAAGAACTTATCCATGCGATACCCTCTTCTATCACTGGCCAACTGATGGAATGAGTTGATTTAGACTAGTGAAAACTGTCTTGTTCTTTTCACATAACTAAATTTTAACAACTGCCTTCAATGATTTAACTCAAAACCAGAAATGAGTACAATGATGTAATGTAGTGTAGGAAGGTGGTGGGGAGCCCCAGCTGATACTTGCAAGGCACACCATGTGGGTGGCAACCTCCCCAACTATACATCCTCACGATCTTCTGATTAATCCTTCCCCACTGCTAGGAAGTTTCTCAGGTCTTTGTTTTTATTCCCTACAATCTACAATTACCTCAAAAACACACTCCTCTGCAGAAGGGTGAAATCACTGTCAGTTGCTGGGTGAGCAGATTTATATAGGACAATGAAGGTATTTTCAAAGGCCACTTGCAGATGAAGTAACCCTCAAGTGGTTTTGAGAGCAATGCAAATTCATCACAAATACAAAAATGCTCTTTTGTTAAAGAAAAATAAATTGTTTTAGTATATAACTTCCTAAATGACTTCTGTAAGATTACTCAGGGTCCACATAGACTCAATATTTACACAGGCTAAATGAAACTAATATTTTCTGATCATTTATTTCAGCATTTAATCTATGCTTTTCAAAATATTATTTTCCATAAGAACTGGGCCTTTGGGCTAAGCTAGATTTTGATTTTCTTTGTTTTCTATCCTTATGTTGTAACTACGTGGGATTAGCTAATAAATAAAAATTGGAGATCAAAAACCAAATTAAATACTTTCATTTGAGTGAGATGAGTATGGAGGAGGAGTGTAACACAGAGCCGATAGTAACAGTTACAAAAGAAACCACACAGCCTAAGGTTCTTAACTTGCCTCTCCTCTGAAATGTGGGTCCCTTTGTTCTTAGTCATCCTTAGTGCCTGATGAAAAATCTGACTAGAGACAAGGCACATGCTTGGAGCTTTCCATTCCATAGAAAACTGGGATGGGGCCTGGCATGGTGGCTCATGCCTGTAATCCCAGCATTTTGGGAGGTCAAGGCAGGCTGATCACTTGAGGTCAGGGGTTCAACATCAGCCTGGCCAATATGGCAAAACCCTGTCTCTACTAAAAATACAAAAAAACATTAGCCTGGTGTGGTGGTGCATGCCTGTAATCTCAGCTACACTGGAGGCTAAGGCAGGAGAATCGTTTGAACCTGGCAGACAGAGGTTGCAGTGAGTTGAGATCTCGAGATCTCACCACTGCACTCCAGCCTGGGTGACAGAGCGAGACTCTGTCTCGAACAAAGAAACAAACAAACAAACAAAAACTGGAATGAGACTTCCACAGATCATGTGACCAGAATTTAACCCAATGACACAACACAATACCAGAGAAAGTTTGTGTTTCTTATATATGGGTCATTAAGTTGCGTTTAATTAGCGGCTGAAGATTTTATGCTGATTTCATCCAGCTCTCTCACGAAGGTACCATTTTTATTTGTAAGGGAGACTAGATAACTGACAGCTTGATAACGTGACACTTCTCAATAAAGGTAATGAGAAAAGAACAAAAGGGCAGGCACGTAGGTTCTGGCTGTTTCTAACAGTGTTACGTTTCCGATGGTGGCATCGGTAAGTATTTTGTTCCTTTATGACATAAACCACAATTCTTATCCTAAACCCTTGGGGGCCTGATGTGTTTTAAAATAATTTTGTTTTTAGATTTTGAAATAGGATAAAATGTATATACTGTATATTTTGTAATATCCATACCATGATCTGATTAGCCATCTTATAATAAAGCAATATTTTTGTAGCAAAACATATAAATATTCATATTAAATGGGATAAATAAATACTGTAAATAGTCTCAAGTCTGTTTAGATTGGGTTTTGTTGCCAAATGACTTGTGGTAAAGCAAGAAAATACTTTTAAGAGATTTTTAGACTTGGAATTGCAAACAAGGGATTATGGATTTATATCTGTGTATTTTTCCAAACCATTCGAGAATTTATTTATATTTTTAAATCTTATTAATTCGGTAATTTGTCCCATACATTATTGTCCTAAAATATTCTTTTCATGCTTAAAATGTTCCCTGTATTCACTGTACTCATTGATTTGGTCACTATCTTTTTGGTGACTTATTATTTTTAGTATTTCATGTTATAATAAGCTTTTTAAGGCTCAGTTTCCTCTTTTAGAAAATTTCTGTTGGCATTGTTCCTGGCACTTAAGTGCTTACATCAGTCAGTAAGCTTTCTTTGACTGCAAGCAAGAGGCACTGATTCTGACTTAAGCAAATGAGAATTTACTGTGAGTTTATGGAATTAAAAGAACGGTTGAAGAACCATGCTTGGAAATAGCAGGGAAAAGAAAAACTTTTAGATTGAGGTTAGGGATATTTTATCACGACTTCTCACCTCCACCTTTTAAAATTCTGAGTCACTCTGCTGAAGATCAAGCCCCAGGCAAATCTGAGGGGCTGAGCGGCTCATGTGCCCACCACTTGGCTAGAAGACAGCCTGACACATTGATTGACACTCCCACCACGCCTGAGCAAAGGGTGGGGGAAGCACATTCTCCCACAGGAAATGAGGTTGTTATCACAAGAAGAATGCAAATGGACTCTGATGGCAAAACAAAACAAACCTAACAGAAGTCCTCCACAGAATTCACCATATTTTCTGAATATTATTCTTAATTCTTGGCTTTTTAAGAATGCAGTCTTATTTTTTTAGGCCATCCTCAGAGAAAACTTAACTCATCGCCATGGGCAGGTGAGTTGTATTCCTCTAGACTTTTTTCAACATTCTGTATCTTTCTTGAGCACCGAGGCTAGAGATGTTTGCTATTTGATTTTATTTTGGTACGAGTAATGAGTTATTTTCAAAGTGATCTTTAAATAAGGAGTGTCTCCTACCAAGGCAACGCTGACAGAGGGAATCTTAATGGCAGAAACCACTTTACTAATAAGAAATGCAAATTCACCTGGAATCTACTTAAGAAAAACAACGTATATAATATGGCTCAAAAACCAAGAAAATGAAAAAGGCAATGAACATGGTTTTTCCTCATTTACCACTTAAAAATTTTTAAGGAATATTATTATTCTCCTTAAGTCCTACATTTCTTTAAGTGCCTTTTCAAATTGTGCACCATTTTTACAGGCAGGTGCTGACGGGTGCAAACAATCAGCTCGAATTGTTTATAATACACATTTCTTACCTGATACTCATACTCTGTGAAAGGCAATAGTTCGGAATCTATAAAAGATGTTGAGCTTCCGTTATAGATTAGGACTGGATTGGATTTTCTAGGCTGAGTTGCTATTTGTCTTCTGTATAATTCGTAATACAAAACTTTTCCATTTGGCTGCAGCGGTCCTGTCCACAAAAGAGAAACAGTTGGCTGGAATCCTCCTGGAGCCATTTGTACCTCCAGATGTGGAGGGGGTTGCATCAAAGGTGCAATCTCAGGGGTCTGTATGAATGTCCAGTCACTTGATGCACATCCCAGGGTGGTGCACGCTTGAATTCGTATTTCATACCTTCAGGACATAAGGCAGAAATTAGTGATTTTCAGCAAAATAGATTTTCATGGGAAGAATCTTTAAAACACCAGGCCTTAAAAAAAAAAGACAAGCTTACATGTATTCTTATTCACAGCTAATTCTTAAGAATAACAAAGTTGAGAATGGCTTGAACCTGGGAGGCAGAGCTTGCAGTGAGCCGAGATTGCGCCACTGCACTCCCGCCTGGGTGACAGAGCAAGACTCTGTCTCAAAAAAAAATTATATTTCCATGGAAATTTTTGAACAATCAAAATCCCCCTGGCTTTCTAAACTAAAGTTCCTGATCTGTTCGAAAGGGGTGAGTGCAATTCTTCCCCTAAACAAGGATGTATGGAATAAATAACTCTCAAGATTCTTTCCGGCATGAAAATTCTGGTACTCTTCAGAATTACTTAACATAGCAATGAAGAATGCAGACCTTAGAAAGTATGAAGCAGTTCTCAGCAGTCCTGGACTCCTACCTTTGCAGCTAGAGCTAAATGATCCCTCAGGAATGTTTCCAGGTCATGAAGGAACATCATGGAATGATCCCCCAGGAATGTTTCCAGGTCATGAAGGAACATCATGGAATTACGGTCTCAGTGGTAATAAATCCCCTCACCTGATACCTAACAGCTTAAAACAGCCTCCCTTACATGATACAAAGACCTTGCGGGGCCAAAGTTAACCCAACTACACACCAGATTATCAATCATGAAGACACCTTATCACCATCCAGTTAAATTCAACTAATCAATTATGTTTTGCCTCATAGCTGGTCTCTGCTACTTGAAAAGGTCTATTTACATAGCAGGGACTTCTCCTTTCCAACAAAATGAGTTTTTGTGAGTATTTAGTGCCTATGGCTGTAAATGAGCACTTTTTTCTCTATTCCCAACCACCATTGATTTTATGACACCTTCAATTTTCCCGCAGGCACCCAGCTATCTTCTTTCTACCTTTATTCCTTTTAGTTCTAGCCTTTTCCTCTTCTATTTTCTACCTCCCCTCTTTGCTCTTTGAATCACTGCTTTCTGTTCTTGTACATGTTCTGTCTCTTCCACCTTTTTGCTTTCTTAATTACACCTTTTTCCCTTTGTGACTTATTTTATTCCCACTTTCTTCTCCTCCTCCCCTGGTTCTCCTCTCATGCCGATCTCCACCATGACAGGGCTACCAGTTTATTGGTGATCAAATCCATAGCTGTGTATGGTAGATCTGACTTCTAAGCAATTCTGTGAAGTCAATTTTGATTTCCCACATAAAGATTATTCATTTTCTGGGTTATCCGTGGTAGTTTTTAAATTTTGGGCTGGATTCCTTCTGCTACTTAGGACTTTCCCAGACTATTTCTTCTTACTGACCAGCTGGGGGTGCTGAAAGGAGGACACACACATTTGCAATATTCAGTGAACATTAATCCACTAAAAACAAAAACAAAAAACCACGCATGAACTCCAACTTCATATAGAAGTGATACTCTGTTTTATGTCAATGCCACTTACAGATTCAGTTAGAGTGGATAATGAAGAGATTTCTCTCACATTCTTAAATATCCTTGCAATTTATCAGATAAATTAAACTTTTCTTTCCAGCCTGGAAAAAGCATTCCTTTCATGCCTGGACAAACTCTTTCACCTCTAGAATACTTTTTGAATAAGAGTTTCAAAAGGGAGCAAATTGATATGGTTTTTGAAAGTTGGAGGTACAGTCAGGTAAAGAGGAAGCCAGTCTAGAATATACAGCTCTGCAGCTACAGTGGACCTTTTTAATGCCCTGAATCAGTGTAAGGTAATATAAAAGCCAACTCACATAGCATGTGGATTAGCTGCAGAGGATACCTGAGGAAGTTTTAATTACTGTTTAATATTTAATAGACCCTAAATAATTGTCATGAGTAGATGCATAAAACCACGAATGTTTCATTTCAACAGCACTATATATCAGAGGTAATTATAGGAGGATCTAATCTACACATCACTAGATTACAATAATAGCTGAATTTTACCTGAGGTAGTTGGAAATCAACACTCTTTCAGCCTTTAATTTTTTTAAGTGATTCTGTTCATTTTACTAAATTTTAAGCATAAAATGTCTCTTATTACCCTTCTCTCTGGGGATGTAAGTTACTTAAAATGTGATGGGGAAAACTGCCAAACAATTATTTAAACAATGGGCAAGATTCTTTTGTGTGGAGAACAACGCACTTCCATGCATGTCACAGAGCCCAGATGGGACCGCTAGGAAAACATGAGCTAGCAAAGTGGCACTGTCCTGAGAAACCATAAGAAAGTAGAGTCAGAGAAGCCTTATTATTCCTGGAAGAAGTGCTGGATTTGATAAGAAGGCTCTTCACGAAACAAATTTTGTTTTAGTCTAACTCTGGCTGGTAATTGCGCTCATTGATTGGCACTTTTTAACCTTAAAATAATACATCATTTTCTTCACAGTCTGGCCAGATGACCCTATCGGGGCTGTCAGAACTGTCCAGGGGCCTGCGTATTTCCAGGGGGACTAGCCTCATCTCTGTCCTACTTATTTCAGATACCAGGATGCATTGCAAACCTTTCTGAAACACTGACTCTCAAAACATCACCTGAAAGAATTCTGCTCTCTGGAGGTTATGCAAGCAGGCTTTGCTTGGGTGAGGATGTGCTTTGTCTACTATGCACGTTTAGGTGGATGGAGGTTGGGGACACCTTGCATCCCATTTTTAGAGTCTTCATTAGAACTGACCAAGGGCTCAGGCAATAGAAAGGTCAGCAGTGGCTTACTCTCAGAAAACCGAGACATGGCTACCTACCTGTGAAATGGCTTCAGCTGGTTTACTATATATGACTGCATACCAAAAGAATTATGAGTTGTGTTTATGTGTATGATTTTAGTTTCTCTTTCAAATAGTTCACGGATGAAGAGGGTATAATTGATGATATCACCATTTGTTCTCACTGGAGGGTCCCAGTTCACTAAGATCTCCTGAGGACCCCTGGCCTGCAATTTTGGAGGTTCCATCCCTGAGGGTGCTGAGGGGCTGGTTCGATCTTTGACAAGAGGACTCAAAATACCCCCTTGGCTGTTGCTGGCAGTTACTGTGTAGCTATACTCCACACCTGGGGTGAGAGTAAAATCACGATAGCGTGTTTCCAAGCCTGTATATACAATGGTTCCATCCCTCCTAAGTTCATAACTTCTGATCTGGCCATTTGGGTTTCTTGGAGGTTTCCAGGTGATTTCTATTGATTCTGAGCCTGTGACTTGCAATGTTGGAGAGTCCATGTTCTCTGGCAGGGCCTCCATTGTCCAGGCAGATTTTGACACACTAGCTGTGCAACCTCCATTCGTGCAGGCTACAAGGGAGAAGTTATACTGAGAGTAAGGCTGCAGGTGGGAAACCAGCAGGCACAGGCCCTGGCCAGCAAGGGACTCTTTATTATCATATCTAACTAAATATTTAGTAATCTTTCCATTTTGCACTGTGGGCGGTGACCAACATACATTCATTTGAGTGGCACTGACGGCCCAAAGATCTGGAGGGCTGACTTCTGATGGAGCAGCCTCCAGAGTTGTGATGCTGGTGGGTTTGCTGGTGGAGCATCCTCCACTCGTGCAGGCTTGGAGTGCATAGCTATAGGTGGAAAAAGGAAGAAGCTCTTCATCAGTGTAATTGAAAGTCACAGGATCAAAGCTAAAAGGATAGAGCATTTCATTCCTTTGAAGCCTATAGGACTGGATAATACCATTAGACTGTTCTGGTGGGATCCAGGAAATCAGCAGTTTTTGGGGATTCATAGAAACATAGGATATCACAGGTGGAGAGAGACCTTCTGGAGGTGCTTGCAATGTCCTCACCACATTCCAAGAGCTACAGGTATGCCCAGCTGAATTCCAAGTGTAGATTTTATATTCACACTGCGTCCATGGTTGCAAACCTGTGTCATTATACATAAATGTATTCCTTTCAGTGTTATATTCTGTGAAAACAATTTTCTCGTCGGCCTGGATTGTCTGATTTCCCCAAGCTTTTCCCTCGAAGCATCTGCGAATCACTTCATAGCGAATTATTTTTCCATTTGGGTTAACAGGCTCAGACCAGCTCAGCTCAACACTGGTGGACTTCACAGAGTGGACAGTAGGAGCCAGCTGAGAGTCTGGAGGGGCTTCATCTGTCCACAGAGGCTGAGGCGCCGAGTGTGCACAACCTGCTCTGGTGCAGGCCTCCAGGGTCAGTGTGTAGAGAGTGAAAGGATCCAGGCGGCGGAAGAGAAACTGACGATTCAAACCAGAGTACTCCAGGAACCCGTCACTGAAGATGTTGTATGTCTACAGAAGGACAGAAGCAAAAGGGATAACTTGCAGCATACAATTTCTTTGTGTAGTTACTTAGCCCCTTTTTAACCTTCACCCCCTTGTTCCTTATTTTGATGACCCTAATTTAGAAGAAGTATTCTGATATTAATTGGGGATATGTGATTTTTTTCAGTTAACATAAGGCCCACAGAGAGACAAACAATGTTTTTCTTTGCCTTTTTCTTTTCTTTTTTTTCAGTTTGGGAACTACATAAACATTTATCTCAAAACTAAGGGCTATTGAATCAGATTCTTTGACTTAAATGGTATTCACAAGGTTTCTCCTATTTGTATTTTTTTAAAGTAGAGAATAGTATTAAAGTCTCCTGTTTTATGGATATGAACTGCTTCTGATCTCATACTGACTAAAGTAGGGTCTACCTTCCACGGCATTTGCTGGGAAATGGAATTACAACGCTTAATCATTTGTTGTTACAGAGTGCCAGGGCTGAAAGAGTATGCTTGTGTGTGTGTGTGTTTAGGCACACAGACACCTATATTTTATACATAAGTACAAATATCCATACATATATATACATGTACATATATACATGTATATAAATCTTTATGACTAGGGGATGGAAAAAAACACCCTGTTTTCTCTTCCAGGCCATGGAAGAACTGATTGCTCCTTTGGGGGCAAAGTAGTCTTTTGTTCTGGAAAAAAACATCTGAATGCTTATTATACTGTACAAATGTAGAGCAAGTTTTCATTTTTTTTGAAAGATGGGAAGTAAGTTAATCTGAATGCAGGTGTTTTTGAACAGTGATTTTCCAACCTTTTCCTGCTCCAACAAACCTGAGAGAGATGACACACTCCTTTCGATGACTCCCTATCATGGTGACTCTCAAGAGGGGACAGGACACATTTTACAGCCCTTGGAAGGCACACCCTTGAAACATTCCCAGAAGTGGTTCTTGGGCAAGCTTAATTTAGACTAAATTGTTAACATACTCCATTTTTTCCCTAAGATTACACAGCCTAGAAGTTTGGAAACCTCTTTATGTTGGAATGTTGTATGTTGGTGTGATTTTCTTGTTGAGGACCCAGGGCAAGACCACCCCCATGTGGGAAGGGGACTGCCATATCTTCTGAAGGGAGCATAGGTTCCATAACTAGCTTGCAGCCTCTGTGACCCCCCAAGCACCCCTTGCTGCCCCTGATATTCACCCGGCAAATCTCTAATTAGTGTAAAATTTAGCTGTCCCTCTATACTCAAGCTCTGAAATGGGTTTGTAGAAAAACACCCAAACATTTTTATTGGTCTCACTTTAAACTTCTATCCATACATTTTAAATAGGCGATTACCAATTTGTAATCCTATTTTATTCCCTCATGCTTTTGCTCTGTCATTTTCCCAGGTGATTATTTCATATTTCTTCCTTTCCCCTAACCACTAACACCCTCTTCCCTCCCTCACCGTTGATTGATTGTTGACATAACCACATCGTTCACTGAAAATAGAAGCAGTTAGAGAAGAATGCCTCCATGTTATATATTCTGACCTCTGTATCCATGTGAATCTAGACTTACATGATTTGCTTTTCCTCCTTTTGCTATGAATGAAATATCTCTGTACCTACTGAAGGCCACCTAAGCGCTGTATCCCATCCCTTCCTCCTTCCCCAAGACTTCACTACTGCCGTTATTCTCATTATCTCCTACGTCACCAGTTTATCTCCCTCTACTGGTTATTTCTATTCGTGTTTAAATGTACTCTAGTATTTTTCAATGATTTTAAATAAAACTTCCCATCCCACAGTCTCCACCTATTGCTCCATTTCTCTGCTTTTCTTTTCATCTAAATGGCTTTAATGAGTTGATGTCCTACTTCCTCCCTTGCCATTCTCTCCTCAACCAGCCATGCCAACCAGGTTTCCCATTCTACTGCATACTCTCCTTGTCGAGATCACAGTGACCTCCTCATTTCTATACTCGGGGTGGCTTCTCTGCCTTCATTTTACTTCTGCTCTCAGCAACATTTTGGCATATTTTCTCTTCTCTTTTTGGACACTCCACTCATGCACTTTTCCTTCTAGCCTAGTTCCCTCTTATCAGTCTTTGCTGGCTCTCTTTCCTCCTCTTGACCCCCACATTTATGCCTCAGGGCTTGATCCCAGACTCTCAACAGGTTGAGTTACATTCTCTCCATAGCTGATCTCCTCTGGCACCATGGGTTTATATAACATCCACCTGCTAACGGATTCTGAACATTTATCCCAGCAAAGAACACTCTCAGGAGTTTTAGACTTGTACCTCACACTATCTACTTGCTCCTAACTTGTTCATCTTCCAGTCTCCCCTTCCTCATCAATAGCCCAAAGCCTAAACCCAAAACTCATCTCAAAGCGCTCCCTTTCCTTCATGTCTCTCATTCAGCTCATTAACACATTTTGTCATCTCTATCTTCTGAATGTATCTTCGATTCACCTATAGTGCATGATTTCACAACTGCTACTCTAATTTGACCCACCTTCAATTCTACCTTGAAATCTTTAATAGTTCTCAAACTCCATTGGTCCTTATATAGTCCATTTTCCACAGGGTAGCCAGAGTGATTTTTAAAAACGTAAATTTGATCATGCTATTCCTTTGCTTAAAGCCTTCAGTAATTTTTCATTGCACTTGGAACAAATTCTAAACTTTACCACAGCCTACAATGTTGGGACAATCTGTCTCCTACCAGTCCCTCCAACCTCTTCTAGTGCCATCTTTCTTTCTCCCAAATACTTCATACACACTAGCTTTCTTCTCTTTCCTTGAATACACCAAGTTCATTCCTGGCTTCAGGCCTTGCATTTGCTGTTCATTTTGTCTGGAACATTTTGCCCCCATATCCTCACATGACTAACTCTGTCTTGTCATTCAGGACTCAGCTCAAATGTCAACTTGATTCAAATGATATTCCATTCTAAAATAGCCTGAGCAGGCATAATTACATTATTCTATTTAATTTTCTTTATAGCATTCATCGCTCTCAGTAATTCCCTTGCTTATTTATTTACTAGCTTATTGTTTGCTTTTCTGTACCCCCACCATTCATATACTCTGCCACATTTATTCACACAGACACACACACACACACACACGCACGTGCACTCACACACGGTCTGTAACATCAGGGAACCTGACTGTCTTGTTCACTCTTGAATAAGTATATGGCACTTAGTAGAAGTATTTCACCAAATATTTGCTTAATATTTGGTGAAATGTAAATAAAGGTCCAAGGAGTCAATATTCTTATTGTCAATTATGCCACCAAGAAGCAGATGCTCTCATGACTCCAAATACCCACAAGGAGAAGTGCTTTGAGGGAAAAGGAGCTTTCTTTTCTGATGGGTGCCTTGGGGCCGTGATTTGGATTTTAAGGTCATGAATCCTAAGGCTCAAGCCTCTTGCCCCAGGGGGGAGAAGTCTGGCTTCTGTCCACATGTAGGCAGGCTGGTGGGAAGCAGCTTGCTACTGCTACTTGCAGCAGGCCTTGAAGCTAGGCAGAGAGGCAGCCCACAGGATGGACCTGGGACTGTGAGCTCTAGTTACAGTTCTTAGTTATTGCTGCACGTAATTTCCTGCTGTCATCCCTCTCTTAGGGTTTTCAGGGAGGCTTTATTAAAAGTAACAGCTTAGTCTCAACCCTGTGATGTGGAATTGATGTGGGAGTCTGCCTCTTGGAGAAGGAGTGGCAAAGAAAAGGGTAGTGTGTCTATAGCAGCTGCAGGCTGGGGGACTCTGCAGTCCCAGCCCGCAGAAGGTAGTTGATGAGGGCCTAAGAGATGGACCACGGCCAGGAGAGACTGGAGGTAAAGGCAGTAGTATGAACTAACAGGTATGTCTGCCACCATCCTTGGGGAGGAACATCAGAGAGGTAGATGAAGGCTGGTTTTTGTGTGGCTGAAGGTTCAAAACATCAAAATGCAGGCTATTCATGAAAATACAGTCCCCCTGTACTCATGGGCTGGCAGAGCTTGAGATACGTATACAACATTTATAACATTGTTTCTCACGGCTACATACAGAAGTTGGGAAGTTAGCAGACACCTGTGGCTTGCTTAATGAGCTCTGTTTGAAGCATAAATTAGGCAAGTCTTAAGCAAATAACTGGGTAGGGTAATTCAGGAGGCAGTAAGAACACAGTCATTTAGAGTTCAGTTCTGATGTGAGTTCCTGGCTTCAAATCCCAACTCAATTACTTACAGTGTAGGCTTGGGCAGTTACTTAGCCTGCATATGCCTCATGAGGTTTGGTGGTACCCACCTAGTAGGGTTGATGTGAGGATTAAATGAGATAATCCATGGAGAGCATTTAGCTCAGTGTTGGGTTATAGGAAGCATCACACATCTAAGCTAGGTTTCTGTGATCTATGATTAAGTGCCTGGAGGAGCTATCAAGGAGAATTAAACAGGCTGTGAAGGGAGTTTTCCCACAGTGACCTGATGGCATGTCAGGGCTCATCTATTTATCTGGAGAACACCAAACATAATTTCTTATGCAGGGTAGACATTACCTTAATCACACCATTGGTTCTCATAGGTTCTGACCACTGTAGTAGCAATGCCCGGCCATTCTCTTTCTGTTCTACTATAAAGTTTCTCAGTCCACTTGGGGAAGATTCTAAGGTTTGAATCAGAGTCCAAGGGCTTAAAATTTCTCCTGCATGGTTTGCAGCCACAACACCAATGCGATATGTTGTGAATGGTTCTAACCCGTACAGGTGGGCTTGATGGCTTGTTCCCTGTAAGAAAATTAACAGGTTAAGTTGTTGTTTTTTTTTTTTGAAACTGACAATATTGCTGGAAAGTCATTCTCTGAACCTCATGGCCAAAGCTTGTAGGCAACAGCAGCGCAAACACTACAGCAGAGTTTTGAATTATCATTAAGAAAACAACGCATTTTTTCTTATTCTTGTTGACACCGTGAATATATTACCCAATGTTGTATGATTTCAGACACTCAGAAAGTGGACCAGATAGCATCCTTGACTTTTCAGTGCTTGCAGCCCAAAGCGTGTGATATATAAACATTAAAAAAAAAAACAAAACATGATGCTTCAGATCAGTGCTGCATCCAGCTCAAAATGGAAATCAGTGGTGCCAAGCTGCATGTCTGAGACTGGGATAATTGCCTGCCAGGTTAATATTAAGGGTTTGGAGAGTTAACCTGAACACCCCTAATTTCCAAATCTGTTTGTACACAAGACTCTCCATCTTCCCAGTCTCCCTCTCTCATTCTCTTGGCATGTATATATATCTTACGAATTCAATAAAACAAATAAACACAAGAAAACAGTAACAAGCCAATTCAACTATACATGTACAAACACCCTTAGAGAAGTCTATTATTAATATAGATATAAAAATATTTTCATTTGTTAAAAGCACCATAAGTAAAACTATGAAACCTACCAAAAGTAATTGTTAGCTAGGCTTGGAGAATTTGGTCTTTGTTGCTTTAAAAGAAAAGAAAAAAAGGGATAGCCTAATTAGGATTTTTAAAATTTGTTTGTTTTTCTGCTTGGAGAGCAGCATTAACATATTTGGCATAACTAAACTGGAGCTAAGAATCCTAATGTTTCTAAAGGCCCTGGGGTGCTCTTTCCACATCTGGACTGAAAGGATATGTCCTTTTAAAGTAGGAATTATGTATGCAAGTGGGGTAGTAATGTGTTCATAGGTAAACACACACACACGAACACACACACACACACACACACACACTGGCATTTTCTGTTGCGTACCATCCCCATTGGATATAAGAAATCATGAGAAAGTTTTGACTGGGTTAGTAGGATATTTACATTCAATGATCTGCTTTGGTTTATTAGATGTTTGAATGTGATACATGGTCTTCAATTGTCTTCTTTCCTTGATGAACAAGGGAAGAAGAATATAAAGTGGAGTAGTGAAAGTTATTTCTGAAAGTAGGCACCCAAGAACATCAGAAAAAATTATGTGTGGGGGCATCCAAATATCATTTTGGATAAAATCTAAAACAAGATGACAAAATCAAACAGAATTGTTTTCCAAACAAACTGGTTAGACAAAAACAAAACAATGTAGAAATAGGTTTTGGTGCTGTTTTCTGACATTATTGGCTGTATATTTTAACTGTGTTATTTCTTGTTATGTGTTAAACATAGGCAGAGAAAATACAATTTCCTTCACATATCAAAAACTTGTAAAGTCAATTTTCCTATTTCAATAAGTCCCATTATGATATTACACGCTAACCTCTTGAAATCTTTTAATATTTAAACATTTGCTGAGCAATCAGACTCTGAAACAAATTTTACAGAAATACTAATTTCTCTTTTTTAAAATATTAAAAGTTAGATCATAAATATTTAAAAACTTATTTCTCCATAACATTGGATTGGCCTTTTAGATAAATATAGCACAGAACTAGAATGACCATAATGAATATTAAATCTGAAGATGCTACAAGTCCCGATTACAAACACTCTTTTCTGATAAATGATTCCTTTTCTGTGGAAATAGGGCAAACATGGGCAAGATTAATAATGCAAAAAAGAATAATTCTTTGTTCAGAATATTCAGTAATAGATGCCAAAAAAGCATACGCTCCAAAGCAAATAGTAATCACCTCTAACAGATTATATATAAAAAAGGTGGGCTGCTGGGGGACATTTTTTCATAAGCTTTTGTCATAAGAAACATGAAAAGCATGTGGGCTATAAAGCAAAAACATATGTATATTGTCAATAGCTGCACCTGCTCAATTATAATTTATTTCAGAGCTGAGAATTCCATTCAGCCCCTAGATGGCAATACTATCAAACACTTTTGGTAACATGAGTACTTAATGATTAACAACTGGCATTCAGTCATCCAACACACTCCAGGCAACCATTAAAAAAATAACAAAACTGATTTCATTATAGATTCGTTTAATAAACATTTACGGCTCAGATCCTTGAAAGCAGAAGTATTCAAAATGCCCTAGCTTCCAAACCTCCACCATCTAATATAGAAATATGGCCTGTAGGTTGCAAGCTGAAGTTCATGCATGCCTGGCACAGAAAATTTTTAGGGGTATACTCCTACAAAGGGTCATTACAACAGTTGTTTTGCTTAACCTGGTCTACATGTATCTAAAAAAAAAAGGGAGAGAAATAACCACATGTTGGGATGTAAAAGTAATTTCTGTATCATGAAATTATACTGAGGACAAGTTCTCATATTACATTATTTATTTATTTATTTAATTTATTATTATTATTCTTATTTTTTGGCTCTTTTGCCTAGGCTGGAGTGTGGCATGATCATGGCTCGGTGCAGCCTTGAACTCCTGGGCTCAAGTGATTCTCCTGCCTCAGCTTCTGGAGTAGCCGGGACTACAGTCATGTACCACCGTGTGTGGCTAATTAAAACAAAATGTTTCTTTTCTTTCTTTCTTTCCTTTTTTTGTAGGGATTGGGTATCACTATGTTGCCCAGGTTGGTCTCCAACTCTAGAGCTCAAGTCACCCTTCTGCCTTGGCTGCGCAAAAGTGCTGGGATTACAGGTGCAAGCCACTGCTGCATCTGGCTACTTTGTTATTCCTGAATAGTTTTATACACACACACACACACACACACACACACACACACACACGCACACACACACAAACCACATATAGACTCCTTAAATAGATCTAAACAATAGCCATGGTTTTTGTCAATGTTTAGTAAAAGCTATATTAAAAAATGAAGAAAACATAAAAATGACAAGATAATCCTTGCCAATTTATTCTTTGACGTTTTAGGAAATAATTTATATTATTCTCTCCTGAATGAATTTCCAACATCAAAGTTCACTATTTTAGAATCCTGCTGCAAAATTTGGATGCAGTTCACTCTGTGAATTGGGTTGGCTCTCATTTACGTACTAAGTTTCTTGTTATTTTTCTTAAATTTAGGATATTTGCTTGAGCACTGTGGATCTTAGATGTTTTGGATTCAGTTCCTTCCTTTGGAGATGTAGCGTTCTGTCTTACTAACTAGGAAAAGTCATCACTAAAGACGATTTTCCTTCCTTTTACTCCTTTGCTTCACTTTTCTTCCGTTTCTTCCTTTCTCTTTCTTCTTATTCACCCTTTCCTTCTTCTCTCACTCCTTTTCCTCTATAGAGATTATCTTAATTCAATACTCTTACTTCTTCCCCTTTATTGCCATTATTTTGCTCTTTCCTTCCTTTCACTCTTCCTAATGATTTTTTTGACTACATTTTTTGTTGTCCCTGACTTCTGGCCTGCCACCTTGCACTTGCTTCTGTTTTGTCTTTGTTCATTCTATGTCCACGTCCATATTGTACGTAATTCTACAAGCATGTCAGCTACTTTTGTTAGGCAGCAGATGAAGAAGATGACTCAACAAAGAAAAACAGGAAGAAATATTTTACTAGGAATAATCCATTCTTTGCAATCTAATATCTTCAATGGGATTCAGCCTCTTTTTTCCTTCTTTAACTTTATATGCATGAAGGTCAGAGTTTGGATACAAATCAGTGCCTCATTTTATGAGACATAAAGACAAGACTCTCTGGAACACTCTGTCAGTTGAGGTTCTGCTGGCAATTTGAACTATATTTTAACCTCTCGACTCAGCTCCTGGGGACATATGCAACTACTTGGAGTCTTCAGCAGTCTGACAATTTTACACCATCTCCTCTGATTATTTTTGATGACTTGAAGTGCCCCAAAGGTGGCCATGGGGTCAATAGGTTTATGTAAGTTGAAAATGATCAAAAATTACCATTGATCTGTAGCTGTCAATAAAAGGCTGTGTGGGGATACTCCCTGCACAAATGTTTAAACTGCATAAAGCTTCCCAACTTAGTCATCTTTGAGTCTATTGATCTGATGATCCAGCAGTTTCCAGAGCTTTCCCTCTGGTCTTTGGGGTGTATTTTCACTAAGCTCACTTACTGTAGACCTTAGGAATCTTTT